>NC_000001.11:152559587-153184587 GCF_000001405.40 Homo sapiens
TGAAAGGTAGAGTTCAATATGACATGTCACCTGACCTATAGAAATTAATTGTCTAATTGCACAGACAAACAAGTAAATAGGGAGCCTGCTTCCATGAGAAAATTGCTATAATGTAAGTCACTATGCACAAAGTTTGCAGGTCTTTGTCCATATACTTCTTTCTAGCATGTTCCCTTAGGAAAACCAAACACCCAGATGTGGTGTTGGGGTGGTGACTTGCTGTTGGGGCGGTGACTGAGCTAAGGACGCTGGACATTCAGTATGGGCTGTGTGTAAAACAGATGGAAGCCTAAAGTCAGGGGAGGTGAGGGTCCCTGAAAGAGCCCCCGGGCAGGAGAGGAGGGGAGTCAAATGAGTACCCGATTGAAGGGCAAATGTAGAGAAGGAAAGTACAATAGTTGCAGTAATAAGAGTCACAACTGACGCATTATAAAAAAGCATGACCTTCCATCAAAATCCAAGGAATGCGTGCTCTTTATTTGAAGACGATGAAAACACTGAGGGAGGAGTCGTTCATCTGCTTGGACTCGGTAAGGAAGTTGTGCAAATGTGCATGATAATGGATGGCCTTGATGAAGATGGCTTTGCTGTACGTGTTGCTGCTTATGAGGTTGATGGTAGTGCTGGGTGCATCTCTTGTAATGAAGCTGACCTGATGGTGTCTATGTTTGGGTATGCCGAATTGGTGCAAACTGAATGCTATTTCCTTGTTAATTTCATTTTAATTTTAAATGAATTTATCATTCAATTAATCTCTAATATTAAAAGACCTTTTGCTAGATATTTTTCAAGATAAATCACAGTCAGGTCTATAACCAAACTTTAGCCATATTAAAATTATAATTTTCAAAGAAAATTAAATTATGTTCATTATCAGTGGGTGTAATTTTTCTCTTACTCTGCCTAAGAGTTTGCCCCTTTAAGTACATAGTGATGCCTGTAGGAGCATAAATGCACCGGGCTGTAAGGAGGACAGTGGCTCTGTGTGGATGGGTAGAGGGTGGGTGCAGATTTTGATATCCTCAGCAGCCTTTTCCTGCCTCCAGCCCATGGTACCTGCCTCTGGTTGAAAGGTATTTTCAGAATCATTTCCAGAACTACTCCTGAGTGGCCGTTTTTCTCATATTGTTTAGGGTTTCTTCAGTAGACCCTGGCCTGCAAAAAGGCACTTAAGAAAAATGGACCAAGTACTTTCTCATGGTACCTAGATTGTGAAGCTGAACAAAGCTGGGTGGCCACTTTTGCTTCTTAGGTGTAGAATCTCTAGTATTTGGGATACAACAACAGAGGAGTAAGTTCTAAAGTTTCAAAACACCCCAGAACTGTAGTGGGGGCCCTCCTTCTGTCTCATGGAATGCAGCAGATGTGTGCATATGGGCCTCTCCACAGCCCCTCCCCCGATGCCTGGCTTGGGAGGCTCCATACTTGTCCTGGTGAGGATGCCCACCAAACTTTCTTCCCCTCCACGAGGAACTCCCACTTTTTGGCCCCTCTGTTTGTTATCAGAGCAGGAGCTCTGTAGGTTCAAGGCTGAGCAGGTGTCCTGGGATGACAGAGGCTTGGCTGGAGGACCACTGCCCTGCCACTTACCCAGAGCATGACATCAGCTCTCTGAGGGTAATCTCTACCAGGAGTACCACCCTTAGATCTCTGGCTTTCTAAGGTTCTGTGAGGTCAGGTGACAAGAGAACCTGGCCTGGCTGGATATATCTGGATAATTTCATGACTTAGTAGTGCCAATGGGAATGATGGGCACAGGTGGTATAGTGGCTCAGGTTTGGCTCTTTGGAGTGCATTTTAATCAGGTCATATAAAATACACGTAAATGACTATCTAAATAACAAAAAGATCTTTTTCATTCCCTGCAGAACACAGCTTCCTTTCAGTTTAGGACCTTCCCATCCCCAAACCATTAGCATGACCATGGCAAGCAGCTGAGACAATCTGGGTTCTCAATGTTATCCTTGTGTCCCTAGTGGAGACACAGGTACCACAGAGAGATGTGAAGCCCTCCATGTGGTGGTTGGGAGTAAAAGGGGAATGGAAGAGAGCCTTACTAATGGAAAAGATCCAGGAATCCCCCAAACTGTCCAAATATCTGTTCTTTAAATCTTCTGTAGGCCTACCATCTCTTATTTTTCTTTTTGTCCTTCCTCCCCTCATCCCTTCTCTTCTTCCTTCCTGCCCTCCTGCCCTTCTCTTTCCCTTCCTGCCCCCTCCCTCTCTATTCCTTCCCCATTCCCTTTCCCTTTCCCTACCTTTCCCTCCTTCTGTCATTCTTTCCTTCTTTACTTTGGAATATGTTGAGCTGAACAACTGTAATCTCTATTACTACGCCCTCTATATCTTCTTGGGCAGATGCTAAGAGTTTTTTTGTGAGGAAAGTCACAGGACTCTTGAAATTCCTGGGGCCCAGCCTTCCTGTAGGCCTGTCACTTTAATTTTTTCTTTCATTCAGTCATCCATTTATTCAATTATTCAAGTGAGATGTGTTGTGCTGATATGGCACACCAGGCATTTTGCTATACACAGGAGAGTTATAAATGAATAAGATTTGTTCTCTGTTCTTGAGTAGCTCACAGTGCAGTGGGGCAGACAGACAAATAACAAAATAAGCATGATCCAATGTGGCAAGTACAGGAATGCAGGTGTGTGGAATGTCCTTGGGCTCAAGTTCAGACCCTTTGGGTTTCAAACCCCTTTTACTTGGAGTGACTCTGTGGGGGAAAATGTGTCTAGATGTTGCCACATGCTATCATTTGAGGATGAGATCACTGGCCTTTGACAATAGTATCTGTGCAAGTAGCAGGAGCAGAGGTATAAATCCTTGATCTGTCTGTGGGCAGCCAGCCAAGATGGTGATACCAAGAGGAGCTAATGGAACCCAGCTCATGGAACCTCACCAGGAGGAAGAGATAATGCTGTTGCTAAGGAGAAGAGAGCTGAGGGGGACCCTGAGGGATCTAAGACAAAGTGGAGGGGGCAGGATAATGGGCTTGTTCAGAGCATTCATTTTGGACTCAGACATTCCTGAGTTTGAATCCTGCTTCCCCAGGTAGCAGCTGGTATCAAGGTGGGAAGCTATAAAGTGATAAGAGGCACAATGGACCAAAGATGTGAGGGGCAAAATCAGAGAAAGAGACAGGAAGTCTATAGAGGCTGTGAGGACATGGTTTACAAATTAAAGTACATCTGAGGGCCATTGTATCAGTATCTTAGTGACTGTGGTATTTACTCTAAGAGCTCCAGAGTAGTTTCAGGGAGGGAGTGATCCACCTTAGTTGGGGTGGCTAAGGGAAATTAGCTGAGCTGTGAATAATACTTCATGGATGTAGTGATGATGAGGCCAACAGTGGGGAAGCTTGTGAACACTGAATGGGCAGTGATTGAACAGGATTTAGCAAATTGCAATTACATAAGCTATGTAGTATTTTTTCCATTGCATTTTATATAACATTAGAGATGCATTGCCTCTGAAACACCACCTTTAAAAATGGGACAAATCTTTTAAATCAAAAACACGAATTAAAATGATCACAAAATGTTACTGTCTTTTATAAACGTTGATGAAAATTTTGTGTCTGGTTATCCTGTTACAGGGAGGCGTATAAGTGATGAAATCTCCATTAGATGATGAAATAGTTAATATTTGTGGGATGAAAAGTGACCCTGTGAGAAGAGGTTTATTCACAGGGCTGTGGAGAGAGGGAGGGAGATGGGGAAGGGCATGAGGAGAGAGGCCTGCTTGTGCAATAACTTTGTCCCCTTGGTAGTCATGATTTATCCTTTCTTCTTTCTTGGCTGTTGTCTTTTGATGTGGAAGCTAGAAAACACTTGATGCCCTTTCCTTTTGTCACCACCAAAGCCACTGTCTCAGAGCCTCAATATTTTGCCTAGGCTGAGTGTCTTCTCTGGGTTTATTAAATAAACACCAGTGTCCACTCACCTCCAGAGGCTGAGAGGCCAACTGAGGAGAAGGCCACTGTGATTCACTCTGCGATGCATGCAAAATCGGGAACTGTCTCCTTTGGACCAGTTTTGAATGTGAGGTCCCAAAAGACAGAAATTTGTCTCTCTGATTCCTTATTGTGTCCCTAGTGCCTACAATCAAGCACATAATCAATGCTCAATAAAAATGTGTCAAGTGAATAAATGGGTCCAGGGCTCAGGACTTGGTATTGCCCAGATGCAGTTTGGGACTTTGTTTTTCTCTGCTGCTGGAAACTCCCTTATTGGGCTCCATTTTTGAGAGGTCCTTTTATACTTCTTTATAGATTCCCAGGATCTCATTGATTTGCCAGCAATGTTGACTCTGCTCCATTTTCTCTCCACTCAGATTCGATCCAACCATAGCCAGAACCCCGTCATTCTTCAGTGTAGTGGAATGAGGTGTTCTGGGCCTCCAACCTTGTTCTGCAGCCCCTGACAGGAGGCAGGCTCTAATTCTCCAGTTTTGTCCAGCCTGTGTCATGCTGCTTCCAGGTCTGCACAGAGATGCTGGGTCTGCATGTGGGTATCACTCACATTCCAAGTGTGGAGCTTTGCAGGCTGTATCAGCCATGGCACACTCTTCCCTGGGGGCAGGCCTTTCACCCCCTTCACTGTCCCTGGGTGAGAGCTCTCTAGTGATTTCAAACCGAACTTAAACCAATGGCCCAAAGCTGTGCCTCCTGCTTCAATTTCAACAAATTTCTCTCTTTTTTTAAATACCTATTGGTGCGTATCTGAATATCTGATATTAAACTTCTCTCAGGTTCTTTTTTTTTCTTATTTTTGGAGGTGGAGTCTCACTCTGTCACCCAGGCTGGAGTGTAGTGGCACAATCAGCTCACTGCAACCTCTGACTCCTGGTTCAAGCAATTCTGCCTCAGCCTCCTGAGTAGCTGGGATTACAGGTGTCCACCGCCACGCCCAGCTAATTTTTTGTATTTTTAGCAGAGATGGGGTTTCACCATGTTGTCCAGGCTGGTTTTGAACTCCTGACCTCAAGTGACCCACCTGCCTTGGCCTCCCAAAATGCTGGGATTACAGGTGTGAGTCACCATGCTGGGCCTCAGGGTCTTTTTGATCCCTAAATTTTAAGAATTAATTTATAGGATTTGACAAAATCCTTTTTTAGTTCAATGGACTTATAAGGTTATCCATCTTTATTTTTAATGCCCCCCCTCCACCTGCTCTACTTAGCCCTCACATCAACTTCTCTTAGTATTTGTAATTTGACTGTAGCTCTACGTGACACTTCTCTGGTTTTCTGGTAGTCAAAGTGAGATGTTACTCTTAGTTCACATAAAAAAACATTCCTTCAACCCCAGGAGCATCTCAGTCTCACAATTTAGGCCAAAACATGTGACTCCATTGAAGTTGTAACTTCCATGTGTTGATGTCAAGGTCGTGTAGTTACAAAATTAATAATTTGTTGCTTCTTTGGTATATCTATTTATAATTCCAGGAACACTTCTCATTTTCTGCCTTTTTCTTTTTCCTAAAATTCTCATTTTGCACATTCCAATAATCTCATTGAGTAAACTCCCAGCCACATCTCTGCTCCATTATCTCATTAATTTAAGCACCTCTCTCAGCTTTCATCTCTCTCCCTGGATTTTCAGTCACTGAGTTATACTTCTTCCCAAGGCTTACATCTCTTCCCTCCATCTTTTGATTCTGCTTCTCTTCTGCCTATTTTCTGCTTTTTTGCCTTTTGATTTCCGGTTTCTTAGTTAGCACTCCAGAAACAGCTCATCAAAACAAACTAGTGGTCTTCTGTCATACACTGGAAATTCCCCAATTGTATTAATGTCCTCTCAGATTTTACAGGAAAAGTCAATTTTTGCACTGATACCCTCTTTGAGTTTGAGGTTGAGTTTCAGGGCCTCAAACCAGCACAACCTGTGTCGTTCTCTCCCTCCCACTACAACATAAAACTCTCCCCTTCCCTTCCATCAGTGGAGCGGGGTCGGATCCACTATGTTTTCCTGGTGCAGAGATAAGGTTTGGCTCCTGAGCTGGGTTGTACTGACCAAAGAGCTGAGGAGAGAGACTGTGAAATGCCCAGTGGGACGCTGGTGGTAATGAGGACAAGGAACTTTATCTTTTTTACGAGGTTGGGCACAAGCACTGCCAATCCTTGGCAGGTACAGGGGTAGGGGGACATATGACATCCTGTACATAAAACAAGAAGTGCCTTCTGGGGAGAGCTCAGATCCCCCACAGGAAAACCTCCAGCTCAGCCTGTGAAAGTCAGAAGAGGGTATATGGGAAGGCATGCGTCAGATGGGGCTGTTCTTGGCCTCTTGGGATTCTTGTTTCCTCCAAAGATCGCTTGTCTCAGCATCAGGATCTGGATCAGCAGCAGCCCCCAGAACCGTGGCAGCAGCCAGAGCCCCCGCCTTGCTGACCACTGCCCCTGTCACAGGAGTTGGACCTCTGGCGCCGGCATCGGTGGTGGCGCCTGTGGTGGTTCAGGAAGCAGCCGCCCTCGGAGCTAGGGCCACAGCCCCCAGAGCTTGGGGCACAGCCAGAGGAAGCTGGAGGCAGACACTGTACTGGGTTCTTTGGGGGACACTTGGGTGAGGGGCACTTGGGTGGGGGTTGGCACTGCTTCTGGTTCTGCTGGCAGGACATCTTGGCAGGAGTTGAGATGTCCTGGAGAAAACGAAGCCACTTCTTAGTTCAAAATCTACAGTCCAACGTCTCTAAGACCAGCTGCCTCCTGAGGCAAGAGCTGCAAGAGGGTGAGGGAAGCTGATGTGGAGCTGGTGGGATATGCCAGATACTTCTCACATTGCTCTCCACCCGGGACAGATTGCTGTGAGTCTAAGTGGGCACGTGTGTTTCTGTTTCTCCAAAGAACCCCTAGGGAATGCACCCTTTTGGGAAAAAGAATTCTGTAGAATGGATGTTACAGGAAATGTGCCTGCCTGAGTAGAAAGAGGATGGGAGGGAATTGTGAGCTCTGTGGCCTTTGCAGGTCATGGAATTGCTGTCAGTTCCTGCAGGGTCTCCCTCCTGCCCCCTTCCCCCATTGCTGCCCTCTCACAGTCCTGTATCTGGGTCTTTGTTTCAAACCTCTCTGTTTCCATCTCTTCTGCTATGGCCTTAGCTTTCTGTTCTAACATCCCATATCAAGCCCTGTCCCCTGCTGAATACTTACCAGGTGCAGAGAGGCAGGAGAAGGCTGTTCCTGAGGAGACTGTGGAGGAGCCCAGGGCAGGAGTGCTTTTATCCTGTGCAGGGTGTGTGATGCACAGGCTGGGCATGCTGCTGCTTTCACAACCAGGGGAGGTGACAGCCAGGCACACCCTTGAGACTATCCATTCATCACCTTCCTGTGTACTCACCAAGATGCCTGACAAGAGGGAACCAGGAAGGTCTGACGCCTGTTTACCTTCACCTCATTCAGGCCTGCTGGGGGTTGCAATCCTACCTTCCTTGAAGCAATTGTTTTTATCACCACTCATTAGTAGTCACTCCTTATTCCACATTGCCCCTCTGGCAACTAGTAATCAATTTTTTGCCTGTATGGACTTGCCTATTCTGGACACTTCATATAAATAGAATCATATAATATATGGCATTTTGCATTAGCTTCTTTCACTTAATATATTGTTTAAGATTTATCCATGCTGTAGCATGTGTCAGAACTCCATTCTTCTTTATGGTTGAGTAATATTTCACTTTATGAATTTAGCACGTTTTATTTAACCATTCATCAAGTGATGGACATTTGAGTTAGCTCCAATTTTTGGTTATTGTGAATAATGCAGCTACAAACTTAATCTTTATTATTTCCTTCCTCCTGCTTTATGTTTAGTTTCTTCTTTTTTTCAGTGTTTTAAGGCAGAAGGTTAGGTAATTGATTTGAGATTTTTCTTCTTCCTTAATGTAGGCATTTGCAGCCATGTATTTCCCTGTAAGCATTTCCTTTGCTGTATCCCATAATTTTTGGTATGTTGTATTTTTATTTTCATTCATCTCAAAGTATTTTCTAATTCTCCTTGTGATTTCTTTCTGAACTCATTGGTTGCTTAAGACATTTCTGAATTTTCCAGTTTTCCTTCTGTTATTGATTTCTAGTTTCATTCTCCTGTGGTTACGGATGATACTTTGTATGATTTCAGTGTTTTAAAATTTAATGATACTTCTTTTATGACCCAACAAATGGTCTACCCTGCAGAATGTTCCATGTGCAATTGAGAAAAATGTGTATTCTGCTATTGTGGTTGGAGTGTTCAACAAGATGTCTGTTAGATTTAATTGGTTTATAGTGTTGTTAAAGTCTTCAGTTTGTTGATTTTCTTCCTAGTTGTTCTTCCATTAATGAAAGTGGAGTATGAAAGCTTCAAGTATTATTGTTAAATTGTTTATGAGTTGTCTGTTTCTCCCTTCAATTTTGTTAGTCTTTGTTACATGTAATATGGGACTCCATTGTTAGGTGCATATATATGTATAATAATTATTTCTTTAATAGATATGGATCCTTTTGTCATTATAAAATGTCCTCTTTGTCTCTGCCATTAATTTCGTCTTAAAGTCTATTTCGTCCAGTATTGTATAGCCACTCCAGATCTCTTGATTACCATTGCATGGTGTATGTTTTTCTACCTTTTACTTTGAATCTATTTTGTCTTTGAGCCTAAAATGTGTGTCTTATAGATAGCATATAGTTAGTTCATGCTATTTTATCCATTTTGCCAGTCTTAGCCTTTTGATTGGGGTATTTAATCTATTCACAATTAATGTAATTACTATTAAGGTAGAATTTATGTCTACCATTTACTATTTATTTCCTATATATTTCATAACTTTCTTTGCCCCTCTTTTTCTTCACTATGGCTTTGTTTTTTATTGAACAGGCATTTTCTAGTATACCCTTTTAATTTCAATGTTATATATTTTAGTATATTTTTTGAGTTATTTTCTTAGTGGTTTCCTTGGGAGTTCTTATTAACATCTTAACTTACAGTGATTATAACTCAGATCAATACCAACTTAATTTTGATAGCACGCAAAGCTTTGCTCCTGTGTAGGTTTGTTCCCTCCCCCTTCTGTATACTGTTATTGTCATATAAATCATATCTTTACATTAGAAGGCCATCAATGCAGTTCTATAAGTATTTCTTTATGCAGTTGTCTTTCAGATCAAATTGGAGAAAAAAGACTTAAAAGCACAAAATGCATTTATACTGTCTTTTATATTTACCATGTAGTTAACTTTACAAATGCTCTTCGTTTCTTCATAAAAATTTCAAATACTCTCTAGTGTTATTTCATTTCAGACTGAATTAATCCTTTTAGTATTTTTTGTAGAGTAGGGTTTCTGGAAACAAATTTTCTCAATTTTTGTTTATCTGGGAATGTCTTAATTTTTGGAGAATAGTTTTGCTGGATATAGAACTCTTGGTTTACTTTTTTTTTCTTTAGCACTTTGAATGTGTTATCCAACTGGCTTCTGTCCTCCATGGTTTCTGATGAGAAACCAGCTGTTAATGTTATTATTAATTTTTTTTGTATATGATGGGTCTTTTCTCTTTTGCTGTTTTAAAAATTCTCTCTTTGTCTTTTGACATTTGTACTATGGTGTGTTTAGGTGTGGAGAGGTTTGACTATACCCTGCTAGGAGTTTGTTGATCTTCTTAGATGTGTAGATTAATATTTTTCATCAAATTTGATAAGTAATTAACTGTTATTCCTTTGAATATTCTTCCTGTCTTTTTATTTCTCTCATCTCCTCCTGGGATTCTTATTATAAACATGTTGGTGGGCTTGATGGTTACTCACAGGCCTCTGAAGGCTCTGTTAATTTTTATTCAATCTTATTTCTTTCTGTTCCTCGGGTTGGATAATCACAATTGACCTATCTTCAAGTTCACTGATTTGTTCTTCTAGTTCAAACCTGCTGTTGAGCCCTTCTAGTCAATTTTAAATTTCAGTTATTATATTTGTCAAGCCTCAAATTTCTATTTGGTTGTTTTAAGAAATTCTTTTTAATTCTTTGTTGTTATTCTCTATTTGGCAAGACAACATTCTTATGTTTTCTTTTAATTCTTAAGACGTAGTTTATTTTAGTACTTTAAGCACATTTAAAATAGTTGATTTTTATCTTTGTCTAGTAAAACCAATGTTTAAACTTCTTCAGGGACAGTCTCTCTTGACTACCTCCCTGGACTTTGCCCCTTGTGTAGGTCATACTTTCTTGTTTATTTGTAGCTTTCTTTCTTTTTTGGTTAATAATTGGACATTTAAAATGATATAAAATCCTGGAAATCAAATTTCCCAACCCTCTCTGGGGTTTGTTGCTGTTTGTTTTCACTGTCCATTTGCTTCATGACTTTCCTGAACCAATTTTGTAAAATCTGTATTCTTTATTGTGTGTAGTCATTTAACTCTGTACTCAGTTAGCTTAGTAGACAGAGATTTCCTTAAATGCCTTGAGTTAATGTCTTTCAACCTTTGCTGAGGACCTCTGTGTGTATGTTGGGGCATGTTTTCAAGACTTCAGAAGACAGTTTACAAATCTGTCTTAGGTTTCATTTCCTGCTTGGATGGAACTTCAAGATCAGTCAAAGTTGAGATATTAGGGTCTTCCCAGGTCTTTTCTGTACATGCACACACCCTGTAAGTCCACATAGTCTCCTAGATTTCCAGAAATGTGTCATAGATTTTTAAAACTCTCTATGAGAATCTCATTCCTCAGATTTTCCATCTAAGTTTTTGGTCAACTTCTGATTTGCCCAACTATTATCACCATCACAGGCAGCTGTGATGCTAAACATTTTTTACTGATTGTTTTTGGCAAACACCCTGGGGTAAAAGCTGTTTTCAGTGAGAGAGTTCTGAGTCAACTGGAATGAAAACAAGCTTGGCTAGTTGGGATTTCTAGGGGAAATGGGAATGGGATCTTCATTATGTGCCATATAGTCAGATAATGACATTTCTCTAGGGATGGGGTTTTTGGATAGTTTCAGATATGTTCTGTTACCTCCATGTGCTACTAGCATTTTAGATTTCAAGACTATTATGGCACTGGGAACAGGGAGATGATAATAGGGCAAGTTAAAATGTCACAAAGCTCACTGCTCTTACCCATATTCAACTGCTTTTCTTAAGTGAACACTCTAATATTTTTGCAAGCCTTTGGTAAATCTCCAGAGTTTTGCAAAAGTTGATTTTCACAATTTTTCATTTTCAAGGTGTTTTTAATGGAAGAGCAGATTTTTGGAGATCCTTGCTCAATCATTCCCAACCTTGTCTTCTTAAGTGAAAACATGAGTCCCTAGTTTTTCATCTGGGTCACAAACTTCACATCCAATAAGCATTATTATTTTGAGATATACAGCTCTTCTCATCACCACAGAGATGCTTCCATATAATATCCAGGTCATATATGAGAAAGTAAGATTAAGCTTTTCCTGTTTTATTGAGATTTGACAAAAATAACTGCCAACTTGTAAACAATAGGCACAAATAACTCTCCACCTTATAAAGAGGTTGGAAGGAGCCCTGAGATGCTATCACTCTTCTCTTGTTATAGTAATGAGAAGTTTTCAAAACTGGATAGAATGCTGTGGATTTTCCCCTTACATTTCACATGGGGAAGCAACAGGTTATTACTCTTACCCTCCACTAGAGGAAAAGTCATAGAAATTTCAAGGGGACAAATTGTAGAACTTATCAATGCCTAAAAAACAGAAAGACTTGGCCAGTAGCGGTGGCTCATGCTTGTAATCTCAACACTTTGGGAGGTGAAGGTGGGTGGATCACTTGAGGTCAGGAGTTCAAGACCAGCCTTGCCAACGTGGTGAAACCCCATCTATACTAAAAATACAAAAATAGCTGGGTGTGTTGGCTGGTGCCTGTAATCCCAACTACCCAGGAGGCTGAGGCAGGAGAATCGCTTGAACCAGGGAGACGGAGTTTGCAGTGAGCTGAGATTGTGCCACTGCACTCCAGCCTGGGCGGCAGAGCAAGATTCCATCTCAAAACAAAACAAAACAAAACAATAAAACACACACACACACACACACACACACGCAAAACCCAGGAAGACTAAAATTTCAGGTCTCAGTGTCATCATTGGACTTGCTGAACAGTTCTCTGGCTATTCTGGAGAGTGAAAAATAATTGGAAAGGGAAAATGGAAAGGAGAATGGGGAAAAGAGAAGCAGCCAGTCCCTTACTGCTTGACATGGCCAGAGTTCATGAGTTTCCCTGAGCCAGTGGACAGTTTGGAGGGCAGCTAGGCATAGCTGTACTGCCACAGTCCTGCTGGGAATGTGGCTATCAAGGCAAGAGGCCTGTACCAATGGGGCTAAGAGTGCAGGGGAGTGTCAAAAGAGGCCAAATTTTTCACATCAGGTCACTGTGCTAAAGGTTCCTTAAAGAAATCAGTCATTTATCTGGTAAGAGAGCCCTCATGGGTCAGCACAGAGAGGATGCAGCCACTGAGAGACACTAGCAGTACCAGCCAAATATGAGATATTTGCTTTGTCCCCCCTTTTCTCATTCCGGCCTCAAAACAGTGCAGAATAAAGGGAACCCGCAGGGGAGAGGAGGAGGTGGACAATAAATGATGGAACTAACCATGTCTCTTTTCCACACACTAGATGCCTGTTTTCCACACAGTCCTTTAGGAGACAGTTGGGCTGTGCTGGGTTGGAGAGGGAGGAGTTAATATTCTTATTCTGAGTTATATCCAACTGGACAGGATAGGATGCTTCCTGAATACCTGAAAAATGATTAGAAAGGCCTGAAACACACTTGAGATATTATCAAAGTAGAGTCAGTATAACATAGTAGAAGACAGAGACTAGAGGAAAAATAAGTCACTATTTGTATCTGACACTGAGTTCAGACTACTTAATAAACTTCAGAGGCCCTTGGAAGATTTTCCTGCCAAGGATCTCTCTTGGTTCTTCCTCTCTTTCCAATATCAGTCAATAAATAAATCAATACTCAATTTCATAAATTGCATAATATTTTTTAAACTGCATTTAGGAAAACATTCCTTCTTGGAGCTAATTATCACTGTAAAATCAGGGCTTTGTGGTGAAAAATGTGAAAGACTTCAGATGTCAACAATGAAAAGTTTTGTCTCCAAACTCCATGTCACCCTCAAAACCTTCAGTTTCTGTGAGCTATCTTGGGTGGTCTGTGACATGATCTTTCTTTACTCTTGAGCTGGGCTCCAATTTTCAGTACAGGTCATGGTGGGCCTGGAGTGCTGAGGAATGGGTCAGACCTCCAATCATCCAGGGGGCTTTGAGTTGCTAAGAGTGGTGTAGGGAAGGCAGATAAAGTTGAAGAAAGTTTTGTTATTTCAGAAAGTCACATATAGAAAGAGGAGATGGGGGTCGGGGAGGTAGGGAGAAGATGGATGCCAGGAGATCAGGGAGGGTGGAATTTCTGGAGAGAAGAGAATCCTCTACCTCAGAAGTTCTCAGCTTTGGCTGCACATTGGCATCATCTTGGAGGGTTTTTTAAAAATACAAAACTCTGAGTTTCATCCCTCAAGACGCTGGTTGGCTTGGGCTAGGCATCAGGGTTTTAGTATCTCCCAGGTGATTCTGATGCACAGTCAGGTTTGAGAGGATCAGATCACATGAGGTGGAAGAGAAAGAATTGGAGGTTGGAGAATGAGATCACCTGTGGGCTTACGTGCATACGTACCTATTGTCCACAAAACAAACAAAAAATTCTTTGGCTACAGTACTAGTCTCTGGCTGGTCAGGAACTGGCTGATTTCTCTAGTCTCAACTTCTACTATCCTCTTCTACTTCTTTACCTGTCTTTGTCACACCAAGGGGTCTGAGGCTTCTCCCTGGGCCTGAGCTGGGGGGCACCTTAGTGACTGAAGCTTGGTGCTCAGGGAGTGTCTGTCTGAACACCTTGAGGAAAGAGGCAGATGTCTCAGGAAGTTCTAGTTCATAGACTCTCTGGACAGGATCTTGTTACCAGGTTCTATGTTGCTTGCTTATAGGCTGCAGGGTCCTGGTAGTAGGCGGGGGGGCGGGAGGTGTGGGGGAGGAAAGAGTAAGTTTTTCTAAGAGAAGGATCTGGGATGCCCCAAGACTGTCCGGGTACCTATTTCTTAAGTTTGTTTTTGGTGTGTTTTCTTCTCTTTCTCCCATCCTCTTTTGCTCTCCCCCTCTCTTTACATTCCTTCTTTACTTTCTTCTATTCTCTAAAAAATGAACAGATATTACACAGTGGGCATGGTGATAGATGTGCAATCCATTGGATGGTGGACACACCTAATTATAAATAAATGAGATGTGGTTCTGGTTGAGTAGCTCACCTTGTAGCAGGGCAGACAGACAGGTGATCAAATGACTATGACCCAAGATGATGAAAGCTACATAAAACATGTGTTGAGTCCTGAGGCTTATGCAAGAGCTTTTGGCTATCAGTCTCCTGTCTCCTCAGTGTGCCCAGAGGTTGTCATTTGGTATCACTTGAGAGTAGTTGAGGTGAGGTCAGCAGCCTATAGGAGCTGATGATGGGCATGGAGCAGGAACAAAGGGATAAGGAGTCTGACCTCCCCTTGCAGTTTATGGTCAGAGAGACACAGAGAAACTCATGAAACCTAGGAGGCAGAGGTGTCCCTGCAGAGAGAAGGGGGATGGACAAAATTCCTGTCTGAGGACAGAATGTGGTGGATAGAAGCGGCCAGAATAATAGGTTCATTAAGAACATAGGTTGGGGAGTCAGATATTTCAGGCTTTGTTTTCTTATTTCTTCAGGTGATAGTTGTCATAAGGTAAAGGTGTTTGAAGAGAGAAAAAACTACAATGGAATGAAAGCACAGTGGACCACGGATGTTAGAGCTGCAACCAGAGATGGAGATAAGAAACTAACCTACATCTGATGAACGATGTGTCAGTAAGCCACTCACTTTGTAAGTTTCTGAGTTGCAGACATGGGTCAGAGAAGAAGGTGATTCACCCAGGCTGGGATATTCAGGGAGAATTTATCTGAAAGGTAATTATAATTAATTGAAGGTGAATAATTATAGATACATTTTGTAGTGTTATTATGTATACCTGATGTAATGCAATTGATGTGTGACTAATGCCTGTAAAAACTGCATTTGAATCAGCTCTGTAGAATTTTCCTATTGCATTTTATTATAACAATAAAGACGCATTTTCTTCTGAAATATAAGCATACTCAAGAATAAGACAAATCTTTTATATCACACAGGTAATTAACAATATGTATTTTTTTCAGACAAATACACCAGTGGTTCAGAATAGAAAGCCAAAAAATAAGGCCACACACCTACAACCATCTGGTATTCAACAAAGCTGACAAAAACAAGCAATGGAGAAAAGACTCCTAGTCAATACATGGTGCTAGGATAACTGGTCAGCCATATGCAGAAGATTGAAACTAGACTCCTTCCTTACACCATATACAAAAATCAACTTAAGATGGATCAAAGACTTAAATGTAAAACCCAAAATTATAAAAACCCTGGAAGACGACTGAGGCAATACCATTCCAGACATAGAAATGGACAAAGATTTTATGACAAAGACACCAAAATCAATTGCAAAAATGACAAATGGGATCTAATTAAACTAAAGAGCTTCTGCACAGCAAAATAAACTATCAATACAGTAAACAGACAACCTACAGGATGGGAGAAAATCTTTGCAAACTATGCATCTGACAAAAATCTAATAATATCCAGCATCTATAAGGAACTTAAGCAAATCTACAAGAAAAAAAACAAACAAACAACCCAATTAAAAAGCAAGCAAAGGACATGAACAGACACTTTTCAAAAGAAGAGGTGCATGCAGTCAATAAGCATATTTTTAAAAAGCCCAACATCCCACTGATCATTAGAGAAATTCATATCAAAACCGCAGTAAGGTATCATCTCAAACCAGTCAGAATGGCTGTCATTAAAAAGTCAAAAAATAGCAGGTGTTGTAAGGTTGCAGAGGAAAAGGAATGCTTATACATTGTTGACGTGAGTGTAAATTAGTTCAACTGCTGTTGGAGACAGTGTGGCTATTCCTAAAAGACCTAAGGACCAAAATACCATTCAACACAGCAATCCGTTACTGGGTATATACCCAAAATAATATAAATCGTTCTCTCGTAAAGACACATGCACACATATGTTTATTGCAGCACTACTCACAATAGCAAAAACATGGAATCAACCTAAATGCTCATCAAAGAGAGACTGGATAAAGAAAATGTGATACAGGTATACCATAGAATACTATGCAGCCATAAAAAAGAGTGAGATCATGTCCTTTGCAGGAACATAAATGGAGCTGGAGGCCATTATCTTTAGCAAAGTAAGACAAGAAAAGAAAACCAAACACTGCATGTTGTCATTTGTAAGTGGCAGGTAAATAATGAGAACACATGGACACATAGAGAGGACAACAGACACAGGGACGTACCAGAGGGTGGGGAATAGAAGGAGTGAGAGGACCAGGGAAAATGACTAATGGGTACTAGGCTTAATACCTGGGTGACAAAATAATCTGTACAACAAATCCCCATGACATAAGTTTACCTGTATAACAAACCCGCACATGTACCCCTGAACTTCAAATAAAAGTTAAATAAAAATGCACGGCTTTTGAGAAAACATTATTAGTACAGTAAATGTGTCTGTTTATCCTACTACAGGAAAGCCTATAGTTGTGGCTACCCACTTTGAGATAAGGTCTAACAGGAGGAAAATGAGAGTACCTTCATACTACTGGTGCAAACATTATTTTTTCCACTGGCAGTGGTCTGAGAACATAGGCCTTCTAGTGCACTAATATTCTTCTCATCACCACTAGCAACTCATCCCTTATTCTTACTTGATTGCTGTCTGTGGTATAAAAGTAAGGTGTTACTACATGAGCTTTTTGCAGTAGCAAAGCCAGTATATTTAATCATCAATGTTGTTCTCAGGCTAGTGTCTTTCATTGTGTTTATCAAAGCTACACTGCTGCCTCCTCAATCCAGAGATATGGGAAACCAACTGGATAGAGGGGTGTTGATACCTTACTTTGCTGTTTTACAAGCAAATCAGAGGACTGTCTTGAATGGACCCACTAGATTGGAAGTTCCCTGAGAACATCTTATTTTTTCATTTTCTCTAATGTATCTCCAGTATCTATAGAGGTGTCAGTATATAATAGATGTTTAATAAATAGTTTTTAAATAATGAATGATTAATTATTAATTATTGAATCCTAGGCTGGGTTGAGGTGGTCTTTATTAGTGACCTGTTGGGGTCCACTTTTAGGGGCAGCATCATGAACTGCATAACATCTATCTTTGACTGTCTTGGTATTGCAGGTTCAAACTTCATAAGTTGGTCCAACTCCTATTTCTTCTCCCTCCTGAGTGGACTCACAGTGGGTGTAAGAATTGGCGGACAATTTGACATCAAGAGCTTGACCTTGGTAGGTGCTTGGAGCCTCCAGTCCTCTTTCCATAGACTTTGATGGCAGGCTTTATTTCTTCAAAGGCTGGATCTTTTCTCTTTCAGGTGATATGCAGTTAGGAATTTGTCTCATGAATTCTAGTCCTGCTCTAAACAGTGGTCCTCAGTTTCTGGACTAGTGGAGTGGTTCTGGCTAGATCTGTGGGCTCCTTGGTGTGGGGTCCATGTGGCAAGGCCTCACACACAGGGTAGCAACTCCAACCTCCCAACCAACCTTATGCATTCTCAATATTTTTGAGACATATTTGAATCATGACTTGACACTGTTTCTGTCCCATGGTGGAGCGCTACCCAAGAATGTCTCCAGTTTTGAGTAACAAGCAGCTTGTGGTGATGAATCAAACAGGACGGCTGTGGTTCCTACTTTCAGCAACTGTGCTGAGCTGGAGAGTAATCAGAACTGGTTAGAGTATTTCTCACATCAGACTCCTTGAGAGCCCTTTTCTTTACTAAATTTCAGAGATTTTAGAAATCCTGAGTTCTTAGACTTTGCAGTAAAAATAAATAGGCAGTTTGACGTTTTCAAAAGGATATTTTTGATTCAATAAACTCCTAATGTTTTATCTATATTTATTTATTTTTGCTTGTTGTACCCAGCTCCACACAGAGTTCTCCCACATTTTCAATTTGTAATTTAATTCATGTCCTGTGGTGTTCCTTTGGCTTATTCTAAGAACTATATGAATGGCTTTGATGAACTGTTTCTCTAAGCTAGTATTTCAACAATCTGACAGACAGAGAGACTCATCTCTAAGGAGGTAATTCAGCCTAGAGGGCGGTTAAGTATCACACATCCAAAACATGACAGAGAAAAATTTTTAAAAAGTTTTATTGAAGTTATGAGTCACATAGTTGGGCTCTTAGCTCTGCAGATTTAAAAAAATCAAACAAAAATAAAAACAAAACACGAAGTTAAACAGGACAAAATAAATGTAAAGTAGAAAATACTAATTGTTTCTAAAGATCTCTTGAAAAGTCTCCAGGGAGGGACAAGTGGCATCAGCGAGGATCACGGACTTATTGGCTGGGTCCTGTGCAGAACTGTTGGACCCACAATTTCCCTGTTTGTAAAATATGGTTATTAAGAGCACCTGGCTTATCGAGTTAGAAAATTAAATGAGTTCATAGTAGTCACTTAGGGTTTTCTAGCACCTAATAAGCAAATAAGTTTTTGATCTTACAATTATTCTAATTTATAAGCCTAGCAATACTTCTCATTTTCTCTCTTCCTTTATCTTAATGGTCTCAGTCCACACCTTCCACATTACTACATTCCCTAAGCTCTCAGCTCCATTTCTCCCCTGACCCAGGACTTCTTAAGCTTTAATTAATTCTACTCCCTCCACCTTCTCTCTCTGAAGATTTAATTGTGTATGTGGAGTTATCTGTTTTTCCTGAGACCAGCTTTTTCTTTTTTCTTTTCTTTTCTTTCTTTTCTTTTTGAAATGGAGTTTCACTCTTGTTGCCCAGGCTGGAGTGCAGTGGTACAACAGGCTCACTGCAACCTCTGCCTCCCAGGTTCAAGCAATTCTCCTGCCTCAGCCTCCTGAGTAGCTGGGATTACAGGCATCTGCCACTATGCCAAGCTATTTTTTTTTTTTGTATTTTTAGTAGAGACTAACCATATAACATGTGGTTTCATCATGTTGGTCAGGCAGTCTCAAACTCCTGACCTCAGGTAATCCACTTGCCTCAGCCTCCCAAAGTGCTAGGATTACAGACAGCTGAGGCCATGTTTTTCTTTACCCATCTTTTAATTGTAGTCTAAAGGTTTTCAGCCTTGCAATTATTGGACTTCTTGGGGCAGATAATTCTCCACTGTGGGGCTGTTCTATGCTTAGTAGGAGGCTTAGCTGCATCCCTGGCCTCTACCCACTAGATGCCAGAAATTCTCTTTCTACCTCTAAGTTTTGACAACAAAAAATGTCCCTTGGAGAGTCAAATTTACCCCTTTAGAAGAAATGCTAATTCTGCCTATTTTTTTGATAATTGCCTGCTACATCTTCACTGTTTTGTAATAGAGATGTCAGAAACATCTAGTAGCTAGCTCCTCCTACGACTGGGGAGTCCATTATGAGAGGACAATCACATTTCAGTCATTCTTTTCTGACAGTTAGAGGCCTCACTACAACCCCTCTCATCACATCCTGTCCCCCACTGCCGCACAATTCCAGCAGAAAAGGACTCGACAGATTCCTGAATTTTGCAGACCTAGAGCTAGAATTCTGCATCTTCCCTGTGGTGGTGCTGGATGTCAGGGGCAGACAGGAGGGCACACTTCCAGCCCCACCTAGGGAGAGACAGAGTGAAATGCCAAGGGAGACACCAGTGGTAATGAGGACAAGGAGCTTTATTTTTTGATGAGGTCAGGCACAAGCACTGCCAATCCTTCACAGGTACAGGGGTAAGGGAACATGTGACATCCTGGACATCAGACAGGAAGTGCCTTCTGGGGAGAGCTCAGACCTTCCACAGGAAAACCCCTAGCTCAGCCTGTGAAAGCCAGAAGAGGGTATCTGGGAACTCATGCATCAAGATGGGGTTTTCCTGGGCCCTTGGGATTCTTGTTTCCTCCAAAATCGCTTGTCTCAGCATCAGGATCCAGGTCAGCAGCAGCCTCCAGAGCCATGGCCGCAGCCAGAGCCCCCGCCTTGCTGACCACTGCCCCTGTCACAGGAGTTGGGCCTCTGGCGCCGGCATCGGTGGTGGCGCCTGTGGTGGTTCAGGAAGCAGCCGCCCTCGGAGCTAGGGCCACAGCCCCCAGAGCTTGGGGCACAGCCAGAGGAAGCTGGAGGCAGACACTGTACTGGGCTCTTTGGGGGACACTTGGGTGAGGGACACTTGGGTGGGGGTTGGCACTGCTGCTGGTTCTGCTGGCAGGACATCTTGGCAGGAGTTGAGTTGTCCTGGACAAAACAAAGCCATTTGTTAGTCCAAAATCTACAGTCCAATGTCTCTAAGACCAGCGGCCTCCTGAGGCAAGAGCTGCAGGAAGGTGAGGGAAGCTGATGTGGAGTTGGTGGGACATGCCAGATGCCTCTCACTTTGTTCTCCACCAGGGACAGATTGCTGTGAGTCTAAGTGGGCATCCATGTTTCTGTTTCTCCAAAGAGCCTCTAGGAATGTACCCTTTTGACAAAAGGCATTCTGGAGAATGGAGATCATAGGAAACATGTGCCAGCCTGAGTAGAAAGAGGATGGGAAGGAATCATAAGCTTCTGTGGCCTTTGCAGGTCATGGAATTGCTGTCAGTTCCTGCAGGGTCTCCCTCCTGGCCCCAGTTCCCACATTGGTACCCTCTCTGCCATCCTCTCTCCGGGCTTTTGTTTCAGATCTCTCCATTTCCCTCTCCTGCTATGACCTTAGTTTTCTGTTCCAACATCCCAAGTTGAGTCCCATCCCCTGCTGGACACTCACCAGGTGCAGAGGAGGCAGGAGAAGGCTGTTCCTGAGGAGACGGTGGATGAGGAGCCCAGGGCAGGAGTGCTTTTATCTTGTGCACGGTGTGTGATGCACAGCCTGGGCATGCTGCTGCTTTCACAACCAGGGGAGGTGTCAACAAGGCACACGCCCAAGACTAGGTTTGTAGCTTTGGCACTTCCATAATATCCAACCAATGACATTGAACCTGGAAGCAGGATCACTGTCCACATACCTCTCACCTGGGAGGCTACCACTGCTTCTTTTCTTCCTCCCTTCTTCCTTGTTT
The DNA here is from genome assembly GCF_000001405.40 of Homo sapiens. Classification (NCBI taxonomy): domain Eukaryota; kingdom Metazoa; phylum Chordata; class Mammalia; order Primates; family Hominidae; genus Homo; species Homo sapiens. The sequence goes on from NC_000001.11 coordinate 152,580,761, forward strand.
CAACTCACGTGCTGTGGAGCACAGTCTGTCCTTTACAATTTCCTGGGAATTAGTATGACATAATTCTTTCTTGAGTCATGACTGGAGAAATAATAGTCATTTCAACAAATAGAGATGAAATAATTGGACGTCCATATGTAAAAGAAATCATACCTAATGCTAGATATAAAAATTAATAGATCATAATTTAAAAAATTAAACTATGAAACTTCTGCAATAAAACATAATAAATCTTTGTGACTTTGGGTTATGCAAAATTTTTCAGATATGCCAAAAAGGTACAATTCAAAAAAGAAATATAGGACTTCATCAAAATTAAAAACTTCTGCTTTTCAAAAGGCACTGCTAGGCAAATGCAAAGAAAATTCACAGACTTGGAGACAATATTGTAAAACACAAATCTTACCAAGGACTTGGTTCAAGAATTTTTTTTTTATTTTTATTTTTTGAGACGGAGTCTTGCTCTGTCGTCCAGACTGAAGTGCAGTGGCGCGATCTTGGCTCACTGCAAGCTCTGCCTCCCGGGTTCTCGCCATTCTCCCTGCTCAGCCTCCCAAGCAGCTGGGTCTACAGGCGCCTGCCACCACACCCAGCTAATTTTTTTGTATTTTTAGTAGAGATGGGGTTTCACTGTGTTAGCCAGGATGGTCTCTATCTCCTGACCTGTGATCCACCCGCCTCGGCCTCCCAAAGTGGTGGGATTACAGAGCCACTGTGCCCGGCCAATGTTTTTTAAATTCTCAAAAATAGGTAATAACACAGAAAATATGGGCAAAGTATTTGAAGAGTCATTTTAACAAAGAAGATATATGGGTGGCAGTTAAGCACATGAAAAGATACTCAACCTAATCAGTCATTAGAGAAATGCAATTTAAAAGCAAAGTGAGATACCACTCTATACACATTGGAATGGCTAAAATGAAATAAATGACAATATCAAGTAATATGAGGGATGTAGAACAACAAGAAGCCCAAGTCATTGCTGGTAGAAATGCAAAATTACATTAGTTGGCAGTCTATCAAAAAAATTAAACATACAACTTACAATTTGCCCCAGAAATCCTATTCTTAGATATTTAGCCAAAAGAAATATAGTTGTATGTTCACAGAAAAACCTGTAGCCCAACATTTATAGTGGCTTTATTCATAACTGCCCTGAATTTGAAGAACCCCACAAGATCTTCAACTGATGAATAGAGTTTTAAAAATGGTATATTTATGCAATGGAAGGCTACTTAGCAATAAAAAAGGAATCAACTACTGATATATAAAACAACAGGGATGAATCTCAAATGCAAAAGAAGTCAGACTTTACATACTACATATTATATAATTTTAATTATAGGGCATTCTTGAAAAGGCAAAATTATAAGAACTGAAAATAGGTCAGTGGTTGCCAAGGGCTGGTATGAGGGAGAGGCTGATTTAATAAGCAGATGAGGGAATATTTTGAGGTGATAGAACTGTTGTATGTCTTAGTTGTTGTGGGGTTTACCTGACTATATATGTTAGTTAAAGCTCATAGAATTGGATAATTAAATGGATGATATTTTGGTATACAAAATCTCAAGAAATGAAACTTAAAATAGAAAAAACAATTAAAATAACAATTTTTAGAAATAAAAAATAATGAAATATACCAAAAGGGAAGCAAAGAATGATGAATACAAGATTTAGGATCATGGTTATATTAGATGGGACAGGCAGGGACATGGGTGAAGGCTGAATTACACAGGTGCATATAATTTACTATCAAAGTTATCATTTTCGCTTGGATGGTGAATTTTTGTGTGTTTGTTATTTAAATAATAGACAAACAGGTAGGCACATTAATTAAGAAGGCCAAGCATGGATGAATTGTGAGCATATAATATGAACAGAGGGTATTTGTTAATCTAATTTTGTGCTTCTGAAATCCAATAGTAAGAAAATTAAATGACATAAACTCCACGACAACTTGGACAACTTCCCAAGTTGCCATTGATGGCTTGCTCATCTCATCTTCCCCAAGAATGACTCAGCTGCTTTTCATAGCATCAGTCATATATTGCAAAGGAGAAGGGTTGATCCTTGGTTGGTTGTTTGTCCACTCATTTATTACTAATATGACTTCTCAGAAGATTCACCCTGGAACTAGACCTCAGATAAAGCACCTCCTGGCCCAGAGTCAACATGCTTGTTATTAGGTCATAACATCCTCATTTTGAGCCAGTCAAGTAAATTTCTTCTTCATTATCCCAGGTCCTCAGGATGTCAGGGATACTAAGAAGTTCTCACAGTGCAGAACATTTGGAGCTGCTCCATGCTCTGAGAGAAGTAACTGGGCTGTGGACTGTGTTCTGAGAAGAACAAGTGGTTGGAGATTTCATAAGAGATGTGTGAGATTAAGGAGTTCCATCCCAAGAAGAAAAAGAATGTCTCCAAATTAGGATATGGAGACAGAAACTCAGAAAGGGACCCAGTGGTGGAGCTAAGAAAAAGCCAGCTACAAGTCAGCTTTCAATTCATGAGGAAAGGTGGACCCTCCTGCTGACAAGTTCTGAAATGCTTTGAGTCACACTGACAGGCGGACATGTGTTATACTCAAAATGAAGTCTTACAGCAATTCAAAGTTGTACATCATTAGGAGTAAATACGGACTCTGTACTTATTTCTGGACAACGACTGTACATGGAAAAGTAATTATTCACTTCTGAAGCTAGGTTTGAACTCCAAGACAAAGACAGTTCTCTCACCCACACTATAATGCCTACATTTTGCCTTTGGGCTCAGTCATCACAGATATAAATACCATATTTGTGTAGTGTCTATCTTCTCTGCTAGGTTGTAAGATCCCTGAAGAAAGTAAATGTGCCCCTTATTCAGTGCTGAAACCCAAGCTGAGCAAGCCACTTACTGGCCTTAGCAGATATTCAGCTTGTGTTTCTCAAATAAAGGATGATGAGAGTCAATTCCAACATGTAAGATTGGTGATGGCATGTCGGAAAGAGAGAGGCTCAGATCAAACTTTGGGCTTGAGAAGAAAAGTTATAGAGTGATGTCTCCAGTGAGGGTTGCAGATCAGGGGTCAGGGTAGACCCAACAGGGCATCTGGGACTCTCTGGGAGCACCCTCTCACTCCTCTCACTCAGGCTGCCCCATTCCTGTTCTCTAGGTTTTAGGTCTGACACCACTGGCATTTTTTCCGATATTTTTTTTCCACTCTCTTGGTTGCTTTTCAGCCTCACCATCCAGTTTGACATAAAAAAGCACATTGCACCTGTTATGGGACAGTCACTAGAAGAGCTAATGGCTGCTCTCAGTGCAGCAGTTAAGCTGAAAATGCAAATACACCTAGAAACCCGGAAGGGAATGAGGATCTTATGTTGAAGACCGAGAGGACTTTTGTATATGGGGTGAGATAAGGGTCCAGTTTCATTCTTCTGCATGTGAATATCTAGTTTTCCCCAAACCATTTATTTAAGAAACTATCCTTTTTCCATTGTGTGTTCTTGGCACCTTTGTCAAAGATCAGTTAACAGGAAGTGTGTGTGTGGGTTAATTTATGGGCTCTCTAGCTCTCTATTCTGTTCCATTGATCTATGTGTCTGTCTTTTTTTTTTCATGCTGTTTTGATTACTGGAGCTTTGTAGTACATTTGAAATCAAGTGGTGTATTACGTCCAGCTTTGTTCTTTTGTCCTTAAGATTGCTTTGGCTATTCAGGGTATTTTGTAGTTCCACATGAATTTTAGGATTTAAAAAAAATTCTATTTTATTTTTCAAGATGGTATATTGGAGGCTTTAGCATGACTCTTCCACTTGGAAATAGCAAAATAATGCATAAAGATCAAAATTATGGCTTTAATTCAAGAACGAAAATGGGAATTCACTGGAAAGCAAAAGACATCACAGTTCCTAAGGAGGCGAAAATGGGCAAACAACCCTTGTTATAGAGTCCAGCTGAAAAGTGAGTGAAGCCCCAATATGTGAGAGGGGCACACATTATGACTTAGCTTTCTAATGGGGATCCATGCAACCCAGGCCAAAGGAGAGCATCATATTTCTCCCATGCCCTGGAGCTAGCTTGAGAAGAGGTTGGGAGACACTGAGAGGGAAAGACACTGGGAAAAGCTGCGGAGATTTTCCCGAACCCAGTACTGAAAGCAGGATGCCATTTTTAATCCAGGCACATACAAAGTCAGCCATTCTCTGATGACTTGGCAGTATGGCTGTGCAGGCATTTTAGTCTTGGGCCAGAGAGTGGAGCACTTACCCTGGAGTAGGGTAGGGGTCTCTACAGCCATAATCTAATGGCAAGTGTGGAAAGTGCCCCACAAGTAGGTGCTGGAACTGTGTTCTCCCCTATCACCGCAGTAGGAGAACTACTGCAGCTGCTGTTTCTTCTGGGTGGTAAGACTTGCAGCCAGGGCCACCTGGTGTGGAGACCCGGAATTAGTCTGTATGTGTCATTCATGGGTGCTCCAGCCTGCTCCCCTGAGACTGTGCTGCAGCAGGGCAATTTCTGCTCCATGCTCCCACAGATCTTCAGACATTCAGGACTCCACTTGTCTGGATCAGCAGCCTGAGCTGCCCCATTCTTCCAGTGCAGATTGTGGTAAAGCAGGGCCCTCTATGCTTTATGCCTAGGCAGATATTCAGGCATCTGGAGCACCCACTCTCCTGGATTAGGAGTTCAAGCTGCCCCCCAACACTTCCATGCAGAGAACTTGGGGCCAAGGAGGTTTCCCAGCTCCAGGCCTAGGCACCCCACTGGGAGCCTTTCTCCCTTGGTGCTGGTGCTTGTGCCTGCCATTGGAGGATCTGTTAGGTGGGCTGCCCAGTGTGGCTCTACCCATCTTTGTATGCCCCCAAGGACTGAGCAGGGAGCTCAAACCACTGAGCACCCCACAGATCAGCCCATTGCCTGAGGCAATTCAGAGCTTCTGTCCGTAAACAAGTATCAAATATATACCTATTTGCATTGACCACTGCTGGCTTTTACTCATAAGCACCATCTACTGGCCTGTAGGTCAAACTGATCAGCCCAAAATAAAACCTGCCAATAGAAGTGCCTAGGGCATAGGGCTACAGAAGTAGTCAAAAGACCCTAGCCAACATTTTCTACAGTCACACCTTCTAGGGAGGAAGGGGGAAGGAAAAAAAAAAAAAGAACAAATCAATAAAATTATAGGGAAATAAATAAAGAAAAAATCTTATCCACATGAAAATATTTACATAGAAGTGCTAGGCTAGCATCACCAGATGAGAAAGAACTAGCACAAGGACTCTGGTACCATGAAAAGTCTGAATGTTGTGACACCTCCAAAAGATCTTCAGCAATGGTCCCTAACCAAAATGAAATCTCAGGAATTACATATAACAAATTCAAAACATGAATTGCAACAAAGCACAATGAGATCGAAGACAAGGTTGAAAATCAACATAAAGAAACTTCTAAAGCAATGCAGAAAATAAAGGAAGAGATAAAAAATCTTAAATCAATCAGAGATTCTGAATTTAAAAACTCACTTAAAGAAATTCAAAATATGATTGAAAGCTTTACCACTAGACTAGACCAAGCAGAAGAAAGAATTTCACTGGTATGAATACCAATCTTTTGAACTAATCCAGTCAGACAAGAATAAAGAAAAAAGAATTTAAAAAACGAACAAAGTCTTTGAGGAAGGATATTCTGTAAAGCAACCAAACCTACAAATTACTGGCATTTCCAAGAAAGAAGGAGAAAGAGTAAACAACCTGGAAAGTATATTTGAGGGAATAACTCAAGGAAATTCCCCTCATCTTGCTAAAGAGGTAGACATTAAGACACAAGAAATATAGAGAATGTGTGCAAGATACTATACAAAACAAACATCACCAAGGCAGATAGTCACCAGACTGTCCAAGATTAATGCTAAAGAAAAAAATCTTAAAGGCAGCTAGAGAAAAAGGTCAGACCACATACAAAGGGAAGCCCATCAGGCTAACTGCAGAGTTCTCAGCAGAAAACATACAAATCAGAAGACATTGGGGGCTCATTTTCAGCATCCTTAAAGAAAAGAAATTCCAACCAAGAATTTAATCCCCTATCAAACTATGCTTCATAAGCAAAGAAGAAATAAAATCTTTTCCAGACCAATGATTACTAAGGGAATTTGTTACCACTAGACTAACCTTACAAGAAATCTTTAAAGGAGTTCTAAACATGGAAACAAAAGAACAATACCTGGTCCACAAAAACACAGTTAAGTACATAGCTTGCAGACCCCATGAAGCAGCTACACAATAGAAACTACAAAGCAGCCAGCTCACAACTTCACAATCAAAACTTCACATATCAATATGTGGGCTTGAGTATAAATGGTCTGCAGGCCCAATTTAAATGGCACAGAATGGCAGGTAGGATGAAAAAGCAAGACTTATCCATCTGATGTCTTCAAGAGACCCATCTCAAATGTAGCGACAATTATAAGCTCAAAGGGGTTGGAAAAGGATCTATCATGCAAATGGAAAACAAAACAAAGTGGGAGTCAATATTCTTAGATAAAATAGACTTTAAATCAACAAAAACTAAGAGAAAAACCAAAGAAGGCAATTACATAAAAATAATGCATTCAATTAAACAATAAGATTTGACTATCCTAAATATATATGCATTCAACATTGGGGCACTCCAGTTCATAAAACAAGTACTTCTAGGTATATGAAAAGAACTTAGCCACACAATGATAGTGAGGACTTCAACACTCCATTGGCAGTGTTAGACACATCATCGAGGCAGAAAACTAACAAATTCTGGACTTAAATTGGACACTTGATGAATTGGGTTAACAAACTTCTACAGAGTACTTCACCCATTAATCACAAAATAAATTCTTCTCACCTGCACATGGAACATACTCCAAGATTAACCACATGCTCAGCCATAAGGTGAGTCTCAATAAATTTAAAAAAATTGAAATCATACAATTTATACTTTTGGACCACAGTGGAATAAAAACAAAAGTCAATACTAAGGAGATGTCTCAAAACCAAACAATTACATGGAAATTAAACAGCTTGTTTCTGGATGAATTTGGGGGAAACAACAAAATTAAGGCAGACATAAAAAATTCTTTGAAATAAATGAAAACAGAGATAAAACATCCAAAAAGTTAACAACCTAACATCACTCCTAGAGGAACTAGGGAAATGAGAAAAATTAACCCAAAGTTAGAAGAAAAGAAATAACTAAAATCAGAGCAAAACTGAATGAAATTAAGATCCAAAACCACACAACTTCCCAAGACTAAATCAGGAAGAAACTGAAAACTTGACCAGACCAACATGGAGCTCCAAAATGGAATTAGTAATTAAGAAACCGTACCAACCAAAAAAAGCCCTAGACCAGATGGATTCATAGCTGAATTCTACCAGAGGTACAAAGAATAGCTGGTACCCATTCTACTAAAACTATTCCAAAAAATTGAGGAGGAAGGACTCCTCCCTAACTCATTCTATGAGTCCAGCATCATTCTGATACTAAAAATCTGGGAAAGATAGAATGAAAAAGAAAAATATAGGTCAATATCTCAGATGAACAGACACAAAAATCCTCAACAAAATACTAGCAAGCTGAATCCAGCAGCACACCAGAAAGTTAATTAACCACAATCGAGTAGGCCTTATTCCTGGCATGTAGGTTTGGTTCAACATATGCAAATCAATATAAGTGATTCACCTCATAAACAGAATTAAAAACAAAAACCTTATGATTGTCTCAATAGTGCAGAAAAATCTTTTGATAAAATCTAACATCCTGTCATAAAAACCCTCCACAAACTAGGCATTGAAGGAACATACCTCAAAATAATAAGAGCCATTTATGACGAACTCACAATCAACATCATACAGAATGTGTAGAATCTGGAAGCATTCCCCTTAAGAACATGAAGACAAATAGGCTCCTTCTCACCACTCCTATTAAATCTAGTAGTGGAAATTCTAGTCAGAGCAATCAGGCAAAAGAAAGAAATAAAAGACATCCAAATAGGAAAAGAGTAAGTCAAATTATCTCTTTTCTCTGATTCTGTACCTAGAAAACCCTAAAGACTCTGCCCTAAGTTTCCTAGAACTGATAAGCAACTTCAGTAAAGTTTCAGGATACAAAATCAACACACAAAAATAAGTAGCACTTCTACTCACCAATTACGTTCAAACTAAGAGCCAAATAAAGAATGCAATCCATTTACAATAGACCCCCAAAAATACCTAGGCATACATCTAACCAAGATGGTGAAAGATCTCTATAAGGAAGACTAAAAATCACTACTGAAAGAAATCGTAGATGACACAAACAAATCGGAAAACATTCCATGCTCTTGGATTGGAAGAATCAATGTCGTTATAATGACCATATCGCCTGAAACAATCTACAGATTCAACACTATTCCTATCAAACTACCAATATAATTTTTCATGGAATTTTGATAAAAACTACTCTATATTCAATATGGAACCAAAAATGAGCCAAAATAGCCAAGGCAATTCTAAGCAAAAAGAACAAATTTGGAAGCATCATATTACCCAACTTAAACCATACTGTAAGGCCACTAACCAAAACAGCATGGTACTGGTACAAAAACAGACATATAGACCAAAAGAACAGACAGATTACCTAGAAATAAAGCAATACCTCTATAGCCAGCTGATTTTTGACAAAGTCAACAAAAATAAGCAATAGGGAAAGGATTCCCTATTCAATAAATTATGCTGGGATAACTGGCTATCCATATGTGGAAGAATGAATCTGGACCCCTACCATTCATCATATACAAAAATTAACTCAAGGTGAATTAAAAATGTAAATGTAAGACCTCAAACTATAAAAATTCTGGAAGAAAGCCAAAGAAATACAATTCTGAACATCAGCCTTGGCAAAGAATTTATGATTAAGTCCCCAAAGGCAATTGCAACAACAAGAAAAGTCAAGTGGGACCTAATTAAACTAAAGAGCTTCTGCACAGCAAATGAAACCATCGCAGAGTAAACAGACAACCTACAGAATAGGAGAAAATATTCATAAACTATGCATACAACACAGTTCTAATATCCAGAATCTTTAAGGAATTTAAACAATTCGACAGGCAAAAAAACCCCACAAATAACCCCATTAAAAAGTGGGCAAAGGACATGAACAGACACTTCTCAAAAGAAGGCATATAAGCGGCCAATAAACATACTCAATATCACTAATCATCAGAGAAATGCAAATCAAAACCACATGAGATACTGTCTCACACCAGTTAGAATGGCTATTATTAAAAAGTCAAAAAATAACAGATATTGGCAAGGTTGTGCAGAAAAGGAAATGCTTGTACACTGCTGGTGGGAATGTAAATTAGTTCAGCCACTGTGGAAAGCGGTTTGGAGATTTCTCAGAGAACTTAAAACAGAAATGCTATTCGACCTGGCAATCTCATTACTGGGTATATATCCAAAGGAAAATAAACTGTTCTACCAATAATAATAGTAATAATAATAACCTATACACTCTTAAATTCATCACAGCACAATTCACAATAGCAAAGACATGGAATCAGCCTAGATGCCCATCAACAGTGGATTGGAAAATTATAACGTGGTACATATACACCATGGAATATTACACAGCCATAGAAAAGAATGAAATCACGTCTTTTGCAGCAGTGTAGATCCAACTGGATGCCATTATCCTAAGAAAATTAATGCAGGAACAGAAAACCAAATACTTCATGTTCTCACTTATAAGTGGGAGCTAAATACTGGATACACATAAACATAATGATGGCAACAATAGACACTAGACAACTAGAAGGGGAGAGAGGAAAGGATGCAAGGAGTGGAAAACTACTATTGGGTATATGCTCACTACCTGAGTGATGGGATCATTTGTACCCAAACCTTAACATTGTGTAACATACTAATATAAACAATCTGCTCGTGTACACCTGAATCTAAAATAAAAGTTGAAACTGTAAAAACAACATCAAAAAATTCTGTCAGAATGTCATTGGAATTTTGATAGACATTGCAGTAAATCTGTAGATTGCTTTGGGGAATATGGACAATTTATTCATTTATTTATTTTAATGTATATTATTTTTAATTGACAAACTAGAATTGTATTACATTTATTGAGTACAATGTAATGTTTTGACATTTTGTGTAGTGATATATTTGAAATTTGCTCTCTCTATTTTGAACTAAGCCATACATAATTATTGACTGTATTCACTCTCCTGTGCGATAGATCTTAAAACATATCCCTGCTGTCTAGCTAAAAATTTTAAGTTTTTGATTAACAAATCCCCAAGTCCTTTGCTGCCCTCTCCCTCTAGCCTCTGTTAACTACCATTATACTGTCTGCTTCTATGAATTCAGCTATTTTTAGATTCTATAAATAAGTGAGATCATGCATTGTCTTTCCATATCTGGCTTATTTCACTTAGTGTAATGTCCTTTAGGTTCATCCATGTTGTCACAAATGACGGGATTTCCTTATTTTATAAGGCTGAGTAGTAGTCTATTGTGTACGTATACTACATTTTCTTTCTCCATTGATAGACACAGGTTTATTCCATATCTTAGATACTGTAATTAATGCTGTAATAAATATGGGAATGTAGATATCCCTTTGATACAACGATTTCAATGCCTTGGATATATTTTCAGAAGTAAGATTGCTGAATCATATTTTAGTTCTATTTTTAGTTTTTTCAGGAACATCCATATCATTTTGTATAATGTTTATTATAATTTACATTCCCACCAACAGTGTACAAGTGTTCCCTTTTCTCTGCATTCTCACCAACACTTTTCTTTTCTTTTTTTCTTTTTTTAGATATATAAGCCATTCTAACAGGTGTGAGTTGTTATCTTACTGTGGTTTTAATTTGCATTTTCCTGATAATTAGTGATGCTGAGTTTTTTTTTTTTCCTAAACCCGTTGGTCATCCCTAGGTCTTTGTTTGAGAAGTGTCTGTTAAAGTTCTTTCCCCATGTTCAAATTTTTTTTCTTGCTACTGAGTTGAGTTCATTACATATTTTGGATATTAACCCTTTATCAGATATATGGTTTGCAAATTTTTTTTCCACTCTGTGGGTTGTCTGTTCACTTTGTTAATTGGTTCTTTGGCTGTGCAGAAGGTTTTTAGTTTAACTAACAAAAGCAATCCAATTTTTCTATTTTTGCTTTCGTTGCCTGAGCTTTCAGGGTCATATTCAAAAAATTATTGCCCCGAGCAATGTCATGGAGCTTTCCCCCTATGTTTTCTTCTAATAGTTTTAAAGTTTCAGGTATTATGTTTATGTCTTTAATCCATTTTGAGTTTATTTTTGTGTATGCTGCAAAATAAAGGTCTAATTTCACTTTTATGCATGATAACCAGTTTTCCCAGCACTACTTATTGAAGAGACTGTCCTTTACCCATTGTGTGTTCTTGGTACCTTTGTCAAAAGTCAATCGACTGTGAACGCTTAGGTTTATTCCCTGGCTTTCTACTAAATTGTTCCATTTGTCTATGTGTCTGTTTTTATGCAAGCACTGTGCTGTTTTTACTACTGTAGCTTTGTAGTAGATTTCAAAAATAGGTCAGGTGATATCCCCAGCTTTGTTATTTTTGTTCAAGATTGCCTTGAACTGTTTGTGGTCTTTTGTGCTTTCACGTGAATTTAAAGATTATTTTTGGCCTGGCGTGGTGGCTCACACCTGTAATCCCAGCACTTTGGGAGGCCGAGACGGGCGGATCACGAGGTCAGGCGATCGAGACCATCGTGGCTAACACGGTGAAACCCCGTCTCTACTAAACATACGAAAAAATTAGCTGGGCGTAGTGGCGGGCGCCTGTAGTCCCAGCTACTCGGGATGCTGAGGCAGGAGAATGGCGTGAAACCTGGAGGCGGAGCTTGCAGTGAGCCGAGATCGCGCCACTGCACTCCAGCCTGGGCGACAGAGCGAGACTCCGTCTCAAAAAAAAAAAAAAAAAAAAAAGTTTTTTTTTCTATTTCTGTGAAAATGGCAATGGAATTTTGATGTAAGTTGTATTGCATCTACAGATCACTTCGAGTAATATGAACATTTTAACAATGTTAACTTTTTCAAACCATGAACATATTTTTATATGTGTTTTCTTAAATTTATTTGATTAGTGTTTTAATAGTCTTTAGTATACACGTTTTTCACCTCCTTAGTTAAATTTACACCTAAGTATTTTATTTTCTTTTTTTGCTGATGTAAGTGGGATTGTTTCCTTAGTTTTCTGCTTGGATAACTCATTATTAGTGTATAGAACACTACTTATTTTCATATGTTGATTTTGTGTCCTGCAACTTTACTGAATTTATCAGTTCTAACAAGTTTTTGGTGGACTCTTTAGAATTTTCTTTATATGAGATTATATTGTCAGCAAATAGAAACACTTTCATTAATTCCTTTTGTCTTAGGATTCCTTTTATTTCTTTCTCTTGCCTAGTTGCTCTGGTTAGGACTTCCAGAACTATGTTGTAAAGAATTGTGAGAGTGGGCCTCCTTCTTTTATTCCTAATCTTAGAGAAAAAGCTTTCAACTTTTCATGATTAAGTACGATGTTTGCTATAGGTTTGTCAGATATGGCTTTTATTGTTTTGAGGTACATTTCCTTTATACCTATTCTATTGAGAGTTTTTATCATGAAAGGATATTGAGTTTTGTCATATGCTTTTTCTGCATCTAATGAGTTGATTACATGGTTTTTATTCTTCATTTTATTAGTGGAATGAGTCACATATATTCATTTGTATTTTTTGAACCATCCTCGCAGCCCTGGGTAAATCCCATTTGATCAGGGCAGATGATTCGTTTAACATGCGGTTGCATTTGGTTTGCTAGCAGTTTGGTAAGGATTTTTGCGTTTAGGTTTATCAAAGGCATTGGCCTGCAATTTTCTTTTCTCGGAGTGTCCTTGTCTGGATTTGGTATCAGAGTAATGTTGGTCTTGTAAAATGAGTTTGAAAGTATTCCTTCTTCTTCAATATTTTGGAAGAGTTTCAGAAGGATTGGTATACAATCTTCTTTAAGAGATTGGTAGAATTTATTTCTAAAGCCACCCAGTCCTGGGCGTTTCTTTGATAGGAGACTGTTACTGATTTAATCCCTTATTTATTGCTGATTTAATCCCTTTACTCACTATTGGTCTGTTAAGGTTTTCTATTCATGAGTCAGTTTTGTTAGGTTCTATGTGTTTAGGAATTTATAAATTTCTTCTAGATATCCAATTATCTGGCCTACAGTTGTTATAATCATTTGTATTTCTGTGGCATCAGTTATAATGTGTCCACTTTCATTTCTGATTTTTATTTCTTTGAGCCTTCTTTCTTTTTTTCTTAGTTAGTCTAGCTAAGGTTTGTTGATTTTGTTTATCTTTAAAAAAATAATTATTTGTTTCATTAATTTTTTCTACTGTTTTCCTAGGCTCTATTTTATTTATTTCTGCTTGGATCTTTGTCATTCCTTTCCTTCTCTTAACTTTGGGCTTAGTTTGTTCTTCTTTTTCTAGTTCCTTGAGATGTAACATTACATTGTTTATTTGAGATCTTTTGTCTTTTTGATATAGACATTTATTGTTATTATTTTCCCTCTTAGCACTGCTTTTGCTGCATCCCACAAAATTTGTTTTGTTGTGTTTTCATTTTTGTTTATCTCAAGGCATTTTTTGATTTTCTTTTTTTATTTCTTCTGTGACCCATTGGTTTTTAAGAGCATCTTGCTTGATTTTCACATATTTTAAAATTTTATAAGGTTTCTCCTGTTACAGATTTCTAGTTTGATGTCATTGGTTGGTTGGTATAGTTTTAATCTTCCGAGATTTGTTAAGAATTGTTTTGTGGCCTAACATACAGTCTATTTTAGAGAATATTCTATGTGCTCCTGAGAAGAAAGTATATTCTGTTGCTGTTTGGTGGAATGTTTTGTATGTGTCTGTTAGTTCTCTTTGGTCTGAGGTGTAATTCAAGCCTAGTGTTCCCTTATTAACTTTCTGCTTAGATGAGCTGTCTATTGTTGAAAGTAGAGTATTGAGATTTCCTGTTGTTATGGTATTGCAGTCTATCATTCCCTTCAGAAAATTTAATAATTGCATTGGTATATATGTGCTCTTATGTTGGGTGCATATATATTTACAATTATATTCTTTTGATGGCTTAGCACTTTCTATTGCCGTAAAATGACCTACTCTGTCTTTTTTATAGTTTTTGACTTAAAGTATATTTTATATGCTATAAGTATAGCTACCATGCTCTCTTTGTTTCCATTTTTATGAAGTATCTTTTCCCATCCCTTCATGTTCAGTCTATGTATGTCCTTAGAAGGAAAGTGAGTCTCTTGTAGGCAGCATATGGTTTGATCTTTAAAAAAATCTATTGAGCTCCTCTGTCTTTTGATTAGATAACTTAATCCTGTTACAGTCAAGACAATTTTTGATAGTTTAAACTTACTACCATTATTTTCTTAATTGTTTTCTGGTTGTTTTCTTGATCTTTTGTTTCTTTCTTAATTTCTTGTTCTCTTCCTTTGTGGCTTATAGTTTTCTGTGGTGGTCTTCTTTGATTTTTTTTTATATTTTGTTCTACAGGATTTTGCTTTATGGCTACCATGGGGCTTATATAAAACATCCTAAATTTGAAACAGGCTATTTTAAGCTAATAACTTTAATTACAAACAGAACTGCACATTAATTCCCTCCTTCCCCTTGTATACTTTTGATATTTACCTAGTTTTATAATTTATATCTCTTAATTATTTATTGTAGCTACAGTTATTTTTAATAGTTCTTTTTTTAATCCTCATAGGACAGATAAAATTGTTTTATGCTTCACCCTTACAGTTTTAGAATATTCTGAATATGATTACATAGTCATATTACTTATACCATTGAGATATTTACTTTTGTGTTTTTGTTATTAATTAGCAGATTTTCATTTTAGCTTGAAGAACTCCCTTTAGCAATTCCTATGGAGCAGGCCTAGTGATGATGAATTCCCTTAGCTTTTGTTTGTCTGAGAAAGTTTTTATTTCTGCCTAATTTCTGAAGAGCAGACTTTCCAGGTAATGTATCCTTGGTTAGCACTTTTTTCTTCAGAATTTTGAATATCTCATTCTACTTTCTCATGGCCTGCAGAATTTCTGCCAGGAAAGCTGTTAACAGCTGTATTGGGACTGCTTTGAATGTGATGTTTCTTATCTCTTGGTGTTTTTTTTTTGTCTTGCATTTTTGATAATTTTATTCTAGAATTTTTTGATAATTTTATTCTAGAATTAATGTTTGGGTTGAATTTACTTGGAGACTTATGAGCTTCCTATACCTGAATGCTGTCATCTTTCTTCAGATTTTGAAAATTTTTAGTCATTATTACCTTAAATGTGCTTTCTGGGCCTTTGTCTCTCTCTTCTTCTTCTTCAGAAACTCCTATTATGTGGAGGTTAATTCTCTTAATAGTGTCCCATAATTTCTGTAGGTCTTTTCCATTCTTTTTTCTTTTTACTCCTCTAACTGGATAATTTCAAATATCCTATCTTCAAGTTATTCTTTCTTCCACTTGATCAAGTCTGCTGTTGAAGCTTTCTATTGAATTTTATAGTTCTGTTATTACATACTTTATCTCTAGGATTTCTATTTTTATTGTTTCTATTTATTTGGCAATCTCCTCATTTTGTTTTATAAATTGTTTTCCACATTTAATTTAGTTTTTTATCTGTATTTACTTGTAGTCCCCTATAAGTAATACGACTATGTATCATATTCAGAATATTCTAAAGCTGTAACAGTGAAGTATAAAAAAGCTTTATCTTTCCTGTGAAGATTAAAAAGACACAACTATTAAAAATAACTGTAGGTACAATAAATTATTAACGGATACATTTTACAAAACTAGGTGAATTTTTTTTTTTTTTTTTTGAGATAGAGTCTTGCTCCGTCACCCAGGCTGGAGTGCAGTGGAATGATCTCGGCTCACTGCAACCTCTGTCTCCCAGGCTCAAGCAATTCTCCTGCCTCAACCTCCCAAATAGCTGGGACTACAGGTGCATGCTGCCACACACGACTAATTTTTTGTTTTTTAGTAGAGACGGGGTTTCACCGCGTTTAAGATAATTGTTCTGAATTCTTCATCAGTCATTTTATAAATCTTCACTTCTTCAGGATCCCTTATTGGAGATTTATTAATTTCCTTATGATGATGATGTATTTTTTCAGATTTTTCATAATCCTTGTGTCCTTGCATTGGTGCCCAACCATTTGAGGAAATGGCCAACTATTCCGCCTTTGTTTGTGTTATTTGGCCATGGTATACCTTCACTATTTGATCAAACCTGGAATTCTGATTAAGCAAGTTGGTGGTGACCTTGAACGGGAAGACCTTGCTGTCATGCTCTCTAGCTGGGCTGAACTGTTAACTGTACTGGTTGAGTAGAATTTCTGGCTCTGTTCCATGGTCTGGTGAGAGAACTGGCTGGACTCTGTAATAAGACAGAGCTGCTGGCTGAAATTGCCTCTGATTGAGCAGTATTGTTGGTTGTCTTCCTTAGATGGCCAGTACTACAGTTTTGAATATGTAGTTGGGCAAGGCCATGTTTTAGGTGTCAAGGCTGAACAAAGACTCTGAGATTGCTACCTAACCATGCAGGGTGACAGGACCAGAGGCTGTGCTCCACAGATACACATGGGCATGGGTTCAGCTCTAATCCTGGGATGACCTAAGGCAGAGCACCATGGCTTGATATATTAGCCACTTGGATGCTGGGCCTGGGTGGAACAGATGCTCCTTCTACAGTTAATTGCCACCATGCCCCTGTTTTCTGGCCTTAGGAAGCGTTAAGGAGCACAAAGGGCAGGGCTTGACTGGGTGAAAGCTTGGCAGCTGGGAATGGTTGGGGCCAGATGTTCTCTTTGCAGGTAATTGCCATTCTACCCTTATCTCCTGGCCTGGGGAAGTTTCAAGGGGAGCACTGGGGCTGAGTGTGGAAGCTGAGCAGAGATTCAAACCTGGCAGACTAATCAACTGTGCTTCTTGTTGAGCATTGCAAGCCTCTCTGGTGGTGTGCCTCTGCTGGCCAGAATGCAGAGCAACTATCAAGACCCCTGAACTGGTCACTGTGAGTCTCACCCTGTTCTGAGTTTCTAAATAAACATTGCTAATGTTTCCTGTGGGATAAGACAAGAGAGTTTCTTCTGCGAAGGATTCCAAAATGGTGGGAAAGCTGAATGTTCATTCTCAACTCTCTCTTCCCTCTGTAAAAGCCATGGGTTCTGGGAATCCTCTTATGTGTGATGTGCTGGCTTGAGGGAGGGACAGTGTGGTCAAAGTAAAACCTCCTCTTGCTCTACGTGTGTGGTTTTTCTCAGTACTGTGGTCCAAGGGGATGTCTGTGCCTCACTTCAAGTTCTGAGATATTCACAAGGGTATCCTTGTCTGCTGTTGGTTGCTAGTTGGATTTCTGTGGTGGGACTACTGGAGTCAGAGAATTCCTATTCTATTATATTTCTAACATCTCCCCTAGTATGAACATTTTAGCAACATTCACTTTTCCAGTCTGTGAACATGTAATATCTTTCTATTTGTGTCTTCATTTTCTTTCCTCAATGTTTTATAGTTTTTAGTATACAGATCTTTCACTTCTTTGGTAAAATTTATTCCTAAGTATTTTTTGGATGATATTATAAATGGGATTTTTAACTTCTTTTTTTGGATAGTTGTTATGGTATGTGTAAGTGCTACTGATTTCTGTACGTTGATTTTGTATTAAAGTCTTAAACATAAGACCTGAAATTTTAAAACTACTGGAGTAAAACACAGGGGGAAAACTTCTTGACATTAGACCTGGGCAAATATTATTTTTGAATTTTGACCCTAAAAGTACAGGCAACAAAATAAAAAATAGACAAATGTGGTTGCATCAAAGTAAAAAGCTTCTGCAAAATAAAGCAAACAGTTAATGGAGTGAAGAGACAACATACAGTATGTGATAAAATATCTGTGAACTACACATCTGATAAGGAGTTAATATTCAAAATATTTTAGAAACTCAAACAACTCAGTAGCAAGAAAACACATAAACCAATCAAAAAAGTGGGCACAGGGAGTTTCCCAAAAGAAGCCATACAAATGGCCTACAGTATATATAAAAATGTGCTCAACATCGCTAATAATCAGGGAAATGCAAGTTAAAAACACAATATCACCTCACATCTGCTAGAATGGCTATTATCAAAAGACAAGAAATAACAAGTATTGGCAAAGATTTGGAGAAAAGGGAACCTTTTTACAGTATTAGTGGGAAAGTAAAGTAGTATGGCCATTGTGGAAAACAGTGTGAAGTTTCCTTAAAAAATTAAAAATGAAACTACTATGTGATTCAACAATCCCACTACTGGGTATATAGCTAAAGGAAATGAAATCAGTATTTTGAAGAGATATCTGCACTCCCAAATTTATTGCAGCATTGTTTACTACAGTCAAGATATAGAATCAACCTAAGTGTCCTTTAGTGGGTAAATGGATTAAAAAACATGTTATATAAGTGTAATGGAATACAACTCAGCCTTATATAAAAAGGGAAGTTTCTAATTTGTGACAACATGTATAAACCTGAAAGATATTATGCTAAGTAAAATAAGCCAGATATAGAAAGACAAATATTCGTGATCTCACTTTTATGTGGAATCCTAAAAAGTCGAGTGCGTGGAAGTAGAAATGATCATTATCAGGGGTTGGGTTGGGGAGTGGGGAAGAACTGGGGAGATGTTGGTCAAAGGATACAAAATTTCAATAAGACCGGAGTAATAAATTCAGGAGATTTATTGTACAGCATGATGACTATAACAATGTATTGTATTTTTGAAAATTTCTAAAAGAGTAGACTTTGAGTGGTCTTATTACAAAAAATGGTAAGTGTGTCCAGCTGTCATTCCTGGAGAACACCTGAAAACCATCACCCTTTGGGACCATCAGTGCAATAGAGGACTGACTTACAAAGGCTGTGGTCTTAGGCTTGAAGTCTTTTTAAACACTTCTGTGATAGTGCTTATTCTGTCAGATCAAATATATTTACTTTTCTGAGTGATAGTCCATTTAGGCTGTAAGGTGCTCAATGGAAGAAATATGTCCGATACATCTCCATACTACTACTGTTGAAAGAAGTAAAACGAACAGAGCTTGGAATGAACAAGCAGAGGTGGGCAGGAGGTACAGGGTGGACCAGAGTGGGAAGTACTTCTGCAGTCACGAGGACATCCTGCTTCCATCTTATTAAATCTTTAGGCATGTGCCCAGGAAGACACAGGGGTCATCTTATTACACCTTTAGGCACATGCTGAGGCAGCAGGCAACTGGGAAGTGTCTGGTGCTGTCACCTCCCTGGTTGTGAAAACAGCAGCATACTCAGGTTGTGCATCATCGTGTACACTGCACGGGATAAAAGGGCTCCTACCCTGGGCTTCTCATCCACAGCATCCTTAGGAGCAGCCTTCTTCTCCTACCTCCTCTGCATCTGGTGAGTGGCCAGCAGGGGACAGATCCTCAGCTGGGAGTGTTTGGGAAAGAGAGGCCCAGAACTGAAATGGAACCATCAGAAAGAAGCCCACAGTGGGCAGCAGTGGGGGAGGTGATGGAGAATAAGGAGCCTCTAAAGCACATGTCAGGGACCCGTGAGCTGCAAAACCCGCAGGACCTTAGGATTCCTTCACATTCTTGTTTGGAGCATGTTGTCAGGAATGCACATAGATCCATTTTATATTTTTAAGGTTGCTTTATCCAAATGCATGTGTAGGGTTCCCTCTACTACATTCCCATTTCTCTCCTACAGATCTTGGCTTAGAAAGTGGCTTCATCAAGGGGGTCAGTGTGTGACAAACCCAAAAATAAGGAGATGGTCTGAGGGTTCTGTGCTCAAATGTTTCTATTATTCTGTTCAAGGTAAAATTCCTGCATTCCTGCAAAGATGTCCTGCCAGCAAAACCAGCAGCAGTGCCAGCCCCCTCCCAGTTGTCCCTCACCCAAGTGTCCCCCAAAGAGCCCAGCACAGTGTCTGCCTCCACCCTCTTCTGACTGTGCTCTAAGCTCCGGGGGCTGTGGCCCCAGTTCTGAAAGTGGCTGCTGCCTGAGCCACCACAGGCACTTCAGGTCCCATCAATGCCGGCGCCAGAGATCCAACTCCTGTGACAGGGGCAGTGGTCAGCAAGGCGGGGGCTCCTGCCGTGGCCATGGCTCTGGGGGCTGCTGCTGACCTGGATCCTGATGATGAGACAAGTGATCTTTGGAGGAAACAAGGATCCCAAAGGCCCAGGAAAAGCTCCATCCTGATGCATGCTTTTCCAGATACCTTGTTCTGGCTTTCACAAGCTGAGCTGGGGGTGTTCCTGTTGAGTATCCAAGCTGTCCCCAGAAGGTGCTTCCTGTCTGGTGTATAGGATCTCACAGTTCCCTCATCCCTGCCCCTGCCAAGGATTGGCAGTTCCCTGTGCCTAACCCTGCCAAAAAATAAAGCTTCTTGTTCTCATTACCACGGTGTCTCACTTGTTAGGAAACTATCCAGGATTTATCCATCCAGGCCAGGTTCTCCTGTCACCCGAACTCGCAGGACCTTAGAAAGCCAGAGATTTAAGTGTGTTACCCCTGGTAGAGGTGACCCCAGAGAGCTGACCTCATGCTCGGGCAAGTAACTGGGCTGTGTTCTCCCAGCCAACCCTCTGTCATCACAGGACACCTGCTCAGCCTCAGACCTGTGTAGTTTTTGCTCTGATGACAAACAGAGGAGCGAGGAATTGGGAGCCCCTCATGGAGGGGAGGAAAGGTTGATGGGCACCATCACCAGGATGGGTATGGAGCCTCCCAAGCCAGGCATCAGGGTTGGGGCTGTGGAGAAACTCATTTGTGGACATCTGCTGCATTCCATAGGAACAGAAAGGGCCCCCCATTACAGTTCTGGGGTGTTCTGAAACTTCAGAACTTACTCCTCTGTTGTTGTATCCCAATGACTACAGATTTTACTCCTAAGAAGCAAAAGTGGTCACTCAGCTATATTCAGCCCCACAATCTGGCTACCATGAGAAAGTGCTTGGTCTATCTCTTTTAAATGTCTCTTTGCAGGACAGAGGCCACTGAAGGGACCCTTAACATTAAGAGTAAAGTGGCCACCCAAGAGTAGTTCAAGGGATAATTCCTGAAAATACTTCCAAGACAGAGACAGGGGTCATGTGCTGGAGGCAGGAAAATGCTGCTGAGAATATCAATACCTAAACCTACCCTCTCCCCAGTCCACATTCAGAGCCACCCTCTTTCCTACGGCCCAGTGCCTTTATGCTCCCACAGGCATCACTATTTCAGTTTGCTAGGGTGGGCTGTCAGGCAGAATAAGAAGACAAAAATTATAACCCCAATAGTGAACATAATTTAATTTTTGTTGACAATTATAATTTAATTTAAATATGTATAAAGTTTGATTACAGCCTGACTGATTTATCTTGAAAAATATCTAGAAAAAGGTACTTATTTTAATATTAGAGATTAATTGAATGAGAAATTTATCTACAATTAAAATGAAATTCGCAGAGAAAATAGCATTCAGTTTGCATCAATTCTCCGTACCCAAAATATAGACATGATCAGGTCAGCTCCATTACATGAGATGCACCCAGCACTACCATCAACCTCAAAAGCAGCAACACATACCAAAGTCATCTTCATCAAGCCCATCCATTATCATGCATGCTTGCAGAACTTCATTTCGAGTCCAAGCAGATGAACGACTCCTCCCTCTGTGTTTTCATGGTCTTCAAATAAAGAGCACACATTCCCTGGATTTTGATGGAAGGTCATGCCTTTTGTAATGTGCTTACTGTGACTCTTGGCACTCCAATTGTTGTACTTTCCTTCTCCATATTTGCCCCTCAATCAGGTATTCATTTGGCTCCCCTCCTCTCCTGCCCAGGGGCCTATGTTACCTCCTGGGTACCAGTGAGGCTCTTTCAAGAGTCCTCATCTCCGCTGACTTTACCCTTCCATCTGTTTTACACACAGCCCATTCTGAATGTCCAGCATCCTTACCTCAGTCACCACCCCAACAGCAAGTGCTGATCACATCTGATGCTTGATTTTCCTAAGGGAACATTACAGAAAAAAGTAGATGGGCAAAGAACCATGGACTTCGTGGGTAGTCATTTACATTGCAGTACTTATCTCATGGAAGCAGTCTCCCTATTTACTTGACTGCCTGTGCAGTTAGACAGTTAATTTCTATAGGTCAGGTGATGTGTCATATTGAACTCTACCTTCCACCACAATGCATGGAGCATGACATATTTTAAGCACACATGTAGGCCTGGGTGGAAGGTGTACAAGTGAGGACCAGGGCTTCCTGTGTCAAACATGCCACCCTGTTCCTGGGAAGACGGTGAAGGCCTGGACCTGGGCTGGGTTGTTTGGTGCTGTCACCTCCCCGAGCAACCCATTCATGCTGCCCCTCACAATCTAGCAGCTCTGTCTTGGGCTTCCCAGACCATGGACTTCTTTCGAATAAGCTTTCTCTTGCTGCCATGAAACCAGATGGATGTCTAGCTGGAGACAGGACCTGAGCTGGAAGACCTAGGAAGACAAGCCCGGGTTTCTTCCATCAGGGGAGAAGGAAGCAGAGGGTATGGGATGGAGGAAGCAGGAAGAGTGTGGGGTTAATGGGCACCCTCCCGGGATGTATCAGGTGTCCTGTGACTGCGAAGGTCATGGGTCTTCAGCACACCCTCATCTTCTTCCTATATATGTTCTGAGAGATGCACTGATCTCACCAGACATCATCAAGGAAGCTTTACCCAAACAGGTTTATTCTCCTCTGTGATTACATGAAGATAGGACACCTCAGCTGCTCAATTAGAAAAGACCCAGTATCATTTTGTAGCAGGTGACCAAAGAGAAAAGAACATCTTTCCAGGATAAACTAACTCCAAATTTATTTTCATTTCCTCCCTATATTTCTTTTCTTTTCTTTTCTTTTTTTTTGAGACGGAGTCTCGCTCTGTCACCCAGGCTGGAGTGCAGTGGCGTGATCTCGGCTCACTGCCAGCTCTGCCTCCCAGGTTCACGCCATTCTCCTGCCTCAGCCTCCCGAGTAGCTGGGACTACAGGTGCCCGCCACCACGCTGTACTAATTTTTTGTATTTTTAGTAGAGACGGGGTTTCACCATATTAGCCAGGATGGACTCGATCTCCTGACCTGGTGATCCGCCTGCCTCGGCCTCCCAAAGTGCTGGGATTACAGGCGTGAGCCATGGCCCCTGGTCCTCCTCCCTATATTTCTTAGTGCAGAAGTACACCCATCAGAGAAGAGATATTACAAAGATTCATTTGCATTATTGCATTCTCTCTAGAGTCATTGATGCTTTCTGAGATTTTGTGTCAGCAAAACGCGCAGCAGGGATAGCCTCCAAAGGCTCCCAGAGTTCCCCACCCAGTCTGAGCCCCATGTCTAGTCTACCTTCAGTCTTCTCCTGCTATGGCTCCAGCTCCAGGGGTTGCTTTAACTCTTAGGGGGCAGCTGCAGCCTGGGCTACCACAGGTGCTATCTCTTCCACTGGCACAGGCACTAGAGACATGACTGCTGTGAGTTTACCCACTGGCAGCTGCAGCTGTTGCCAGAGCTTTGGGCACTGCTGCTGACCTGGGCAGTGCATTGAGATAAGCAGTTTTAGAGGAATCAGAGACCCAAAGTGCCCAGGATTAACCTCAGTCTGATGTACCTGCTCCTAACCTCCTGCCCATGGTCGGAGCTCCTGAGTTCATCCTGACAAGGGTTGTCAGTGATCTCCAGTGGTCTCCCTGGTGTCCCTCATGGTTGTCTCCACATCCATGTTCTGGTCAGTGCTTAGCAGCACTTATGTCTCACTCTGTAAAAAATAAAGCTTTCCTTTCTCACCTACGTTTCTATATTGCCCCTCCGAAGGCTGCTCCATTGCTCTCCCATGCCTTATCTCCCAGACTGAATGCTTCACAGGATGAGAGGAATGAGAGACAACACTTCTCTCTACTCATAGGGAGACCATGAGTTGCTGCTAGGAAGAGGCTACAGAAGGCCACATGGCTGCAGGGAGGAAAGTTCACCTTATTTCTATATGGAAGATCTGGGTGTTGAGGAGGTAGGAAGGGATCCTTGAAAGCTGAATAGTTGATGGGTGCAAGGAGAGAAATGTAGATGGTTGCAGAGGTATACACTGAGAGGAACTTAGAAGAAGTAAGAAAATAAAAACCTGATCATTGCAGGAGTTGTAAACTGGATATATTCATAGGGTCAATGATTTGTATACTACTCATGATGTGCCAGTGGCTTGACATACAGTAAATAATTTAATCCTCACTGCAGTCCTTCAAGTTACGTACAACCCTTGTCCCATTTTACAGATGGGAATCATCATGGAATGAGTGTCCAGGGTCTCCCAACAGCTGCCATGCAAACCTTGGCAGTTTTGCTGAGAAGCCTATGCTCCTGATGACTGTGGTGTTCTAAGTTCTTCTAAAATGTTTTAAGAGATGTGAGTAAACAATGGATTTGTTTTGTAATTATTTTAGTCCACAGTATTTTGTTGTTTGAATTATACATCACTAAACCACCAAACCATATGAATCACACTTTTAAGGAGTTCGCCTCCCAGAGTTTGGACCCAGAGTGTAGTATTCAGCTGCACCACAGGATTAAAATCATTATTTTTGATGTGCATTAAAACAACAATTCACTTTCACTACCAATTTTGAGAATGTTAATGAACTGGAGAAAGACTCAGTAAAAATTCAAGCCTTGGTGCTCATCAGTAAAATACTAGCAATCCAAGGAGGTCTCATAAACTCTGAGCCAAAGTGAAAGAGCAGATCTTAAGAGTAGTTTAGGGCTAGATACAACAGAGAAATTAATGTATCCAGTAATAGGTGAATATATTAAATTTTAGAAGCTTTTTTTCCAAGCTCTTGGGAAATAGGGAAAAGAAAATTACTCCCCTCTTCTGTGTTCATAGACATTCATTTTCTTAACTCATTGGGATGAAAAAGGTACCCAAAGGGATCCTATGAGGAAGTTGATGTCAGAACTGCTCTGATGAGTTTAGATCGACTGCCCAGCTCAATTCCTCTTAGTTGCCATGCCTGGGTTTATTGCCCTTGGATGGATACAGGCTCCACATCTTACTCATCCCATCAACCATCCCAGGTGACAGCAGGTGACACCATCTGGATTCATCATTTACTCTGGCTGGATTCATCATTTACTGATTCAACTAGCTAAGAAAGATTTGTTTAAGAAGTTACCACAGCTGTAGGACTTATAAAAGCCTATGATACAGACTTTTGATTCACTACGACAACCACTTGCTACTCAAAAATTGAGAAACTCTTGAATAAAATCAGCCCAGGCGACATAAAGAATGTTGTGTTATGACTTCTAGACCAAGTCCAACACCCAATCATTCATAATTTATCTGCTCAACACGTAGTTTTGTGGCACTGGTCTAGGTGTTTAGATCAGTGTGAAACAAGATGAAGTCCCCTTTCAGGCAGCTTATGTTCCAGTGGGCCCATTGGAGACATCTTCTGGTTTCCTGGCTTGTCAGCAGATTTAGACAAAGATGGTTCTATATTCAGTTGGATTCCCACTCTGGGGCACTTGACAGATGCCGGTAAAGGGTGGCTAAACCCAGTGAAGGCACCCATCATGGGCAAACTTTTGAAAACTGGATATCATTTTTTGGGTGAATACAAAAAGGACATCCAATGTCTGGTTGTTTCCACATCAAAGGTAGGAGCTTAGTGAGTCAAGGGGTAGGTGGGTGATTCCAATGGTGAAATGTTTGTTTAAAAGTTGAAAAGTCCTTGTCCCTTCCCAGTGCCTTTCTCACTTCCCAGTTCTCAGTGAACAACCCCATTCACCCAAGTATCTTGAAAGTGCTTCTGTTTGGTACTTAGCTATAATGTATGGAGCAAATAAAAAAAATGGCCACACCTATACCCTTCCCTGTATCAGGATACTCAGACACATTTAATGCAATAATAATGTTTTATTAAAACCTTGTCGTTTTAGGATATGTTTGAAACTTACATGTGTATTCCATTTTTACATACTTTTAATATATCATGATTCAGGATAAAATATATATCTATTATTATAATAAATGCATTGGAAAAATACTATAGAGTTTAGTGCTCTCTCTACAACCTTGGTCCATGTTGTGTCAGGTGCTCACGGTGATCATATTAACCTCATTATAATCATACCCATCAATTATCATTTCTATTTGGACAAATCTCTTTTAGTCATCCCATCCAATTTGAATCACTCTCTTCCCTGGGTCTCTTAGAATCAATAGTACAGTCGCTAAGATCCTGACACAAGGTTCCTTAAATGTATGTTAATCCATGATGCATATTACCAAAGCCATTGTGGATTTCTTATACTTGTCTCTGAATTTACCTGTGATATCCCTGGGTCATTTTGCCTCCATGTAAACAGATTTGTTTTGCCTCAGACATCTTTACCTTAATACAGCTATTAGGAGAAGCAGGGAAAGATTAAAACCTAGAAGTTCCTGTCTCCAAAATGGATGCTCTTAATGAGCAAATTATTCTGCATTCAAGACTGTACATGTCCCCAGTATTCCCCTCAGCCCTGTTCTACCTCGACCTCAGCATTGTCTCTTTCTCCTGGGCACCTCCTTGATGTTTCTTGGGTCCACAAATTTCTCTTAGTTGCCATGCCTCGGTTTACTGCCCTTGGATGGATACAGGCTCCACTTCTCATTCATCCCATCAACAATCCCAAGTGACAGCAGGTGACACCTTTTGGATTCATCATTTATTCAGAGTCGCTACAGAACCAAAAGGGACTAATGCCCCAAAACCCTGACTTCAGGCCTGGGGACTCCCACACACTGTATCCCAGCACCCTCTCCTGGCTCAGGCTTAGTTTCCTACTTATCTGTCAGTCTCACTACACCATCAGCCTAAGGGTAGGGATGGTATCTTCTTCAGTCTTGAATCTGCTTTGCCCAGCACAGTGAGTGTCACCATCTCAATATAACTTGTTTAAAGAAGGAATGATGTTAATGAATGAAAAATGAAGAATTGCAGACCTACAGAAAGACTGAGGCACAGGTATGTGAATAGTCACGGGGTTTCTTGAATCCCCACTCT
Organism: Homo sapiens; assembly: GCF_000001405.40. Taxonomy (NCBI): domain Eukaryota; kingdom Metazoa; phylum Chordata; class Mammalia; order Primates; family Hominidae; genus Homo; species Homo sapiens. The sequence continues at coordinate 152,607,952 of NC_000001.11, forward strand.
CCTCAAAACTCTTGACACCTGCCATGGAGATACAGAGGTCTTGGGGCTACAGAGGCAAAGAAGCTGACTCCTAAACGAGACTCACATTCTCACCCCTCCCAATCCCAACACCCATTTCTTGCCTGCAAAAGAAAATAGAAAAAGAGCTCTAAGGTTTGCTCAGTCCTCACTGGAATCAGGATGCCTCAACCCAAGTTACTTTCTATTTCCTGCACTCCTCTGCTCGGGAATTTTTCCTAAGTTGTGGATTCAAAGCCACATATGCTTTGAAATAAACATAAAAAGATCCAATTTTTGATCCTGTTTGAGCCATCACAGGCTTTACACATCCCACAAGGCACAGCATCAGCCCTCTGGATGCTGTCACTCATGCAGTGACCAGGGCACTGAAAACCACAGTGGAGCAGGGCTGGATGATCCAGTGAAGCAAAGAGAGAAGCCTCTTCCCAGTGTGGTGATTTTCCTCCTCCCTCACCTCTGCTCCTCCTTGGTGGAGAAGTCCCGTGGAACATTAGTGAAGATAATAAGGGTGGGAATGCCCTTGTAGAAATTACTGTTAATAGTCTGAGAATTGGGCAGGTACTATAAATCCTAATCTTTTGTGTTTCAAAGCCATTTGCATCAACAAGTGTTTGGTTTCGAACTCAGCGTATCCTTGTCTTAGTAATCCCTTCTTAGGTCTTATTACCAGAAAGATCCTCACTCAACAGAATGCCCAGGTGCAGTTCCAGTCAGAACACTCTTGTGGTGCCCACTCCCAATTTTCTCTGTCAAACGTCATTGAGCTCTTTCAATGCTTCCTTTCACTTTTCCCCCAACCACTCTGCTGCAGTTTTGCATCCCACAGTGAACAAGCTTGTGTCCATTCCAAGCCCCCTGGAGATGAGACCTCCCTCAGAGCCAAAGTATATTCATTGAGCAGAGTATCTGTCACTAAAGTGATGCAGCTGCCTGGGACCTAGCACAGACCCTTCATGCCCCTAATATGTCCATTCCTCTCCCTACATTCAGGATAGGCAGAATGTTGAAAGAAAACATGGTAAAAGATAACTGTAGCAAAGAATTGGCAAAAGAGATGGCAGGTGTTGAAGAAACGGAATTTGTCAAGGGTCATATTGGTCAGGGTCTTCTATTGCCTCCCAGAGAGTTTTCCTTTTTCCCCATGGACTACAGGTAAGTAGCACATGAATATTCTCACCATCCAACACCCAACTCCCTGTCCTCCCTCTTGATCTTCTAAGATACTCCTGTTCATGAAAGACTTCCTCCCTGACCTTCCAAACTCCATCATGTCTCCAGTAACTACCCAGTTTCTACTTCCAGTTGCCTTTACAGTACCTGTGTGTGGTCATTATGAAGCTTCCACCAACATTCCTGAACTTGCTTCTCGTTTGTCCTTGGGGACCTGAAATCTGGGCATTTATTGATTTGATTGATGCTAGAAAGGGTGGGAGAATCCAAAACTGCCCCTTTCTTATAAAAACCTAAGAGCCTACTAAGTTGTGTATTGAACAGTCTAAAGTCAGTACAATAAAAACATGAAGCATTGTCTTTTTCGGTCATTGTTTTTTCCTATGCTCTGTTGAATCTCTCTTGAAAATACCTCAGGGAAATTCCACATTTCGTCAGTCACTTCTATGGATACTAAAGTCCAGACCAGCTAAATTTAATTCTGAACAAAATTTGAAACTCAAATTCTCCCTTGCACACAAGCATTGTCCAGGTATCTCCCAGGAGACTGGAGTTGGAAGGGGAATATGATGGGCTCTTTCTCTCATTCACTACCACCCCTCCACCTTCTTCCTCAGTAGCCCTTCCTCCTCCATTGTATTGGGAGATGGAAAAGGGGAGGGAGAATCATTACACATGTGACTGTACCACTAGCCTCCTCTGTTGGCAGGTTCTGCGGCAGGGCTGTCTCTGCTTCTTCTGTGTGGCAGGTTCTGCAGGAGGGCTGTCTTATAGGGTGCTTTTGTGAGTCCTGGAGTATCTTCAAGCATTTTCCTAACAGCATGATTTCCAGACATGGGATGAGCAGTCGGATTTAACCCTTCACGTACTCCCTAAGCTCCTACCTTCGTTGGCACCAGCCATGGCTTCTCGATAATGAGGTCTGTCTGCCCAACAGAAAACCATCCTAAGCACAACACTAGCAAGACTGTGGAAGCTGGTCTTCCTTCTTAGATGTCATCTGCTGTTATGTCTCAATGTCCTGTTCTATCTCTTCAGTTCCTTTTCTTTATTCAACAATAGGCTCAGAGGTTAGAACATCAAGTCTACTACTACAGCAGACATTCTGCTGGGGGATAAAAATGCTGTCTTTCTTTCTTGAAGGAATCTCTAACATCTACAGGCTGTCATTGTGAATCCTGCCCTTTCAATTGACCTCTGTTGTAGGAGAACAACCAGTTTCCCTCCCATGTACAAGATTAGGGGGAGACTACATCATTGTCTTTTAGGATAATAACTTTCCTATCTAAAAAATTCTCACCAAAGTTCAACCTTCCAAATATATAGCTGAACCAGAGAAATAGAGTTCTATTTTTTTTTCTTAGCAAGTCTTGCAGAGATTTTCAGCAGCTTATCCTAAGTTTACTTTAGTATATGGGGATAAGAGGCATCTACTATTTTCATCTTTTGACTTCAGCCAACATCGTAATACAAGAAGAAAATTTGAGTCCAACATCTTCTTACACACTGGGTCCTACCAGAGCTTTCTCAGGAGAATAGAGCGGTGTAAATATCTCAAAATACTATTTAATCTGAGGGAAAAATTCAAATCCATATAAGAAACTTAGGCACGTTGGAGGTATATGGCACTTTCTGGCCACTGCTTCCCATTTTCCTTAAGAATAACTTAGCTGCTTGCCATGGAATTTGATTGTCGCAGACATGGCAGGAACAGAATGGAGAAGGAACTGTGAGTTTTAAGCAAAGGGAGAAGAATTCTGTTTGTTGACTCATCCTTGATTGCTGATGTGGAATGTCCAAAATGCACTCCAAGGGGCTAAATCTGAGGTCCTGCAGTGCCTGTTCCTATAGTACCAATTGGAATGACTAAGTCATGAAATTTTTCCTGGATTCATCCAGCCAGAGCAGTCTCTGTATTTCCTTGATGTCTTTGGGCCACAGGAAGCCAAGGCTCCTCAGGATGGGACTCTCAGGACTAGTGATTCTCAGGGAGGTGCCCTTGTGCTGTAGGGGAAGTGACAAGATCATGATCTTATAGCTACTGTTTGTCATCACGGGACAAATCCTGTGCGTGTGAGAACTGTGGACACCTGATTTCAGGAAGAGGAGAGTGGTGACAGGAGCAATCACTAAGGTAGAAGGGAGATTAATGAGCTCTCCAGGTCTTGTGGGGAGGCTTTCAAGACAGGCAGTCAAGAATGGGGCTGGAGGAAAGCCTAACAGTCATCTATTGTGTTTTATAAAACAGCGGTAACACGATATATTGAATGTCATAGGCAAGGATTTTTTTTCCTTTGAAACTTGCCCAAAATGTGTGATTTATGTTTCTTTCTCAATTAACGCTTCCATCTCCTACCTCCCTCAGCTGCCAATGACTCAGGGTTGCAACCCATGCAGGAAAATGGCTATCATGCTTGCTCTGTTGGGAGGACAAGACTTGCTTATGATAAATACAAGATACAGAGAAATAAACGTTCAGATTTGCAGCAAAGTCTAAACCCCAGTAATTTTTTAACTGAATTTTTCAACAGATTGTGTCCCTCTTCAACTTCACCAGTATGGAATGAGAAAGTACCCATTTCAACCATCATGAGTAATTCCTTCCAATGCACTAGCAATTTGTGTGTTCTAAAGAATGCAAAAGAAATGGACACCTAGTGTAGTCCCGGGGCTAAGCCCAAAAATATCCCTTCAGCAAGAGGCTTCTGCAGGCAGAAGAATATCAGAGAGGGGAGTCAATGACAGGTCTGATCCTTTTCCTCTTCCTCCATTCCCAAGCCACATTCCTAGAGACAATTCACTTTCTCTTAAATATCTCAAAATAAATCATGGAATTCTGCCCCCCACCTCCCACCATGTTTTAAAGAGGGTAAGTTGTAAAGTGCATACTCTGATAAGGAGTTTGTTGTCTAAAAGCCATAAACTATCAAGTACAGGGAGCAATAACAGGCATTTACCATAAACATGTGTTATTTAAAATTACCATTTAACTTAAATTTAATGTTCTGTTATAGTTCTGACTTTAACTTTTTAGAAACAAATAGCAAAGTTCAGGTATTATAATAATAGAGATGAATTCAGTGAAAAATTCATGTCTAAAACTATTATACAATCAAATGGGAAAAATACAAATCAGACTTTATATGTCATCCTACAGAAACCTTAGAATTTATAAGGTTTGTTCCATTAAATTTGATGCACATGATGTTACTACCATCACTAACCTCATCATCAACAATACATTGAACGAATCATGTTCATGACTCACACCAACTATCTTACATATTTTATGCTCATGGACCATTTTATTTGCTTATAATCAGTATCATATATCCCATGGGAAGCTAAATATGGGCAAATTGACCTTTTTCATATTAAGTATGAGTCTTGTGATCTCAACTATTGTATATTCCTTAATGATTTTGTCTGCTTATTCATATAATCCTACCTTAATTCTCTTAAGGGCCCCAACAGCCCCAGACAGGGCTTGTGTCCCATTCTCCATTCATTACCTAATACATCTCACTCCCAGGGTCCAATAGTCTCAGATCACCCAACATCCCCAAGAGTCAGGAGCCAATTACATCTCAACAAACCATGCCCCTGGGGAATATGCAGAGGAATAGGGAAGTGATGTCCAAAAAAAGACATCCTGGGATACCCAGGACGAATCACATGATATCATATCAGACACATAAGTTTACATCTCTGATGTTAGTCCAGTTAACTTTGAAAGGCTCAAGGTCAGGAAATGTGTCATATGCATCTTTACATTCTCCCTCAAAGTGCAAGAGGCAGAGCTCAAACTAAAGCATCCAAACTGAATGAGTGAAAGGAGAAGAAATGACAGGTCCCCAACACACGTGGAGATCTGTCATCAAGACTTCCTGGTTCCCTCTTGCCAGGCATCTTGGCAAGCATGAAGCAAGATGCTGGAGGCCTGGGATGGGAGTGTTTGGCTCTGCCACCTCCCCTTGTTGTGAAAGCAGCATGCCTGGTCTGTGCATCTCTAACCCTGCACAAGATAAAAAGCCTCTTATCTTGGGCTCCTCATCCACAGCCTCCTAGAGAACAGCCTTCTCCTCTTCAGCATCTTCTGTATCTGGCAAGTATCTAGCAGGGGACCCTCAGCTGGGGGTGTCTGGGGAAGATAAGCCCAGATTTTACTAGGGAAGGGGGAAGCAGAGGTGTCAGATGTACAGACAGCAGGAAGAGGACTTCAGAGGGCAGCTGAGGGTAGGGGAAGGGGCAGTGAGCAAGGAACCTCTTTGGGGTGCATGGGAGTCTGTGACTCACCAGAGCCCTGGCTCTCAGCATTCTCTCCACTCTTTTCCTGGGAGATGCATACATGCCCAGTGATATTCTCTGAGAATCATTACTCAATTAGGTGCTTTTGCATCAGTGTTTTTGTGAAGACAGGAGGACTTGGGACCCAGTTAGAAGACACCAGCATTCTTTTCTGGAAGAGGGAAAAATGGAAGGAAATGTCTTACCAGGCCAGTTTTACTTGAGATCAGTTTCTGTTTTTATTCCTGAAGTGCATATCTCAGGAAGCAACTGGTATTAGGAGTAAGGGCTTCATAAAACCATTTGTAGAGGAGACATTAGCCTGGAGCTTTTGCGTTGACCTTTTCCTTTTATCTATCCAGGCTGTCACCTCCTGCCAAGATGTCCTGCCAGCAGAACCAGCAGCAGTGCCAGCCTCTGCCCAAGTGCCCCTCACCCAAGTGCCCCCCAAAGAGCTCAGCACAGTGTCTGCCTCCAGCCTCCTCCTGCTGTGCTCCAAGACCTGGGTGCTGTGGTGGCCCCAGCTCTGAGGGCGGCTGCTGCCTGAGCCACCACAGGTGCTGCAGGTCCCACCGATGCCGGCGCCAGAGCTCCAACTCCTGTGACAGAGGCAGTGGTCAGCAAGATGGTGCCTCCGACTGTGGCTATGGCTCTGGAGGCTGCTGCTGACCTAATTCCTGATGCTGAGACAAGCGACTTTAGAGGAAACAAGTATCTCAAGGAAAAAGGAAAAGCCCCAACTTGTTAGATCCTTTCTTAGACATGCTAATTAACCATTCATTCATGGGGAAGAATTGTGCTTTTTCCAAAAGGCTCCACCCATGTGTTTTCCAAGATCGTGGAAGCCTCCTTTCCTCCTGACAATGTTATCACTTGTGTCTGATTATACAGAGAAATAAAGCTTCTGAACAGCACCTGCATCTAACTTGTCTTTCACTCTGCTCCACAGAAGGCTGCTCAGTGGGTCTCCCCTCCCTCAGCTCCTGAAGGTCTAGCACACCCTGCATAGAGAATAATACTGGCTTGTGGCTGGAAAATTAAACGTTCATATTTTTCTTCATGCAGGGAGTCCCTGTGGGAGATTTGAGTATAGAAGTGTAGGAGAAAGGGGAGGTGTTGAGAGAGGTTGGTGAAAATCTCTTAAAAAAGGCCTAAGATCAGAGCAGAACTGAAGGAAATAGAGACACAAAAAACCCTTCAAAAAATCAATGAATCCAGGAGCTGGTTTTTAGAAAAGATCAACAAAATTGGTAGACCGCTAGCAAGACTAATAAAGAAGAAAAGAGAGAAGAATCAAATAGACACAATAAAAAATGATAAAGGGGATATCACCACAGATCCCACAGAAATACAAACTACCATCAGAGAATACTATAAACACCTCTACACAAATAAACTAGAAAATCTAGAAGAAATGGATGAATTTCTGGACACATACACCCTCCCAAGACTAAACCAGGAAGAAGTTGAATCTCTGAATAGACCAATAACAGACTCTAAAATTGAGGCAATAATTAATAGCTTACCAACCCAAAAAAGTCCAGGACCAGAAGGATTCACAGCCAAATTCTACCAGAGGTACAAGGAGGAGCTGGTACCATTCCTTCTGAAACTATTCCAATCAATAGAAAAAGAGGGAATCCTCCCTAACTCATTTTATGAGGCCAGCATCATCCTGATACCAAAGTCTGGCAGAGACACAACAACAACAACAAAAAAGAGAATTTTAGACCAATATCCCTGATGAACATCGATGCAAAAATCCTCAATAAAATACTGGCAAACCAAACCCAGCAGCACATCAAAAAGCTTATCCACCATGATCAAGTGGGCTTCATCCCTGGGATGCAAGGCTGGTTCAACACACACAAATCAACAAACATAATCCAGCATATAAACAGAACCAATGACAAAAACCATATGATTATCTCAATAGATGCAGAAAAGGCCTTTGACAAAATTCAACAATACTTCATGCTAAAAACTCTCAATAAATTAGGTATCGATGGGACGTATCTCAAAATAATCTAAGAGCTATCTATGACAAACCCACAGCCAATATCATACCGAATGGGCAAAAACTGGAAGCATTCCCTTTGAAAACTGGCACAAGACAGAGATGCCCTCTCTCACCACTCCTATTCAACATAGTGTTGGAAGTTCTGGCCAGGGTAATCAGGCAGGAGAAGGAAATAAAGTGTATTCAATTAGCAAAAGAGGGAGTCAAATTGTCCCTGTTTGCAGATGACATGATTGTATATCTAGAAAACCCCATTGTCTCAGCCCAAAATCTCCTTAAGCTGATAGGCAACTTCAGCAAAGTCTCAGGATACAAAATCAATGTGCAAAAATCACAAGCATTCTTATACACCAATAACAGACAAACACAGAGCCAAATCATGAGTGAACTCTCATTCACAATTGCTTCGAAGAGAATAAAATACCTAGGAATCCAACTTACAAGGGATGTGAAGGACCTCTTCAAGGAGAACTACAAACCACTGCTCAATGAAATAAAAGAGGATACAAACAAATGGAAGAACATTCCATGCTCATGGGTAGGAAGAATCAATATCGTGAAAATGGCCATACTGCCCAAGGTAATTTATAGATTCAATGTCATACCCATCAAGCTACCAATGCCTTTCTTCACAGAATTGGAAAAAACTACTTTAAAATTCATATGGAACCAAAAAAGAGCCCTCATTGCCAAGTCAATCCTAAGCCAAAAGAACAAAGCTGGAGGCATCACGCTACCTGACTTCAAACTCTACTATAAGGCTACAGTAACCAAAACAGCATGGTACTGGTACCAAAACAGAAATATAGACCAATGGAACAGAACAGAGCCCTCAGAAATAATGCTGCATATCTACAGCTGTCAGATCTTTGACAAACCTGACAAAAACAAGAAATGGGGAAAGGATTCCCAAAACTGCTAGCCATATGTAGAAAGCTGAAACTGGATACCTTCCTTATACCTTATACAAAAATTAATTCAAGATGGATTAAAGACTTAAATCTTAAACCTAAAACTATAAAAACCCTAGAAGAAAACCTAGGCAATACCATTCAGGACATAGGCATGGGCAAGGACTTCATGTCTAAAACACCAAAAGCAATGGCAACAAAAGCCAAAATTGACAAATGGAATCTAATTAAACTAAAGTGCTTCTGCACAGCAAAAGAAACTACCATCAGAGTGAACAGGCAACCTATAGACTGGTAGAAAATTTTTGCAATCTACTCATCTGACAAAGGGCTAATATCCAGAATCTACAATGAACTCAAACAAATTTACAAGAAAAAAGCAAACAACCCCATCAAAAAGTGGGCGAAGGATATGAACAGACACTTCTCAAAAGAAGACATTTATGCAGCCAAAAGACACATGAAAAAATGCTCAACATCACTGGCCATCAGAGAAATGTAAATCAAAACCACAATGAGATACCATCTCACACCAGTTAGAATGGCAATCATTAAAAAGTCAGGAAACAACAGGTGCTGGAGAGGATGTGGAGAAATGGGAACACTTTTACAATGTTGGTGGGACTGTACCATTGTGGAAGTCAGTGTGGCGATTCCTCAGGAATCTAGAACTAGAAATACCATTTGACCCAGCCATCCCATTACTGGGTATATACCCAAAGGATTATAAATCATGCTGCTATAAAGACACATGCACACGTATGTTTATTGTGGCACTATTCACAATAGCAAAGACTTGGAACCAACCCAAATGTCCAACAATGATAGACTGGATTAAGAAAATGTGGCACATATACACCATGGAATACTATGCAGCCATAAAAAATGATGAGTTCATGTCCTCTGTAGGGACATGGATGAAGCTGGAAACCATCATTCTCAGCAAACTATCGCAAGGACAAAAAACCAAACACTGCATGTTCTCACTCATAGGTGCGAATTGAACAATGAGGACACATGGACACAGGAAGGGGAACATCACACACCAGGGCCTGTTGTGGGGTGGGGGTAGGGGGGAGGGATAGCATTACGAGATATACCTAATGTTAAATGACGAGTTAATGGGTGCACACCAACATGGCACATGTATACATATGTAACAAACCTGCATGTTGTGCACATGTACCCTAAAACTTAAAGTATAATTAAAAAAAATAAAGGCCTGACTTTTCTTGGATGATACCGTGGGAGGAGTGATTTGACCCTGTAGCCCACAGTTTCCATTGACGGTGATGTAGAGAATCAGAAAATCGACAAGAATGAGACCAAAGTGGATGGAGCATGTGGAGGCAGAAAGAAAGGTCTGAAGGATGAAGATCAAGTCAAGCTGCACATAATGGACCTTAGGGAGGGAGGTTAGCTGAAGTCAGTGGATTCTGAAGCAATTGGAATTGAAGTTTTCTCTGACGGGAATGCTAATGAGAGGCTCTGTGCTCTGAGAAAACAGAAAAAAGCGGACATGATGAATGCTTCTGGGGGTACAGATTACATATCTGTAAATTTCTTTTAAGATATTTGAGATAGAATTGAACTCATTATTATTTTCTGTCGTGTGTTACTTTTTGAACTCAACAATAATGAGACACAGCCATATTCTAGTTACCACTGGACTCTAACTGGGCAGCTCCTGCCCCAACATTGGAATATGGCAGTGTTTTATCTCTACTCCAAACCAAAGTGATTGATGTGAATCATCAGTGCTGCTTCATTTTGATAGCTGGATTTTGGAAATAATGTTGCAAAACTGGGGACTGTTCAACCCAAGCTATGATGGTTCTTGAGATAACTTCAGAAAGATGAAAACAAATCATATAGCTGTGGCTACAGTCAAAGCAGAAACTTTTGAGAGAAATTAGAGGTTGAGCTTGGACATTTTAGACAGAGAATAAGACCTATATGATACTTTGGGAATTCAACTGATTATAATACTTTTTTTAATTTCATTTTTAAAAAGTGGCAAACTGGAAAAATCAGTTTTGCTCCAATATATGTGGACACATTATTTCTTAAGAAACTGGAATGAAAAGTGTCAAAAGGAACCATAACTGAAAGTTGAAGTCAAATCTGCTCTGCTAGTCAAATCACTTAACTGGCTGAGAAGGGTTCTCTGAGAAAGTGAACAGAGATTTGAAGCTTACAATTGAGTAGACTTGAATCAATGTAATAGGCTTCTTGCTCTGGTACACTTAAGACATGCTTGGGAAGTACTTTTTAAAAGTCAGAATTAAAACACATAATGGAGAAAAAAGGAAAAGGATGGGCAAGCTCCTTATGGGAACACCTGAGTCCCACATTCAGCTAAGTTGTACATGCAAAGCCACAAGCATTGATGAAGCTAGTTGGCCTAAAATTCACAGGAATTGTGTGCATTTCAGGGTGCATAGAGACTGAGATTGCACAAACATTTGATGAGTGTTGGGGTGATCAGACCCAACACCAGGCTGGGGGGGGGCTACGAAGTCCGGTGGAGTCAAAGGAATGAGAAAAGACCAGTTAAGAAATAAAGTGGGACCAGGGGGCCAATGCTAGTATGGAGACTGCAAAGGCCCCGAGCTCTGGGAGCCCATGCTATTTATTTGTGATCAAAGAAACAGGTGGTGAGGATGTGGGGGTTGAAAGGAAGCAATGTATTAAGTGAATGAGCTACAGCTGTGATGGTTTAGCATTTTCTTTGAAACATATGGCTACTTGCAATAATGGGAATGCTAGAAGCGAGGAGCCAGCAAGTCTAGACACATTCCAGAGGCCACAAGGGGGTTTTAGATCCTGGAACCCAGACATGTTCCAAGCCCTGACTCAGCTTGTCTCCCAACACTCAGCTTTTCTCCCAACAATGAGTGTATCTCCCATGCCAGGTGCCACTCTAGGCATTGTAGATACAATGGGAACAGATGAAGTTTCTTTTTACTTGGAGCAGACATCGACTGGGCATGTTGCAGGCTGACATTTTCCTTGCTCTGCATTCAGTTGGATTATCATACCCTGTGTGTCATGAGTGTCAGTGTAGGTGAGATAAACCTTGGAAAAACATTAAGGCATGAAAGTGGTGAATTTTGGGGGGACTAAGAAAGCTATCTAGTGGCTATTGGCACCTCAGCAGAGCCAACAACTTTAGAAGGAAGAACATAAGTTGCTGATGGCAGAAAATCAGTGGGTGTCCTATTGTTACATAACAAATCACCCCAAAACTTAGTGATGTGAAACAATACACTAAGTGATTGGAATGACAGCCATCTTGGTTTTCTCACAATTTTATGGGTCACAAATTCAGAAAGGACTCAGCAGGGCAATTCTCATTTCATGCATTTGTCGTCAGATGTTGATTGGAGCTGTGGTCATCTGAAGGCTGACTGGGCTGGACATCCAAGAAGTCTCACTCAGATGGTTGGCTGTTGATGCTGGATGCCAGCTGAGCCCTCTTCTGGGGTTGTCACCTGGAGGACCTACATCTGGCCTCTCTTGCATGATGGTCTTAGAATAGCGAGACTTTTTACATGGTAACTGGCTTCCCCAGAGACAGCCTCCTAAGAGGACCAGGTGGAATCTGCATGACCTTTTGTGACCCAGCCTTTGAAGTCACATAGCATATTTCAACCATATTCATTTGGTTAAAGGAGTTACAAGCCCGCTTAGATTCAAGGTAAGTGGACATAGGCCTAACTTCTCAATGAGAGGAATGTCAAAAAAAATTTGAACCATGCTTTAAAATCATCACAAATAGGTATCAGCCAAATCCTCACCCTCTTGTCAGTTCACTCTACATGTTGCTGAAGCCCTAGTATAAATTAATGTTCCCACAGTGTTTTGAAAAGACTCAGATTTTGGTCATGCTTGTAACATATTCAAGCTTTGAAGAGGGTGGCCACTCCTATAACCTTTATGGAACTAGAATGTTCAGAACTATTGCTGCAATAATGATGTCTTACCAAAATATATCAAAGTTATTTACATATGCCAGATAATTATCTAATTCCTGGCCAACATGGTGAAACCCCATCTCTACTAAAAATACAAAAATTAACCAGGCGTGGTGGCTCGTGGTAGTTTCAGCTACTCAGGAGGCTGAGGCAGGAGAATCACTTGAACCTGGGAGGTTGCAGTGAGCAGATATCATGCCACTGCACTCCAGCCCTGGAGACAGAGTGAGACTCCACCTAAAAAAAATTAAATGCAATGGGAAAATAGTATACATCTGTCATTTATATTCAGCAGAAACACTGGTGAAATAAACTTAATTACCACTATTGTCCATCACTTTATTTTTTCTCCCATCAATTATCATTCAATCCCTCCTTTTTCCTAAAGCGTTCTGGCCAATGTGATATGAGCATCCCTGTGTCTGAACCATTCCTATCTCTTGGATCAATAGTGCAGTCAAGTAAATGCTGAAGCAATGTCTGTCATGTCACAGATCTAGACTGCTAGATTTGCAAGTCTGTCATGTCACAGATCTAGACTGCTAATTGGTGGCTCAGCTTTTAATTCCAGCATTTCTGGTTCATTTTGCCTTTATTTTTTAGCTTTGTTTTCCCCTAGACTCTTCAAGGTTTCTCCTGGTATTTAAAAGAGGGGAGGCAATGGGAATGTCCGACTCCAGTGCCCATGTTCTTGGCCTGCACACTATTCTGCCTCCCATTATCTTAGCTTGCTTCCCTTTCAGATCCAACTTCTCTCAAAGGGCAGCTTCATTTCCTCCCTCTGCCAGGAAACCTTCTGCCCAGGGACTCCTGGCTCTTGGGTCCCATTAGTTCCTCTTAGTCACTTTAGCTAGGCCATCACAGGACCATCAAAGGTCATTTTGCAGGCCAGAAACCTCACCCAACACCCACAAATGATACTAGTGACAATGTCTGGACACTTCACTCTTGTCAGGGAAACAGGGGGTTACCATCCAAAGGATAAGTCCCATGGACTTCCCACACACTTATGTAACAGTCCATATCATTCCAGCTCATAAGTGGATTGCTGACTTGTCAGTCGGCATCTCAAGGATGGGAATCATATTTCACACATTTCTGAGTCCTTTGTGTCAACATATATCTGAACTGTGTCCTCAATTCCTGTTGTTTGAATGAATTAATTAATGAATAAAATAGTATAGACAATTAGTTTTCAACAGTCTTGATAATCAAGGCCAGATATTTGGGTGTTACAGGGACTTCCTGGTTCCCTTCTATCAGAAAACATCTGGGCATCTACTGAATAATTATTGAATTTCCTACTGAGGGGCTAGAGTTTGAAGAGCTGTTACTTGGAGTAGAGTCCATCACTATCATCACTCTCCATGTCCCATCTCCTTTTTTTCTGATTCTAAATCAAAGTAGGAGGAGAAAATACCTTGATCAGCAAACATTCTGAGCCAATTCATCCCTGCCCAAGGCCCTGTTTCCCTGCTGCCCTTAGGTTAGCAAAAACGTGAGCTTAGGGTCATAGGGTCAGGGTCTGAGAAAGACGGTGAGGGACAAGGGGAGACAGATAGGTAGATAGAGATAGATAGATAGATAGATAGATAGATAGATAGATAGATAGATAGATAGATAGAAAACAATGATTTACTTTTTCATTTCTTCCAGGGATCACTGAGCTGAGATGTCCTGAAAGGAAAAACTAACAGCACTGTCAGCCCCCTCCCAAGTGCCTAACCCTCAAGTATCCTTTTGGTTGTTTGCTGCCAGTCTATTTCTGTTGTGGTTCCAGCTCTGCAGGAAGCTGCTACCGGAGTCACCATGGGCCCACAGATCCCACTGACATGCCCAACAGAGCATTCTGGAGGCTCCAGTTGCTGCCACAGCTCTGGGGGCTGCTGTGGTCCTGGGTCATGAAGACTACAGAGTATCAGAGTTGGAGGAACCAGAGGACCAAGGACCTGCTCCCATCTGGAGCTTCTCTTCTTCTCTGCCATCTAGGGCTGAGCTACCAAAGTGTTTTCGGAAGGATCTGAACGGGCCCAGTAAGCTCATTCCCTTTGTTTTCCAGAGCTCTGTGTTTATTTCCAACTCATGCTTCTGTCCTTGACCTTGTGAAAGACTGCTCACCTCATTCCCACACTAATATACAACCCCCCTAAAAGGGTTTTGTGAGTTGAGGGGTGTATGACCCACTTGTGTCTGTTCCTAAGATAGGCCTATGTACCCAATGTGGGGCAGCCCCTGTAAGGCAAAGACGGGAACGCACTGGACAGAGCTTGCAACGAGAAAGCACAGCTTTATTCTTCACAGCACAGGGATATTAAAGAAGGAGGGAAAACACTAAGACCAGCAGGATAAATCCCCTGGGGGAGTACTTGAAACTCATCAAGGAACATCTCAGTAGGAAAGAGGAGACAGGAGCAAAGAAGCACCAGGCTAGGGCTGGTTCCAGTCATTTTGGCACTTTCTTTTCTCAAATATTTTTACTTAATCTCGTGGCTCAGGTCAGCAGCAGCCCGCAGAACTGTGGCCACAGCTGGAGCTCCCGCCTTGCTGACCACTTCCCCTGTCACAGGAGTTGGAGCTCTGGCAACGGCAACGGTGAGACCTGCGGCATCTGTGGTGACTCAGGCAGCAGCTGCGCTCGGAGCTGGGCCCACAGCCCCCAGAGCTTGGGGCACAGCTGGAGGAAGCTGGAGGCAGACACTGTGCTGGGCTCTTTGCAGGGCACTTGGGCGGAGGCTGGCACTGCTGCTGGTTCTGCTGGCAGGACATCTAGGCAGGAGGTCAGGGAGCCTGGGCAAAATAAAAGCAAAGCAAAATACGTGTCAATGCAGGTTTCAGGCCAGGGCCTCCTCATGCTTTGGTTTAATTGTGGATCCCTTCCCCTAAACTCAGTCTGCCCTCCAGCTAAGACCTGGGGAAGGGGAATGCAAACGGATCTGAAGTTAAACCGGCCTGATACTGCCCCTTCCTCCGGCCCTCTCCCCTGCCTGGGAGGCAGCTGACACTCCTGGGTGGGCCTCTGGGGCTCCTGCGCACGCCCTGCGGGGCCTGTCACACCTCCGGACCCGATGCGAACAGCTCCCCCTGCAGGCGTCCCGTGAACACAACGCCCATGACCCTCCAGGGTGGCGTCTCTCTGGACGCCTGTGAGCGCAGGGTGTGAGGAGGCAACGCATCTCTGCGCACATGAGGAAAAGGGGGTTCAGAGGTCGCAGCATCGCGGAGCCCCTGAAGTGGCTCGCAGACTTGTCTGTCTTCCTCACTATCCCGCCCATCTCCCATCCCAGTCCCAGCCGGCCACCCACCACAGCCTCTCTGCCGCCTCCACCGTGTCTGCCTCCTCCCCTCTCCTTGTTGAAGCACAGACGTGTTTGCGCAGCCCTTTCAGCCCAGGTCCTCTCGCCAGCTGGACGCTCACCTGGTTTGGTGGAGGCAGGAGAAGGTTCTTCCTGAGGTGATTGTGGACTGAGGAACCCAGGGCCTCAGCCCTTTTATCCTGGGTATTATGATGCACAGCCCAACTATGTGTCCTCCTTTGCTCCCCAAAGGGAGGGGAAGCACCACACACTCCCAAGGACCAGGCTTTCAGCATATTCTTAAGGCGCATATTTTGAGGAATGACAAAAGGGAAGCAGGAAATCTCGATGACGGTCCAATTATCCACCGTTCAGGCCCTCTGGCTGCTGTTCCACTTTTTTTTCTTCATTCAGCTCACATGCTCTGAAGCCAGGGTACGTCCTTTGTGGGGCCTGGTAATATGGGGACAAACAGAACACATTTCTCCCCTTGACTAGCTCACAGCTTTTCAGAAGGCCAGATGGACAACTGAGCAATTAAATCACATCCTATGTGCTAAGCGACGCAGCACAAGTGTGCACAAACATGGCAGGCTGGGGTCACTGCCTTTGGGTGTCAGTCCCCATTGCTTTGTGGATTCCTTTACATAGGTGATGGAATCAGCCCCTGTGTCCTGAGATGTTGGCTGCACTGAGCTCACTGGACCTGGGTTGAGTAAGGGGTGGAAGAATGGAGCTGGGGCCATGGCTTGAGAGGTAGTGTCTTCAGGGAATATCATGGCATCTTAAAGGTGGCATTGGGCACTGTGGGGGCAGAGGGGTAGAGTGGAGGGAGGTGCAGATGGTATAAAAATGTGACCTCCATCTGTGGGATCAACAGAAATCACACTTAATGGGAAAAAAGGGGCATCCGTTTTTGGCTGTCTGTGAAATGTGCAAGGCTGAATTTAATCCTATATATTATGTTAGTAATTCATTAAAATTTCTTTGAATTTGTTGATAATGATGAGGTTGATGGGGTTGTATGCATTTCACTTAATGAATACCTGTGATAATGCTTGAAGTTTGTATATGATGAATTCATAAAAATGGAATATTATTTACTATTTGGTTTTAGTTATATCAGTGATAAATTTATCAGTGAATTCATCTCTAATAATACAATACAATATGCCATAGCCTCTAAATAAAAACCACTGTAATGAATTTTAAAATAATCTTTATTATACTATATATTCTTCCAAGGAAAATAATCACAATTGAGACAATATTAAGTTTCTAATAATCATGAATTTAAATTATATTGTAATTTTAAGCAAAATGTTATTTTGATCAGAGTATATGAAAGCCTGAAGATGCTTGTTCTTTGGTACAAAATACACTGCTAGAGGATATTAGTTCCTTCTTCCCCTTTGCCTATCACTCCACTTTGAACAAACTGCAATACCATGCATTCTTTTAAGAGTTCTATGAGGTCAGGAGTTCAAGACCAGCCTGTTCAACACGGCAAAACCCCGTCTCTACTAAAAATACAAAAATTAGCTGGGTGTGGTGGTGGGCATCTGTAATCCTAGCTACTCGGGAGGCTGAGGCAGGAGAATCGCTTGAGCTGGGGAGGCAGAGGTTGCAATGAGCTGAGATCGCGCAACTGCACTCCAGCTTGGGTGACAGAGCAAGACTGTCTCAAAAAAAAAAAATAGTTCTGCAGAATTATGAATGGAAGAGTGGGAATTCCTGGTGGAAAGCTGGTGAAAGGCTAGGACAGGTGTGCCAGAAGCATGTTTTTAGGAACATGCTGAATGGGGTCCTCAAGGCTTTGTTAAGTTTTAGTGTCAGAGCTATGCTGGAAGTAACTTTGCCCTTATATCCTTAAGTACTCCTACTTCCTTCCCTCAGAGGATATAATAATAAAAAGAGACAATTGCAAAGGATGTGAATGGGCACTTTTGAAATGCCACACTGGGTGTTGTGAATGAGAAGAGCGTAAAGGAAACATAGATCTCTTCGCACTGCTGCACTGACTTTGCTGGTGGAATGGGTGTGAGAGAAGGACAGGAGGGGATCACCTTGAGGGAAGCATGCTGTTAGTGAAATCTGGGCCTCCTGCAGACTTAATCCTTGTCTGAACCAAATGCCTTTTCCAGACACAGCCCAAAAGGTTGAGGAGAATGGGCTGTGATACCTTCAGAGCAGGGAAAGTACTTATCTCTTGAATTGTTGGTTCACCTAATGCTCTTCTTCTGAGACTGCCAGGCCCAGATCAGCAGCAGTCCTACTGACCTGTGGCAGCAACGGAAGCTCCCACCACTGACCACTGCAATACCATGACCATAGGTAGTAACACTGGTGGGATCAGCTCAGGCATCTGAGCTGCTCCTAGAGCTGGAGCCATGGTGAGATGAGCCTGGAAGAGGACTTGGAGCTGGTCAAAGGTAGTCACTTTAGAACGCACTTGGTGAATTACTTAGGAGTGAAGCACTTGATAGGTGTTTGGTATGGCTGATGGCTTTATTGGCAGCTTATCTCAGCAGGATCTATTTAGCACCTATTCAGATGCATCAAATAATAATAAAAAATGTTTCCTTTTGAAATTAAAATCACATTTTGTAGACAATATATAGGTAAAATAAACAAGTTTCAGAAAGAAAATTTTTTACCCAGATTAATTTCTTTAAGATTTCTTTTTCTCTAGATAAGTATAGATAGGTAGCCATATACATGTATTCATAGATATACATGGCCCGGGCCAAGCTCTCGGCTACTTGCAGAAACTCAGCCAAGGGAGGTTGAATAGTGGCTGGGCTGAGAGTCACTTTGCCTTGGCCTTTAAGGCTATACAATTCCAGGGCCGGTTCCTTCTCTGTCTGGACGTCTCTTTATTCTCCAATCTCTTTCCTTTTTTTTTTCTTGTTCCATCATTTTCACCTTTTCTTCTAAGACTTATGAATCCTGCCACAGTGAAACTTCCCTAGTTTCAGACAAGAACTCCTACCTGTGGAGGCAGACTGGAGGAAAGGCTTGTGATGAAGCTCCCTTTCCTGGGAGATCCAGGGCTGGGCTCTGAGGTGTGATATGGCTATCGGTGGAGCAGGTCAAGCCTCTTACACTTGCAGGGCAGGTAAAGGCTCTTCCTGGCATCCTGTGCTTGCTCATTCCTCCTGTGGTGGCCCCATGGAAACTCCCAAGTGGTTGCTTTTTGTTGCCAATGAGGAGATGAAGTTTTGCCAAGGAACACCCTTTCCTCAGGCTTAGTCCCCACTGAGCAGCCTGGGGATTCCCAAGAAGCCCGTCATTGGATTAGAGATTATATGACTCCAGGTATCCATGTGTCTGTCCCTTCTTAGGAAACATCTAGTCACACCCTCTCCTTTAACTTATTTGAAAGAGGGCAGGAGGAAGGGAGATCAGTTGCTGGCCAGGGGACTGACAGAACAGAATGGATTTGTAGAAAAGCATATTCAAGACTTAGTGACTCATTGTCTGTGCAAGATGGAGGATATGAATTAGCCAAGATTATGTTATTAACTCTCCTAATGATTAGGAGCATAGAAAGCTTTCTTTAGAGAATTTTGAGGTTGAGGTCACAGAAGGACCTTGAAGTGGATATAGCTTCAGGATGTTTGAAGAAATGGGGGTGGAGGCTTATGATCTACTGGTCAAGAAAGTCCTGGAGGGAAACTTCTGAATCACACTCTGATTATTTTCTTGTATTCTCCTCCTTCCTTCCATCCCTCCCTCTTTACCTCTATTCTTTTCTTCTTTCTTCCTCCTTCCCTCCCTCCCTTCCTCTTCCCTCCCTTCCTTTGCACCACTAACCAAGAACCAATTTGGTCTATGAGACCAAACAAAGCCAGTGAATATCACACATGATGTTTCTGTTGTCACTGCAGCCCCAATCAGCTAAGAGTGGTGGGTGGGTACAAAAGTATCTAAAACTTTAAACCACTGATATGAAGATTCATGGAAGCAGTGACCACCTTGTCAACAGTGTTCCTAGTAGCACAGTGTTCCTAGTAGTTCCCAGTTTATGGTACAACAGTGATTGTCCCTGGGCATTATGGGACACATGGCTAGAGACTTTTCATCCTTCTGCTCTGAGCACACCCATCTACACACATTCACCACATATCCATACACATAATGATGCTCCATTATGACTATTCCTGTCAAACGGAATGAGGGAACCACAGAAGACATCACCAAGGCCATTTTTAGATGATTCAGTGTCTTGACTATCTCATTGGAAAACAGTAATTCAAACTTCAAACCTGTGCAAGTGTCCCTTCCTTCCTTTGTTCTTTCCTTCCTTCCTTCATTTTTTTCTTCCCTCCCCCTTTCCTTCTTTCTTTCTTTTTCTTTTCTAATTATTATAAGATGGTTTTCAAATATTCCACTGAACTTTGAACAACTTGGGGAGATCCTTATGTTATCATCTTTGAATTTCTAAGCAATGATGAACTGAGAATTGTCTTTATGGAAGGTGTTTAATTAATCTTTGCTGAATTAAACTCACAGCTCTGAGAGGATAGCGGCCATATCTGGGAACAGAAAATCAGTGAGAACTTGGAGACTGAAAAAAGAAGAGTCACAGAGGCCAAGGGCTTGGCTAATGTCAGGAATTCCCATGGCACATGCTCTTGCTCTTGGCCCGTGTCTGGCTTCTGACAGCTAAGTACCCTTGCCCCACTAACATGCTCTGTTCTGCTTATGACTACTGTATTTCCATGCTCCCCAGATGAGACTCAAGGCTCAGCAGGGATTTGGATCTCAGGGCTGAGCATGTCCCCTCCACCTCATCAAAGAGCCTCCTCCTTGCTCTGTGCTTGGGCAATGCTGTGGGGAATCCAGCCTAGAATAGAATAAGGGGATCTGACGAGATATCCTGTTCTGGCCCAGGAGTGGGGCCAAGGGGGAGCATCTGTAGTGAGCCGAGGAACCTCCTCATTGGGATATTCACAGGGACCTAGCAGGTGAGAGACAGAGAGGCCTAAGGAGGCTGAAATCTTATTTGAGGCTCTGGGAGAGGAGCCTTAAAGAAATCATGTAATCTGAACCCCCTCAGGAAAAGTGTGGATGCCTGAAGATGTCAAGACCCTGTTTCTTCAGAGTTCCCTCACATGAACACAGGAATAGACTGCTTCTTTGTTCCATTTCCTAGGAGTGGGGTCTTACGGATTCAACTTGATGAGAAAATAAGTGTTAGAGAAAGAGTTGCCTGGATGTAACTGAGCAATTTCTGGATGCTTTCTCAACCATATGAGGAAATCTATGGAGTGAGATTGGACTTCCCTGAGAACATCTGTCTTCTGTAGCTGATGTGGGTCATAGTTGAGCTGACTGCATATTAAAGGCATGGGGAGGGGAAGGAGTTAGGGGTGAAGGGTGTGGGGAAGAGCTAGATAGGATCTGAGGCAAATATGTGGGGGTGGGCTTTCTCTATTACCTTCTGTAAATTTACTCTCTATAAATTACTTAATTTCCCAATGCCTCAATTTCCTTATCCATAAAATAGGGATTAAGCTGATGGTATGGAATATAAGTATCAATTAATGATATAATAAGCAAGACAATGGGGAGAGGTGGAGCAAGGTAGTCAAATAGAAGCCTCCAGCAATTTCCCCCCTGCAAGAACACCAAATTGAACAACTATCCACACAAGAAACCAGCTTCATATGAACCAAAAATTAGGTGAGCGATCAGAGTACCTGGTTTTCACATCATGTCAAGGAAAAAGGCACTGAACAGGATAGGAAACACAGTCTTGAACTGCTGACACCACTTCTTCCTCATCCCATGGCAGCAGCTACATGGCATGGTGAGAGATAGTGTGTGCTTCAAAGAAAGAGAGTGCAGTGATTGTGGGACTTTGCATTGAAACTCAGCGCTGCCTTGTCACAGTAAAAAGAAGCATGGGGTAGAATTCAGCTAATGCCCATGGAGAGACCATTTAGACCAGCCCCAGCCAGAGAGGAATTGCCCATGCCAGGAGTTGAAATCTGAGTTCTGGCTAGCCCCATCACCATGGACTAAGTATTCTGGGATTCTAAATAAACTTGAAAGGCAGTCTAGGCCACAAGGACATAAATTCCTGAGCAAGTCCTGGTGCTCTGCTGGGCTCGGAGCCAGTGGACTTGGGGTGCACATGACCTAGTGAGACACCAGCCAGGGCAGCCAAGGGAGTGCTTGTCTTACTTCTTCCCCAACCCTAGGCAGCACAGCTTACTGCCCTGGGAAAGACTCCTTCCTGACACTTGAGGAGAGGACAGAAGAGAGTAAAGAGTACTTAGCCTTGCAACTTGGATAGCAGCTCAGCCACAGTATAATAGGGCACCATGCAGTGGCCTAAGGCCCCCATTCCCTGCCCTAGCTCCCAGTTGACAATTCTAGACACAGCCTGGGCCAGAAAGGAACCCACTGCCTTGAAGGAAAGGACCCAGTCCTGGCAGGATTCATCACCTGCTGACTAAAGAGCCCTTGGGCCTTGAATAATCATCCGTGGTAACCAGACAGTTTTCACCTCAGGTTTTGGGTAAGACCCAGGGCTGTGCTGGCTTCAGGGGTGACCCAGTGCCTTCTCAGCTGTGGTGGCTATGGGAGAAGACTCTTTCTGCTTTAGGAAAGGAGAGGAAAGAGTAAAGGGAACTTTGTCCTGCAGCTTGGGCACTGGCTCGACCACAGTGGGATAAGCACCAAGCAGGCTCCCAGGGTCCCTGATTCCAGATCTTGGCTCCTGGACAGCATTTCTGGACCTACCCTGGGCCAGAGAGGAGCCCATTGCCCTGGAGGGAGAGACCCAGGCCTGGCAGCATTTACCACAAGCTGACTGAAAAGCCCTTGGTCCTTGAGTGAACATCAGTGGTAGCCAGGCAGTACTCACTGGGGGCCTGGATTGGCGGTGGCCATAAGGAGAGGCTCTTTCTGCATAAGGAAAAGAATAAAAAGAGTGGGAAGGACTTTAGTGGCTTTGGTGCCAGCTATCCACAGCAAAATAGAGGACCAAGTAGCTTCCTAAGATTCCCAACTCTAGTCTCTGGCTCCTGCATGGCATTCTGGGGCCTGCCCTGGGCTGGGGTACAGCTCACTGCCCTGAAGCGTAGGACACAAGCCCAGTTGGATTCACCACATGCTTACTGAAGAGCCCTTGGGCCTTGAGTGAACATCATCAGTAGCCAGGCAATGGTCACTGAAGGCCTTGGGTAAGACCCAGTGCTGTGCTGAACTTGAGTCTGACCCAGCACAGTCCCAGTGGTGGTGACCGCAGTGGTGCTTGTGTCACTCCTCCCATAGCTCCAGGCATCTCAGCACAGAGAGATTCTGTTTGTCTTGGGGAAAGTGAAAGAAAGAGAACAAGCGTCTCTGCCTGGTAATCGGAATTTTCGTAAATCTTACCCAAGACCACCAAAACGGTACCTCTACGACTCTGCAAAAGTCACAGCATTATGGGGCTTGGGGTACCCCCTAATGCAGATACTGCTGCAGTGACTAAAGATTTAGATCACAACACACAATTATCTTTGAAAATTTGGAAACTTTCCCAAGGACAGGGCGATGTCCTGTCTGTCTTCAAAAGCCCAGACTGCAAAGTCTACAAAAAATACCTAACTCTTCGGTGATCAGACGTGAATAAACATCCACAAGCGTTAAAACCATCCAGGAAAATATGACCTCAAGACATGAATTAAAGAAGGCACCAGTGACCAGTCCTGGAGTGACAGCGATATGTGACCTTTCACACCGAGAATTCAAAATACCTGTTTTGAGGAAGCTCAACAAAATTCAAGATAACACAGAGAAGGAATTCAGAATCCTATCAGATAAATTTAACAAAGAGATTGAACTAATTTTAAAAATCAAGCAGAAATTCCAGAGCTGAAAAACTCAATTGGCTTACTGAAAAATGCATCAGAGTCTCTCAACAGCAGAATCAGTAAAGCAGAAGAAAGAATTAGTGAGCTTGAAGATGGGCTGTTTGAAAATACACAGTCAGAGAGACAAAAAAAAAAAAATAAAAATGAATGAAGCATGCCTACAAGATCTACAAAACAGCCTCAAAAGGGAAAATCTAAGGTTTATTGGCCTTAAAAAGGAAGAGAGAGAGAGAGAAAGAGAGAGAGAGGAGAGAAGAGAAGAGAGATTGGGATAGAAAGCTTATTCAAAGAGGTAATACAAAGAACTTTCCAAACCTACCCCAAGCAATCTACTGATTCAGTGCAATCTTTATGAAAATACCATTGACATTCCTCACAAAAATGGAAAAGACAATCCTAAAATTTATGTGAAACCACACAAAACCCAGAGTAGCCAAATCCATCCTGAGGAGAAAAACAAAACAAAACAAAAACCTGAGAGAACCAAGAGGAAACCAATCCCAAAGCTATCAGAAGACAAGAAATAATCAGAATCAGAGCTAAACTGAAGGCAATCAAGACACACACAAAAAAACCATTCAAAAGATCAACAAATTCAGCAGTTGGTTTTTTGAAAAAAATTAATAAAATAGATAGACAACTAGCTAGACTAATAAAGAAGAAAAGAGAGAAGATCCAAATAAACACAATCAGAAACAACAGGGGAGGTTACCACTGACCCTACAGAAATATAAACACCCATCAGAGGCTACAATGAACACCTCTATGCACACAAACTAGAAAACCTGGAAGAGATGGATAAATTCTTGGACACATACAGTCTCCTAAGACTGAACCAGGAAGAATGGATTCCATGAACAGACTAATGATGAATTCCAAAATTGAATAAGTAATAAGCAGGCTACCAACCAAAAAAAAAAAAAAAAGAAAGCCCAGGACCAGGTGGATTCACAGCTGAATCCTACCAGAAGTACAAAGAAGAGCTGGTAGTATACCTACTGAAACTGTTCCAAAATATTGAGGAGGAGGGATGACTCCCCAACTCATTCTGTGAGGCCAGCATCATCCTGATACCAAAAAACCTGGCAGAGGCACAACAAAAGAGAAAAATGCAGGCCAATAACCTTGATAAACATTGGTGCGAAAATTCTCAACAAAATACTTACAAATCAAGTGTCAAACTACAAATGACATTCTTCACGAACTAGAAAAAACTATTTTAAAATTTAAATGGAACCAAAAAAGAGCCCAAATACCCAAGGCAATGCTAAGCAAAAATAACAAAGCTGGAGGTATCACATTACCCAATTTCAAACTGTACTACAAAGCTACAGTAATCAAAACAGCATATTACCGGTACAAAACCAGACACATAGAAAAATGGAACAGAGTAGAGAGCCCAGGAATAAGGCTGCACACCTATAGCCATCTGATCTTCAATAAAATTGACAGAAATAAGCAATGGGGAAAGTACTATCTATTCAATAAATTGTGCTAATTGTCTAATCATAAACAGAAGACAGAAACTGGACCCCTTCCTTACACCATATACAAAATTCAACTCAAGATGGATGAAAGACTTACGTGTAAAATCTAAAACTATAAAAACCTTGGAAGACGACTTAGGCAATAACATTCTAGACATAGGAATGGGCAAAGATTTCATGATAAAGATGCCAAAAATAATCACAACAAAAGCAAAAATTGACAAATGGGATCTAATTAAATTTAAGAGCTTCTGAACAGGAAAAGAAACTATAACAGAGTAAACAGACAACCTACAAAATGGGAGAAAATTTTTGCAAATTAAGCATCTGACAAAGATCTAATATCCAGCATCTATAAGAAACTTAAACAAATTTACAAGAAAAAAGCAACCCCATTAAAAAGTGGGCAAAGTAAATGAACAGACACTTTTCAAAAAATTACATACATGTAGCCAGCAATCATATTAAAAAAAAGTTCAGTATCATTGACCATTACAGAAACACAAATCAAAACCACAATGAGATGTCATCTCACACCAGTCAGAATGGCTACTATTAAAAAGCCAAAAAATAACAGATACTGGCAAAGTTGTGGAGAAAAAAAAATGCTTATACTCTGTTATGGGAGTGTGAGTTAGTTTAACCATTGCGGATAACAGTGCAGTAATTCCTAAAAGAGCTAAAAACAGAACTACCATTCAACATAGCCATCCCATTACTGGGTATATACCCAAAGGAATATAAATTGTTCTACCATAAAGATACATGCACACATATGTTCATTGCAGCACTATTCATAATAGCAAAGACATGGATTCAACCTAAATGCCCATCAATGACAGATTGGGTAAAGAAAATGTGGTACATATACACCATGGAATACAATGCAGCTATAAGAAATAATGAGATTATGTCTTTTGCAGGAACATAAACAAAGCTGGAGACCATTATCCTTAGCAAACTAATGCAGGAACAGAAAACCAAATATCACACATTCTCACTTATAAGTGTGAGCTAAGTGATGAGAACACAAGGAGGGGAACAACAGACACTGGGGCTTACTTGAGGTTGGAGGGTGGGAGGAGGGAGAGGATCAGAAAAAGTAACTATTGGGTGCTAGGCTTAGTACCATGGTGATGAAATAATCTGTACAATAAACCCCTATGGCATGAGTTTACCTACATAAAAAAACTGCACATATACCCCTGAACCCAAAATAAAAGATAAAAATTAAAAAACTAGAGGAATCATATTACCTGACTTCAAATTATACTACAGAGCTATAGTAACCAAAACCGTATGGTATTGGCATAAAAACAGACATATAGACCAATGGAATCAAATAGAAAATCCAGAAATAAATTCATATATCTCCAGTAAACTCATTTTTGACTAAGGTGCTAAGAATATACATTGAGGAAAGGACAGTCTCTTCAATAAGTGGTGCTGCAAAAACTGGATATCCATATGCAGAAGAATGAAACTCAACCTATCTATGGCCATATAAAAAATCAAATCAAAATGGACTAAGACTTGATGGACTTAGACCTCAAAATATGAAACTACTATAAGGAAACATTGGGGAAACTCTCTAGGATGTTGATCTGGGCAAAGATTTCTTAAGTAATATCCCAAAGCACAGGCAACAAAAGCAAAATGGACAAATTGGATCACATCAAATTAAAAAGCTTCTGCACAGCAAAGGAACAATCAATGAAGTGAAGAGACAACCCACAGAATGGGAGAATATATTTGCAAACTATCCATCTGACAAGAGATTAGTAACAACAATATATAAGGAACTCAAAAAACTGTATAGGGAAAAAGTCTAATAATCTGATTTTATTTCATTTATTTATTTTCTATTTTGGGGATAGAGTCTTGCTCTGTCACCCAGGTTGGAGTGCAGTGGCATGATCTCAGCTCATTGCAAACTCTGCCTCCCAGTTCAAGTGATTCTCCTGCCTCAGCCTCCCCAGTAGCTGGGATTACAGGCCCAAGCCAACACACACAGCTAATGTTTGTATTTTTAGTAGAGATGGGGTTTCGCCATATTGGCCAGGCTGGTCTCAAACTCCTGACCTCAGATGGTCCACCTGCCTTTGTCTCCCAAAGTGCTAGGATTACAGGAGTGAGCCACCATGCCTGGCCTAATAACCCGTTTTTAAAATTGGGCAAAAGACATGAATAGACATTTATCAAAAGCAGATACACAAATGTCAAACAGGCATATGAAACGGTACTCATCGGCGCTTGTTAGAGAAATGCAAATTAAAACTGCAATGAGATATAATCTCACCCCAGTAAAAATGACTTTTATCCAAAAGACAGGCAATAATGAATGCTGGAGAGGATGTGGAGAAAAGGGAACACTACTGGTGGGAATGTAAACTCGTACAGCCACTATGGAGAACAGTATGGAGGCTCCTCAAAAAACTAGATATAACTACCATATGATCCAGCAATCCCACTGCTTGGTATTTCTCCAAAGGAAATGAAATCAGCATGCCGAAGAGATATCGGTGCTTTTATGTTTATTGCAGTACTAATCACAATAGCCAAAATTTGGAAGCAACCTAAGTGTCCATCAACAGATGAATGGATAAAGAAAATATGGTACATATATACAAGGGAGTATTATTCAGCCATAAAAAGAATGAGATCCTGTCATTTGCAACAACATGGATGGAACTGGAAGACATTATGTTAAGTGAAATAAGCCAGGCACAGAAAGACAAGCTTCTCATGTTTTCACTCATTTGTGGAATGTAAACATTCAAGCAATTGAAATCATGGACATTTTATATACCGTTAGATGTAAAAGAAGAGAAGACCTGCTTTTGGAAATGGAAAAGTAGGTTACTTTATACAAAATTTCCACAGAGAATAACTGTAAAAGCTAGAAAAGACAAAATAAAATATCTGTCTAAATATGTCATCAACCTATCAATTCAGTGAAGATTTTTGGGACCAAATTCTAAAAAGCAGAGAAGCCAAGAGACAGCCTAGAATGTAACACAACTTTTCTCTTGATACATTTGCCAATTCTGAAAAGCTGTAGCTGGAAGTTGAGAATATGAGTATATCTGTCAGAAAATTCATAGGGGTCAGGGAGGAGGGAGGACGAAAATTAGATTTAGGGCTGTCAAGAAGGAGGGGTTCTGGTAAACACTCCAGGATTTGGTTGGAGCCAGAAGGGCTATAAACTATGAATGAGGAGAATCAGAAATAGAACATCCTGGCAGGGCACAGTAGCTTATGCCTGTAATCCCAGCACTTTGGGAGGAGGAGGTGAGGGGGTCACTTGAGCGCAGGAGTTGGAGTCTAGCCTTGGCAACATGGTGAAACTCCGTTTCTACTAAAAACACAAGAATTAGCCACAAAAATTAGCTGGGTGTGGTGGTGTGTGCCTGTAGTCCCAGCTACTTGGGAGGCTGAGGCAGGAGAATCGTTTGAGCCTGGGAAGCAGAGGTTGCAGTGAGCCAAGATCGCACCGCTACACTCCAGCTTGGGAGACAGAGCAAGACTCTGTCCCAAAAATAAAAGCAGCCTGCAATTCTGCAAAGAGACTGAAGCCAGGCTTTGAATGATCTTAGCCCCTGATCAGATTGGTATTACCTGGGAGTGTTAGTGCTCCCAGCCTAGATGCTTGCTAGAAAGAAAATAAAATCGACATTTAGAGACTAAATGACTTCTATAAATTTTTCATATAGAGCTCTACAATTAATGAAAAAAAACCAAATATATTTTTAAAAATTTGACTAGAAAAAGTAAGAGAAAACAAGCAATGCAAACAGACCAGAGGATATCTAGCTAGTATAGTTATGAGATACATATTTGAAAATATCTATGATTAGTATGCTGAATAAATTAAAAGGCAAGGTGGAAAACTTGCACAGGGATCTACAAATTCCAAAAGGTAACAACATGGAAGTCTAGACCTGAAAAATTAATAACCAAAATTAAGAACTCAGTAGAGAGGTTAAATAACAGACAGCACAACAGAAGAGATAATTAGCAACTGTTAGATTGGACAGAAGAAAATATTGAAGCAAGGGAAGACAAACAACCAGAAAATAAAAAAAAAATACAAAATATATATGGACTATAGTGAAAAGTTCTAATATCTAGATAATAATACTTGGAATCCCAGAAGAAGAGAGAGAACAGAAATAAGCAGTACATGAAGAAATAATCACTCTGAATTTTGACATACTGACAAAAGATATCAAACCACAGTTCCAAGAATGATTAGGCATCCCATGCACAAACTTCTTCTACTATTAGTGCTTGGGGATCCACCTGAGGCCTGGTGTTTCTTGCACTCCTTCTTGTCAAGCTCTGAACTCCTTCCTGGTGAGATGCTAAAATCTTGATTTGGCCTCTCAGCTTCTTAGCCACCACTTTCACTTTCAGCATTCACAAATGGCTGCAGGGAATACATGTCCCAAATATCTGACCCACCCTGCTTGAAGACCCTCTGTTTCCACGTCTTGACATCATCTGTTTTCACTGCCTTGGAATAGGCTTGCAAGATAAAATATAAGATGGCCAGTTAAATTTAAACAATGGATAACCAGCGAATACATTTTTAGTGTAAGTATATACTATGTAGTATTGGAGATTTATACTAAAAAGTTATTGTTTATCTGAAATTTACATTTAATTGGGTGTCTTGTATTTTTATTTGCTAAATCCAGAAATCTACCTTAGTCCCTCTTCTCGGTCTTCAAAGGAGTTTAGAAACATATTGTCCACATATTTTAGCTGTTCTTATTGGGAAGCTAAAACAACATAGTTGGCTATTGCTGGGAGAGAAATTCCTGAGTTTTAAAAGATAACTTAATTGAAGTATTACATGCATAAAGCAAAGCACACAATCATTGTATACAGCCTGATGCTTTTTCAAAAAGGTAACACACTTACATAACAACACCCAGATCAACAGAGAAATGATTACCAGCATCTTAGAAGCTCTCCTTACTCCCCTTTCGAGTTACCGTTATTCCCATCCACACCAAAGGTAACTGTTATCCTGATTTTTAACAGTATGGATTAATTTTGCTTGTTTTCAAACTTTATAGAAATGAAACCATATGCTAAGTGCTCTTTTGCATCTGGTTTCTTTGCTCAGCATTATGTTTATGAGACTCATCCATAGTATTGTGTGAAGTTATAGTTTGTCAATTTTCATAGTGATATAGTATTTAATTGGGTAAGCATTCCACACTTAATTCTCTGATTAAAGGACATTTGGTTAGGTTTCAGTTTTTTGTTTGTTACAAGTAGTTCTGCCATGACCATTCTTATATATGCCTTCGGTACATATACGTGTGGATTTTGGAGGATTATATTTGGGGAATAGGTCACAAGTTGTGCATATGCTCAGTTTTACTAGATACTACCAAGTAATTTTTTAAAAAGTCTGTATGAGAGTTATTGCTCTGTATTCTTGGAAGTCCTTGGCATCATTTGTGTCATCATGTTACCCATTCTTAGTGTTTGTCTCAATGGCAGTGAAAGTCTGCCTCGTGTCTGTGATGGGTCTTGGGCAGCAGAGAGGTGGTGTAGGCTGTTATCATTGAGAAGGTACTCTTATTAACCAGCTCCCTTCAGTCCTACATAGACTATCTTGGGTTATCTTACTATATACTCCCACAGTCCACATTTTGTAGTAATTTCTTGCATAATTGGCTGCTTTAGCCATGAGTTTATTACCTCCATGAGGATAGAGACTAAAATTGTTTTGTTTTTCTGCTATAGTTTAAATGTCCCCTCCAACACTCATGTTGCAATTTGGTTGCCATTGTAACAGTGTTGAAAATTTGGGCCTTTCAGAGGTGATTGGGCCATGAGGGCTCCACCATCATGAGTGGATTAGTGCTGTTGTCATGGGAGTGGGCTAGTTGTTGCAGGAGTGGGTTCCTGATAAAGGAATAAATTCAGTCCCCATTTTCTCTCTGTCTCATATATTCACTTGGCCTTCTGCCTTCTGCCTTCTGCCACAGAATAACCCTTACCAGATACTAGCACCATGCTCTTGGACTTCCCAGCCTCCAGAACTGTAAGCCAAATAAACTATTGTGTTTAAATTATCCAGTCTTTTTTTTCCTAACTTTTATTTTAGGTTTAGGAGTACATGTGCAGGATTGTTATATAGCCAAATTGCATGTTGTGGGGGTTTGGTGTACAGATTATTTAGTCACCCAGGTGATAAGTATAGTAGCTGAGAGGTACTTTTTTTGATTCTCTCTCTTCTCCCAGTCTCCATCCTCAAGTAGGCTCTGGTGTCTGTTGTTGCCCTCTTTGCATCCGTGTGTTCTCATTGTTTAGCTCCCACTTACAAGTGAGACATAAAAAAAATTAACTAGTGTTTGGTACTCTGTCATGGCAGCAGAAAATAGACTAAGAAATCACTTAATAGTTTCTGGCATAAATTTGGCACTCAATAAATAACTGGTCAATGAATAAATGGATGAGCTTTTGTTGTGCCTCCCCCCCAAAAAAATTTTAGAAATATATTTACTATTTAAAGAGCTTCCCCCTTACGTTGATGATATTTAACATGACAAAGGTGATGATACTGACAAAAACCCCATGTCTAGGTGACATCTTATGATGTGGTTGTGGGGTTAGAGTGTTTAATTGGCATTCTTAACCATAGAAATGTCCACATTCCTTTATATCTTTCTATTTTTTTTGCCCCAACAGCAAAACACTAACAATTAGTATGAGCGTCTTCCATATATGGGTCCACTGTATGTTACTGGAGAGAAGCTTTTGAAGGGATTCATGGCAACCAGTTGACCAATCAGCATATCTTCTCCTTGGCTCTGTACTCAGGTCTGTGCTAGAGCTGGGTGACAGAGACAGTTTAATAGGTCTTGATTTCTGCCCTCAATGAGCTTTGACTAATTGGAGGCAGTAAATTTTTATTTAATTAAAATTAAAAGGGAGGAAGGTTTTCAAGGCCCAAAGATAGCATGAGTTTGTGCCTGAAGGCAGTAGGATGAAAGGTGTGCTCTGGTACCAATAAGCAGGGGTGTCAATAGTACTATCTGGGTGGCAGGATATGTGGGGATGATTATTAATCTATTCTTTCTATATCCCCATAGTTTCCAAACTATTTTTACAATTTTAAAGTTGATTGAAAAAGAATCCTAAATGGTTACTGTTGCAGTATGGAAGGTTTTTTTTTTTTCTTTTTGGTTGGGGTAAGCTATAGGCAGAATGGCCACCCAACCAGTTATTTTTCTAGTACAGGAGATAGGCAAAGGCCAGTCTGTGGCATGTGCAGTGGCATAGGGAGGAGCAGATAGCTGTATAACATGCAGAGCCACTCTGTTATCGAATCTCAGCCCAATCTGGGTCTGGAATTTTCTCTACATAGACTCTTCTCAGTTTGACACTAGGGAAAGTTGTCTTTATTTCCCTGTTGGTACTTGAGCTATTTCCCCAACATTTTCCTGAGTCATAGGCCCTATCATGGCCAGAGGATTAAGCTTGGAAAGAAAACAGATATTCTGGTTAGATCTTGAGGGCTGTGGGTGTTCTAAAAATGTATTCTCAGCTCTCACCTGTTCTTGGCCCCTGGCAAGCAAGAAAAGCAACAAGGGTGATGGCCTTCAGCTGTGGCCTCCTGTGGTGGGTATGATTGTTGAGTAAGTCCAAATGGAAATGAGACATTGGTTCAGCTTCCTAGTCTAGACTTTCTGGCAACCCAGACTCACTTTTCACAGCAAAACACCAGCAGCAACAACGACAAATACAGGCTTCATTTTAGGACAGTCTCTGCTGTTAGCATGTTACATATATTAACCTGTTTAACTCACAACAGCTCTTCAAGGAAGACATTATTATTATCATTTTAGTAATCTCAGGCTCAGAGAGGTTCACACAGCTACTAAGTGGCAGGACTGGAATTCAAACCCCAGAAGTTTGGTTCAGAGTCTATGCTCTTAACCACCAGGTAATCGGCCAGACTAGACAGAGACACATAGGCATCTGGACAAACTCATTTTACGGGTAATTTCAATCTGGTATTGTGCAAATATATATTCAACACAGATTGAGAAGAGAGATTGAGCTCTGTAATAGGAGAAGGTTTAAACAAAAGGATGTTTCACCAGCTTGCAAAATAAAATTCTACAGTTAACTGGATTTACTCTACAGGCATATTTCGAAGATACTGTGAGTTCAGTTCCAGACCACTGCAATAAAGCAAATATTGCAATAAACCAAGTCAAACGAATTTTTTGTCTTCTCGGTGCATGTGAAAGTTATGTTCACACTATACTACAGTCTATTAAGTGTGCAATAGCATTAAATTTAAGAAATAATGAGGATATCTTAATTAAAAATACACCATAATGTGAGCCTTCATTGAGTTATAATATTTTTGCGGATGCAGGGTCTTGTCTTGATGGTCACTGATTGATCAGGGTGGTGGCTGCCGAAGGTGGGGTAGTTGTGACAATTTTCTGAAATAAGACAACAATGACATTTGCTGCATTGATTGACACTTCCTTTCACAAAAGATTTCTCTGTAGCATGTGATGCTGTTTGATAACATTTTACTTACAGTGGAACTGCTTTCAAAATTTGAGTCAATCCTCTCAAACCTTGCCGCTGCTTTATCACAAAGTTCATGTAATATTTTAAATCCTTTGTTGTCATTCAATAATGATCACAGTATCTTCACAGGAGTAGATTCCATGTCAAGAAACCACTTTCTTTGTTCATCCATAAGAAGCAGCTCCACATCCATTCAAATTTTGTCATAAGATTGCAGCAATTCAGTCCCATCTTCTGACTCCACTTGTATTTCTCTTCCTATGTCCATCACATATACAGTTACTTTCTCCGCTGAAGTCTTGAATCCCTCAAAGTCATCCATGAGGGTTGGAATCAACTTCTTCCAAACTCTTGTTTATGTTGATATTTTGACATTGTCCTATGAATCATGAATTTTCTTAATGGTATCTAGAATGGGGCATCCTTTCTAGAAGGTTTTCAATTGATTTAGCTCAGACACATCAGAGGAATCACTGTCTATGGTAGCTATAGCCTTACAAAATGTTTTTCTTATATAATAATGATGCTTAAAAACTGAAATTATGGCCAGGCTTGGTGGCTCACGCCTGTAATCCCAGCACTTTGGGAGGCCGAGGTGGGCAGATCAGGTCAGGAGATTGAGACCATCCTGGCTAACATGGTGAAACCCCATCTCTACTAAAAGAACAAAAAATTAGCTAGGCATGGTGGCGGGCGCCTGTAGTCCCAGCTACTCAGGAGGCTGAGGCAGGAGAATGGCGTGAGCCCAGGAGGTGGAGCTTGCAGTGAGCCAAGATCGCACCACTGCACTCCAGCCTGGGCAACAGTGCGAGTCTCTGTCTCAAGAAAAAAACAAAAACAAAAACAAACAAAAAAAAACAAAAAAACAAATTACTTCTTGATTCATGGACTTCATAACAGATGTTGTCTTAGCAGGCATGAAAACAAGATTAATCTTGTACATCTCTATCAGAGCTCTTTGCTGAATAGGTGCATTGTGAATGAACAGTAATATTTTGAAAGTTATCCTTTGTTCTGAGCAGTAGGCCTCAAAAGTGGGTTTAAAATATTCAGTAAACCATGCTGTAAACACATGTGCTGCCATCCAGGCTTTGTTGTTCCACTTTATAGAGCACAGGCATAGTAGATTTAGCATAATTCTTAAGGACCCTAGGATTTTTGGAATTATAAATGATGATTGACTTAGACTTAATGTCAATAGCTGCATTAGTCCCTACCACAAGAATCAGCCTTTCTTTGAAACTTTGAAGCCAGGCATTGATTTCTCCTCTCTAGCTATCAATGTCCCAGATGGCATCTTCTTCCAATATAAGGCTGTTTCACCTACATTAAAAATCTGTTGCTTAGTGTATTCACTTTTATCAATTATCTTAGCTACATCTTCTGGATCACTTGCTGCAGTTTCTGCATCAGCCCTTGCTGCTTCACCTTGCACTTTAGGTTTTGAAGATGGCTTCTTTCTTTAAACATCATGAACCAACCTCTGTTAGCTTCCAACTTTTCTTCAGCAGCTTCCTCACATTTCTCAGCCTTCATGGAATTGAAGAGAGTTAGAGCTTTGCTCTGGAATAGGTTTTGGCTTAAGGAAATCTTGTGGCTGGTTTGATCTATTATCTAGACCACTAATTTTTTTTTTACAATATCAGCAATAAGGCGGTTTTGCTTTCTTACACTTTTGTGTTCACTGGAGTAGCACTTTTAATTTCCTACAAGAACTTTTCATTTGCAATCACAACTTAGCTAACTGGACCAAAAGGCATAGCTTGGCTTTCCACATGCCTTTCTCATTCAGCTTAATTATTTCTAGCTTTTATTTAAAATGAGAGATTTGTGACTCTTCACTTCACTTGAATGCCTAGAGACCATTGTAGGGTTATAAACTGGCCTAATTTCAATACTGTTGTGTCTCAAGGAATAGGAATACCCCAGGAGACACAGACAGGAGAATGGCCAATAGGTGGGGCAGTCAGAACACACACAACACTTACTGATTAAGATTGGTGTGTTATATGAATGCAGTTCATAGTGCCCCCAAAGCAATTACAGTCATTGCTTCAAAGGTCACTGATCATAGATCACCATGACACATATAATAATAATGAAAAAGTTGAAATATTTTGAGAATTTCCAAAATGTGACAAAAAGGCACAAAGAACAGATGCTCCTAGAAAAATGACACCGACAGACTTGCTAGATGCAGGGTTTCTGCAAATCTCAATTGTAAAGAAAAAAAAAGCAGTATCTGTGACAAACACTAAAGCTATTTGCAATGACAGGTATGTCTATAATTAGAAGACTGCTTATGAACCTACACTGCGATCAAATAGCATATTTTCACTTCTATCTGCTTTCCATTTCTTCTGTTACATAAGCTCACTCCTCCAAACAAGCTCGGCTGAGTACATATTCCTCAGTGTCACTACACTTCTGGTGATGTTTTCTTATATCTCATATTTCACACACACACACACACACACACACACACAGACACACACACACACACACACACAGACACACACACACACACAAACCCTGGGAAGCTGCCTAGTTACCCACCCCTTAGTCAAGCTCTGCCTTGGCCTCAGGCTCTCTGAAGAAGGGCTCACTGATGATTGTGGACTATGCAGGGCTGAGAGAGTGACCGGGGCACACTTTAAGTAGGAAACAGGAACTTTATTTTTGCAAAGAAAATGGAAGATAAACAGAATGTTCTACGTGTGGAAATGCCTACATTAGCTTTGTGATCTACCATCCCCAGGATGTCAAAATGAGGGAATGGAAGAATGAGAAGCAAATTGTTTGATGCTTTGTCCCATGTGTACTTCAGAGGTCCTCAGGACCCAAGGCAGCAGCAGCTCCCAGAGCTGTGGCAGCAGCTGGAGCCCTGTGAAGGCTCACATTCACAGCAGCTGGAGCTCTGGGGTCTGTGGCAGTGGGACCTGTGGCACCTGTAGTGCTCAGGCAGCAGCCACCACCTCCTGAGCTGCAGCAGCCCCCAGAGCTGGAGCCACGGCAGCCCCCAGAGCTAGAGCTGCAGCAGGAAGAGACTGGGCATAGTGCTGTGCACTGGGATGGACAGTTTGGGGGGCATTTCAGAGTACACTTGGAAGGGCACTTGCAGGGGGCTGACACTGCTGCTGGTTCTGCTGGCAGGACATCTGGGCAGGTGTTCAATCAACCTGGAAGAGAATAATGACATGGTATGGATTAGTTAAATCAAGGGGCATGTTTTTTACCTGCTCTAGAATGAGTATGAAGGGCGATAGTAAATGATATTTAGAAAACATAAATAAGCATCCAGAGGAAACATATAAATCTTTCCTCTAATTAAAAGTACATAGATTTTAAATGCAGATGTAGTAAACAACATCTTATTCTCCTTTATAATAGGACACAAGGATTTCTCAGTCTTCATAGTCCTGCATGCAGCATTCAAAACTCTCTGAAGTGCCACCATATTATTATAAAAACAAGCCCCTAAAATAGATGAGGTTGGCACACTTGCCTTTTGGCCCAGGGCAGTTTCCAGAGTGGCAAAGTGCCACTGACATCTTAAGCCACAAGGCAATAGTTTCCTCTCCCTCTGAATTTTATTCCTGTTCAGTATGGCAGAAATCAAATACATAACTCTTTTTCCTAAGACTCTTTACTTCCTCCAATCTCTCTGTCCTTCTCCAACCCCTCTGGTCTCCCAGGTTCTCATTCATCCTGGTCACACAAAAGAGCACAGACATGTCCCTAGGGCGTCAGAGCAGATGAGGTGCTGGAGCTGGGTATGTGTCTTTTATAGACCCAGGCTTGGCTCCAGTAAGAGCAGGAAGTGGCTCTTGTCCAACCAGGCATGTGCTCGGTGATCTGTGACATTCCCCTCTCTCCTTGTCCCTGCAATTCAAGGAGGCCTTGGGAGCTCCCAGGACCCCTCTCTGGGGCTAGGGTCTAGACACGCTTTATCCAGTTGCACCCTCTTCTAGGCTGGAGCTCTGAAGGGTTAACTTGGGATGCACAGGGAGCCAATGTCTGGATAAAGATGCTATTTGTTCTTTGGGAAAACTCAGGTCAAAGCCATATTTTATTTTTTATTTTTATTTTTCATTGTGGAAACATTCCGTTCTGATTTCCCCCACGCTTGGGGTTTGTCTTTGAGGTCCTGCTTTAGGTACCAGCCATTCCTAGGCTGGTTGTTCTGGAGTTTTGAATTAGGAAGAACCCTCCCCACCCAGCCATCCTTCCTGGGACCTGTCCTTCAGGGTGGACTCTGGGTCTCTGCTTCTCCCTCAGCTGTCCTCTGAGGAGCAGCTGTGCTATTCTGATTTATTTTACTTGTGAGGATAGTGATGACTGAGCTGATTTAGTCAAAACAATTAACTCTTTCTTAATTTGGCAAGAGGAAGGCAGGCTATAGAGGTCATGTCTCTGTAACTATAGTCAGGAAACCTGGTGTCAATTCTAGCTGTAACTCGTGACCTTTGAAATATCACTCATGTTTCCTAGGCATCTGTGTTCTTTTTAAAATGATCAATGAGTACCCTAATACTCATTGATTTGAACATTAAGAAATGAAAATATGTAGCATGTGTTTTGTACGTAGAAGATGCTCAATAATGCATGCTAAAACAAATTGACAGCATCTAGGCCTTATGGGGGGTTGAAAGATGGTCACTTACGGTTGCTACTTTTAAGGAGCTTATCCCTAAACTCTAACAAGTGGCCTGAGAAGGGCTTGCCATCCTGGGGAGCTTCTAAATCTGGAGTCCAGTTATCCCTGGGAATGAGGAATGGGAGATGACATTGACTGAGGGATTGAGTACACTTGACATTGAAAAATCAGGGAAGAGTTGGGTTAGACAGATTTTTTCATTTATTGAAGGCAGTCATTGTACCATTCATTGTTTGAGGAGCAGAATAAAGCTGTGAACTAAATGGCAGTGGCCACTCCCTCACTGAGGTTCCCAAATAAGGAGAAACATATGACCTCTAAAAGTCTCTTTTAGAGGTGCTCCATTCTCTATTTATTTATTACCTATTTTCAGACAAGGTCCCTACCCTCCACAAGCTTTCAGGCCAAATGTAAAATAGATTTAAAAAATGAACAAAGTGTTTGGTTAAATGGACATTCATTTAGCACACCAGATGAGGTCTGTGGACATCAGTCTGGAATTTGGGATTTGGATGTGAATCAGACACAACCTCTAACCTTGAGAAGCTCACAGTCCACTAGAATCTCTGAAGCACTTCTTTGCATGAGAAAAGCCCATGAGGTCCAAAGCAGGTGGCTCTGAATTTCATCTCCTGAATCACTACTTTGCAATGAGATATGTGAGATACTTTCATTAGTCCAAATTTTTCTTTGGTGTTGTCAGCCTGAGTTTCCTCATTCTCTGTGAAGAGATGTTTGTAGCAACCATGATGGAGTGAGAGGCAGGACTGAAGTGTATGGGCATTTACATGTGGTGTGTGTGTGTGTGCATCCATCATCCATGCATGTACACACACACACACACACACACACACACACTTATATACTTAATTGGCGGTGGGTACAAAAGCACAAAAAAGCCAATTCCCCTGGTTTTTGGTGGCAGGGGATAGAGAAGCACTTCATTACACTCACCGGTGTCCAAGTATTTAGTGTGCCTTCTCACTGTTCCATGTACTGAAATGCATATGAAACAGCATACTATTTCACAAAGTTGTCCCTACTCCATAAGATTTCTTACTAGTATTTTAAAACATTATAAGATATGTGTGTTTATTTCTATAATTCTGATCCTATCAGAATGTGAGAGCTGCTGAGTAAAGAAACCCTGTTTTCATCCTCTTGGGTCCCCGTAAAGTGGTTGTTCAAATAAATAAATAATTATGTTAGATGGATGAGTAAATAATGATGAATGCCAGGGTGATGATTTCAGAAGTTTATCTCCAAGTCCCTTTAGACTGGGAATCAATAACCTCCAAGGTGGTATCTCTAAATGTCTCCAGAACCTCTTCATTCATCAGAAGGTCTTGCTAGGACCTCAAATCTACACCCCTCCCAATATTTGTTCTCTTTCCACCATATGATTATTTCTCTGGTCAAGACATTTGATATCTGGTCAAGACATTTGGTATAATCTTTGATCTATCCCTTTTCCCCATCACATATACACAAAGGGACATCCAGTCTTGTAGATTCTTTTGAAAAAACTCTCTTAAAGTTTTCTATCCTCTCTTTCCTATTTGTCTCATCTAAGCCCCACCTCACAAAGCTTGGCAAGAAAGATGTGACCACCTATTTCATGAGAAGGGACTGGCACGCAGCGACCCAGGCCTTAGAGCCTCAGCCCAGTGACCAGGTTCTTGGGATCTCAGGCTATCTGAGGCTTATATTTGGGAAAGGGTGTGGCTCGTTGAAGGCCCACAGGTCTTGGGCCCCATTGAGAGGCTGGAGTGCTCCTACAGCTCTTTTGGAAGGAGAATGTCAGGAATGGCCCTAAGTGTTCCTTGGTTGTGAGAGATTTTCTCCTGCTCTTTCCAGAGACAAGGCTCATTTCTGAGCCCAGCCTGGGGACTCCTCCTATGAAAGGTGTCCCTGGTTCTTCTTCTTCCTCCTTTTGGACACCTCTGCAGCCTGAGCTAATTCTGAGACTCATCCTGGTAAGTGTGTCTGTGCAAAACCAAAGGACATCTCTGGATTTGGCAGTTTTGTGGTTTTCAGATGTTTACTCTAAGCATTCTTGTACATGTCTTCTAGGAGCAGAATTGCTGAATCTTGGTGTATTTAGTAGCTAAGAATTTAAATTTATAATGGAGAGCTAATCTGTTTTTCAAAATGATTGAATTTTTATGCCCAATATCCTTAAATAAATTTGAAACGATCTACTCCTTTATAGTTTTGTACTGTTCGCCTAGAAAACAATTTTGGCCATTGTTTTCTATGTTTCTTAATAGTACTTTAGTTTCTCAACTAGTTATAAGAGAATTCATACTTTTTGTCTCTTCTTGAGCTTATTTTACTAGATTATACTTTTTAATGTATGTTTTCCATTTTGTCTAAGCTTTCAACGTTGGCAGTGTATAGTTATTGACAGTCTTTCATTTTTATATTTTGTTCTCTGCTTTATTATTGTTATGAAGATACATAACTTTTTAATTTATAATATTTGATGATAACTTCTCTTTTTTTAACCTAGATTAGTCTTGCCAGGGTGGGTTTTCTGGGTATTTGTTGTTGTTGCTGTTTGTTTGTTTGCCTATTCTGGAATTGGGACTCCTCTATTTAAAAATATTTCTCATCCTTAAGGATGAGAGTTCTTGCCAAGTTTTCCTTTCAACTATTTTCAGATCCCAGGGTATGGTGGTCAGGGAGCTACCATGGAGGATTAAGTCCCCTCTTGAGTAAAGCCAGGGAAACATAGAGAAACCCTGCTCCTGTGAAGAACTCAGGAAAATGGTTGGGAATTAAATTAGTTTGAGTTTCACATCCTCATCCTTCTTTCTCCGACCCCCTAGAAGGTGGTAGACTACAATCTAAAAGGTAGGTAATATTTTTTGCCAGGGAGGGGGAAGGAGAAGTATCGAGGTAAAGTCCTCACCTGATGAGCTGGTTTCCTGATGCTTGGACTATAAAGTGGGGCCTTGACCTCACTGGGGGCTTGACAGAGACACTGGAGCCTTTCCCTCGTAATTATTTCCAGTCAGAATCTCTAATACTCCCCAGCAGAATATGAATTCACAGGCCTAAATGATAAAAACATAAAGTCACAAGCATTTAAAAAGATTCCACTAACATCAGAGGTATTAGAAATAATTCACCATTGTTTAAAATGAATACATAAGATTCTTTGATGTTCTATGAAGTAAATTCTTAATTCATCAGCACTTTTTGCCCCTGACCAATACTTTTTTAAAAAAAGTATTATAAATATACTGAATATGAAAAGAAGTTGAATCAAAAGACAAGAAAAAAGAAATTGAATCAAAATACAAAACTCCTTATGAGATATCCAAGGAATAATAAATACAACTAAATGTACAGTAAGGGACACACAAGTTAGAAAATATAAAAGAATAACAACAACAAAAACCCCTAAAGGATAAGACAGAAGGTAATGAATATAGAAGACAGACAATGGAGATCTAACTTACATATAATTTGTATACCTGAAGAAGGAAAGAAAGACAATGAATTAGAATAAATACTTCACATTATAATTCAGAGACTTTTATCTATGTATGGAGTAAAATTCTCTTTCTTCCACTCAATGCAACTATAAAACCTGGGAAGACTGACAGGAACTAGCTAGTTGGGAGCTAGAAATAGCAGCAGACAGATAGGGGAAGGACATGAGAATTAAAAAAGTAGAACTGAAAAGGTGCATAGCTTCACTTTTCCTCCTTTGGTTTCTCCTGGCCTGAACTTAATGCAGGTGGAAACCTGGAAATGAGAGCTGTGGGGGCACATACAGAGTTTTTGAAGAAGTCAGCTAGTTCTGGCTTGAGGAGCAAAAGGGTAAGCCCATAGAAGATGTGGAAGTCCCCCATTTCAATCTCCTTGTTCTTTCATACCCCATATCTCAGGCAACTCCATGGTGGATGGCAGTGACAACAGCTGATAAGGGAGCTAGCAGGAGTATAAAATGTGAGAAGAGGAACTACTTCTCCATTTCATGGAGCTGTAATCCCAAAAGGGTGGGGCCAACCCCTATTGCTTTCTTTCTCTCACTGTCTTCCCAATTCTTGGTCCTAGACATGGGCCTAGTCATATAAATGTGTGGAGAGAAGGGTAACTAGAGGCTCAATTTCTGGCAAGAAGACCATGAAGGTGAGCCTCGCTGAACCTGAAAGTACTGAGGAGATTGCAGAGAGAGAGACAGAAGCTCAGGAAAGAGACCCCATAAAATTGTTTATGAATTCCAGAGTTTGCTGTGAGGACACACGTGCAAGGCTCTGATCCTCATTAGCAGACAAAAAAGTGATAACTTATTAATAGAGGTTCTACTTCCCAGATCTCAGGCTGATGCTGGTTGGCACTCACTCTGGACAGTTATGAACAGCACTACAAAAACCTCAAAAACTTAATTGATAATTGGAATAGTTTTACATGGAAGGTTGCCCATTAAAATGAAAACATCAACATTTTCCATCAAATTTAAACAAGATCCAGAGTCTTGTTTAGAATGTTAAAAATATCCAGCATACAAACAATTACTTTACAAAAGAAGAACCACGAAAATGTCACTCGCATAGGAAGAAACAATAAACAGAAACCAATGCTCAGATAACACAAATATTGAAATTATCTGGCAAAGACTTTAAAGCAGCTATTATATGAATGCTCAAATGAGCAATTATAAACACTATTGAAATAATGTTAAAATAAAAAGTCTCAGCAAAGATAATAATATAAAGAAGAACCAAATAGAAATGTTAACACTAAAAAATGCAATAATTAAATTTTCAAAAAGCCACTGGATAAATTTAATAGCAGAAGGAGATGACAAAGAAAGAGTCAGTAGACTTGAAA
This sequence comes from Homo sapiens, assembly GCF_000001405.40. Taxonomy (NCBI): domain Eukaryota; kingdom Metazoa; phylum Chordata; class Mammalia; order Primates; family Hominidae; genus Homo; species Homo sapiens. The sequence goes on from NC_000001.11 coordinate 152,651,062, forward strand.
ATGGATCAGGAGAAATAATCTAATCTAAACAACAGAGAGAAAAACAAACAAGAAATTAGCAGAGCATCAGGGATCTGTGAGACAATAACAAAATCTATCATTTATGTCATTGAAATCCCAGAAAGACAGAAGAATGAGTGTAGAACTGAAAAAAATGTGTGAAGAAATAATAGTTGAAACTTTTCAAGTTTAGTAAAAGAAATAAACATACAGTTTCAAGAATCAGAGTGAACCCAAAACTCATGAAATCACCAAGAGTGATCCCAAGCTAAGCTCAAAAAACCCTGATAACATCAGCTGAAAACTAAAGACACAGGAGTAATCTTGAAAACAGCCAGAAAAAATGATGCATCACTAAAACAGGAGCAAAGATTCAAATCATTGCAGATTTCTTATCAGAAATCACAGAGGCCAGAAGAAAGTAGCTTATCATTTTTAAAGTACTGAAGGAAAACAACAAAAATGACAATTGTCAACCAGATATTTACATGCAGCAAATAATTTTCTGTCTTTCAACAATGAAGGTGATATAGAGACATTCTCAGATGGGAGAAAACTAAGGGAATTTAGAACCTGCCCACCTGGACATCCCTAGTACTTCCAGCTCTCTGCATGTATGGGCAAAGTGGCTCCAGAACTCAAGGGCAGCCTAGATACTGATGAAGAGCTGCAGGTACTGGCTGTTGAAGGTGAGAAAACAACAGAAGGTGGGGGTTGGGGTGGGCAGTGTGCACAAGAGCAGTAAAAAGGGACAAGAGATAATCTAGGTAGTACATGCATGTTGACTGCCAAAATTTCCCCTGAAGTATGCTCTTTATATTTTAAGAATCTTAACAGAGGACTTATATTGCTCATTTCCATTCTTCATTTAGACTAACTATGCATACACATCAAAGTTCATTTGTTCACAATTAGTTTTCACTCATATACATTTTTGCTTTATTTATGGTAAAATTTTTCATATTGTGTGCCATCTCATTTTATTTCATTGTTTTCTGGGTATACACATTTATGTTTTCCTCAATTTTAAATATTTAAATTATTTTTTCACTCAGATAACATAATATATATTTGCTTTTATTTTTTCTGAATAAAGATATACGCTTTTCTTCTCCTTTCAAGTCTTCAATAAATCTAGAATTTGCCTGAAGTATTTGGTGATGCCTCCCCTCCCTTGGTTTCCCATGGTAGAGATAGATTGCATTGTTGCCAGTATTCATGCCCTTATGCATTGTGACTTTGCAGTTCCCCTCACTGAGGAGCAAAATATATTTCCTAATCCCTTGACCTCGAGTTTGGCCTTCTGGCTTTCTTTGGTCAATAGAATAACGGAGCAGTGATGGTATCCCATGCCCACAAGGAAAACATGTCCAAGATAGCCTACAGGACCCAAAAGGAGGAATGAAAGACCCGTGGAGCAGAGCTGAACCACCCAGCTGAGCCCAGCCTAGGTCACATTTGACCTCCATCACCCTGAAGACCTGCACTCTCACAAGCTAAATAAATAATTGTTCTATGCATTTTGTTTATTACGTTGTCGTTGTGCACTATAATTGAGGCCATAGTTAACAGATATATTCCTGAACTCTAATCTTAGTCTCATCAACCATAAAAAGCTTTGCAGCGTTCTAGAGACTTCCCACTTAGGTTTTAGCTTATTGTCCTACATATCCCTGAACTTGTCAAATACCTTAGGGGAAAACTAGGTGTGCACTTGAGGGCCCCCATGTCTCTGCTACAGGCTCAGTTGATTTCTTTGTCTCCCAGCTATGTTCTTTCCATGCTTAAAATCTGGATTCTTAGTGTTTTACCTGCCCAGAATTGACAAATACTCTCAGGATTAAAAGTGGTTGCAGAAGTCAGCTCCTCTCCCTGGAGTCTTAGCTCCTCCAGTTCACACTGCTGCAGCACTTCTCTGCTGCCTTCCAAAACACAATTTCTGGTTTAATCTGAGTTTTATAGTTATGTTAGTTAGGAGAACTGGTCTCTCAATAACTATTTCATCTTATCTAATGAGGAAAGTTTGCAAGGGAAGGTATGTTTTGTAATTAGAAAATCTACCAATATAATCAGTGCATTTACAGATTAAAGAAAAAACAAAAAGATCATCTCAATAGATGTAGAAAAAAATTTAACAAACTTTAATACCGTTCTCAATACAGACCTCTGAAAACCTGTAATCAAAGAGAATATTCTTATTCCACTAAACAGTAATTAGCAAAAGTCTGCAGCATGTGTTCAGTCAGCCTTCTTGAACTGGAACTCACAAGTTTAGGTTATTTTTTCTTTTTCTTCATTTTGACTGACACTAGAATTTTATGAAATTTTTTGTTATCAAAAGACATTTTAAAATCTATTAGAGCCAGGCGTGGTGGTATGTGCCTGTAGTCCCAGCTACTCAGGAGGCTGAGGTGGGAGGATTGCTTGAGACCAGGAGTTTGAGACCAGCCTAGGTGACATAACAATATCTCTTAAAAAAGAAAATATATGAGAATAATCGTGCTTCTTCTCCTTGCTTGAGCTACAGATAAGCACTTTAAAAAAAAACATAAAACTGCTTTCATTATATTGCCATTACATTTTTAAAGTCAGATGGACCTTAGACAGAGAAACTGATGCTCACAGAGGTGAAATGACTGATCCCAAGTCACAAATGAAAATGCAGGCAAAGCCAGAGCTAGAGGACTTTTTTTTAAATTCCCAGTCTGCTGTTGGACCCTAAACACTTTGAGCCTTGCACAAAAGCTTGCACTGTCTCCTTGCTACTGATAGAAGGAAGTCAATTAAATAAAAAATTTTCTCCTAATTTTCAACTTCATCTGCTGACTACAACTTGGCTTTTAAATATAGTCTTCCTCCTTCCATTTTTCAGCAATGCAAACCCTCAACTGGAGTCATATAGATCTACTTACTCTGCATTTACTGACTTTAGTTGCACTTTTAAAGTGTGGAATCATGCACGCATCCCTGCTTGAAACATGCTTCTCTATTTTCTCCATCTACCCCAGCAGCTCTCTGTGGACTGATAAACTCTTGTCTGTCAGCTCCAAACCTACCCTTCTGGGCTCTACTTCGTGATGCTGGCCTGGGCTTTGCAACCGTGGTTCTACTTCGCGGGCAGTCCTCTATTAGGTTTTGTCACTAGGGGGCGCAAGAGACGCAGAAGTCAGGAGAGAAAGAAAGGCCTGTAAGTGTCACCCTATAGATTTTTTTTTTTTTTTTTTTTAATCTGGCAGCAGCAGTTGGTTCCTGTTCCCAGTTTTCTCCACACTTCCAGAACTATCCTCTTCTCCTTTCCTCAGAAGCACCGGCCCCACTAGCCAGTGTCCCACCTCAGAAGCTTGGGTTCTCGCTCTGCAGGTCTCTCCTCTAAATTCCTAGGTTTCAAGAAGTCCATCTCCTTTCCCTTGTTCCCTATCCTTAGTGTGGCAATAGCTGTTCCGCGTGATGCTAGAATTCTCCATATTTGCCTTTTCAATCCTCTAACACCTGTTTAATCCAATGCTTATTGTTTCTGTCAAAATAAGGAGTGTTTCTGTTTTCCTGAATGGACACAGACTGATACAAATCTCTAATAGGTTAACATGGAGGAACTGATGGACAAAAAGAATATCCTGAAATAATAATGTACTTATTTCATTTTGCGAACTTGTAACAATTTTACTGGCAGAAAAATGTGACTTATAAAGTGAAAATAGGTCTATATAGTTCAAAAGCAATTGTACCTGACGTTTTAAGAAATCGTAGATATTTATACTATTTCTTGCTAGCAGAAAGTCATTGAAATGTCAAATGTTTAAGTAAAATGTAAGAGTAAAACATAGTTTCTTAAAATTGGGAAGACTTTGTGAAGGGAAAGAGTGTAAGTATCCAGTTCTTACAGAAGAACTTTGATAGACAGGGAGAACACCGACATTCAATGAATGCAATAGGATCCCTTATTTTGAAAAAACATTTAAAAAAAGAATCCTCTTTAAAAAGTTACAGTTAATATATGTTTTTGAAAAGAGAAAGAGAGTGAGAAGCTGGATCACAGACTGAATTAGGAAGAAAGGAAACTTATTTATTTATTTCCAAGAAGGAACAGGACCATAGAGTCTTGAGAAACCAGATTCTTGTCTCAAGGGTCAGGAATCCTATGCCGCTTTATGGAGTCCCAGCCTAGGAAATAATATACTTTGATGAGATTTCGTTCTCTAGCTTCAGAAGAGTAACTCAGTATCTCCCTGGGAAGGATGGATTGAAGAGACAGGGAGGGAAATGTCAGGAATTACCCTGCAGATGCCCCAGTATGGGAGGAACCACTTCCTGCTCCACCCAGAACCATGGCTCACTAAGGCCCAGTCAGGCGAGTGCCTGCCTATAAAATGTGTGTCAGGACCCCGCTTCTCATCTGCCCTGACACCCTGGGGACTGCCTGCTCCACACCTGGGTCTGACCAGGGTGAGTGGATCTTTTGGAACCTAGACAGAGCACAACTGAAAGGGTAAGTAGCTGTTGAAAATCACAGGGGGAAAGGAAAGACAGGAAAAAAGAGGGTAATAGGAGGAGAGATGTTGGCCTAGGAAGATCCAGCCTGGGAATTAAGAGTCCCTGGGAATTAGAGGGATTAGCCAATCCAAATTCTTGCCAATATCTGGCTTCTGGCAACTGAGTCAGCTGGCTGGGGAGGGATTATTCCACGCTATTCACATCTCATAGATCCATTTCTAGATGCTTAGAGAAGATGGCAGAGGCACACAGAGAAAATGGCAATACCCAATATTACCATGAAATGCCAACTGGTATCCTTTCCTCTACCTCAGATATAATTCCCTCCCTCCTTCCCTTCCCCAATCTCTTCCTCCCTCCCTTCTTGGCTACCTTTCTTTTCTCCTTTATTTATTCATTCATATATTATTCCTATATCACCAGCTATTTATTGAGCTCCTACTAATTACCTGGTGTTATTCTAGACATTGGAATATAGAAGTATGCAAAAGAGGGGAGGATAATCCCTGCTCTTGTGGTGCTTCCATTTCAGGGGGAAATCTACATTTATTGGACATCATCTATGTGACAAGAACTGTGCCATATCTTAGAGACAGAGAAATGAACAAGATGGAGGCTTTGGCTTGACTGTGTGTGTGTGGGGGAGGGTGGGGGGTTATGATTTGTTCAATATGTCAGCAGCCCCAGGGTAGATTCCAAAGGAGGAAACAATGATCTAAGATTTAACAAGTCTATAAAACACCTCTATTGGCTTTTAGGTTGACTGAACTCCCACAAAGATGTCCTGCCAGCAAACCCAGCAGCTGTGCCAGCCTCCTCTTAAAGGGCCCACTACCAAGTGCCCCCCAAAATGTCCCCCTAAGAGCCCTCCTAAGGTGCCCTGTTCAAGTCTCTTCCTGCTGTGGGCCTAGCTCTGGGACTGCTGTGGGCCTAGCTTTGGGGCTGCTGTGGCTTCAGCTGATGTTGGCATCAGAGCTCCAGCTATTGCTTTGGGGCTGCTGCTACCAGGACTTTGAGCATCACCTGAGTAACCGAAACACCAACAACCTGCACCAGTCTCATGCATCTCGTTCATCAGTGCCTTTCATACCTTCAAGAGCTCTTGCCTCAGAGCATTGCTATGCCTGAGGTGTGTCTCAGAAGCAGCCATTGGCACAGTGGCTTGGGGCTGGGCTCAAAAATTTGCTCTCTTGAAGTTTGGATGTGATTGCTCTGAACAAGCTGCTTTGCCACAATAAATATTTTCAAGTTTCCTTGCTTCTATTTTTAAATATTTTATGTTTCCATCTACTTACCAATTCCCATTTCTTCTTCCTGAATACACTGCTAAGGTTCCTAACTTTGGATGAATAGAAGAAAAATCAACCCTCCAACATAAATTAACTTTTAAAAATACATAAATGCTTTGTTTTAATAAATAAAATAAGATGAAATAAATAACCTAAAATATGAACACACTGTTGAAATAAATAAATTAAGGATATAATGGTGTATCGGGGAAAATATTACTATAATATGTTCAAAATATTCCTTTAAATAATTGTCTTTTAGGTGACTATGAAAGAAAATGTCCTTGCATATAAAAGACATTGTTTCCTAAATGCTCTTACGATAAAATATGAGATAAATGTATAATTTTGTGCTCAGTCTCTGTGGCGGAGCTAGCTGTTACATAAAAGAGGATTTCTGCAGAGGAATGCCATGGTTTCCCTGAGTCCAAATGAAGGAAGCATATTATCCCCTGCTCTGATTCTTTGTTCCTTCTCATGCACAGGTAAAGCTAATTGAATTAAGCCCTCTTGACAACCACACATCAAAATAGAAGCCCATTTCCAAATGTGCAGTGAGCCGGAGAGGATGCCTATGTGGTTCTTCCTTGTCCTTTTCACTCTTACAGCCTCGGGGTGGGGATGTCTCAAAGACATCCAGCTTACAGTTTCTCCAGCCTACAGACCCTTCTGATTGATGTGGTGGAGAGCTATTAAGCAATCTTAGTACTCACCTCTGTTGGACCTCCAGAATAGTCAGTTAGGAAAGGCCTTGAGAAATAAGGTTAGGTCTCAATGGGAATTCCTAGCAACATTTGAAAACCTGCAGTGGGATAGTTCCACCCACCTGAATGCCTATACAGATGTTCCTCAACTTATGATGGGTTTATGTCCAGATAAACCTATGGCGAGTTGAAAATATCCTAAGCCAAAAACACACTTAATATAACTAACCTACCAAACATCATAGCTTAGCCTAGCCTTCCTTAAACAGGCTTAGAACACTTACATTAGCCAATAGTTGAGCAAGATCATCTGGCAACAGCGTACACCATAGAGTATTGACTGTTTACTCTTGCAACCCCATAGTTGACTGGGAGCTGCAGCAGCATGCCAGGCATCAACACAGACTTTCATTTATAGGATGTATTGCTAGCTTTGGAAAATATCAAAATTCAAAATCCCAAGTATAATTTCTACCGAAATAATAAAGTTGAAAAATCCTAAGTTGAACTTACGATGGTAAGTTGAGAACTATTTATAATTAGTAATTATATATTTTCTTTTATTTGTCAAGCTTCTGTCTCTACATTGAAACACAGTCACAGTGGGGAGAGATTATATTTCCTTCACGTCATGTTGTATCTCCAGAGTTGACCACATAGTCAACAATACTTGCTGAGTGTATGTGAGAGTGAATTAATGAACTCTGATTTTTGAGCTTACTAATGGAGGACAGTCCAGGAAATCCTCAAATTGTTTTCTCTTTAGAGATGTTCTGTTTTTTTTTTTAATTCACCTGATCATATCCTTCTCTCATTTACTCTTGTAAGACCTGCTTAATGATTACCTAATTTGCTCAGCCAGAATCTTTGAAAAATAGTTCCTTGCTCTCGGAAATCCCAAGGCATAGATATGCAGTGATTACAATTATAATATTTAATTAATGTGACCTATTCATCTAACACTGAAATTCTTCTAATTCCAGTGATTAAGAAGATAGAAATACTGGATATAAATGGACATAGGCAGTGAGGGTGTTGGTGTGTGTGTGTAGTGATCATATGTAATTAACATAGTTTTATCCCATGATAGTCTATAAATAGTGCTCTCTGGGTCATGAAAAATGATGGGTTCTGTCTTGGTTTTGATTGAGAAGTAAGTGCATAGATATTGCATAAAACCAGGAGGACTGGAGAGAGGGAGCACAGCATTCAGCTGGGGAGGCCCTTGGTCTTTGCACTTCGCACTTTGGTTCCACAGAGGTATAGTCAGTACAGCACAAACAAGGCTGCTGACACTGCACAGTAGCTGGAGCTGCTTCCCATGCAGGGGTCAGTCACACAGGAAGAACTGGAGGTGAACATGGGCTGTGCACTGGAGTGGCACTGCGGAGGGCCCTTCAAAGGCATTGGCATTGCTGGCGGTGTTTTGTCAAGGTATCTGAGTTTGAAAGTGAATTGAATAATAAGTCAGATAAATTAGAGCCAGGACAGGAATAATTTTGCCCTTTTAAACCTATTCACGGTGTGCTGGCAGACAGTTTATAAAATACATTAGTATCTAATTAGTACCTGTAAAGAAACATATTACCCCAAGTTAAAAGTGTTAGAAGTGACATTCCTGAAAACAGAACTAATGCTAAATCAATGTCAATTTCGGTCTCTCATCATTTCATTTCATATCTACAGACCCAATTCCTACCTACTGTATTTCATGAGCTTTAAGAGGGTATCAGTTGTAAGGGGCACCCTTATTTCATGCATCATAAGGAAAGAGAAAAATGTTGCAAATTCAACTATTACATGCCACCAATCATATGCTATATGCTGATTTAAGGGCTGTTAACAAATGTAAGAAGAGTGTATCATGGAATTGATGAATTAAGATAAGTATAAAACCCATCTTCTTTAGGTCATATAAATATGTATGTAGTTACTAGATGGGCCATTCTTGCTTTGCCCAGAACACCCCTCTGCTGTCCTGCTCCCTATAGCAGGGACCTCTTCTCCTCTCGTATTCCATACTCCTGGTGTTGCTCTTTAGACTCCCACATGGTTCTGTCGAGAGCCAGTTCAATGGCCCCCAGTGGTAAACTCACTCTGGCAACCAGCTAAGGAAAATGGCAGGTCCCAGATGAGGCAAAACAGATGCAGGACAGTGTTAGGAAATCTCTTAAAAGTTATGCTAATATCAAGACCTGAAATGAGTCCCAGTTCTGGCAGGACCACGACACATGAATTCTCCAACAGTTCTCTGCCTGGAGTTCATGGCCCTCTAATGTCTATCACCAAATGTGACTTCAGCAAAGAGCCATTCTGGACCTGGGTTCTCAAGCCCCACTTTCCTGTGAAATCATCTCTTGTTAAAAATTAGGGGATAAAATTGTCCAGAACTTAAAATTAAGCCAAAAAGTAATTTCGGATCAGTCTTTTAAATTTTCACTTCTTCCTAGTAACTAACAACCTTGCCTAAGATTTATAAGACTCTAGATTTTTTTAAAAATAATTGGTGGGATGATTTTGCTTACAATATGTGGTGTTGATTAAGGCCCAGACTCTGTAAAGCTAGATTGAACTTACAGAAGATTTATAACCTCATGGTTTCATTGCCTTTTAAAACTGTAACCAGTATGTATCTAAATTTGCAATCTTGTTTTAGAATTTTTTCCTCTGACTGTATATAATTTGTTGTCTCCAATTCTTTGAACCAGCATTACCATCATGCTGGTTCCCTTATTAACAAGTGAAACAAATCTTTGATATATGTCTGCTATATATTAACATATATAAATATACTTTTAACTTTTTGGAAGTTATAGTTAAATAAACCCTTATCTCTACACTTACTCTTTTGGGAGTGAAAACAGGCCCAAACCAGACAGTGCCAGACAGTATCAACAAGAAGATCAAAAGGACTACAAAGATATAGTAAAGGGAAAATTTGGACTAGTGAATCTATTAAATAAGGTGAGATACATCAAGATACATGGTAAGGCTTTTTCTTGTACTGTGGCTAAAATAAATTTCCAGCATTTCATGGGGAATAATTTTCTGGAATATATGCAGTTTAAGCTCCCAGGGAGACAAATCAAGGAGCTACATGGAGAGACCAGCCTGCAGGATACTGACTTTCCAGATGAGGTGAACTTCAGATGAAATGTCTGAAATCACCCCCAGGCCATTCTTCTTATGACACCTATGTGCTCCTTCATGAGGTCTTGCAATCATGCATTGATCCTGCCAACATTCGTGTGGCAATGGTTTGGCTGGTCCCTGAGGGAACATGGGCAACTTGACACAGGGTCTCCTGGCTCAGAGGGATCACATATGATGGTGTGAGGACTGTGGAGACAGAAGCAAGAATACTTGCAGGCAGGTGTTTCTTCACTGACTTGTGAACCAATTCTCAACATTTTCTGAGTTATAAAGGGACAAAGGGGACATGTTAAAGAGCTGCTTATCTCCCAGTTCTGGTTTCCCAGGGGATCAGATCCCATTAGCTCTTCCATTGCTTATTCAACCACTCAATACAGATGTTCATGTATCTGCATGTTCATTTCACCTGCACTTTTATATGAATACAGCATACACACATACAGTGCACACATGCACACACGCACACACAGGCTTGCCTCCCCTACTTCCTCACTTACAACATTGTTACAAATATCTTTGTCAAAGAGTATGAGGAAGCTGAGGGTGATATCACCATGAAGACAGTGGAATGAACTAACATCTTTTAATCACATTGGGAAATAGTGACTCAGGAGGTTCAGTCCCCAAACGTCATCTTCTTTGGTACCCATGTTTGTCTGCAGTCATCTTCAAAAGGGCCAAAATTCTACAGTCCTTGAGGTCATGGGCTACTTATTATTCACCTCTATATCCGTATGTTTGGACATACATGATCCAAGAATGTTGTAGGCTTTCAAAGAATGCCTTTTGAATTCACTGCCCTGGTCACACTGTTGACTTACTTTATCCTTCAGGTAAAAGCTCCCTGAGAGCAGGAATCAGATCTGATAATAGGATTGGATAACTAGGAGAATAGAATCCCTCAGTTAGAAGCTGACAATGGGAAACTATACTTTCTCCGCATCCTCCCCTCCCCCATAAGTAGGCATTAGGCAATGTGAAGGCGCGGTCTGTTTCTGTTTTAATCAGAGGTGTGAATATTTTTTTCAATTCTAATTTTAACATCTTTATTGAGACGTAATTCACATATTGTATAGTTCACTTGTTTAAAGTGTAAATTCAATGGTTTTCAGTATATTCACAGAGTTGGACAATCACCACCACAATTTTAGAACATTGTCATTACTCCACAAAGAAAACCTGTATTCATTGGCAGTAACTTCCCAATTTCTCCCAGCCCGCTAAAGCACCTGGAAGCCACTGATATTTCTCAGAGGACAGGCATAAACATAAAAGGAGATACAGGGAACAGAATCTCGTCCAGGCTCCCATTCCTCGGATGTCCTGAGTCAGCTCTTCAGGGGTCCAGCCTGGGAGAGGCTGTAACTGGCTAAAGCCTCATCCCCTTTCATTTCCAGAGATTTGCCTACTCTACACATTTCATATAAATAACATCATACAATATGCAGTCTTTTATGACTGGCTTCTTTCACTTAGTGTAATGTTTTCAAGGTTCACACTCAATGTATCTGTTTAAACTAAATGAATAAATGACTGGGTAACTCTGTCTAGTGCAACCCTGAATCAGAACTCTGAATAACTAGACCCCTGGCTGACCCTCTACTTCCTGGTAGGAAAGGAGTTCCCTCTGCATAGGAGCCCCAAGAAATGATGTGTACTTCCCAAGAGAGGTTTCAAATAATCTCAGTGTCTGATTGAATTAAACCCTCTGAGGGTAAGGACTCTATACAGGCAATTAATGACACATAAGACCTGGGCAAGTACCCAACACATGGCATTAGTTTTCTTTGAAACACATATTTATTAAGGGTCTATCAGGCATATAGTGTTGTACCAAGTTTTTTCTTACTTCTTATTTAATATTCAAAACAGCTCAGTGAGATAGGTATATCTGGTTTATAATGGCCATTACATATGAGAACTGATACTCATAGTGAGTATCATAATGACACTCTAGCAATTGTTGATAATTGTTCTAGCTACTTCTATAGGTTACCAAGTTATCATATGCAAGTTTCCTGATTCCGGCAATGGATTCAATACAATTGCTTCGACTAAAGGAAACGTTTAGATTTTAGAGGGAATTGCTTATTCTCAATCATTCTCCTTGCTCTAGGAGACAGAATCAACTCAGATTTAATTCAGTGAAAGCTTGTCATGATGAGTCTGAGGAAAAGCAGAAACTCAGAGGCCGAGAGGAAGGACTGTGAGCCTAGTCAAGGGAGGGATGCCTAGAAAGAGCCAAGGCTGTAGAAGCCCCCTGGGATGGCTGGATGCACAGCAGGACATGGAAGACAAACTGCTCAAGGTGCAGGGAGTCATAATGGAACATTTCCACAAGGTCAGGGAATGCTGTGGCTCAGAGCTGATGTAACCTCAGAGGACAGGAATAAAAAAGATGCAAGGAACAGAACCATGTCCAGGCATGGGTGCCTTGGGTTCCCTAAGTTAACTCTTTAGGGCTCCCACCTGCTGGAGGCTCTGACTGGCTAAAGCCTCTCTAGACCACAGCCCCAGAGAGGAGTCCTAGAAGCTCCCGAGGCCTCTTTGGGTGCAGGGACTAGGAGACAGGAGAATGTCAGGAATGACCCAGCACGTGCCTGGTTGTGCAAGAGCCACCTCCTGCTCTTCCCAGAGCCAAGTCTGAGTCCTATAAAAGACACATCCAGCTTCAGCACCTCATCTGCTCTGACTCCCCAGGGACGTGTCTGTGCTTTTGCATGTGACCAGGGTGAGTGGCAACCTGGGATACCAGAAGGGTATTAGCAAGGTAGAGGGATGGGGAGGATGGAGGTAGGCTGGAGAAAGATAGTTGTGCGCTTGTGTTCTCCCATACTGAGCAGGAATAGGACTCAGTTTGCCTCAAATCTCTAGAAGCTCTGGGACTTGCTGGAGCTCACGTAGAAGGGAATAGCTAACTGTGCCCATCTTTCCCAACTCTGTCTTCAATGACTTCATGTTGGCCATCTTGGGCAGATTTGCACCATGGAAATTGTCAAATGCTTCAGGCCAGGCCCTTTTACCTGGAGTTTTCATGGCTAAACATTTTCCAGAGGATCCCTGGTGTGTCTACAGCACCCATCTGGGCGCTGGGGCTTGTATTAAGAGAACAGGTACTTCATGGAGCTGTGAATACTCTATTCAGGCTTGTGAAGATAGAGCAATCCCAGCTTCCCTCTGAAAGGAAGAATATGAAGCTCATTCTGTTGATTTTTTAATCTATGTACTTTTATCTGGAAGAAAGATTCAAGTTGTTTCTTTCAGGTTACTGATGTGACTGTATTACCTAAATATCATTCTTCTTCTACACATGCATTGATTTTAGAGGAGGCATAATTATGACCTTTGGTTTGAAATATTTAAAGAGTTTCATTATTATCTTTTAGGTTGACTAAACTCCTGCCAGGATGTCTTGCCAGCAAAACCAGCAGCAGTGCCAGCCCCCTCCCAAATGTCCTCCCAAGTGTACCCCAAAATGTCCACCTAAGTGTCCCCCCAAATGCCCACCACAGTGCCCAGCTCCATGTTCCCCTGCAGTCTCTTCCTGCTGTGGTCCCAGCTCTGGGAGCTGCTGTGGTCCCAGCTCTGGGGGCTGCTGCAGCTCTGGGGGTGGTGGCTGCTGCCTGAGCCACCACAGGCCCCGTCTCTTCCACCGGCGCCGGCACCAGAGCCCCGATTGCTGTGAGAGTGAACCTTCTGGGGCCTCTGGCTGCTGCCACAGCTCTGGGGGCTGCTGCTGACCTGGGCTGCAGAAGAGCTCTGGTACTGAATGGTCAAAAACCTGCTACAGCCTGATGCTTAACTATTTCCCCTTCCTTTCATTCCACTCATGGGTGGACAGGGACCACAAAGACTCATGGGGCTTCCCCAGAACTTTGTGCTTGATGGAGCACCCCAGATGGAAGCCTTCTTTTTCTCCTTTACCTCATATTGTAATAAAGCTCTGATTTCTGACTCTTTAAATGTCTTGGTCATACTCTTCTCTTCTGAGATTTCTAATGTCTTCTAACGGTCAGGGCCCCAGAGAAATTCTCTTCATGAGGCAAGGACAGGACATGAGCAAGTGATACATGAAAGGCTGCTCCGAGGAACTGATTACCCCAACTGCAGGGTAGATGGAGCTCCAAGATGATCACCTCTGGCAACGGCAGCTTTGACTTTGTCCCCACTAAGCCAGACATATGTTCTAATTTTCTGTGTATTCCAGACATTGGGAAGGTTGGGAAGCTCTGTAGACTTGTTCTTCTCTAGGGAGAAGAACACATCTCTATGAAGCAAAACTTCCCTGCTGTTCGAATCAATAGTTGAATAAAATGCTTGAAACGAATGTTGAGACCCCTCCTCCTGCAAAGTACAGCCCATGGTCAGTGAACTCCCTTCCCAGGAGGGTGAGTCTGGTTAAGATTCACTTCTTGACTTGCTCTCTCAGACACCTGGCGTCTCTTCCTCTCAGTGTGAAGGGAAAAGGGACACAGCAGGGGGAAATAAGGACTAGTGCTTCTTAGGTTCAGGCTGACAGGTGTCTACATGAAGATGATGGATTCAGTGCAGAGAGATTCTGTCAGAGGTGGAGTCTCTTATTAAGATGTTCATCTGCCTCCTCATCCTTACTGCTGCTAAGACAAACACCCAGCTGTTTAACCAGTCTGAGATTCTGTACTCTCCGCATTTTAAATCACCCACTGCACTGAGTCAGTTTATTTGACTTGATGCTCTTCATTATTTTTTCCAGTCTCATTATTAACTGAATTTTCAAGTCCCTGACCAGTAGTAATTTTGAGCTTCTAAAAATATGTACATTGGCCATTTCTACAAAATTTGTAATATGATTTTAAATTTTCTTTTCAATTTTCAAGAGCTCTTGATATATCATGGATATTAACCTTGATCTGTGTTTATTAAAATATTTAATGCATCAGATTTAATTGAATCCATTTATAATAGCTTTTGCTATGGAAAGATTTTTAGTTTTTATATACTCAAATATGACTTTCTTCGCTTTTATAGCTTCAGGGTTTCCTGAGTTGGTTAAGAAGTTTTCCCTTGTCCTTAGTGTTTACATGTGAGCAGCAAAACAAATGAAAAAACCAAACAGTACAAAATGGAGTGCCAAGCATGGGACCTAAGGTTGCCCGGGGCAGTTGAAGGCTGGCCTACAGAGAGGTGGACACCCAAGTGTGCTTTCAGGGACCTCTGCCTTAAGTAAGAGCAACCCACCGGCCATTCCCTTCCCCAGTGGGCCTGCTATCTGGGCCTCCATGTGCTCCTTTCATAGTGAGCAACTTCCTTTCTCTATCTAACCCTCCATACACAGAATAATTTCCCATCTAACTTTTTTTGTTTTAAATTATGCTTTAAGTTCTGGGATACATGTGCAGAACGTGCAGGTTTGTTACATAGGTATACACGTGCCATGGTGGTTTGCTGCACCCATCAACCTGTCAACTACATTAGGTATCTCTGCTAATGCTATCCCTCCCCTAGCCCCCTACCCACTGACAGGCCCTGGTGTGTGATGTTCCCCTCCATGTGTCCATGTGTTCTCATTTTTCAACTCACACTTATGATTGTGAACATGCAGTGTTTGGTTTTCTGTTCCTGTGTTAGTTTGCTGAGAATAATGGTTTCCAGATTCATCCATGTCCCCCCAAAGGACATGAACTCATCCTTTTTTATGGCTGCATAGTATTCCATGGTGCATATGTGCCATATTTTCTTTATCCATTCTAACATTTGTTTTTAGCTGCATCTTACTTTGTGTTTGGCATGTGTGCAGGTGTGTTAGAAAATTATGTTCGGATGCTATCAGAGGAACTCAAAATTACAGCAATTTAAAAAGGAAAGCAGACTATTTCCACTCACATATGATGAAGTCAGAGGTCAGTGGTCCATGGCTGGTACGGTGGTTCCCTGGAGTCTTCAAAGATGGATACCCCTATGTCTTGTCAATTCATTGTTAGCAGTTGTTTCCTGGGAGGTAGTTGGTGATCTCGAGGTGCCTGATAGAGTTCTGATCTGCAAGGCTGTGCTTCAGGTAGGAAGAAGGAGAAAGGGTGGGTAAAAGGCCCTGACCCCAGTAAAGCCTCTTACCTGAGCTTTCCTAAAGTCCCAACAATTTCCTGAATCTCACTGGCTGCTTGTACATACAAGGGGGATGGAGAAGTGTAAATTTTGATATCTGAACATGATTTGGTTCTGGTCAAAATTTAAAGATATAAGTTAAGAATGAAGGGGGCATGTATGTTGGGCACTATCCAATTAAGTAATTTTCTATACAGTTTGACCTGCTGAGTAAAGACAGCTGGATTGCTGGTTATCTCGAAATAGTGACACAGACTCTCTGAGTGCACTTCAATTACCTCTTAACACAAACATTCAGGAACATCCTGCCCACAGTTCCACCTCCATGGGCTCTGCTGTATGCACTGAGGCAAGCCTGCATGGAAGGTTGATTAGGCAGGGGAATTCCCTGGTGAGGCTGAGGTCTGGAGTGCTGTGGGGAGCTCCCTGCAGACAGGCACAAGACCTGGCTTATGGATGCCTGGGGTAGGCTAAGAGTTACTTCTGCCTGTCTCCCCATCTCTAATCCATCCATCACCCAGCTGTGGGCCAAGAACCAGGGGTCTGGATCATCTCTCAAGGGCAGGAAGAGGGTGAGACTCTGAGAAGTGTGCAAGAAGAAAACATATTTGGTGTTATGGCTTCATCTCTTTCAAAGGTATCTAGAGTTGGAGGGTGACAGATGATTAACTCTGAGTTGGGTTATCTGAAATATGACCCAAGTGAGGATAGTCAACAGTAACCAGAACATATTATGAAAAGGAAAATGTAGATGTATTGTCACCTGGGCCAGAATCCCCACAGAGCACTTTCACCTCCACATCGAGTGAAAATTCTACCTGGTCACTCTCTTGTGTCCCCAAAGGGTCATCCCAGGAAGAGGGAAGAGTAGAAAAGGAGTTTTGGGCCAGGATGGATTCTTGAGTGTGTGGTTATCTCAACTCGGACCCTCTGAGATTTCATAGCAGTGCCCGAGAGCTGCGGCGCTGCTCTCTCACAGACTCCCCAGGCTCTGTCGCTGCTGCTGCAGCAGCTCTGCAGTTAAAGTCAGCTGGCTCTGTGGTGCCCATGCTAACTCCAGGAGCAGCTGCTCCCAGAGTAGGAAGAACAGTATCTCCAGTGCTAAGAAAAACTTGAGACTGAGGGATGAGCATATTGCCAGGCTCTTGGGAGGAAGCCTGCTGCTGGCTCAGTTTTCAGGATATCTCAACATGAGTTAAGCTGAGAGTGAATTCAGCAGTAGACCACATGTGTAAACCTAGAATAAGGATACCTTTGCTTTTTCTAAACAATTATCCCTCTGCTTCTAATTAATTGGCAAAGCCATTAATATTTAGAAAGACATTCCCCGTGTTACCATTTCATGGTTGCTCTTTGGTCTTGCTAGGTCAGATTTCAATCCTAGTCAACCCCCATGCTGGTTGCATTGCTGCAGCTGCACACCTAATTCAGAACTCTGTACAGTAATTGTAGAATTAGGTAATTCTAAACTTTTGTGCTTGTTATAAGATACGTACTCTTATAAGTGTTTTATGTGTAACTCAACCAAAGGATCAATTAATTCACACAATGTTGCTATTAGGTAATTACAGTTATTTTCCACACTTCATAGATGAGAAAACAGAGGTACAGACAACTTTGAGAACATTTCTAGGGTTCTAAGGCAAGTACCTGGTACTCAGAATATAACTCTAGGTGATATAGCTACTTAGTCTGTGATCTGAACCAGTTCTCTGGAGTTAAACTGGAAAGGCCTGCATTATTTACCATGTGTGAAATTGAAACAGCTTATGGTAAGATCTTCTCAACAAGCTAGACTTAAAGCAGCTATCCCCTAATTTTCCTGCCTGGTATACTAATGTTTCTGGGCTAGTTCCCATACTGCACAAAAGAAATCTCGATTTCTCATACCTTTCTCTTCACCCATGTCCCTCTGTCCTTTCTGAAGAATATAGTCACAGTGGGCAGAGATTATATTTCTTTTATATCATGTTGTACTCCAGAGTTTGCTACATAGTCAACAATACATGCTGAGTGTGTGTGAGAGTGATTTTTGAACTCTGAATATTGAACTTACTAATGGAAGACAGTCCCAAAAAATCCTCAGTTTTTTTTTCTCTTTAGTGATGTTCTGTTCTTTTAATTCACCTGATCATATCCTTCTCTCATTTACTCTCATAAGGCTGTCTAATGTTTACCTAATTTGCTCAGTACTGAGTCTTTGGAAATAGTTCCTTGCTCCAGGGAATCCCAAGGCATGGATAGACAGTGATTGCAATTATAATATTTGATTAATGTAACCTATTCATATAACACTAAAATTTTTCTAATTCTAGTGATTAAAATGATATAAATACTGGATACAAATGGGCATAGGCAGTGTGGGCACTGGTGTATGTGTGTGAAGGGATCATATGTAATTAACATAGTTTTATCCCGTGATAACCTATAAATAGTGCTGTCTGGGTCATGAAAAACTATAGGTTCTGTCTTTGTTTTGATTGGGAAGTAAGTGCACAGATATTGCATAAAAGAGAGGTTACATGGACAATGAGTTTGTCAGGAACTTGGTATGAGAGAGAGATTTAGAAAGCATAGTTATAAATAATCTGGAAAATTCATCCCACCAAACAAAATAATTGGCTATCTGGACCAAACAGTTGGTCTGACATTGTGTGTGTGTGTGTGTGTGTGTGTGTGTGTGTGTGTGTATGGTACTGTATCTAAGCTGTGTGTAAATTTGTTCTCAGAAACCTGCTGACCTTATACTAAAGTTCTCAAAATCTTTTTTGGTTAAATTTTCTGAACTTTATTCCCAGCTGTGTGAAGTTGGGCTATTTGTTTAGTCCTAGGAGTCTTTGTTTTCTCATTAGTATAGTGGGGATATTAATACTACCTACATCACAGAATTGGCATGAGGATTAAATGAGATAATGTATATAAAACAATTAAATAGGACCTAGAACAAAATAGGTGGTCAATAAGCATCAGTTATTATATTACATTTTGTTATTTTTATCATTTGTACAGATGTGTGTGTATATATGTATATATACATATGGAGGCAGTTGACCCAAAAGTACAGTTCCACTCAATGTATACCTCAGGGGAAGACATGGAGGTAAGGAGAACTGTTTTAGTTAGAGATTTCCAGAGAAATAGAAGAGATGGAGGGATAAGTTTATATTAGGAGATTGGCTAATGTGATGACTGTGGGGGCTGGCAAGTCTGAAATCTTGCCAGACCCCACAATCATCGCATGATAATTGTGATGATTATGCAGGCCAGCAGGCTGGAAATTCAGGTAACAGTTGATGTTGCAGCCTTGAGTCTAAATTCTGCAAGGCAGTAGTCTGGAAACAGGCAGAGTTTCTATATGGCAGTGTTGATGATAATTTCTTCTTCTTTGGAAACCTCAGTCTCTGCTATTAAAGGCTTCAGCTGATAGGATGAGGCTCACGTTAGGAAAGATAATCAACCTAGTCAGTCTACTGATTACATGCATACAAAGCAACATCTGGACTGGTGTTTGATCAACAACTGGATATCATAGGATAGCCTAGGCAAAATTAACCATCACAGAGACTGAGAGGATACATGGAGGTCATTAGAGATATGATCCAACAGACAGAAGAGGTCTTCTGTTGACAGAAGAGGGTCAGCAGTGACCAGGACACACTAAGAACATGCCATGATGGTTTTATTTTCACTTAGGATAAAGGCAAATTTCTGGACAGACCTTTGGAGAATATTGGGAAAACAGAACCTTCTACCTGGTAACCCCATGAGTCTCAACAAGGCTGTGATGTTAGGAGGACTGGAGGGAGGGAGTGCAGCATGTGGCTGGGGAGGCCCTTGGCCTTTGCACTTTGGTTCCACAGAGGTGTAGTCAGTACAGCACAGACAAGGCTGCTGACCACTGCACGGTAGCTGGAACTCTGGGAGCTGATGAAGCTGTAGCTGCTTCCCATGCGGGGTCAGTCACACAAGAAGAACTGGAGGTGAACATGGGCTGTGCACTGGAGTGGCACTGTGAAGGGCTCTTTAAAGGCATTGGCATTACTGGTGGTGTTTTGGCAAGGTATCTGAGTTTGAAAATGAATCGAGCAATAAGTCAGATAAATTAGAGCCAATATGGGCATAATTTTGCCCTTTTAAACCTATTCATGGTGTGCTGGCAGACAGTTTATAAAATACATTAGTATCTAATAGTACCTATGAAGAACCATATAACCCCAAGTTAAAAGTGTTAGAAGTGACATTTCTGAAAACAGAACTAATGCTAAATCAATGTCAATTTCTGTCTCTCATCATTTCATTTCATATCTACAGACCCATTTACTACCTACTATATTTCATGAGCGTAAAGAGGCTATCAGTTGTAAGGGGCACCCTTATTTCATGCACCACAAGGAAATAAAAATTTTGCAAATTCAACTATTACATGCCACCATTCATATGGTATACACTGATTTAAGGGCTGTTAAAAAATGTAAGAAGAGTGTATCATGGAATTGATGAATTAAGTATAAAATCCATCCTCTTCAGGTCATATAAACATGTATGTACAAACTAGACAGGCCAATTCTTGCTTTGCCCAGGACACCCCTCTGCTGTGCTCCTCCCTATCACTGGGCCGTCTTCTCCTTTCATATTCCATACTCCCGGTGTTGCTCTTAAGACTCCCATATGGTTCTGCTGAGAGCCAGTTTGATGGCTCCCCCTGGCAAACTCACCCTGGTAACCAGGCAAGGAAAATGGCATGTCCCAGATGAGGCAAAACAGATGCGGGGCAGTGTTGGGACATCTCTTATAAGCTATGCTAATACCAAGATCTGAAGTGAGTCCCAGCTCTAGCAGGACCACGACACGTGAATTCTCCAGCAGCTCTCTGCCTGGAATTCATGCCCCTCTGATGTCCATCAGCCAATATGACTTCAGCAAGAACCCATTCTGGACCTGGGTTTTGAAGCCCCAGTTTCTGAGAAACCATCTCTTGTTAGGAAATTGGGGGTTAAACTTATCCAAAACTTAAAATTAAGCAAAAAAGTGATTTCTGATTAGTCTTTTAAATTTTTACTTCTTCCTAGTAACTAACAACCTTGCCTAAGGTGTATATGACTCTCTAGGTTTTTAAAAAAAATGGTGGCATGATTTTACTTAATGTATTTGGTATTGATCAAGGCCCAGACACTGTAAAGCTAGATTTAAATTATAGAAGATTTGTAAGTTGAAAATTATTTTGTGTGCTCTAGAAAATTTAACCTAATGGTTTCATTGCCTTTGAAAACTTTAACCAGTTTTGTATCTAAATTTGCAATCTTGTTCCAGAATTTTTTTGGTCTCTCCTATTCTTTGAACCAGCATTACCATCATGCTGATTCTCTTATTAACAAGTGAAACAAATCTTTATAATATGCCTGCTATATATTTATATGAGTCATGCTTTTAACTTTTTGGAAATTACAATTCAATAAACCCTTATCTCCACACATACCCTTTCAGGAGTGGAAACTGGGCCAAAATCAGACAGTGCCAGACAGTGTTGACAAGAAGATGAAAAGGACTACAAAGATATAGTAAACGGAAAATTTGGATTAGTGAATCTACTAAATAAGATGAGATACATCAAGGGACATGGTAAGGCTTTTTCTTGTACTGTGGCTAAAATAAAGTTCCAGCATTTGGTGGGGGATAATTTTCTGGAATATACGGAGTTTAAGTTCCCAGGGAGACAATTCAAGGAGCTACTTGGAAATATCAGCTTTCAGGAGACTGACTTTCCAGATGAGGTGAACTTCAGATGAAATGTCTGGAATCAATCCCAGGCCATTCTTTTCATGTCACCTGTGTACTTGTTCATGTGGTCCTGCAATCATGCATTGATTCTGCCAACACTCATGAGACAATTAAGTGTTTGGCTGGTCCCTGAGGGAACATGCACAATGTGACATGGGGTCTTCTGGCTCAGAGGGATCACCTATGATGATGTGAGGGCTGTGGAGACAGAAGCAAGAATACTTGCAGGCAGGTGTTTCTTCACTGACTTGTGAACTAATTATCAACATTTTCTGAGATATAAAGGGACAAAGGGGACATGTTAAACAGCTGCTTATCTCCCAGTTCTGGTTTCCCAGGGGATCGGGTCCCATTAATTCTTCCATCGCTTATTCAACCACTCAATACAGACGCTCATGTATGTGCATGTTCATTTTACCTGAATTTTTGTATAAATACAACATACACACATACAGAGCACACACCCACATACACACACACACAGACACAGACTTGCCTCCCCTACTTCCTCACTTACCACATTGTTACAAATATCTTTGTCAAAGAGTATGAGGAAGCTGAGGGTGATATCACCATGAAGACAGTGGAATGAACTAACATGTTCTAATCACACTGGGAAATAGTGACTCAGGAGGTTCAGGCCCCAAACGTCATCTTCTTTGGACCTATGTTTGTCTGCAGTCATCTTCAAAAAGGCTACAAAAATTCTACAGTCCTTGAGGTCATGGGCTACTTATTATTCACCTCTATATCCCTATATTTGGACATACATGATTCAAGAACGTTGTAGGCTTTCAAAGAATGCCTTTTGAATTCACTGCTCTGACCACACTGTTGACTTACTTTATCCTTCAGGTAAAAGCTTCCTGAGAGCAGGAATCAGATCTGATAATAGGATTGCATAACTAGGAGAACAGAATCCCTCAGTTAGAAGCTGACAATGGGAAACTATGCTTTCTCCGCATCCTCCCCTCCCCCACTAAGTAGGCATTAGGCAATGTGAAGGCACAGTCTGTTTCTGTTTTAATCAGAGGTGTGAATATCTATTTTTTTCAATTCTAATTTTTAACACCTTTATTGAGATGTAATTAACATATTTGTAGTTCATTTGTTTAAAGTGTAAATTCAATGGTTTTCAGTATATTCACAGAGTTGGACAATCACCACCATAATTTTAGAACATTTTCATTACTTCACAAAGAAAACCTGTATCCATTGGCAGTAACTTCTCAATATCTCCCAGCCCGCTAAAGCACCTGGAAGCCACTGATATTTCTCAGAGGACAGGCATAAACATAAAAGGAGATACAGGGAACAGAATCTCATCCAGGCTCTTGTTCCTCGGATGCCCTGAGTCAGCTCTTCAGGGGTCCAGCCTGGGAGAGGCTGTAACTGGCTAAAGCCTCATCCCCTTTCTATTTCCAGAGATTTGCCTACTCTACACATTTCATATAAATAACATCATACAATATGCAGTCTTTTGTGACTGGCTTCTTTCACGTAGTGTAATGTTTTCAAGGTTCACACTCAATGTATCTGTTTAAACTAAATGAATAAATGACTGGGTAACTCTGTCTAGTGCAACCCTGAATCAGAACTCTGAATAACTAGATTCCTGGCTGACCCTCTACTTCCTGGTAGGAAAGGAGTTCCCTCTGCATAGGAGCCCCAAGAAATGATGTCTACTTCCCAAGACAGGTTTCAAATAATCTAAGTGTCTGGTGGAGTTAAGCTCTCTGAGGGTAAGGGCTCTATATGGGCAATTAATGACACATAAGACCGGGGCAAGTATCCAATACATGGCATTAGTTTTTCTATTAAACATATATTTATTAAGGGTCTATCAGGCACAAAATGTCATACTTAGCTCTTTCTTGCTTCTCACTTTATATTACAAACAGCTCAGTGAGATAGGTATATCTCACTGATAGGTTTATAATGGGCATTATATGTGAGAACTGATACTCACAGTGAGTATCATAGTAATACTCTAGCAATTATTGATAATTGTTACAGCAACTTTCAGAGATTACCCAGTTATCATATGCAAGTTTTCTGATTCCAGTAGCACATTCAATACAAGTCCTCTGACTGAAGGAAATGTTTAGATTTTAGAGGGAATTGTTTATTCTCAATCATTCTCCTTGCTTTAGGTGACAGAATCAACTCAGATTTAATCCACCGAATCTGCTTGCCATGGTGAGTCGGAGGAAAAGCAGAAACACAGAGGCCAGGAGGAAGGGCTGAGAGCCTAGGCAAGGGAGGGATGCCTAGAAAAAGCCAAGGCTGTAGAAGCCCTCTGGGATGGCTGGATCCACAGCAGGACATGGAAGAGAAACTGCTCAGGGTGGAGGGAGTCATAATGGAACATTTCCACAAGGTCAGGGAAAGCTGTGGCTCAGAACTGATGTTTCCTCAGAGGACATGCATTAAAAAAATGCAGGGAACAGAATCTTGTCCAGGTGTGGGTCCCTTGGGTACCCTAAGTTAACTCTTTAGGGTTCCCACCTGGTGGAGGCTCTGACTGGCTACAGCCTCTCTAGACTGCAGCCCCAGAGAGGAGTCCTGGAAGCTCCTGAGGCCTCTTTGGATTGCAGGGACTAAGAGGCAGGAGAATGTCAGGAATGACCCAGCGTGTGCCTGGTTGTGCAAGAGCCACCTCCTGCTCTTTCCAGAGCCAAGCCTGGGCCCTATAAAAGACACATCCAGCTTCAGCATCTCATCTGCTCTGACTCCCCAGGGACGTGTCTGTGCTCCTGCGTGTGACCAGGGTGAGTGGCAACCTGGGATACCAGAGGGGTATGAGCAAGGCAGAGGGATGGGGAGGATGGAGGTAGGCTGGAGAAAGAGTTGTGTGCTTGTGTTCTGCCATACTGAGCAGGAATGGGACTCAGCCTGCCTCGAATCTGTTGAGGCTCTGAGGCCTACCGGAGCTCATATAGGTGGGGAAAGCTAACTGTGCACATCTTTTCCAATTCTGTGTTCAGTGACTTCATGTTGGTAACTTCAAAACTGCTGTGTTGGGCATATTTACACCATGGAAACTGGCAAATACTTCAAGCCAGGCTCTTTTATCTGGAGGTTTCATTGCAAAATATTTTCCAGAGGACCCCTTGGTATGTCCTGCAACACCCAGCTTGTCCTTAGGGCTTGTATTAAAGGAATAGGTACTTCAGGGAGCTGTGAATACTCTATTCGGGCTTGTGAGGATAGAGCAATCGCAGTTTCCCCTGAAAGGAAGAGTAAGAAGCTCATTCTGTTGATTTTTTATCTACGTACTTTTATCTAGAGGAAAGATTCAAGTTGTTTCTTTCAGGTTACTGATGTGATTGTATTATCTAAATATCATTCTTCTTCTACACATGCATTGATTTTAGAAGAGGTATAATATGATCCTTGGTTTGAAATATTTAAAGAGTTTCATTATTATCTTTCAGGTTGACTAAACTCCTGCCAGCATGTCTTGCCAGCAAAACCAGCAGCAGTGCCAGCCCCCTCCCAAGTGTCCTCCCAAGTGTACCCCAAAATGTCCACCTAAGTGTCCCCCCAAATGCCCACCACAGTGCCCAGCTCCATGTTTCCCTGCAGTCTCTTCTTGCTGTGGTCCCAGCTCTGGGAGCTGCTGTGGTCCCAGCTCTGGGGGCTGCTGCAGCTCTGGGGCTGGTGGCTGCTCCCTGAGCCACCACAGGCCCCGTCTCTTCCACCGGCGCCGGCACCAGAGCCCCGACTGCTGTGAGAGTGAACCTTCTGGGGGCTCTGGCTGCTGCCACAGCTCTGGGGGCTGCTGCTGACCTGGGCTACAGAAGAGCTCTTGGGACTGAATGGCCAAGAACCTGCTACGGCCTGATGGATACTCTTTCCACTTCCTCTCATTCCATTCATTGGTTGGCAGAGACCACAAAGACTCATGGGGCTTTCCTGGAAGAACTTCGTGCTTGATGTAACACCCCAATTGCAAGTCTTCTTTTCCTCCTTTACCTCATGTTATAATAAAGCTCTGATCTCTGACTCACTAAATGTCTTGGTCATTCTCTTCTCTTCTGAGATTTCAAATGTCCTCCAAAGGTCAGGGCCTCAGAGTAATTTTCTTCATGAGGCTAGGACAGGACATGAGTAGGTGATACATGAAAAGCTGCTCTGAGGAACTGATTCCCCCAGATGCTGAGTGAATGGAGCTCCAAGAGGGTCACCTCTGGCTATGGTAGCTTTGCCTTTCTCTCCACTAAGCCAGACACATGTTCTAATTTTCTGTGTAATCCAGACGTTGGGAAGGTTGGGAAGCTCTGCAGACTTGTTCTTCTCTAGGGAGAAGAACACATCCCTATGAAGCAAAACTTTCCTGCCCTTAGAATCAATAGTTGGATAAAATGCTTGAAACAGATGTTGAGACCCTTCCTCCTGTAAAGTACAGCCCATGGTCACTCAGCTTCTTTTCATGAGTCTGGTTAAGATCAGCCTTTTGACTTGCTGCCTTGGACACCTGGCTTCAGTTCCTCACAGTGTTAGATCTGAGTCCCAGGATGCTGTCCTGCCACTTGGCTCACGTGCTGGGCAGGGGAGTGATGAGTGATGGAGATATTAAGTGAAAAAACATGGAAGTGTTGCTTAGAAGATACAAAGAATATAAGGAACATAAGAATACAAAGAATACAAAACGCTGTATGAAAGAATAGACCTTTCCTCCTTCAATACTTATCTTTTTTGCCAAGCCACCCTCAGAATGTGAGGGGGGAGAAGCGCCAGGATGGGTGGGGCATCTTAAGTATTACTAGAGGAAGGGGAGGGAAGCAGGGACACAGCAGGGGAAACAAGGGCTAGTGCTTCTTAGGTTCAGGCTGACAGGTGTCGACATGAAGATAATGGATTCAGCAAAGACGGATTTTGACAGAGATGGAGCCTCTTATTAATATGTTTACCTTCTTACTTACCCTTAGTGCCACTAAGACAAAAACCCAGCTGATTAACCAGTTTGAGATTCTGTACTGTCTGCATTTTAAATCACCCTCTGCACTGAGTCAGTTTATTTGACTCAATGCTCTTTATTATTTTGCCAGTCTCATTATTAACTAATTTTCAAGTCCCTGACCAGTAGTAATTTTGAGCTTCCATAAATATGTACATTGGCTATTTCTACAAAATTTGTAATAGGATTTTAAATTTTCTTTTCAATTTTCAAGAGCTCTTGATATATCATGGATATTAACCTTGATCTGTCTTTATTAAAATATTTAATACATCATAATTAATTGACTCTGTTTATAATAACTTTTGCTATGGAAATATTTGTAGTTTTTAAATACTCAAATATGACTTTCTTTGCTTTCATAGCTTCAGGGTTTCCTGAGTTGGTTAAGAAGTTTTTCCTTGTCCTTAGTGTTTACATGTCAGCAAACAAAACAAATAAAAAAACCCAAACAGTATAAAATGGAACACCAAGCGGGGGACCTAAGGTTGCCTGGGGCAGGTGAAGGCTGGCCTGCGGAGGGGTGGACACCCGAGTATGCTTTCAGGGACCTCTGCCTTAAGTAAGAGCAACTCACCGGCCCTTTCCTTCTCCAGTGGGCCTGCTATCTGGGGCTCCATGTGCTCCTTTCATGGTGAACATAATCCTTTCCTTATCTAAACTTCCATACACAGAATAATTTCCAATCTGACTATTGGTTTTTACTTGCATCTTATCTTATGTTTGGCATGTGTGCATGTGTGTTAGAAATTAAGTTCTGCTACTATCACAGGAACTCAAAATCACAGCAATTTAAAGAGGAGAGCAGGCTATTTCCACTCACATGTGATTAAGTCAGAGGTCAGTAGTCCATGGCTGGTATGGTGGTTCCCTGGAGTATTCAGAGATGGATACCCCTCTGTCTTGTCATTTCATTATTAGTGCTTATTTCCTGAGAAACAGTTGGTGATCTCAAGATGCCTGATGGAGTTCTGATCTGCAACGCTGTACTTCAGGTCTGAAGAAAGAGAAAGGGTGGGTGAAAGGTCCTGATCCCAATAGAGCCTCTTACCTGAGCTTTCCTAAAGTCCCAACAATTTCCTAAATCTCACTGGCTGCTTGTATGTACAGAAGGGATAGAGAAGTATAAATTTTGATATCTGGACATGGTGTGGTTCTGGACAAAATTTAAAGATGTAAGTTAAGAATGAAGTGGAGCACGCACATTGCGTACACATCCAATCAAGTAGTTCTTGATATAGTTCAACCTGCTGAGTAAAGACAGCTGGATTGCTGGTTTCTGGAAATAGCGACACAGACTCTCTGGGTACACTTCACTTACCTCTTAATGCAACATTCAGGAACGTCCTGCCCACGTTTCCACCTTTATGGTCTCTGCTGTATGCACTGAGGCAAATCTGCCTGGAAGGTTGATTAGGCAGGGGAATTCACTGCCTGCAGCTGAGGTCTGGAGTGCTCTGGGGGGCTCCCTGGAGACAGGCACAAGACCTGGCTTATGGAAGCCTGGCGGAGGCTCCAGGTTACTTCTGCCTCCTGTCTCCCCACCTCTAATCCACCCATCACCCAGAAGTGGGCCAAGGATCAGGGGTCTGGATCATCTCTCAAGGGCAGGAGGAGGGTGAGGCTCTGAGAAGAAGTGTGCTGTCCAATCAGAAACCATACTTGGTGTTATGGCTGCATCTCTTTCAAAGGTATCTAGAGTGGGAGGGTGACAGATGATTAACTCTGGGTTATCTGAAATATGACCCAAGTGAGGAGAGTCAACAGTAACCAGAACACATTGTGAAAAGGAAAAGGTGGATAGATTGTCACCTGGGCCAGAATCCCCAGAGAGCACTTTCACCTCCACATCGAATGAAAAATTCTACCTGGTCACCCTCTTGAGTCCCCAGAGGGTCAGCCCAGGAATAGGGTAGAGTAGAAAGGAGTTTTGGGCCAGGATGGATGCTTGTGTGTGTGGTTATCTCAACTCGGACCCTCTGAGATCCACAGCAGTGCCCGAGAGCTGCGACGCTGCTCTCTCACTGACTCTCCAGGCTCTGTCGCTGCTGCTGCAACAGCTCTGCAGCCAAGGTCTGCTGACTGTGTTTTGCCTGTGCTAACTCCAGGAGCAGCTGCTCCCAGAGCAGGACCAACACTAACCCCAGTGCTAAGAAAAACTCCAGAGCCTGAGGGACCAGCATATTGGCCGGCTCTTGGAGGGACTCTTACTGTTGCTGGCTCAGTTGGCAGGATATCTTAACATGAGTTCAGCTGGAAGTGAATTCAGCTGAACAGAACACATGTGTAAACTAGAATAAGGCTACTTTTCATTTTCTAAACAATTCTCCTTCTGCTTGTAAATAATTGGCAAACCCACTAATATTCAGAAAGAAATTCCCCATGTTACCATTTCATGGTTGCTCCTTGACCTTGCTAGGTCAGATTTCAATCCTAGTCCACCCCCACGCTGGTTGCATTGCTCCATCTTCACACCTAATTCAGAACTATGTACAGAAAGAGTAAAACTATGTAATTCTAAACTTTTGTGCTAGTTATAAGATATGCACTCTTATAAGTGTTTCAGGTGTAACTCAACCAAAATAACAATTAATTCACACAATATTGCTGTTAGGAAATTACAGCTATTTTCCACACTTCATAGATGAAAAGACAGATGCACAGACAATTTCGGGCACATTTCTAAGGCTTTAAGGCAAGTAACTTGTTCTCAGAATCCAAATCTAGGTGATTTAACTACATTCTGTGGTCTCAACAAGTTCTCTGGAGTTAAACTGGGAAGGCATGCACTATTTACTGTGTGTGAAATTCAAACAGCTTATGGTAAGTTCTTCTCAACAAGCTAGACTTAAAACAGCTATTCCCTTCTTTTCTTGCCTGATATACTAATGTTTCTGTGTTAGTTCCCACACTGCATAAAATGAGCCTCTATTTCTCATGCCCTCTTCATCCACGTCCCTCCCTCCTTTCTGAAGAATATAGTCACAGTGGGCAGATATTATATTCCTTTCATATCATGTAGTATCCCCAGAGTTGGCCACATAGTCAACAATACTTGCTGAGTGTGTATAAGAGTGAATTAATAAACTCTGATTATTGAATTTACTAATGGGAGACAGTCCAAGAAAATCCTCAAATTGTTTTCTCTTTAGAGATGTTCTTTTCTTTTAATTCATCTGATCATATCCTTCTCTCATTTACTCTTGTAAGAACTGCTTAATAGTTACCTAATTTGCTCAGCACAGAATTCTTGGAAAAGTTCCTTGCTCCAGGGAATCCTAAGGCATGGATATGCAGTGATTGCAAATAGAATATTTAATTAATGTGCACTATTCATCTAACACTGACATTCTTCTAATTCCAATGATTAGAAAGAAATACTGGATATAAATGGACATAGGCAGTGAGGGTGTTGGTGTGTGTGTGTAGTGATCATATGTAATTAACATAATTTTCTCCCATGATAGCCTATAAATAGTGCTGTCTGGGTCATGAAAAACGATGGGTTCAGTCTTGGTTTTGATTAAGAAGTAAGTGCATAGATATTGCATATAAGAGAGGTACACAGACAATGTTGGCAGGGAATTGGTATGGGAGAGGGATTTAGAAAGCATAGTTATAAATTATCTGGAAAATTCATCCCACCAAACAAAATAATTGACAATCTGGACTAGACAGATGGTCTGACATTGTGTGTGTGAGTGTGTGTGTGTGTGTGTGTGTGTGTGTGTATGGTAGTGTATCTATGCTGTGTGTAAACTTGTTGTCAGAAACCTGTTGACATTATACTAAAATAATTGAAATTTTTTTGGTTAAATTTTCTGAACTTTATTCCCAGCTGTGTGAACTTGGGCTATTTGTTTAGCTCTAGGAGCCTTTGTTTTCTCATTAGTACAGTGGGAATATTAATACCACCTACATCACATGATTAGTATGAGGATTAAATGAGATAATGTGTATAAAACACTTAAATAATACCTAGAAAAAAATAGATGGTCAGTAAACATCAGTTATTATATTACTTTCTGTTATTTTTATCATTGTACACACATGTATGTATGCATGTATACACACACACACACACACACACACACACACACACACACGGAGGCATTTGACCCAAAAGCACAACTCCACTCAACCTATACCTCAGGGAAAGATGGGGAAGTAGGTAGACCTGAATTGGCTAGGGTTTTGCAGAGAAACAGAAGAGAGAGATAAATTTATTTTAAGAAATTGGCTCATGAGATGACTGTGTGGGCTGGCAAGTCCAAAATCTTGGCTGGAAATTCAGATAACAGTTGATGTTGCAGCATTGAGTCTAAATTCTGCAACGCAGTAGTCTGGAAACAGGCAGAGTTTCTACATTGCAGTCTTGAGGATAATTTATTCTTTGGGAAACCTCAGTGTCCATTATTAAAGACTGCAGCTGATTGGATGAGGCTCATGTTAGGGAAGATAATCTGCTTACTCAGTCTACTGATTAAATACTTACAGAGAAACATGTGGATTGCTATTTGATCAAACAACTGGGTAACACAGCATAGCCTGGGCAAAATTAACCATCACAGAGACTGAGAGGATACATGGAGGTCACTGGAGATATGACCCAAGAGACAGAAGAGGGTCAACAGTGACGAGGACACACTAAGAACATGCCATGATGGTTTTATTTTCACTTAGGATAAAGGCAAATTTCTGGACAGACCTTTGGAGAATATTGGGAAAACAGAAGCTTCTACCTGGTAACCCCATGGTAAGCCCAACAAAGCTGTGATGTTAGGAGGACTGGAGAAAGGGAGTGCAGCATGCGGCTGAGGAGGCCCTTGGCCTTCGCACTTTGGTTTCACAGAAGTGTAGTCAGTACAGCACGGACAAGGCTGCTGACCACTGCACAGTAGCTGGAGCTCTGGGGACTGGTGATTGCTGCAGCTTCTTCCTATGCAGGGGTCACACAAGAAGATTCGGAGGTGAACATGGGCTGTGCACTGGAGTGGCACTGTGGAGGGCCCTTTGAAGGCATTGGCATTGCTGGTGGTTTTTTGGAAAGGTATCTGAGTTTCAGAATGAATTGAATAATAAGTCAGATAAATTAGAGCCAGGACGGGCATAATTTTGCCCTTTTAAACCTATTCTTGGTGTGCTGGCAGACAGTTTATAAAATACATTTGTATCGAATTAGTACCTATGAAGAAACGTATAACCCCAAGTTAAAAGTGTTAGAACTGACATGCTTAAAAACAGAATTAATGCTAAATCAATGTCAATTCTGTCTCTCATTTCATTTCATATCTACGTACCCACTTCCTACCTACAGTATTTCATGAGCTTTAAGAGGCTATCAATTGTAAGGGACACCCTTATTTCATGCACCACAAGGAAAGAAAAAAATGCTGCAAATTCAACAATTACGTGCCACCAATCATATGGTATATACTGATTTAAGGGCTGTTAACAAGTATTAGAAGACTGTATCATGGAATTGATGAATTAAGATAAGTATAAAACCGATCCACTTTAGGTCATATAAATATGTATGTAAATACTAGACGGGCCAATTCTTGCTTTGCCCAGAACACCCCTCTGCTGTGCTCCTCCCTATCACTATGTCTAGCACTAGACACTGCTAGACAGTATTGACAAAAAAGATCAAAAGGCCTACAAAGATATGGTACAGGAAAATTTTGGATTGGTCAATCTATTAAATAAAGGGAGACAAATAAAAAGACATGGTAAGGCTTTTTCTTGTACTGTAGATAAAATAAAGTTCCCACATTTGGTAGGGAGTATTTTTCTGGAATATATGGAGTTTAAGTTCCCAGGGAGACAAATCAAGGAGCTACTTGGAGAGACCAGCCTGCAGGAGAGTGACTTGCCAGATGACATGAACTTCAGATGAAATGTTTGAAGTCACCCGCAGGGCATTCTTCTCATGACACCTACATGCTCGTCCATGTGGTCCTAAAATGATGCACTGATCCTGCCAACACTCATGTGGCAATTAAGTATGTGGGTGGTCCCTGAGGGAGCATGGGCAATGTGACCCACTGGGTCTCCTGGCTCAGAGAGATCACACATGATGATGTGAAGACTGTGGAGACAGAAGCAAGAATATCTATAGTCAGGTGTTTCTTCACTGACTTGTGAACCAATTCCCACCATTTTTTGAGATATAAAGGGAAAAAGTGGGCATGTTAAAGAGCTGTTTATCTCCCAGTTCTGGTTTCCCAGAGGGTCGGTTCCCATTAGTCCTTCCATTGCTTATTCAACCACTCAATACAGATGCTCATGTATGTGCATGTTCATTTCACCTGCACTTTTATATGAATACAGCATACATGCACACAGTGCATACATGCACACAGTGCACACATGCACACACACACACAGGCTTGCCTCCCCTATTTCCTCACTTACAACATTGTAACAAATATCTTTGTCAAAGAGTATGAGGAAGCTGAGGGTGATATCACCATGAAGACAGTGGAATGAACTAACATCTTTTAAACACATTGGGAAATAGTGACTCAGGAGGTTCAGGCCTCAAACATCATCTTCTTTGGTATCCAGTTTGTCTGCAGTCATCTTCAAAAAGGCCACTAAATTCTACAGTCTTTGAGGTCATGGGCTACTTATTGTTCACCTCTATATCCCTATGTTTGGACATACATGCTCCAAGAATGTTGTAGGCTTTCAAAGAATGCCTTTTGAATTCACTGCTCTAATCACACTGTGGACTTAGTTTATCCTTGAGGTAAAAGCTCTCTGAGAACAGGACTCGGGTCTGAAAATAGGACTGTGTAAATAGGTGAATAGAATCCCTCAGGTAGAAGCAGACAATGGGAAACTATGCTTTCTACCTAACCACCCTCCACCACCAAGTAAACATTAGGCAATGTCAAGGCACGGTCTGTTTCTGTTTTAATCAGAGGTGTGAATAACTATCTTTTTCAATTCTAATTTCAACATCTTCATTGAGCCATAATTCACTTATTATACAGCTCATTTATTTAAAGTGTTAATTCAGTGGGTTTCAATATATTCATAGAGTTGGACAATCACCACCAAATTTTAGAACATTTTCATTACTCCACAAAGAAAACCTATATCCATTTGTTGTAATTTTCTAATTTCTCCCAGCCTGCTAAAGTACCTGGAAGCCACTGATATTTCCTCAGAGGATGTGCACAAAAGTAAAAGGCGATACAGGGAACAGAATCTTGTCCAGGCTCTGGTTCCTCAGATGCCCTAAGTCAGCTCTTCAGGCGTCCAGCCTGAGAGAGGCTGTAACTGGCTAAAGCCTCATTCCCTTTCTAGTTCTACAGATTTGCCTACTCTACACATTTCATATAAATAGGATCATAAGAAATGCAGTCTTTTGTGGTTGGCTTCTTCCATTTAGCGTAAGGTTTTCAAAGTTCATCCTCCATATATCTGTTTAAAATAAGTGAATAAATGAATGGGTAACTCTGTCTAGTGCAACCCTGAATCAGAACTCTGAGTAAGTAGACCCCTTTCTGACCCTCTACTTCATGATAGGAAAGGAATTCCCTCTCCACAGAAGCCACAATAAATGATGTCTACTTCCTAAGGGAGTTTTCAAATAAACTGTCTTGTAAGGGTTCTATATGGACAATGAATGCCACATAAGACCTGGGTAAGTATCCAATACATGGCATTAGTTTTTCTTTTAAACACATATTTATTAAGGGTCTATCAAGCACATAGTGTCACACTAAGCTCTTTCTTACTTCTCATTTAATATTAAAAACAGCTCAGTGAGATAAGTATACCTGGTTTATAACGGCCATTACATATGAGAATTGATACTCATTGTGAGTATCATAGTGACACTCTAGCAATTGTTGATAATTGTTGTAGCAATTTCCAGAGATCACTCAGTTATCATATGCAAGTTTTCTGATTCCAGTAGCACATTCAATACAATTCCTCCGACTAAGGGCAATGTTTTGATTTTAGAGGGAATTGTTTATTCTCAATCATATTCTTTGCTCTAGACCACAGAATCAACTCAGATTTAATCCACTGAATCTGCTGGCCATGGTGAGTTGGAGGAAAAGCAGAAACACAGAGGCCAGGAGGAAGGGCTGAGAGCCTAGGCAAGGGAGGGATGCCTAGAAAAAGCCAAGGCTGTAGAAGCCCCCTGGGATGGCTGGATCCACAGCAGGACATGGAAGAGAAACTGCTCAGGGTGGAGGGAGTCATAATGGAACATTTCCACAAGGTCAGGGAAAGCTGTGGCTCAGAACTGATGTTTCCTCAGAGGACACGAATACAAAAGATGCAGGGAACAGGATCTTGTCCAGGCATGGGTCCCTTGGGTAACCTAAGTTAACTCATTAGGGTTCCCACCTGGTGGAGGCTCTGACTGGCTAAAGCTTCTCTAGACCGCAGCCCCAGAGAGGAGTCCTGGAAGCTCCTGAGGCCTCTTTGGATTGCAGGGACTAGGAGGCAGGAGAATGTCAGGAATGACCCAGCACGTGCCTGGTTGTGCAAAAGCCACCTCCTCCTCTTTCCAGAGCCAAGCCTGGGCCCTATAAAAGACACATCCAGCTTCAGCACCTCATCTGCTCTGACTCCCCAGGGACGTGTCTGTGCTCCTGCGTGTGACCAGGGTGAGTGGCAACCTGGGATACCAGAGGGGTATGAGCAAGGCAGAGGGATGGGGAGGATGGAGGTAGGCTGGAGAAAGAGTTGTGTGCTTGTGTTCTGCCATACTGAGGAGGAATGGGACTCAGTCTGCCTCGAATCTGTTGAGGCTGTGAGGCCTACCGGAGGTCGTATAGGTGGGGAAAGCTAACTGTGCACATCTTTTCCAATTCTGTGTTCAGTGACTTCATGTTGGTAACTTCAAAACTGCTGTGTTGGGCATATTTACACCATGGAAACTGGCAAATACTTCAAGCCAGGCTCTTTTATCTGGAGGTTTCATTGCAAAATCTTTTTCCAGAGGACCTCCTGGTGTGTCCTGCAACACGCAGCTGGTCCTTAGGGCTTGTATTAAGGGAATCGGTACTTCATGGAGTGTGAATACTCTATTCAGGCTTGTGAGGATAGAGTAATCTCAGCTTCCCCTGAAAGGAAGAATACGAAGCTCATTCGGTTGGTTTTTTAATGTATGTGCTTTTATTTAGAGGAAAGATTCAAGTTGTTTCTTTCAGGTTACTGATGTGACTGTATGATCTAAATATCATTCTTCTTCTACACATGCATTGATTTTAGAAGAGGTATAATATGATCCTTGGTTTGAAATATTTAAAGAGTTTCATTATTATCTTTCAGGTTGACTAAACTCTGCCAGGATGTCTTGCCAGCAAAACCAGCAGCAGTGCCAGCCCCCTCCCAAGTGTCCTCCCAAGTGTACCCCAAAATGTCCACCTAAGTGTCCCCCTAAATGCCTGCCCCAGTGCCCAGCTCCATGTTCCCCTGCAGTCTCTTCTTGCTGTGGTCCCATCTCTGGGGGCTGCTGTGGTCCCAGCTCTGGGGGCTGCTGCAACTCTGGGGCTGGTGGCTGCTGCCTGAGCCACCACAGGCCCCGTCTCTTCCACCGGCGCCGGCACCAGAGCCCCGACTGCTGTGAGAGTGAACCTTCTGGGGGCTCTGGCTGCTGCCACAGCTCTGGGGGCTGCTGCTGACCTGGGCTAAGAAGAACTCTTTGGACAGAATGTTTAAGAACCTCCTACAGCCTGATGCTTAACCCTTTCCATTTCCTCTCATTCCATTCATGGGTGGACAGCGACCACAAAGACTCATGGGGCTTCCCTGGGAGAACTTTGCACTTGATGGAGCACCTCAATTGCAGGTTTTGTTTTCCTCCTTTACCTCATGTTATAATAAAGCTCTGATTTCTGACTCACAAATTGTCTTGGTCGTTCTCTTCTCTTCTGAGATTTCAAACGTCGTCCAAAGGTCAGGGCCTCAGAGAAATTCTCTTCATGGGTCAAGGACAGGACCTGAGTAGGTGATACATGAAAAGCTGCTCCAAGGAACTGATTCCCTCAAATGCAGGGTGGATGGAGCTCGAAGAGGGTCACCTCTGGCTATGGCAGCTTTGCCTTTCTCTCCACTAAGCCAGACACATGTTCTAATTTTCTGTGTATTCCAGACATTGGGAAGGTTGGGAAGCTCTGTAGACTTGTTCTTCTCTAGGGAGAAGAACACATCTCTATGAAGCAAAACTTCCCTGCTGTTAGAATCAATAGTCGGATAAAATGCTTGAAATGCATGTTGAGACCCTTCCTTCTGCAAAGTACAGCCCACAGTCACTGAACTCCTTCTCAGGGAGGGTGAGTCTGGTTAAGATCAGCCCATTGACTTGCTGCCTCAGACACCTAGCTTCAGTTCCTCAAAGTGTTAGATCTGAGTCCCAGGATGCTGTCCTGCCACTTGGCCTATGTGTTGGGCAGGTGAGTGATGAGTGATGGAGATATTTATTAGAAAAAACATGGAGGTCCCACTTTGAAAATACAACGAATTTATGGTACACGACACTGTAGGGAAGATTAGACGTTTCCTCCTTCAATACTAACCTTCTTTGTCCAGCCACCCTCAGATGTGAGGGGGGAGAAGTGCCAGGATGGTTGGGGGATCTTTAGTATTAATGGGAGAAGGGGAGAGAAGCAGGGAAACAGCAGGGGAAATAAGGACTAGTGCTTCTTAGGTTCAGGCTGACAGGTGTCAACATGAAGATAATGGATTCAGCGAAGAGAGAATCTGACAGAGATGGAGACTGTTATTAAGATGTTCAGCTGCCTCCTCATCCTTGCAGCTGCTAAGAAAAACACCTAGCTCTTTAACCAGTCTGAGATTCTGTACTCTCTGTGTTTTAAATTAGCCTTTGCACTGAGTCATTTTATTTGATGTAATGCTCTTTATTATTTTTGCCAGTCTCATTTTATTTTATTTTTTTTACTTAAGTTCTGGGATACATGAGCTGAATGTGCAGGTTTGTTACATAGGTATATATGTGCCATGGTAGTTTGCTATGTCTATTAACCCGTCATCTAAGTTTTAAGCTCCACATGCATTACGTATTTGTCCTAATGCTCTCCCTCCTCTCACCTCCACCCCCAATATGCCCCGATGTGTGATGTTCCCTGCCCTGTGTCTATGTCTTCTCATTGCTCAGCTCCCACTTATTAGTGAGAACATGCGGTGTTTGGTTTTCTGTTCCTGTGTTAGTTTGCTGAAGATGATGGTTTCCAGCTTCATCCATGTGCCTGTAAAGGACCTAAACTTATTCTTTTTATGGCTGCATAGTATTCCATGGTGTATATGTGCCACATTTTCTTTATCCACTCTATCATTGATGGGCATTTGGGTTGGTTCCAAGTCTGCTATTGTAAATAGTTGTGCTATAAACATAAGTATGCATGTCTTTATAGTAGCATAATTTATAATCCTTTGGGTATATACCCAGAAATGGGATTGCTGGGTCAAATAGTATTTCTGGTTCTATATCCTTGAGGAA
The DNA here is from genome assembly GCF_000001405.40 of Homo sapiens. Taxonomy (NCBI): domain Eukaryota; kingdom Metazoa; phylum Chordata; class Mammalia; order Primates; family Hominidae; genus Homo; species Homo sapiens. The sequence goes on from NC_000001.11 coordinate 152,689,012, forward strand.
TCACCACACTGTCTCCCACATGGGTGATCTAATTTACAGTCCCACCAACAGTGTAAAAGCATTCCTATTTCTCCGCATCCTCTTGAGCATCTGTTGTTTCCAGACTTTTTAATGATCGCCATTCTAACTGGTGTGAGATGGTATCTCATTTTGGTTTTGATTTGCACATCTCTAATGACCAGTGATTATGAGCTTTTTTTCATATGTTTGTTGGCCGCATAAATGTCTTCTTTTGAGAAGTGTCTGTTCAGATCCTTTGCCCACTTTTTGATGGGGTTGTTTGTTTTTCTCTTGAAAATTTGTTTAAGTTCCTTGTAGATTCTGGATATTAGACCTTTGTCAGATGGATAGATTGCAAAAATTTTCTCCCACTCTGTAGGTTGCCTGTTGACTCTGATGATATTGTCTTTTGAAAAGATTAACAAAATAGATAGACCACTAGCCAGACTAATAAAGAATAAATGAGAGAAGAATCAAATAGACACAATAAAAAATGATAAAGCATATATCACCACTGATAACACAGAAATACAAACAAACCACCATCAAAGAATAATATAAACACCTCTATGCAAATAAACTAGAAAATCTTGAAGAAATGGATAAATTTCTGGACACAGAAACCCTCCCAACACTAAACTAGGAAGAAATTGAATCCTTGAATAGACCAATAACAAGTTCTGAAATTGAGGCAGTAATTAATAGCCTACCAAGCAAAAAAAAACCCCAGGAATAGAGAGATTCACAGTCGAATTTTACCAGAGGTACAAAGAGGAGCTGATACCATTCCTTCTGAAACTATTCCAAACAATAGAAAAAGAGGGACTCCTCCCTAACTCATTTAATGAGGCCAGCATCATCCTGATTTTAAAATCTGGCAGAGACACAACAAAAAAAGAAAATTTCAGGCCAATATCACTGATGAACATCAATGCAAAAATCCTCAATAAAATACTGGCAAACTGATTCCAGCAGCACATCAAAAAGCTTATCCACCACATTCAAGTCGGCTTCATCCCTGGGATGCAAGGCTGGTTCAACATACACAAATCAATAAACGTAATCCATCACATAAACAGAACTAATGACAAAAACCACATGATTATCTCGATGGATGCAGAAAAGGCCTTTGATAAAATTCAACACTGCTTCACGCTAAAAACTCTCAATAAACTAGGTATTGATGGAACATATCTCAAAATAATAAGAGCCATTTATGACAATCCTGTAGCCAATATCATACTGAATGGGCAAAAGCTGGAAGCATTCCCTTTGAAAACCAGCACAAGACAAAGATGCCTTCTCTCACCACTCCTATTCAACATAGTATCAGAAGTTCTGGCCAGAGCAATCAGGCAAGAGAAGGAAGTAAAGGTTATTCAAATAGGAAGAGAGGACATCAAATCGTATCTCTTTGCAGATGACATGATTGTATATTCAGAAAACCCCATCGTCTCAGCCCAAAAACTCCTTAAGCTGATAAGCAACTTCAGCAAAGTCTCCGGATACAAAATCAATGTGCAAAAATTACAAGCATTCCTCTACACCAATAATAGACAAGCAGACAGCCAAATTATGAGTAAACTCCCATTCACAATTGCTACAAAGAAAATAAAATACCTAGGAATATAACTTACAAGGGAGGTGAAGGAATTCTTCAAGGAGAACTACAAACCACTGCTCAAGGAAATAAGAGAGGGCACAAACAAATGGAAAAACATTCCATGCTCATGGATAGGAAGAATCAATATCTTGAAAATGGCCATACTGCCCAAAGTAATTTATAGATTCAAGCTATCCCCATCAAGCTACCACTGACTTTCTTCACAGAACTACAAAAAACTACTTTAAATTTCATATGGAATCAAAAAAAGAGCCCATATAGCCAAGACAATCCTAAGCAAAAAGAACAAAGCTGGAAGCATCAAGCTACCTGACTTCAAACTGTACTACAGAGCTACAGTAACCAAAATAGCATGGTACTGGTACCAAAACAGATATATAGACCAATGGAACAAAACAGAGACCCCAGAAATAACATCACACGTCTACAACCATCTGATCTTCAACAAACCTGACCAAAAAAGCAATGGGGAAAGGATTCCCTATTTAATAAATGGTGCTGGGAAAACTGGCTAATCATATGCAGAAAACAGAAACTCGACCCCTTCCTTACACCTTATATAAAAATTAACTCAAAATGGGTGTTAAAGACTTAAATGTAAAACCTGAAAGTATAAAAACCCTAGAAGAAAACCTAGGCAATACAATTCAGGACATAGGCATGGGCAAAGACTTCATGACTAAAACAGCAAAAGCAATTGCAACAAAAGCCAAAGTTGACAAATGGGATCTAATTAAACTAAAGAGCTCAGCCAGTCTCATTATTAACTGAAATTTCAAGTCCCTGAACAGTAGTAATTTTGTTCTTCTAAAAACACGTACATTGGCCATTTCTACAAATTTCATAACATGATTTCAAATTTTCTTTTCAATTTTCAAGGGCTCTTGATATATCACAGATATTAAACTTGATCCGCCTTATTAAAATATTTAATGCAGGGACCCACTTGAGGAGGCAGTCTGTGGGTCCCTGACCCCCGAGTAGCCTAACTGGGAGGCACCCCCCAGTAGGGGCATACTGACGCCTCCCATGGTCGGGTACTCCTCTGAGACAAAACTTCCAGAGGAACGATCAGGCAGCAACATTTGCTGCTCACCAATATCCGCTGTTCTGCAGCCTCTGCTGCTGATACCCAGGCAAACAGAGTCTGGAGTGGACCTCCAGCAAACTCCAACAGACCTGCAGCTGAGGGTCCTGACTGTTAGATGGAAAACTAACAAACAGAAAGGACATCCAAACCAAAACCCCATCTGTACGTCACCATCATCAAAGACCAAAGGTAGATAAAACCACAAAGATGGGGAAAAAACAGCAGAAAAACTGGAGATTCTAAAAATCAGAGTGCCTCTCCTCCTCCAAAGGAACGCAGCTCCTCTCTAGCAACAGAACAAAGCTGGACAGAGAATGACTTTGAGGAGTGGAGAGAAGAAGGCTTCAGATGATCAAACTGCTCTGCGCTAAAGGAGGAAGTTTGAACCCATGGCAAAGAAGTTAAAAACCTTGAAAAAAAATTAGACAAATGGCTAACTAGAATAACCAATGCAGAGAAGTCCTTAAAGGACCTGATGGAGCTGAAAACCATGGCATGAGAACTATGTGACGAATGCACAAGCCTCAGTAGCCAATTGGATCAACTGGAAGAAAGGGTATCAGTGATGGAAGATCAAATGAATGAAATGAAGTGAGAAGAGAAGTTTAGAGAAAAAAGAATAAAAGGAAATGAACAAATCCTCCAAGAAATATGGGACTATGTGAAAAGACCAAGCCTAAGTCTGATTGGTGTACCTGAAAGTGATGGGGAGAATGGAACCAAGTTGGAAAACACTCTGCAGGATATCATCCAGGAGAACTTCCCCAATCTACTAAGGCAGGCCAACATTCAAATTCAGGAAATACAGAAAACGTCACGAAGATACTCCTCGAGAAGAGCAGCTCCAAGACACATAATTGTCAGATTCACCAAAGTTGAAATGAACGAAAAAATGTTAAGTGCAGCCAGAGAGAAAGGTCGGGTTACCCACAAAGGGAAGCCCATCAAACTAACAGCTGATCTCTTGGCAGAAACTCTACAAGCCAGAAGAGACTGAAGACCAATATTCAACGTTCTTAAAGAAAAGAATTTTCAACCCAGAATTTCATATCCAGCCAAACTAACCATCATAAGTGAAGGAGAAATAAAATCCTTTACACACAAACAAATGCTGAGAGATTTTGTCACCACGAGGCCTGCCCTAAAAGAGCTCCTGAAGGAAGCACTAAACATGGAAAGGAACAACCGGTATCAGCCACTGCAAAAACATGCCAAATTGTAAAGACCATCGAGGCTAGGAAGAAACTGCATCAACTAACGAGCAAAATAACCAGCTAACAGCATAATGATAGGATCAAATTCACACATAACAATATTAACCTTCAATGTAAATGGGCTAAATGCTCCAATTAAAAGGCACAGACTGGCAAATTGGATAAAGAGTCAAGACCCATCAGTGTGCTGTATTCAGGAAACCCATCTCACGTGCAGAGATACATATAGGCTCAAAATAAAAGGATAGAGGAAGATCTACTAAGGAAATGGAAAACAAAAAAAGGCAGGGGTTGCAATCCTAGTCTCGGATAAAACAGACTTTAAACCAACAAAGAGACAAAGAAGGCCATTATATAATGGTAAAGGGATCAATTCAACAAGAAGAGCTAACTATCCCAAATATATATGCACGCAATACAGGAGCACCCAGATTCATAAAGCAAGTCCTTAGTGACCTACAAAGAGACTTAGACTCCCATAAAATAATAATGGGAGACTTTAACACCCCACTGTCAACATTAGACAGATCAACGAGACAGAAAGTTAACAATGATATCCAGGAATTTAACTCAGCTCTGCACCAAGTGGACCTAATAGACATCTACAGAACTTTCCACCCCAAATCAACAGAATATACATTCTTCTCAGCACCACACCACACTTATTCTAAAATTGACCACATAGTTGGAAGTAAAGCACTCCTCAGCAAATGTAAAAGAATATAAACTATAACAAACTGTCTCTCAGACCACAGTGCAATCAAACTAGAACTCAGGATTAAGAAACACACTCAAAACCACTCAACTACATGGAAACTGAAAAACCTGCTCCTGACTACTGGGTACATATGAAATGAAGGCAGAAATAAAGATGTTCTTGAAACCAACGAGACCACAACATACTAGAATCTCTGGGACACATTCAAAGCAGTGTGTAGAGGGAAATTTATAGCACTAAATGCCCAAAAGAGAAAGCAGGAAAGACCTAAAATTGACACCCTAACATCACAATTAAAAGAACTAGAGAAGCAAGAGCAAACACATTCAAAAGCTAGCAGAAGACAAGAAATAACTAACATCAGAGCAGAACTGAAGGAAATAGAGACACAAGAAACCCTTCAAAAAATCAATGAATCCAGGAGCTGGTTTTTTGAAAAGATCCACAAAATTGATAGACCACTAGCAAGACTAATAAAGAAGAAAAGAGAGAAGAATCAAACAGACACAATAAAAGATGATAAAGGGGATATCATCACCAATCCCACAGCAATACAAACTACCATCAGAGAATACTATAAACACCTCTACGCAAATAAACTAGAAAATCTAGAAGAAATGGATAAATTCCTGGACACATACACCCTCCCAAGACTAAACCAGGAAGAAGTTGAATCTCTGAATAGACCAATAACAGGCTCTGAAATTGAGGCAATAATTAATAGCTTACCAACCCAAAAAAGTCCAGGACCAGATGGATTCACAGCCGAATTCTACCAGAGGTACAAGGAGGAGCTGGTACCATTCCTTCTGAAACTATTCCAATCAATAGAAAAAGAGAGAATCCTCCCTAACTCATTTTATGAGGCCAGCATCATCCTGATACCAAAGTCTGGCAGAGATACAACAAAAAAAGAGAATTTTAGACCAATACCCCTGATGAACATCGATGCAAAAATCCTCAATAAAATACTGGCAAACCAAACCCAGCAGCACATCAAAAAGCTTATCCACCATGATCAAGTGGGCTTCATCCCTGGGATGCAAGGCTGGTTCAACATACACAAATCAATAAACATAATTCAGCATATAAACAGAACCAACAACAAAAACCATATGATTATCTCAATAGATTCAGAAAAGGCCTTTGACAAAATTCAACAACACTTCATGCTAAAAACTCTCAATAAATTAGGTATCGATGGGACATATCTCAAAATAATCTAAGAGCTATCTATGACAAACCCACAGCCAATATAATACCTAATGGACAAAAACTGGAAGCATTCCCTTTGAAAACTGGCACAAGACAGGGATGCCCTCTCTCAACACTCCTATTCAACATAGTGTTGGAAGTTCTAGCCAGGGCAATCAGGCAGGAGAAGGAAATAAAGGGCATTCAGTTAGGAAAAGAGGAAGTCAAATTGTCCCTGTTTGCAGTTGACATGATTGTATATCTAGAAAACCCCATCATCTCAGCCCAAAATCTCCTTAAGCTGATAGGCAAGTTCAGCAAAGTCTCAAGATACAAAATCAATGTGCAAAAATCACAAGCATTCTTATACACCAATAACAGACAGCCAAATCATGAGTGAACTCCCATTCACAATTGCTTCAAAGGAATAAAATACCTAGGAATCCAACTTACAAGGGATGTGAAGGACCTCTTCAAGGAGAACTACAAATCACTGCTCAACGAAATAAAAGAGGATACAAACAAATGGAAGAACATTCCATGTTCATGGGTAGGAAGAATCAATATTGTGAAAATGGCCATACTGCCCAAGGTAATTTATAGATTCAATGCTATCCCCATCAAGCTACCATTGCCTTTCTTCACAGAATTGGGAAAAACTACTTTAAAGTTCATATAGAACCAAAAAAGAGCCCGCATTGCCAAGACAATCCTAAGCCAAAAGAACAAAGCTGGAGGCATCACACTATCTGACTTCAAACTCTACTACAAGGCTACAGTAACCAAAACAGCATGGTACTGGTACCAAAACAGAGATATAGACCAATGGAACAGAACACAGCCCTCAGAAATAATGCTGCATATCTACAACCATCTGACCCAGCATGCCTAGATATTCTTGATATTCTTTTCTCCTCTTTTATCTCTTTGGAAAATCATGGGAGATTCCAGGATACCCCACCAGTTTCTTCTGCTCAAAAGTTATAAATGGCTTCAGCAGGAATCTAGCCACTGGGCAATAGTTTCAGGGACCCAGTTCACTATGGAGTCAACTCTTGTTACGAAACTTGGTTCTCACCTCACCTCCAGGTCTGCTCTATGAGCTGGTGGCTTAGGACTGGGATTGTCTGTTTTCAGAGGGAAGGAGAGGTTGAAATGAGCTAAGAGATGTGTTTTACAACAAGAAACTATAAAATAACCTACTGCTTGCAGAAGCTGAAGGAGAGGGATGAGTGACATTGGTAAGGTCCCATGCCTGGTGAATAAGAGAGGAAATACCACAAAGAGAGAGCGTGTTTTGGAGATCAGGAGGTTTTGTGATAGAGTTAGTTTGAGGTCACAGCAAAAATATTTGCCTCTTAGAAGACATTTGGCAGGATCAAACTGCAGGTCAGTGACTTTCTAGGCAAAGCAGAGGTGGCTTAAAGGAAGTATTTTAAATAACTCCCAGGTAATTCTTCTAATAACATTTAATTTATTCATTCATCCATCTAATCAATAGTCTATGGTCAACTGCTAGACTCCCCAGGAAAAGAAACAATGGGTAAGACCTGATTCTGAGCTCATGCTCTGGTGACTTAATATCCGTGGACATAGAGCCAAGATTGTCTAGAATTCTTACTGGTGTCAAAGGCTGTAAGCCTGATCTCTAACAGTGACTGACCATATTTTATCATAAAAAATATGGAAGGACATTTTGTCTGCTGAGACTGGCTTCCTGTGAACGAGGCACATATCAGCTTTGGAGTCTTCTCTCCAACCCTTGGCCACGCTGCTGTGCTTGTCCCTGGACTTGCAAGCACACCTTCATGCCCATGCTGCCCACACACACATACACACACATTCATAAAGGCACAGCCCATCCCATTCTCTTCCTTCATGGTTACTATCATCTTTGTCAAGGAGAATGAGGAACCTAGCATGACATTCCCTCAGGCATTATCAGGTGATCCAGTGTCCCAACAATCTCATTGGAAAATAGACTCATTTGGTATGCACATAAATTTCACAGAGGTCTTCAGAATATCCACTGAATTGTGAATTCCTAGAGGTCACAAAACACACACAGTGTTTGCCTCTATAAACCTAAGTGTTTGGATAGAAAATCACTGAATACCTAGGAGCTGACAAAGCAGTATCTTCTTGATTAACTGCTATGTTTGGATATCAACATTTTTCACTCTTGACCTGAACACTCTCAAGGGTAGGGAACTACATCTGAGACTAGAAAAGAAAACTATTGGAGATGGGGCATCTCTTAGTATGACAGAAATGTAAAGACCATATACTCCTACCTTCTAGACCAAGGGTATATGAAAGAAGGGACTATCTTTTTCAAAAGCTGTATTCTAACTTATGCCATACAGTAGGTTTTCAGTAAATGTTGGATGGATGGATGAAATAAATTGATTAATGGATGAATGTATCTAATCCAAAATTGTATCAGATTCCTTACTCTCCTGTCATTCACTAAGAAGATTAAATAAATCATTTGATTCCCATCACCTTCTTGACAAGAAATAATTAGACTTCTCAAAATCCTGAATGTACACTGTACATTCCTAAGAGAGCCTTCGCTAGCCTACCTATATTTTTAAATAAAATTTTCAAAGACAGGGACTGAATATTGTCCATTTTTCTGTCTCACACACTGCCCTCGTTCTTTTAAAAAATGACATTGTTTAAGTGTCTTCCTTGTGCCTTATCATGTGCAAAAGCCTCACTTGATGGAACCAACAATTCAGAGAGGAAGGTGCTAATAGGCCTGTTTTACAGTTGAGGATTTAGATTGTCTATATATAGTCTTTGAGGTCACTGGGCTCATAAACACAGAGCTCTTCTGATTCCAATTCAAAAAACTATTGGCTTATTTTAAAAACTGCCTTGTTACACAGTAGACATTTTAATTTCTAAGTGAAGAAGTTTAGTCACAATGATCATCACCACCAAATCTGAGGAAACCATCTTGATTCACTTATTAATCCTCCTAGCAGGGTTCTGCAGGCCACACAGCAACATGGGGTCAGGAATGAGGGCTGAGCAGAAGGGGAGGAGTGTATCCTAGGAAGGAAATGGTCTCTGACTCAATGCCACAAAGAAACCTGCCTAGCTGTGGAAGCAGGGCTTGGAAAACTATACTTGGGGATGGGAAGAAGCTGGAATAGCATACTTCCACAGGAAAGCTATGGCAAGGATCTCTGGTGTTCTCAGAAGTCACTCTTTGAGCCTTTGTCCAGGCACAAGCTCCTTAAGAATCCCCTGGCAGCTCCACGGGGACCAGCCTGGGGGGGGCTGTGACTGGTTAAAGCTCCTTTAGACCCCCTTCCCAGAGGGAGGTCTTGGGAGCTCCCAGTGCTTCCTTGGATTGTAGGGACAAGGAGGCAGGGGAATGTGAGGAATGACCCAGCACGTGCCTGGTTGTGCAAGAGCCACTTCCCGCTCTTCCCAGAGCCAAGCCTGAGCCTATAAAAGACATATTCAGCTCCAGCACCTCATCTGCTCTGACTTCCCCAGGACGTGTCTGTGCTCCTGTGTGTGACCAGGGTGAGTGGCAACCTGGGAGCCAGAGGGCACAGGGGAATGGGAAGATTAAGGGAGGCTTCAGAGAGTTATTTCTTTGATTCTGTGCTATTATATGCAGAAAAGAGATACAGTCTGACTTGAGTTTCTGGAAATCTTGCCTTGGGCTGTGAGAAATGTGTATCTGACAGTTTCATCAAGGGCTTATTCTTATATTTCAAAAATGGATACTTTGTTGGGTATGAATACTTTATTCAAGCTCATGAAGATTAGAAAATACTGCCTATCTTCTAAAAGAATAAGAAGCTTCTTATTATATCTGATTTTCAAGTATATATTTTCATTCAGCAGGATTTGTTTTCTTTCACTTGTTGATATATATGTGTGTATGTGTATATATATACACACACTGAGTATTATTCACCATCACCATATGATTTAGTTTTAAAAGAGATAAAATTGCCATCCTTGGTTTTTCACAGCTAAAGGGTTTGACTATTTCGAATTTCAGGTTGAAAAAGTCGCACTGAGATGTCCTGCCAGCAAAACCAGCAGCAGTGCCAGCCCCCTCCCAAGTGCCCCCCAAAATGCCCACCCAAGTGTCCTCCAAAGTGCCGACCTCAGTGCCCAGCCCCATGCCCACCTCCAGTCTCTTCCTGCTGTGGTCCCAGCTCTGGGGGCTGCTGCGGCTCCAGCTCTGGGGGCTGCTGCAGCTCTGGGGGTGGCGGCTGCTGCCTGAGCCACCACAGGCCCCGTCTCTTCCACCGGCACCGGCACCAGAGCCCCGATTGTTGTGAGTGTGAACCTTCTGGGGGCTCTGGCTGCTGCCACAGCTCTGGGGACTGCTGCTGACCAGACCTCGAACATCACAGAGCAACCCTTATGGAGAAACTTGCAACCAGGACCTGTCCCAGAGTGATGCTTCTCCTGCCCCTTTTTCTCCTTTCCTTGGGCTGACACACCTTGTGAGGTGTTTTGTCTGTTGTCATGGCCCAAGAGCCCATCCTGGATCCTGATCTTACCTTCCCACTTTACCTCATACAACAATAAAGCTCTTTTGCCTCTTCGTGAAGTACCCTGGCCATTGTCAATTCTTCTATTCTTTTCAAATCCCTTAAAGTCCAGTGCCCCAGCCGTACACTTTTAAGGATGCTTTGGTAGGAGTGGAGTGTGAGAAAGAGGTATGCTGGAAGCAGTCTCCAGAGGGTCAATCCTGAAAGAGCAGCCTCACAGTAGGGCTTCTCAATGGGACTGCCTGTGTGCACTTGGAGACTGTGAGATGTGGACCCTCTCAGCCCAGGCAGGGGCCTGAAGGGACTGACAGCCCCAGGGCTGAGAACCGCTGGCCATGTGCTGCTTGCTCAGTTTAACTCACCATGCTGAATGTAACTTATTTTCATTTTCTCTTCATACCATGATGACAAAGCTAGAAAAATCTTTGGTACTCCAAGCAAAAAGGTATATTTAACAGAATTCTTTTCATCTGATTTAAAATGCTTGGTATGAGAATCAGAACCCTTAGGGGCAAGTTTAAATGACAACTCATTGCCACTTAACTACTCTCCAGGGAGGAAGAGTCTGTCCAGTTCTTGCTTTCTTTCATGTTCCAGCCTCTCCACGAAACAACTGTTAAATAAATACGTAAGCAGTGTAAGGCTGAAGGAACACCTCAGTATGGGCCTGCTCAGTTCCTGTGACTCAATCCATGGCTAAGTGAAGCAGAGTATGGAACAGGGGTCCGGGCCATGTCCCACTTTTATTGCTACGCCTGCCTCACTGCAAAGGATCAGGCCTGGAGGGTGTGAAGGAGAATTATGAGAAATACCACTCTCAAACAATATATATGAAACAAAACATAAACCAAAATAAACAAAAAAGAAAAACCACTCTTATGTAGCTGTAAAATAAGCTGCATGTAGCCCAGCCTGGGTCTAGCCCTCCTTAGGTTCAGGTCTCCTCAGCTCAGCACTCATATTAAAAGAATTTTAGGACGGAGAAGCAGCTTGTCTGGATGACTGGGGCTCTGTGCCTTGGGGAGGAAGTGTGAAGAAGAGTGAGGGCACCACTAGGGGAATTAAAAATAGTTAGTCTATCAGCAGACTGTGAGGTGCTTGCGGTGAGATGATGAGCTCAGTTTAGAGCAAGGCCCTGCTGAAAATGGGCTAATAAAGCATCCTGTCCCTTCTTCTGCATGATACGGATGGGTACCAATTAACATCTCCACTTGTGTTCTTCCACTCTAGTCCCTCCCTATCATGCTTTAGGCTTCTTTCTTTGCTCCTTTTTGTAATTATTGCAACTCCTATAGGTAATTATATGTCATTGTTAGTTTAATTTGAAATCTCATAGTACTAATTCTGAGTCTATGTTCATATATGTATTGCCCACACTTTTTCTTTTTTGTTTTTCTGCAAACTACATATTCATATACTCTGACTTATTTTTCACTATACTCCTTGTTTTTTTTTTTTTCTTCTGGTCTATCTTAAGTATTTTCCCTCTGCATTAGCCAGGGTTCTCCAAAGAAACAGAACCAATAGGAGATATCGGTCTCGACAGAAATATAGATATAGTTATAGATATAGGTAGAGATACAAATTTATGACAAGAAATTGGAAATGGATTTATGATTATGAAGGCTGAGAAATCTCAAGATCTGTAGTTGGAAAACTGGAAACCTAGAAGAGCTGATAGTTCTCATCTGAGTCTGAAGGCATGGAAACCAGGAGAGCTGATGGTGGAAATTGCAGTCTGAGCACATGAGAAGATCAATATCCCAGCACAGAGCCGTCAGGCAGAAGAAATTTCCTCTTACTCAGCCCTATTGTTCTATTCTGGTCATCAATTGATTGGATGAAGCCCACTCATATAGGGAAGAGTAATCTACTTTAATCGGTCTACAAATTCAAATGTTAATTTCATCCAAAAACATCCTCACAGAAACAGCCCGAGTAATGTTTGACCAAATGTCTGGGCACCTTATGGCCCAGTCAAGTCTCCATAAAATTAGCCAGCATACTTCTCCCCTTCCTCCTTATATTTTAATGAGCCATATTGGCTTATAGTAACATTGTTTGCTATAAGACATTTTAAATTTTCTTTTATCTTGAAAGTTTTAGACTTCTCGGTTAAGAGATTTTTTTTCATGTTCTTAAATTATACATGTAGTCTTCAAGACTTTCTGCTAAGGTTTTATTTGCTTGCTGTTTTACTTCCTAACTTGTTAGTATATTCATTTTTATTGTGAGATACAACCTATATACAAAAGAAAAAATAAAATATATTTATGTACTTTAAAAAGAAACACAAATAATACCAACCACAGTGAGGATAAGAAAGAGAAGACTGCTAGAACTCCAGAGGTGCCCCATGTTGCCCAATCACAAGACTCTTCTCCACCCCTGCCAAAGTAAGCATGTCACAATTTTTAATTTTCATTGTAGTTTTACCATCGATGTATGCTTCTCAGTTGAGTTTTTAAGCTTTATAAACAAGGAGTCACATTTTTATGTAATTTTTTTCTCTTTGTTCAATGTCCAGTTGAGAAGGTAAACACTACTGTATGTTGATCTGTACTTTATTCATTTTCATTATTGAATAGTTTATTACATTTTACAATGATACCAAAACATATTTGTCTATTCTACTGATGATGATGATTTAGTTTGTGTCTAGTTTTTGATGAATAATTCTAATTCTGTTACGAAAATTCTTGTATATGTCTTCTGGGACATATCTGGGAGGTTTTTATTTTTCCCCAGAAGTATGATTACTGGGTAGACATATTTTCAACTATCTGGATAACAACAAAATATTTTCCAGAGGGACTGCATTAATATTTATCCTGACCAGTATTGTATGATAATTTCTATTGCTCTGCATCTTCACCATTAGTGGTACTGGCACACCATTTTAATTTTGCTAATCGGATGAGTGTCAGTATCTATTATTATCTTTTTAATTTGCATTTTCTAAATTATTTGTGAAGTTGAGCACCTTTCATTGGCCATTTGAACCTCCCCTTTTGTTAGATTTATTTTCAAGCCCTTTGCTCACATTTCTATTATGTGTTTCTATTTTGTAAGGATGGGTAGGCATTTTATTTCTGTATTTTGGGTACCAGATTTTATTTGTTATGTGTAATGCAAATATCTTTTGCCACTCAGTGATTACTTTAGTTATTTAATGCCATTACATTTCCACTTGAGTTCATTTGTATAAAGTGTAGGGTTTAGCTCAAAATTTCTTTTTACCTGTTGATGTCCAATTGCTCCAACACCATTTGTTGAAAAAGATATTCTTCCATTTAATTTCTTTTGCACTTTTGTCAAAGATGAATTGAACATATTTGTGTAGGCCTATTTATGAGTTCTCTATTCCATTCCATTGATCTCTATGTCTGTTCCTACACCAGTACCATATTATCTTGGTTACTGTAGACCTAATATTGGGTAGAATTATTCTTATTTAGCAAGGCCATTTGATCTACTTTAGGGCCTATGCCTTTTAATATAAATTTTTAAACAAGTTTAATTTGAAAAAAAAAACTTTGCTGAGATTTTGTTGGGAATTGTATTAAACCTTTAGCTCAATTTCGTGAAAACTGACATCTTTATTGTTGTCTTCCAATCCTTGAACACAGTGTATCTTTCCATTTATTTAGATCTTCTCTGATTTCTTTCTCATTGTTTTGTGATTTTCAGTATACCAGTTCTGTCCATGTTTTGTTCAGTGTATACCTAAGCATTTAAAATTTTTTGGAAGGATTATAAATGGTATTAGACTTTTGGCATGTTCACTGTTAACCTGTAGAAATGTGCTTTGTTTACTTTTGTTGATCTTGTACTTTGCAACATTTTTTAACTCATTTATTAGTTCTAGAGTTTTTGGTTTTTCTTAGACTTCTTGAGATATGCCATCAGCAAATGGAGATAGTGAACACCTGACATTTTTGCCTTGTTTTCAATCTTGAGAGAAAGCATTGTTTTTCACATTTAAGTATGATGTTAGCTGTAGAATTTTTGTAGATAGTCTTTATTGATTGGAGCTAATTCCCCTCTATTTTTAACTTGCTAAGAGATTGTACTATGAATGAGTAATGAATTTTATCAAGTGTTTAACTGCACCAATTAATATGATTGCGTGATTTTTCTGTTTTAGCTTGTTGATATAATGGATTTCATAAATTTTCAAACGTTGATCCTGTTTTGCATACCTGAAATAAATCCCAGTTGATCATTATGTATAATTATTTTTACGTATTGTTGGACTAGATTTGCTGGTATTTTGTTGAAGATTTTAGTGTCTAAGTTTATAAGGCATACTGTAGTTTTCTTTAGTTTTGGACTGTATTTATCTGATTATAATATCAGAGAAATCATGGGCCTCATTAAATGAGTTGAGAATGTTCTGCCTACTTCTATTTTCTGAAAGAAATTGTGGAAATTTCTGAAAGAAAGTGTGGAAAAGAAATGTTAATTTTTAAATATGTTTGGTAGAATTCCCCAGTGAATCCATCTGGGCTTACACATTTTTTCAAGAGCTTTTAAGTAATAAATTCAATTTCTTGAATGGCTGTGGGACTATCTAGATGACTTATTTCATCTTAGCTAAGTTTTGGTAGTTTGTGGTTTTAGAGAAATTGGCTCATTTTTTCTAAGCTGTCGCATTTATGAGCAGAGAAGTGTTTGTAGCATTCTCTTAACTTTTTAATGGCTGCAGGATCTGTAGTGATACTGAACTTTTTATTCCTGGTATTGGTGATTTTTGTCTTCTCTCTTTTTATTTTTATGAACCTTCCTAGAGGTTCATAAATTTTATTTTTGGTTAATGAGCCTTATTGCATTAATTTCTTTTTTTATTTTCTAGTTTAAAATGAGGCTGATTTTTGTTTCATCTTTACTTTTTCTTCTACCTGTTTCAGGTGTATTTTGCTCTTCTTCTTGTATCTTGAGCCAGAGACTTAGATTATTGTTTTGTGGAATTTATTTGTTTCTAGTGAACACTTAGGGCTAAAAATTTCCCTCTTAACACTGCTTTGGCTGTTTCTCTGTCTTAGTTTTGGTTACAATAGCAAAGGATCATAGACTGGGCGGCTTAAACAACAAACATTTATTTCTTACAGTGCTGGAGGCTAGGAAGTTCATAATCAAAGTGATAGCAGATCCAGTGTCTGGTGAGGGCACTTCTTCCAGCTTGCAGATATCCACCTTCTCATTGCATATTCACATGGCCAGGGAAGAATTCTCTCCTGCTTCTTCTTATAAGGGCACTAATCCCATTCATGAAGGCTCCACCCTCATAATCTAATCACCTCCCAAAGGTCCCCCTCTTAATAACATCACATTGGGAACTAGAATTTCAATATGTGAGCTTTTTTTGTGAGGGACACATTCAGTCCATAAATAATCACATATTTATATATTATATATTTGTTTTTGTTCATTTCTAAGTATTTTTAAGAATTTTCTTTGAGACTTCCTCTTTAACTCATAGACTAGGAGTATATTATTTAATTTCCATATGTTTAGAGATTTGTTTTGTTTTCTTTCTTTATTGATTTCCATTTTGTATTAATAGAGAATTAAAAAGCTATTCCTTAGTAATTTTCAAACTAAGAGGAATTAAGAGTTTTAATACCAACTCAATGAACAAATAATTATCATTGTGTTAGCCTGTTCTGCATTGATATAAAGGAATACCTGAGGCTGGGTAATTTATAGAGAAAAGAGGTTTATTTGGCTCATGGTTTTGCAGGCTGCATAAGAAGCATGGTGCTGGCATCTGCTCCTGGTGAAGTCTCAGAAAGCTCCCACTCATGGTGGAAGGCAAAGGGGAAGCTGGCATATCACATGATGAGAGAAGGGAGTAAGGTGGGCAACGGTTGTCATACTCTTTAAAAAAACAGATATCCCATGAACCAGATCTCATTACCACTCATTACCTTGCAGAGAGCACCATTCATGAGGGATCTGACCCCATAACCCATCACCTCCCACCAGTCCCCACTTCCAACATTTGGAGTCACATTTCAACATGAGATTTGGAGGGGAAAAATATCCAAACCATATCAATTATCTTTACAAAATCTTACAAATCATATAAATGATTGGAAGATACAACATTTATACCACATCTAAACTCGAATTTCTCAAAAGAATGATAAACCAACATTAATTATAAACAAATACATGAAAGTCACAAACTAATGCTAAGTAATTAGATCAGCAGTATGAAAAAATATATTTTGTCCAATTACTGATTAAGCTAAGAATGTAAGATTTATCATTAGAAAATCTATTTCTTTATATTAACATATTAAGAGAGTGGAGCAATGACCAAAACTGATTAAATCTCAGCTTTCATGGAGCCTTCATTCTATTTGAAAAGGACGACTACAAATAGATAAATTGCAATGTGTTGACAGGTATGAAGTAAATAAGCAGAGTAGAGATGGAGAATAATGGTGTTTATGTTTTGTTTTCTATTGTAGTCAAGGTGGGTTGAGAGGTGGCATTTAAGCAGAGGGCTCAGTGAAATGAGAGAGTGGACGAATTTACTATTTAGATAAAGAGAATTCTTCCAGGTAGCTGGAAGAATAAGTGTAAAGGCTGTGAGTAACAAGTACGCTCGGTATATTAGAAGATTAGCAAGTGGGGCAGAGCTGCCAGAGCCTAGTGGTTGAGATAAAGTGAATTAGGCAATAATGTCCAAGTATGCAAGTAGGATTGGATGGGGCCTTGTACACCACAGTAAAGATATGGATTTTGTTCTAAGTGTGATGGAAGCACTGCTTTAGCTGCATCCCACAAGCTTTGATGGTCTGTGTTTTCATTTTTATTCAAATAAAACTATTTTCTAGTTTTTCTTATGACTTCCTCTTTGATTTATAGGTCTTTTAGGTAAAAATAATTTTAATACTATATTTTATTTAGGCTAGTATATCCATAATTTTGCATTTCAGCACGTAATCAATCTAAAATATTAGTGAGATATTTTACATTTAAAACAATTTTATGTCTTCAAACTCAGTGTCATGCTATGGCACATCTCAATTCAGACAAGTTATATTTCAAGGGCTTTATCATCTCATGTGGTTAGTGGCTACTGTATTGTGCAGAGTAGGGCTACACCAATAGCTTTCATCTCTGTTTGTGCAACACATTCAACTTGTGACCTTTTAAAAAACACCAATGCTGGGGCCCTATTCCCAGAAATTCTGAATTAATTTGTCTACAGTTGAGTCCTGGCATCTTTTGTTTTAGGACTGCCTACTAGGACCACTGGTGTCAACCCTGAAATTTTCCTTTAATCACACCGTGTTTCTCTTGTGTTGAGGTTCAGCATCACTATCTAACTTCTCAGGTGTTTCTGTTTCTCTCTCCAGTTCTACTCTGAGGTCCTGAGGACAGGAACAAGGTTAATTCATTGTATTTCTCACATAACTGAGGCAGTGCTGGTCACAGATTAAGAGCTCAATGTGGTAGGTTGTTGCTTGTTACCACATCCCTCTATAGCTGATGATTTGCTTGCCAGAAACACCATTAACATGGGGCACTGGATTGGGAGAGAGATGGAAAATGGGAGGACATTCCTACAATAATACTTGCCAGAAAATCTGCCTTCCACAACAATTCCGTTCCTGCTGTCTAATACTCATTTTCTGAGTTAGTAATAGCAGAAATTACTATAAAAGTAGGTAATTTCTGTCTTTACAGAGAGGAAATATAGGCTGGGGGTTTAGTCATCTTCCTTGTCATCATTATCAATGTCTTCATGTTCATTAATATCAGCTAACTTTTGTCATTGTTAGACATCTATTTTGCATAGTAGGTATTTCCAGAAGTACCTCGTGATTATATGTGTATATACGTATAACATATATGATATACATAAGGAGAAATAAATCAATCTTAATGGGTTGCATGAAGAGTTGTATCCTATATAAACCTTTTGAGAATTAGAGCAACACACACCAAATTTCTTTTTCTTGTTGGTTTAGAGTGTTTTGATGGGTAAAAGGGAAGAGTTTTTTCTATGATGGGAAAAATATTTTCCTCATAATGATCTTCTTATATGTTTGTTGAAGAAAAAAAATCAGTCCTTTTTTTAAAAAATGGTTGCAATAAATGCAACTTGTGTGTGTGTGTGTGTGTGTAGTTGACAGACAGATACTTCCACAAAAGGTTCCTGAATTGGTAAAAGTCTCAAGTCTCTGATCTGTGCTCATGAGCTACTTAAATGCAGCAGAATCACATACACAACACACAACAGAAAAACTCAGAAACTCCTACTCAAAAGGCCCCTTGATGGTGACACATTCCTTGGTAACCCAAATAGAAGTAGTCAAATATGATAGCCTTTGAATTCCAGGCTGAAGGGTTCATAGAAGAGAAATTCTAAAGAGAAGAGTGGCTGACCGAGGGGCATCTCTCTCCACAGTTAGGACTGGGGACTTGGCCTGGTCTAAAAGCATGGGAGATACTCTCTAAAAGAGTAAGGAGGCCTATGGCACCAAACCAGCCTCTCAGGATTGACTGACCTGGGAAAGGCCCAGAGCCTCTGGCTGAAATTTGGCTGGAATATGTTAGGGGCTAAATGTGGGGCAGTCTTGGAGCCTTTGGTGCCAAAGTTCTTCCTGAGGGACTGAGCAAAGCGTGTTCAGAGGGAGGCTTGAAAGGTAAGTACCCATAGCCTTAAACCCCTCTGTTTGCTGTACATTGAGACCTTAGCCTGGGAAAAGGGTCTGATTTACAGAAAGTCTCATATAGTCACCCCCTCTCCCACTAGTGCCGAAGAGGCTATCTGGGAAGCTCATCATCCAGCTCAGGAAGAGATGAAACCAGGAGGCAGGAGAATGTCAGGCATGACCCCACACTTGTGCAACAGCCACGTCCTGCTCCTGCCATTAGCATGGCTCATCCGAGGCCCAGCCCCAGGATCCATACAAAGTGTGTTCCTGCTGCTGGCTTCTCATCTGCTCTGCTTCCTAAGGGACGTATCTGTTGCTGCGTCTGAACCCACGGTGAGTGTTTCTATAGGAATCCAGAGGGGGACGCTAGCGGGATGAAGATGGAGATGGAGAGTAATTCTGGAAGTCGAACAGTGAAGCGTGGAGTAGGAGGAGGATGACATGGTGGACAAGGCCAGAAGGCCAGAAGTAGTAGTTGGCTCTGGACAAAGCAGGAACCAACCTGGGAAGGATTATCCCTGTGATCAGACAGGAAGATGATGAATGACCTGGGATTGCTACATCCCTACCAATGGTTGGCCTGCTGGTCCTAAGCCCATTGCTCTGAAGGAAGCTTTTCTCTAACCGTGCAGATCTCAAATTTATTATTATTTATTAAACAGATTTTCTACGAATTTCTGAATTCCATTTCTAGATAAATTCATGTGGGTAGAATTGCAATGTATTTAACATGTCTTTGAGATGGCATTCAAATTTTGCTGGCTTTATTAGCTCAGAAGTCACTTATTAACCACCTAACAAATACTAAGAATTTTTGAAAGCTCTAGGGGTACAAAAGTAATGAAGATATACTCTTTGTCTGAAAGAGGTTTCTATACATGTCCATATTTTAGATATTCCTCTTCATCACCTTGGGGGAGGATTTTAAAATAAAAAAAAATGTAATGGCTCTTGATATTAAGTTTCTGTATATGTTTCTATTTTGTCATTCAGGTTTATCGAAATCCCACCAAGATGTCCTGCCAGCAGAACCAACAGCAGTGCCAGCCCCCTCCCAAGTGTCCTATCCCCAAGTATCCCCCAAAATGTCCCTCAAAGTGTGCATCCTCATGCCCACCTCCAATCTCTTCCTGCTGTGGCTCCAGCTCTGGGGGCTGTGGTTGCTGCAGCTCTGAGGGAGGTGGCTGCTGCCTGAGCCACCACAGACACCATAGGTCCCACTGCCACAGACCCAAGAGCTCCAATTGCTATGGCAGTGGCAGTGGCCAGCAGTCTGGGGGTTCTGGCTGCTGCTCTGGAGGGGGCTGTTGCTGACCTGGACCAGGAGCAGCACCAAAGGAATTAGTGGGCGAAGGACCCATTGCAGCCTGGTGTTTTACCTCCTTCACTCTCTTGCCTTTCCTTTCTGTAGCCCCATCAATTGAATAAACATGCAGGTTTGCGTCTCATCAACTTCAGGCCTTGGATTTGCATTATTTTAGCTTTATGTCAATATTTATATTTCTCAGATTATTGAAAAATTTTCTGATGTGCTTTGCAACAGTAAATTTACTTTCAAGTAATTTTCTAGTCCCAGTTTGATGGTGGTTTTTATTCCACTTTTCTTCACTTTTACCTAAATCCCAATCCTTTTCCTAGATAGAAAGATAGATTTATAGCTTTTACTGAAATAGAGAAAAATCAACCAATTAAACTTTAATGAATTACTTATTTGTGTACACATACCTTCACGAAAATCTAAAATTCTGCAGTATTTGTGAAAACAATAAATAAGGATTGATTAGAATTCCAAGATAAACCTAACTTAAATTTAAAAAAAAATTAGTGGTGAAATAGCCAAGTCAGTAAAGTTGTTTGGACAGAAAAATCTAATTTACTTAAGTTAAAAAAATGTACTTACTGCTCCATACATTTTCTAAAGCAATATTCTCTTTCTCTCTGTCTCTCTCTCTCTGTGTGTGTGTGTGTGTGTGTGTGTGTGTGTGTGTGTGTGTGTGTGTGTGTTTAAAGGATTAATATTAAGAAAGCAGAATAGCATCACATCCACTTGGGAACCATGTAGAAAAGTGTAATAATTTTTGTAGCTGTTCTTATTAATTGTGTTGTGCACATGCAAGAGTCTGGTTAAATAAAGTTCTATTGAAACCCAGGTTTCTTTCTTTAAGAAGCCTATTTACAGTATCCAAAAGTCAGAATTGGAATTCAATGAAGTACTATTTCCCTTGTCCTCTCCACTGTGTCCCAAAGGTAAGGAGCCTCTTGTTACAGAGCTCTGCTGACTTAGGACTTTCTCTGAGGCAGACACATTGGTAATGGTAGGTCACAAGTTGCAGACCTGTCTTAGCCTTGTGGTCATGCAGGAAGTTCAAACAATTTCATTGGGAGAAAGTGCAGACTGAGGTGGGCACTAGCATGCACCCTTGGGCCTTTGCAGACTGCTGTTGAAATAAACTTGGTTTGTTGTTGTTCCTGCTGTTGTTCTTGCACTTACTACTAATTGAAATTACATATTTATTTCCCTTTGATTGTTAAATGCCTCTCACCTTATCCCTGAAGAAGATTATACTATAAACTATTTATTATATGTAATGTATATAATGTATGTGCTTCAGGATGTCAGTGTCTGGTCATGAAAACAGAGACCATTCTAGCCACATTCTAGCTAGTTTAAACACAGAAAGATTTAATGCAGGGAATTTGTTAGAAAAGTCTTGGAGGGGCTGAATAAGTAAAAGTGGTACTTAGGGATTACCCAGAGATCTGGAAGAATTTGGGGCAGGACGTAGGACTTGCCAAATGGCTGTGCTGGCTCAGGAGAGCACTGGAAACAAAACTGTCATCCTTGCTGTACTGTCACAGAGAGCACCCACGTGTGACAGCTCCAAGATCACTCTTTGAAATTCTGGTCCACTAGTCCCCAGAATGATGTATTAGGATGGGGGAAAGGGTGGAGGCTGGTGGCTTTGGAAGTCAGGGGCTGGTGTGGCAGGTCACAGGCTTTCTGGGACATAGCCCATCTGAAGTGAAGGAAGAGCCCTGTTCCTCACCCTGTTCCCCTGCTCTGGTCGCTGTTCAGAACCAAATGCAACTGTAATGACTACATATGGTTGATGGGGGATAAGAAATAGCAATACCAGCAAAACTAACAAACATTCAGTTAGCATTTACTCATGTTAGGCATAAGCTTTATCTCACATCAACATTTGCTTGGACTGTTTATTCTAAAGATATTTATTAAGTGCCTACTATGTATCAAGTGCAGTTTTAAGAATAGACTTGTGAACAAAACAGCCAAAAATTTCTTCCCCATTAAACTTATTCTAAGAAAAGAAAGCAGGTGACAAACAAAATGAATAAGAAAAATATGTATTATTCACGCAACCGACAAATATGTTTTGAGTGCACCAAGCACTATGTATAGTAAGGCACTGTGGACAGAGCAGTGAACAAAAGCAATGAAAGTTCTCAGCCAATAGGGTTCACATTCTGATGGGACAAAATGAAAAATACATGCATACATAAAATATATAAGTATTAGATGAGGATAAACTCTAAGGAGAGAAATAAGCTTGGAAGAGGGACAGGGAGGGCAAGTAGGTATGGATTATAATGCTAAATGAGGTCACCAGTGAAGCCTTCACAAGAGCCACATTTGAGCAAAGACTAGAGTGAGAAAGTCAGCCACGTGGGCATCTGGGGAAACACTGTGGGTAGAGAAAAAGCAACAGCAAAGGGCCTGCAGTGGGAGTGTGCCTGAGCATCAGACAAACTGCAAGCAGACTGGTGTAGGGTCAGAGTGAGGGGAGAGGATAGGACATGAGATCAGTGAAGTACAGAGTGTAGGGTCCAGTCTGTGCATCCCTTTTGAAAACCTTTGTAAGGACTTTGGCTTTTACCATGAGCAGAATGAGAAGTCATTTGAATATTTCTGAGCAGAGGAATGACATGCTCTGACTATTAATGTCTTCATTTTTATAGATGAGAAAACAGCTTCAGAATGTATAGCTAATTATCTAAGGTCACACATCTAGGAATTGGCAGAGCTATGACTAGGACTGGGACTGTCTGAAAGGAGATGTGAAAAGTTCAGCTGGCTCTTTGGGTGAAGGTCTTGAAGAGGTTGGAATAAAGGTCAGAACAGGCCATTTGCACAGAGAGGATGGATAAAATAGTTAAGAGGGGTCGAAGAGGGGACATAATCCAGTGGGTTCTATCTGTAAAAGTTTTCTGTATCCCTTTACATCTTGAAATGAAAAGATGGAGAGACAACTTCCATTGAAAATCTGGGAGGGGGTTGTAAGATCAAATGCAATGAAACAGTTCTACAACGCTGTAAGTAAATCTGAGGGACTAGTTACCCAGTATATGTTATAAGGGAATAAATGGGTTAGGGAAAGGGTGGTGGGCGTTCCAGGAAACCAGCACTAGTGGGCCATTCCAGGAGAAAGAGAAGTATCTGGACATTGATATTCACTGACCTCTGTGATCAAGAGGGCTTCAGTGCTGTCTTGCCGTGTCCCCAGCACAAACAGCCCATGTGACTCTGAGCTAGGTGGGGCTTGCATTCTCATGTTTGGATGACCCACATATGTGCACACAGTGGGAGTCTTATATGACTTTTCCCCTCCATATGTGAAAACCCTCTCTGCTCCATAGAGGATGTCCTTTACAAGATGTTCCTTGGCTTTTCTTGTGGTAGTCTGGGTGGAAGTGGTGAGTGGGAATGGAGGTAAGGAGGGAGACAGGTGAGGGAACTCCCTAGCAAGCCAGCTTAGTGTTCACGTGTGGTTACAGAACATGTCCTAGATCAGATTGAGAAATTCCTGTCTAGAGTCAGCTCCTGCCTGGCTGTGTGACCTCAAACAAGTTTCTTCCCTTCTCTGTGGGCCTCAGTTACAATATAGGGGCTGCCCTCTGTCCTTCATTCTGTGGTTCTACAACAGAATCTCCTGATAGTCTAGGAGGAACCCCCAATTATCACAGGAATATCGCAGGGGATCTCTGGTGCAAGCCTTGGGGCTAGGCCTGAAACAGACATACATAGACATAAAATCTAAGAGTGGAGATCACTGATCTCAGACACAGTAGAGAGATTTCTCACCGCGTACCAACATTCCTGTGCCCTCCCTCTCTTCAGTGTGTGGCTTCTCATTTCTTCCTACTTCTTGTCCCCAGAAGGGAAGGGACCCAGATTTGGCCTTTAGATTGTCCCCAGTCCCTGATCAGGAAAAGTTCCTAGGATGAGAGGAGACCCAGAACATGATGTCGGAGAGCAACATGTCTTTTTGGGCACCTCCCTATTTAATCCCCTGATCTGGGTTAAAATCTGAGTCTGGTTCCCACACTAAGGGGCCAAGCTTCAAATGTATAGTGAATGTTAGGATTCATGGATGTTGGTGCTGTAAGGGATCTGAGAGATAATCTAGTATACAGTTCCTGACTATCCTGATGGTAAATCCCAAAACAAGCTAACCAGGGGCACTACAGAGGACTTGTATTATTTTATTTTATTTTATTTTCTAGAGACAGGGTCTCCGGTGCAGTGGCATGATCATAGCTCACCGCAGCCTTGAACTCATGGGCTCAAGCAATCTTCTTGCCTCAGCCTCTGGAGTAACTAGAATTACACGAGCCACTGTACCTACCTTACAGAGAACTTTTAAAGATTAGCAGATCTTTCTAGGAATAGCAGCCTATTAGGCTGTATGACACAGGTATTCAATTGCATTCTGGCAGGGGCCAGACCCCATGACCTATTTTAGTACTTTCTGCCTTGGAGATAATTCTCTCCGCCTACTTCTCTGGACTAGTTTTCCATGAATCCACAAGTCTCTGATTCTATCAGCTTGCATCCAAAGAGATAAATGTAAGGGAGTTTCTGGGAGCAGATTTTTGGGATAACCCTGTGAGTCATCCTGGCACTTGCACCAGTTATCTGACTTCTCCATGCCTTGCCTTCCCAGCCTATACAGTGGGTGGGGCACAACCCACCCACCTGTTTTGGTGGCACATAGATAAGGTGTCTCTCACCAGGTATGCTAGTACTGCTTGCAGATGTCAAACCCATTAGTTAGAGCTTGACTCCATACAGCAGGAAGTGAGCCAATCAGAGCTCACAGATGGCATGAGATGCACAGATTGGCTAAAGACAGAACAGCACTGACCACATGGAGGAAGGAGGTCAGTCTGGGCTGTGCTGTCAATGTAAAGCACCCCCATTCATTCATTCACTCATGCATTTGTTTAGTCAATGTTTCCCAGGTCCTATGATGATATATGGTGAATATGTCCACAGTTAACAATTCTTGAAAATCATAGTCTCGTGGGAATAACTCCATGGAAGGCTAGGTTGTGGAAGTATACATTTCCCTTGTAGAACAGGCTCCTACAACCACAGAATATCATAGCCAGAAGGGGTCTCATCTAGCCTCTTTGCTTTAGATTGGAAGAGAAAAGGCCTAGAGACACCAGGGCACTGTGGAATCACAGGGTGGGGTGGTGGCACAATTAGGATAAGGGTCCAGGTCTTTCTATTTGTGCCTTGAAATGTCTGTCTCCAGTTTTGTTGGCACATCTTAAAATGGCTGGTCTCCTAGGGCATTTTCTTCTCTGTAAAATGGGGATATCCCATCCTACATATAATGCAGAAGGCTTCTTAATGACTGCTTATAGGTTGGGTGACTGAAAGGTATGGTTCCTGAAGCATCATGGATTGTAACACCAGAAGCAGCATGCTTTGGTAGAAAAACAAAATTTGAAGACTCTTTTACCTGGGTTCAAATTCTGGCTCTATCACTTCTAACTGTGTGAGCTTGGACAAGTTATTTTTTGTTTGGAACACTATCGTGAGAACCAAATTTGATGAGCTACCCCGTGTGGTGTCTAACCCCAAAAAGAGATGGTTCCTTTTCCTTTTACTTCATAAAACATCAGGTCTGGGTATGCACTGAGGAGGGACACTTAGGAGAGCAGAAGTGGAATGGCCTGGAACCACATCCCTCCTCATTTACCCCTCCCTTTGGGGAGAGGGAATGACTGGTGAGCTTCATGGTGGAAGCTGTGCAGTAAGACAAGCCCTTCAGAGGCAGGAATGGCAGGAGGAAGCAGGACACCATGCCTGAGGACTCCAAGCCAGGACACCAAGCCTGAGGCAGAGTCTCCCATCTTGCTTCTTCCAAAATGTTCAAGAGCAGACAGGCATCACACTACCTGACTTTAAAATATACTACAAAGCTATAGTAACTGAAACAGCATGGTACTGGCATAAAAACAGACACATAGACCAATGGAACAGAATAGGGAACCCAGAAATTAATCCATATATTTGCTATCAACTGATCTTTGACAAAGGTGCCAAGAACACACAATAGGGAAAGGAAAGTCTCTTGAATATGTGGTACTGAAAAAACTGGGTATCCTCATGAAGAAGAATGAAATAAGATGCTTATCTCACACTGTATACAAACATCAACTGAAAAATGAATTCAAAATGTAAATTTAAGATTCAAAACTATGAAACTACTAGGAAAAAAACAGGGGAAAAGCTCCATGACATTGGTCTGGGCAAGGATTTTTTGAATATGACCTCAAAAACATAGACAACAAAAGCAGAAACTGACAAATAAGATTAAATCAAGTTAAAATGCTTCTGTACAGAAAAGGAAATAAGCAACAGAGTAAAGAGACAACCTACAAAATCAGAAAACATTTGCAAACTATACATCTGATAAGGAGTTAATATCCAAAATATATAAGGAACTCAAACAACCCAATAGAAAGAACACAAATATCCCAATTAAAAATGGGCAGAGAATCTGAATATACATTTCTCAAAAGAAGACGTACAAATGGCCAACATGTCTAGAAAAAAATGCTCAATATCACTAATCACCAGGGAAATGCAAATCAAAACCACAATGAAATAACACCTCACTCCTGTAATAATGGCTATTATCAAAAAACAAACAAATGAAAATAATGACAAAGATGTAGAGAAAAGGGAACTTATACACCATTGGCGAGAATGTAAGTTAGTGCAGCCATTATGAGAAACAGTATAGAGGTGTCTCAAGAAACTGCAAATGGAACTATCACATTATCCAGCAATCTAACTACTAGGTATTTGTCCAAATGAAAGAAAATTAGTATATCAAAGGGATAACTGTATTCCCATGTTTATTGCAGTGCTATTTACAATAAATAGCAAAGACACAGAATCAACCTAAGTGTCCATCAGTGAATAAATGAATAAAGAAAATGGAGTATGAACACAGAATGGAATACTATCCAGCCATAAAAAGGAATGAAATCCTGTCATTTCCAGCAACATGGATGGAACTGGAGGTCATTATGTTAAGTGAAATTAGGAAGATAAAAGATAACATGTTGCCAAGGATGTGGAGAAAATAAAATCTAACACACCATTGGTGGGAATGCAATTTAGTACAACCATGTGGAAAACAGTATGGAGGGTCTTCAAAAATTAAAAATAGAACTGGCATATAATCCATCAATCACACTAGTAGGTATATATCCAAAGATATTGAAGTCAGTAATATTGAAGAGATATCTGCATTCCCACATTTATTGCAGCACTATTCACAATAGGCAATAAAAGGAATCAACCTAAGTGTAAATCAAAGGATAAATGGATGTTTAAAAATGCTATATATACACAAAGAATACTATTCAGTCACAAAAAGAAGGAAATCCTGTCATTTGTGAGAAGGTGAATGAACCGGGAAGATATTATGCTAAGCAAAATAAGCCAGGCATAGATAGACATACTGCATGATCTAATTTATATGTGGAATCTAGAAATGTTGATCTCATGGAAATAGAGAGCAGAGTGCTGGTTACGAGAGATTGGGGTGGCTGGTAGGTGGGGTTGGGGAGATATTTAAAGTATTCAGGGGAAGACTTCGCAGGACCTGGCTTGACATGGGAGAGGGGCTGTGAATTAGTGGGTCTTTGCATCCTCTTTGTTTAGGAAATGTAGAAGCCTTAAAGCTTATGGGTCCTGGGAAATGTGGGGATCTATTATGTACAAATACAGTAGAACAATTTACCTGAGAGGCCGTAGGGGCCACGGTGGAGCCTGCACTGGTTTATCTAAGGAATTGACATTTGGACCAGTGCTAGGCTTAGGCTCAAGACAACTTTCTTCAGTGGGCGACCCAATATAGCTCAGTGGGGGTAGCATGGGCTCTGGAGCTGGATAGGCTTGGGTTGCAATGTCACTCCATTACCTACTGATGGGATGACCTTGGAAAAGTGGACCTCTGGGTCTCAGTTTTCTCTTGTGTAAAATTGGGGCTAATGAAGCCTGTCTCATAGAGTTATTTCAAAATCAAATGAAATAACACAGGCAAAGAGCCTAGGACAGTATCCACCACATAGTAAGTGCTCAGTAGATAATATTCCCACCTCTCTTTCTACATCTTCTGCATTGTGGAAAAGAAAACAGGCAGGGATTCAAGGACAATGCCATGTTCAGAAATAAAAGGCAACATATTGTAGTAATAAAGATCATGATCTATGAAAGCAGACTCCTGCATCTGAGGCCTAGCTTCCTTACTTACCTGCTTTGTGATGAGGGTAACTCCCTTAAACTTTCAGGGCCTCAGTTGTGTCCATTTGTAAATGTACTGCCTCATGAATTGTTATATATAAAGTATTCAAATAAACTTTAGATTCTATTATTATTGTTGTTGTTGTTATCACACAGTGCTCATCTGGCTGGAATTTTCCCTGCTCAGCGTTCTTTGGAATTGAAGCCTGGTAGTGAGGTCCTGAAAGGTAAGAATGGGGGAGCCTAAGGGGCATGAGAAGGCTGAGGGGAGGCAGTCTAGACTCCAGCCTGGGGCCTAGGATCATTAAGCACCCACCCAGTTTCCAAATGAACCTAGAATAACCTGATGTTCCATGAAACAAACCATTTTTTGGAGGTCTTGTGTCATATTGGGCCAGAGACCACTGGGCCAAACTGTGCTCAGCAACCTAGACCAGCAGAAGTTACCTTGGAAGCCCACAGAACACTCATTTAGGCTGAGTGAAGTGAGGTGAATCTATAGTTAAATTCTCAATTTTTCATACACTGTGCCAAAAGCTACACTTAGCTTTAGATTAGATTCTCAATTTTAGTTTGATTCTCTGAGCTACACTTAGCTTTTGGCACAGTGTATGAAAAATTGAGAATCTAACTATAACTTGGATAAGTCCTGAAGACTCAAGTGACCTGGAAACAGCTTCATTAGAGACAGATCACATAGGCATCACTCATAACTTATAGGAAAAGGAGACTGACTTGTTTCCTGAGGAAGGGAACAGGAATCATTTATCTAGTGTTTGGGAAAACCCAATGTCAAGCACAGACATGCCCTGCCTCTGACTGAGGAGCCAGGCATACTGGGGAGGAATCTTGCCAATGCAACACCATCCCTTCTCCTTGTGATCTCTGGTGCTTCATTTAGATGCCATTAAATTGCCTCATTGCTGCCCTATAAAAGGTCTCCCCACCTGCTAGTTTTTCAGATCACTGACTTCTTCCAGTCTTGCTCCTATCAGCAAAGAGGGTAAGTCTCTATACGGGATAAGGACATGGTGAGAAACAGAGCTTTGGGGAAGCTGGGGTGGGATGAGAGCTGTGGGATGAAGGGTGAGCGAGGACTAGATGCTTAGGAAATCTGCTGAAGGAGGCTGAAAGCAATGCTGGTGGGAAACTTGGAGCCTGGGGCATGAGAGGAGAGGGAGGGGGACACGATGAGCTGGCATTCCTGTTTAAGAAGGGACTTTAGAGAACTGGCTCCCCATCCCCTTATCTGAATGCAATTGTGCAGTCCTCTCTTGGGTCTATGTGCTAATGAGGCCAACTGATTAGTCCAGCTGGTTCAAGGAGCACCTGGTAGAAACCTGCTCAAATTTAGCCTTGTTCTTTGCTCAGTACCGGGCACAGCTTGAGGCTCATGTTGGCTCAGGGTCCATGGACATAAATTTGTCTTTGCTGGGTATTCCTTGTCTGGGCAGAAGGAAGAAGGGAAGTCACCCTGGAGAGAACTGGTGGCAGGGGTCAATCATCTGGGAGCAGCAATTTCCAAAGGGTAATTCACAATGCAGACACTGAAGAAAGAGGAGAGGAGGCTTGGAGAGTTGGGTAGAAACACAGGCAGCACCATTTCAAGCCTCCATTTCCCAATATAGAGACTGAGGCCCAGAGGTAAGCGATGACTTGTACCAAGCCACATAGCCAGGTACAGGCACAGAAGCTGAGCTGAGAGTCCCTGGCTCTGAATCCACCTCCTGCCAAGTATACAGCCTCTGGATGTCTGCAACCTTCTCAAGAAAGCCTTGCTTGCAAATCACTGTATTCAAAGGGGATGTTGAAGGTTTCCCCTAGAAACCTTCCTGGTTTTACAGTTCTAATGAAACCTTTCTTTTCAGATTTTGCAAAGCCACAGAACAATGTGTGACCAGCAGAAGCAGCCACAGTTCCCTCCATCTTGTGTGAAAGGTTCGGGACTAGGGGCTGGGCAGGGTAGCAATGGTGCCTCTGTGAAATGCCCAGTTCCATGCCAGACCCAAACTGTCTGTGTGACAGGCCCTGCTCCATGCCCTACTCAAACTTATGTGAAGTACCAAGTTCCATGCCAGACTCAAACCTACGTGAAGTGCCCAGCTCCCTGCCAGAGGACCTATGTGAAATACCCAACACCCTGCCAAACCTATGTGAAGTGCCCAGCTCCCTGCCAGACAACCTATGTAAAATGCCCAACTCCCTGCCAAACCTACGTGAAGTGCCCAGCTCCCTGCCAGATGACCTACATCAAAAGTCCAGCTCCCTGCCAGACCCAGACGTGCTATGTCCAGGGTGCTTCTCCTTGCCAGAGCTATTATGTTCAAGCTCCTGCAAGTGGCTCAACCTCCCAGTACTGTGTCACTGACCCATGCTCTGCTCCCTGTTCCACCAGCTACTGCTGTCTGGCTCCCCGGACCTTCGGGGTGAGTCCCCTGAGACGCTGGATTCAGCGGCCCCAGAACTGCAACACAGGATCATCTGGCTGCTGTGAGAATTCGGGAAGCTCTGGATGCTGTGGTTCTGGGGGCTGTGGCTGCAGCTGTGGATGTGGCAGCTCTGGGTGCTGCTGTTTGGGAATTATCCCCATGAGGTCCCGAGGTCCTGCATGCTGTGACCATGAGGATGACTGCTGCTGCTAAACATACGACAGCTCAACTCCAGAATGCACTGCCCCGCTACCCCTTCTGGAACATGCACCAGCTTCTGGCCCCCTCTCTGTTAGTGCCAGTGATGTAGAACCTCATCACTTTGCCTCTGTGCTTTGCTTCTCTACCAAGGCAGCCTGCCAGAGTTAGTACAGTCCCCAAACTTTGGCATGAATAAAGCTCTGAATGCATTTCGTGGTAATTTCTGTCTGTTTGTTTGGTCCATATTTATGCTTTTCTATCAGGCACTCTTCTGCATCCCTCTCTTCTTACTCTTGTTTCTCAGCTAGAGGAAAGATCTGCACGAACATGAACAAGCAGACTGAGCTGGTGAAATCCCAGCCTGGGAGCCCCATGCCTTCTAGAATGCTGTGAATAAACTTTCCCACGCAAGTTAGAAGCATCTGAAAATGGAGATTTGAGGGTTGGGGCTGTTTCTGTGCTGCCCTTTGATGAGCCTCAGAGCAGGGTTGACCATGATGAGACCCTCATCTTCCTGGGTGTTGGAGAGATTGTGAAATTGTATCTGCTCATGGACCAGTATCACTGGTCATGGTCAGTATCACTGGACCATGTCTCCACCACTGTGCAGAGGGCTTGAACCCATGCAGGACTTTATGAATTACATTTTCTCATCTGACAGGCTTGCCCTGTTGAAACTATAGGTTGAAGGCCTGAGGGAAAAGGCTAGGAGCCCCCTGAAGTGGGTAGGTATTCACCAGGTCAGTCCTGGTAGTAAGTGAGCCATCTCCAAAGGAAGGTGAATCTTGTGCGAGGGGCTTCTGGGCCCCCTTCTGGGCCCCTCACCCTAGTTAGCTTTTTCTTCTCCATTGCTTAGCTAGCTCTAGAGAATTTGGGGTGGACTTTTGTAACTAAAGATTCCAAATACACACATTAAAAAAATAGAGGAGTAACAAGTGTTCAAAACAATCCCACAAGGTCTGGTGCATAGGAGACAATGTTTGGTGATGTATAAATGAACGCATAAAGGAATGAATGAAAAAGGGAATCATGTGTTTGTTTCTAACCCTGGACACTAGCAGAAGATCATCTTGACTACTCTGCTGCCTTTGAATGTCTAAACACCTGTATCTCCACAAACAGCACAATATCCCTTCATCCAAACTCCCTAAACTTACAGCCCAGTCACTGGAAACCCACTCAGGGAAGGAACTGCCTTGGCCAGGGCCACACTTTCCTCTTGTACCACCAACTGGGTCCTGCAATGTTGGAGGATGGGGTGCTAAAGTTCCCTGTGGTCTAGTCTCTTTAGAGAATGGTATCTGCAAAGCCCAACTCAGCACTGAAAATATTGTAGGGAATCCTCTTTAAAACCCAATGCAAACTTCTAAAAATCCTATTTCTATCCTTTTCAATTCCTTCATATTCCATAGCTGTTCATCAGTCTCTCACTAAACTACCCCAAATGCTCCTAATATCCAGACATTGTGGCTTCTTTCATCTCTTTCTCTCCTTGCTCACTCTCCTTTCCTCCTCAATCCCACCTGGTTCTGGTCCTGGTTATGTAGATGGTTTGAGTTTTTCTGTCTCCCTTGTTAATTTTCTCTATACTTACCCAATCTTAGTATTCTCTGCTCCATAGGAATTAACCTAGGAATAAAACCTCTCCTCTTTTCTCCAGCTGTTCTAATGCTTTCTCTAACCCACTCTATTGGTTTTGTACAAGAGAGAGGAAAGTAGTTGAAACCAAGAGCTAACCTGACGAAGCTCACCAAACTCAACCTGCCTTGCTTGCTTTTAGTCACTTACTTCTAGTTAATCTTAAAACCCATGTAGCTAAAAGTCACACAGCTAAGCAATCTGCTAGCTTCCTTTTAGAGAACATCCCTGACATATAAGTTACCATGCTGATGGTTCCTTGTTGTTTTTTTAAGAACTTGGTGTTGGCTGTTTTCTAGTTCAAGCTGAAACCACCGACCCTTCAACTGGGCCTGCAAGAATACCTGAGAGGTGACCTTTTGATGTCAGAGGGTCAAAAGCTCCTCCCTCAGAGCATGCTAATACCACCATTTTCTGAACATGCTTCTTATGAAGAGCAATGAAGCTTGACTATGCAAGTGCAAATAGCCACTTGCCTCACTGTTCCTTGCCTCCAACTGCCTTTCCCCAGGCCCTGAACTACCTTGCTCTTCTATCCCATAAATGTCTCTGAAACCATATCTTGGAAAGGTGGATTTGAGATCCGTTGGCTGCCGTGGCTTACAGTGCACAGGCAGCACACATCTAGTTCAGTATCAGAATTATAAAGCTCAAAGGGCAAAAATATAATTTTCTTTAATAGAGCATATGAGTGGAAGAAAAAGTCAAGGAGCAAAAACCTACACATTAATATATCTCAATTGATTGCATATCTTAGACTTTTCTGTTTTATTATATAGGATCATAATACATGTTGCCCTATGACTAGCTGTTTTCATTTAATACGTCAATGTTGAACATAAATTTTGGTTAGTGCATATAGTCATATCTTCTTTCCTTTTGTTGTTTGGTTTTTAATATTTCCTTAGTGTGGCTGCTCAACGATTTATCTAACCACCCCCTTAGACTGCCCTTTTTGATTTCTCTTTTTCTCTTCTCTTTTTCTCCCTGTCTCTGTTTGCCTCTTATTATTACCATACAAGTTGCTGTTAAGGCCTTTTTCAAATGTTTTCAAATTTTCTATTTAGATGAAACACACTTCTAGAAAAGTATACAAATTAGAAGTGTATTACTCACTAAACACACGTGTATAACCACCATCTGGACCCCAGAAAGCTAATGTCATATTGAAAACTAATAAAGTCCCTGATTACCATGAACTAGGAGACTGAATTTGGAGATATGAAATGGATTAGAGCAGAAGTAGCTTTATATAATCCCAAACCTTCTCAGGAGCCCTGATTGTGTGTTAGGTAGATATGTACAAAAGACAATGTAAAGAGAAGCATCCGCCCTGGGGTCTAGGTCCTTCAGACATCCAGGTGAGTTCTGAGAGCATCTACCAGTGACCCCACCACACAGCAGTGTGACCTTGCTCTTACACAGAGCAGAGGACACTGAGCAGCCTGATACCAGTGCTTGAGAAACCCTCAGTAACCTGGCCAGTGTGAAGGTTCTATAACAACTTTCTTGTCAGATTATAATTCATTTATCTAATATATAGTTATTGAACTTCTATGTCATTCCGGGCACCATCTCTATTGTTTTGGAGTTTATAGCAGAGAGGGAGAATTTTAAAAAAGCAAGTAATTCAATAAACAAATGTAAGCTGCATCTAGGACTAGAGTTATAAAGAAAGTGTTTCAAATATCTGTAATATGCACATTTTACATGGTCAGGAAGATCAGAAAAGACTTCCCTGAGAAAGTGTAGCTTGACCCCAAGGTTGAGTAGGAGTTAATAACAGAACAGTGACGGAAGACTTTTCCATGCAGAAGCAAGAGCACAGGCAGGGCTCTGTTGGGGGGAGGGGGAGGGGCGGAGAACAAAAAGTGTAAGGGGCTGGTGGTGAGACAGTGAGAATTAAAGCAGAAAGGGGCAGAAGGGCCTGGGGGCTAAGGGCAACCTCGGTGTGGGGCATCCCAGCAGTCATTGACAGGTTGCAAGCAGGCCATGTGACTTGTGCCTTTTAAAGTTTAATTTTCTCTGCAGAAAAAAAATAGATATACTTGTAGAGCATATAAAGGAGAATCTAAAACAATTGCCCAATAGCATTAGTGTACCTGGTTCTCTCCTAGCCCTGCCATGCATAACTCCCCTCTTTGGGTCTGGTTTTCATGTCTGTAAGATGGCAGCTTGGGCCATAAGACGAGTAGGGTGCATTTCAGCACCAGCATCAGGTGATCTTTGCCTCCTGGTACAGGGACTTCAGGGTCTCATTTTAAAACTGGTGAGTTACAAATGTGGCCTTCAGAATATTCAGTTTCAAGACATTTTTTGTTTAACCAAAAGTTCTACTATATTCTGTTTTTTTATAACTTAAAAAATTTTGGTCCACTGTTTCTAATGTAAGATAATCCAAATTTCCTGGCTCTTTTTTTTTTTTTTGAGATGGAGTCTTGCTCTGTCGCCCATCCTGGAGTGCAGTGGCGCGATCTCGGCTCACTGCAAGCTCTACCTCCCAGGTTCACGCCAGTCTCCTGCTTCAGCCTCCTGAGTAGCTGGGACTACAGGCGCCCACCACCACGCCCGACTAATTTTTTGTATTTTTAGCAGAGACGGGGTTTCATCGTGTTAGCCAGGATGGTCTCGATCTCCTGACCTCGCGATCCGCCGGCCTCGGCCTCCCAAAGTGCTGGGATTACAGGCATGAACCACCGCGCCCGGCCAATTTCCTGGCTCTTAATACCTTTACAATATTTATTGGAGATTTGACTATAAATGATTTAGAGAGAATGGCAAGTCCAAAACATGGAATGAAACCCCGGGGAAACTGGACAGAGATTCCTTGAACAGGCCGAGATGCTGCTATCCTGGGATCTCTTATGAATCTGCTTTCCCATAATTTTTCTGGAGTAGAAAAGTCTACTGAGTAGAATCCCAACCCCACTTGCCTGGGTAAGATAGTTTTTATGATGATTTCTCTTGCAGGAAAATACTTCTGCCAAATTTCCCGACAAGTAAGGCTAATACCTGCAGAGAGACTTTGTAATATTTCTCAAAATTAAGAAATAAAATATAGTCATGTACATCTAAATTTTATATCTTACACGTATTTATTATTTTTATTATTATATATTTTTAAGATTTAGTTTTTTTATTATACTTTAAGTTCTAGGGTACATGTGCACAACGTGCAGGTTTGTTACACATGTATGCATGTGCCATGTTAGTGTGCTGCATCCATTAACTCGTCATTTACATTAGGTATATCTCCTAATGCTATCCCACCACCCTCCCCCAACCCCACGACAGGCCCCGGTGTGTGATGTTCCCTACCCTGTGTCCAATTACACGTGTATTATACATATACTGTGAAAGTACAGCCAATATTAGTAAAGACCCATAAGAAAAATGACTCAAATCTATTTATTCTTGACACCTAAAGGAAAAGACAGAGAATTGCCCTTTATTTATTGAGGGCCTACTATGTGTGCCAGGCACTGTGTTAGTCACTCTGCATGCAATGTTCTCCTTATCTGAGTAATGGGAACACTGATCTGAATTAGCTGGCAGGTTTTGGGAGAAGGCCAGTGTTGTGGTAAGATCTGGATTTTTGAGTCAGACACATGTATTTACTGACCCTATAACTCCAGACAAGTTAGTAGTCTCTCTGCTCAGAGAGATTGTGTCTGCTAAAACTGCCTAAGATAATGCCTTCCACATAGTAGGTGCACAATGTGTTAAGCCATTTTCCTATTCCTGGTTGGAGGGGCTCTGACAGTAAATATGAAAGGCATCTTAGAGGCTAAGAGGGTGACAGTCATATTATATGAAAAGTATTAAAGGGGTTTTTATGGTTTGGGATTTTTAGTTCTATAGTAAAATGTAATGAGAGAAGGTTTTCATTACAGACAAAGTTATGAAAATGTGTAACCTGATGTCACAAGTGACTGTTGTCTCCCAGCTTCTCCTACCTCCGTTCTTATCCCAATTCTGCCACAAATTTCTTTGTAACATTAAATAAGCCACTTCACCTATTTGGGCCTCAGTTTCCTCCTCTGTAAAATGGGGAAGTTGGGTGCAACCATCACTAAGAACCTTTTCTACCTCTAATACTCTGTAGCTCCCATTCTTTGAATCTTCCTCAAAGTTCAGAGAGAGTATCTCCCTAAGATACTAGAAATGGGGCAGTGGTCTTAGAGATTACCACTTGCACCCCATAATGGAGCATAAGAAGTGGGGCACGCAGATAATAGCTGCTGGATTGGAGCCAGAGCTTGAGAAAAAAAGGAAAATCTCTACCAGGTCCTCAGACAGAAGTTGGCTGGAGAAAATGTCATGATCAGATATGTTTCTTTGTCATCTGTGTAAGGATCTCCACCCAGCTGATGGCAGTTTACGGCCTGATTTAGCATGTCTGCTGTGAGAAACAAATGGGTGTTGGGGTGGGCTGGGCCACGGGAGAAGAAGAGGAGGCAGGGTAGTATGTGTGGCACCAAAGGGCTGAGAAAGGCGGGCAGTGAGTAATATTCTCAGAGATCCTCATGGCCAGCGCTCCCGCTCAGCTTACATGGACGTTCTGCTGGGAGACCTGTTTGTCTTAACCTACTAGACTGGGCACCCTGCCTCGTTTGCTTTGATGTCCCCAGAGCCAAGCACAGGATGGCACTCAATATATTCCTGTCAAATAAAGGAATAAATTTTCCCCGTGTGTGTGTTTATCCTATGGAGATTTCCTGTATTGTGTAAATCCAGTCTAATTACTCAGGGAGCATCAAAAAGGACTCATGAGCTTGGCTTCTGTGGATTTCTCAGCCTGGAAAATGTCAACTAAATACTATCTACTGTTCTTTGAGCCTGTCACAGTGCCAAGTCCTCTGACCACCCTGTCTCAGAGAGTACATGGTTCAATTCCTCACCCTACCCTGTTTTATTTTTCTTCCTAGACTGTTTTACTGCCTGATACTACATTATATATTCATTTGTTTATAGTTTTTCCTTTCCTGTTAGGATGGAAGCAACTTGAAGTCAAGGGTCCTGTGTATCTTATTTACTGTTTGTGTCCTCATGCCAAGAGCAATGTCTGGCATTAATATAACATCTAACATAAAATAGTTAATGCATATTTATTGGAGAGTGATTAATTCTCATTCATAATCCAAGAAGTAAATATAAGCTTTATCTCATTTTATAGCTAAGGATAGCCTCCTAGGGTTAACTAACTTGCCTAAAATCGCACTAATTGTTGCTCAGATTTTAACCCAATCTTACTTCAGAGCCTTAGTTCTCAAACAGTGTGTGTTTTTTCCCTCTACTTTAGAACGTAAATTCCACATAGGGAAGGTTTCTGTGCCTTCATGACATTTGAGAATCTGCTTCCTATCAAAGGAACAAAGTCTTTTATCTTCAACCTCTCTTCATTTTGTGCATCCTTTTTTTTTCCAGGTCTCCTTTTAAATACTACTAGTAATGATAACTAAAAACTACAGGGTAGGCCAGGTGAGGTGGCTCACGCCTGTAATCCCAGCACTTTTGGAGGCTGAGGCGGGCGGATCCCCTGAGGTCAGGAGTTCAAGACCAGCCTGGCCAACACGGTGAAAATCCATCTCTACTAAAAATGAAAAATTAGCCAGGTGTGGTGTTGGGCACCTGTAGTCTCAGCTACTAGGAAGGCTGAGGCAGGAGAATTGCTTGAACCCAGGAGGCAGAAGTTGCACTGAGCCGAGATCACACCACTGCCCTCCAGCCTAAGCGACAGAGCGAGACTTCGTCTCAAACAAACAAACACAAAACAAACAAAAAAACTGCAAGGTAAAATATACTTCACTTCACATGCTCTTTTTGTATTACAGAGCAATCTAAAATCCATTGTTTCATTTAAAAAGCAGCCATATGCACTGGTAAATATTTATAACTGCTCCATTATAATAGGTGAGGAAACAGAGGTTCAGTGAATTGATCCAGGTGACTAGTGTGTGGTGGGACAAAACCCAGAACAGGAGTTTTGTACACTGATCCCATTCTTGTGTCTGCGACAGCTGGTGCCCCTTGGTTCCACTGCGTCCCTCTCTTTTCCTCATCCTTCTCTTCCTTGTCCCCCTGGAGCCTTGTGTTCCTCCTTGCATATTGCAAAAGCTCTTCAGAATAAGCTGCTCCCTCCATGACAGACTTCCTGAAGGCATGATAGGCATCATCCCCATGATTGGAGACTTAGGTTCTGGGGATAAGCCAAGAGGGCTCTGGAAAGCCCAGGTTGAGGTGTGTGTGGCCACACATCTCAGAAGTTATCTGCCTGTTCACACACAGGACCACTCGTCACCCAGACCCTCAGAAAGGGCTTATATATTCGCTTGGTAACAGGTATTGAACTCAGTGCTGGGTGTGGGGAACACCAACATGAAGAAGGCATGGTCTCTGCCTTTGAGGAGCTCACAGTCTCCTGGCTGAACCAGCATGTCAGGTAATGAAAACAGACATTATCGAAAGAGAGGAAAGATGTTCAACATCTGCGGGAGTTCAGGACAACCTATGACAAGTCTATTAGGACATTTAAGAGATTAGAAGCTCCTCAGCCAAAGAGAGGACAGTGAGGGGTCACTGACCTGAAAATGTGCTTGTGGAAACAACTTGCCTAGGACACAAGTACCTCCCACCAGGTATGATTTGCTTTTGCTTTTGCCAGAGGCCAGAGGGTCTCCTCTTCTAGGACCACCTGTGCCAAATCCACAGCTGGGGGTGTCTGGAGCACGGCAGCAAGCCTTTGCAGTTGGTTTCTCCAGGATCAGCCTCCCCTGAGAGTGAGTCCAGCTGACTCCAGGGTGGTCTACTATTCAATTTTACACACCGTCAGGGGACTGGGCTCTGACTTCTGTCCTCATCAAGTGAGATGACCAAAAGGAAAGGCTGATTATGTTGATTTTATCTTTAGAGCAAAAGCAAATTACTCTTCCATAGTTCCTATTTTCTCTTTAGTTTTTCCCTGGTAATTCCTATTCCTAACTAGTGTGAGTGTGTGTAAATGCACACACACATGCATATAGACAGTTGCACACACACAAAAGAGCTGGTTTTACAGAAATGCTACATTAAATATATACACCAACTATGGAGTATATTTTTTAAAAAGAACATTTCCATTTCCAGCAGTTTCATCTTTCATATCATTAAGAAAGTAGGTATCAGGAAGTACTGTATCTTTAAAGATCTGAGCTACTTTCTCATGGAGATAAGAAAAAGAATCTACATATTTCCAGTGTCTATGCCCTTCTAATTATTATGCAGTTCCACATTCCTGGGCTAGTTCTGGGTCATTGGGTGTTTGATGGAGCCATCTCATGACACACCTATGAGAATATTTATTGATGTTTATCATAGATGCCCGTAAAAACCATTGAAGATTTAATATGTGTTGGACATTGGCTACATGCTTTCCCACCTTTTAACTCAATTATAATCAACATCTCCACAAAAGGCAACTGACAGGTATCTTTCCAATGCCAGCAATCCTAATGCCAATCCCTTTGTAGTATAAGATACATTGTATAAAGTTTACCCTTCTAAATTCTCAGTGTGACAGAGTGAAAAGAGCACAAGCTTTGGAGTCAAATGCCTCTAAATTATAACTTTACTTCTACCACCTACTTGTTCACTGCACTGAGACAAGATATTTTAACTTCTTTGAGTTTCAATTTCTTCACTTGTGAAAGACAAATATTGTTATCAGCCTTGTAGTGTTATTTTAAGGACTGAATGACATTAATATTTGTAGATTATCTGAGCTATTGTGGACATTATTTCAAATAATGTTTTCTTGAAAAAGTTTCAAAAATGTAGTAAATGTCACAATGTGTCTAACTTGTGCATCATTATCGTTAGCCTCTGAGTATTGTTGGAGAGTGCCATACATTAAATTCACTACAAAAATGAAAGTGAGTCAGCAGTCAGAAAAGAAGCACAGAATTCTAAGACTCAAACTATGCAGACCTATCAAGGTTCTCATTGTTACCCCAGGTCCCTAGGGTCCCAGGCTCACTAGAGAGGAGTACCCTAGAAGTGGGCACCGGCTGGGGTGGCCCTGCTGCTCTGCAGGGTGGGGGTGATGCTCTCTGTTCTCATACCCATGCTTTTCCTGCCATACCCTGGCCATTCCTTGGCCATCACCAGTCAGGACATCTGCTCTGCAGGTGCGGGCCCCGGGGTGGTGCTTCTCCTGGAGTGTATGTCTGTGTGTGTGTGTGTGTGTGTGTGTGTGTGTGTGTGTGTGTGTGTATATATATATATATATATA
This sequence comes from Homo sapiens, assembly GCF_000001405.40. NCBI lineage: Eukaryota > Metazoa > Chordata > Mammalia > Primates > Hominidae > Homo > Homo sapiens. Next base: position 152,730,170 of record NC_000001.11, read on the forward strand.
TATATATATATATATATATATGCATATATGCTTTATGGGTGAGGTGAGCTTCACTCCACAACTTGAAGATTAAAATAGAGGCTGTGTGACAGGGGAGGGGAGAGTTGGGGGAGAGGAGCTTACTAAGGTATCTCAGACTGGGAGTTGGAGGAAGAAAGATAGAAATTAATTTACATTTCATGAAGCACAGGAACTCTTCTCATGGGAATTTCTTGGGTTTTTGTGCCTTGTATATTGTGTGTGATTTCTACAGCACTCTGATGGCTGCACATTCCTTCAGAATACAAAGGGCCAATGTACTTGATTATGAAAAATAGTTGTCTTTAGTGAATCAGCCTTCTTTCCTAAAGCCAAATTTTGAAGAAAGGCCCTATGATTTCAATGTGTTCCCAAAAAGTTTGTGTATTGGAAACTTAATCCCTAATGCAACAGTGTTGAGTGGTAGGGCCTAATAAGAGGAACTTGGGTCATGAGGGCTTATGAATGGCAGAGCCCTCATGAATGGATTATGTTGTTATCATGGGAGTGGGTTGATTATCTCGAGAGTGGGTTGTTATAAAGTGAATCTCGACCAGGCGTGGTGGCTCACACCTGTAATTCCAGCACATTGAAAGGCTGATGTGGGAGGATTGTTTGAGACCTGTCCGGGCAACATAGTGAAACCTCTTCTGTACAAAACATTTAAAAATATTAGCCAGGTGTGGTGATGCACACCTGTGGTCCTAGCTACTTGGGAGATTGAGGCAGGAGGATCACTTGAGTCCAGCGTATTAGGGCTGCAGTGAGCTGTGATTATGCCACTGCACTCCAGCCTGGGTGACAGAGCAAGACCCTGTCTCAAAATGAAAATCAAGCTGGTCCAGCCCCTAGTGACTCTGTCTCATGTGCACTCTTCTGCCTTCCATCTTCCACCATGGGATGACCCTTGTCAGATGCTGATGTTGTGCTCTTGGACTTCCCAGCCTCTAAAAATAAGAGCCAAAGAAACTTCTGTTCTTTATAAATCACAAAGTCTAAGATATTCAGTTATAGTAGCAGAAAATGAACTAATAAGAAAAACTTCAGGAAAAGAGTCAGGGTGGTAATGTTGTTTTACGGTTTTGGAGTTAGAATGTCTGGGTTTAAGTCACTAGTCCACTAATAACTCTCAAACTTTGGGCAAGTTATTTAACTTCTTTTTGCCTCAGTCTTCACATGTCCCCAGTCTGAATAATAGGCTGGATGCAGTGGTTTATGCCTGTAATCCTAGCACTTTGGGATGCTGAGATTGGAGGATCACTTGAGCCCAGGAGTTCGAGATCAGCCTGGGCATCATAGTGAGATCCCATCTCTGCAAAATATACAAAAATTAGCTGGGCATGGTGATGCACACCTGTTGTCCCAGCTACTTGGGAGGCTAATACAGGAGGACTTCTTGAGTTCAGGAGTCAGGGGTTGCAACAAGCTATAATTATGCCACTGCACTCCTGCCTGGGCAACAGAGTGAGACCCCCCATCTCAGCAAACAAACAAACAAACAAGCAAGCAAACAAAGCTGATGATAATAATTATTATCACTATTTAGTATATAGGTTTCTGTAGAGACTAGATGAGATGTGGTACATAAAATCATTATAGAGGCTCTAGTGCACAGTAGATATTCCATAGATATTATCTTTAATTATTACTGACAAAACTGAGGAAAAGAATGATCAGGCCTTTGGAACAAAATGCTAAGAGTCCCTTCAATCCAGTCGTCCAATGTGGATAAAGAATTGGAGAAGAGCTCAGAAGTAACTGAGTACCTACCTTTGCCCTCAACCTATTTATCTCTCTATTCACCTCTCTCTCAGACCCAGCTTCTCTGCAAAGCAGGTATGAATAGAGCTGTGTTCTTTCCTATTATAAGTCAATTCTTAGACTTGCTGCCTACCCTAACAGGTCAGAAAGTGTTGCATATTTCCTGGAAAGTGTGTGGCCATGAATGAAGAGATCTATGGAAAAGGACTCTGTATTCTTTATTTCTAGGTGGAAATATCTGACCATATCTCCTCAGTAAGGACAAACCTCTATCTTCCTCTGGAACAAGGACAAAGTAAAAATGTTGCCCTGTGCCCTTCCCTAATTCCCCTGAGTCCTTATGTCCATGCCCTAATACAAATCTGTATGCCTGCAGGTATCTTGAAAAGAGAGCAAGGTGAGGAGAATTCTCAACCCTTCTTTAGGACATACTCAAAATCTTTTTTTTTTTTTTTTTTTTTTTGAGATGGAGTCTTGTTCTGTCACCCAGGCTGGAGTGCAGTGGAGTGATCTCCGCTCACTGCAAGCTCCGCCTCCCGGGTTCATGCCATTCTCCTGCCTCAACCTCCGGAGTAGCTGGGACTACAGGCATCCGCCACCACGCCGGGCTAATTTTTTTATGTTTTTAGTAGACATGGGGTTTCACCGCGTTAGCCAGGATGGTCTCGATCTCCTGACCTCGTGATCCGCCCGCCTCGGCCTCCCAAGGTGCTGGGATTACAGGCGTGAGCCACCGCACCCGGCCTTTTTTTTTTTTTAGATGGAGTTTCACTCTTGTCACCCAGCAGGCTGGAAGTCTTGAGTGCAATGGCGCTATCTTGGGTCACTGGACCTCTGTCTCCTGGGTTCAAGTGATTCTCTTGACTCAGCCTCCCAAGTAGCTGGGATTACAGGCATGTGCCACCACGCCCGGCTAATTTTGTATTTTTAGTAGAGACGGGGTTTCTCCATGTTGGTCAGCCTGGTCTCGAACTCTTAACCTCAGGTGATCTGCCTGCCTCCACCTCCCAAAGTGCTGAGATTACAGGCATGAGCTCAAAATCTTAAGAGTAAGTTGGGCTTCACTATGTAAAAGAAAACCAAATTCATTTATTATAACTAGAAGATTTTTATCATAGTTAACTTTTAAAATCACTCTTTTAGATAAACTATTCTACTTTTAACTGTGAGGTTGGCAAATACATAGTTTAGGAAGAAGGTAGTTCTTAGTATTATAAGAAATAATGGGGAATACTCAGGTGAAAATAGATTTATTTGACTCAGTCATTGTCAATGGTTGTGTCCACTGAATTAAGATCATGCAACCACCACTGGTATCAATCTTATTGTAATATTCAGTAGTTATAATTCTGCTAAAAACAACTTTTAATTTTTTCAGCCCATAAGAAAAACTTTATTTTCTGAAATTCTGCAACATTTAGAATCATTGATTCAATTACAGAGTAATATGTGGTCCTTTAGTTCTATGTTAAGTGCAAGGAGATGTATATCTCTTTCTGAATTACCTTAAACAACCATCTCTTCTTCATTGTTCTTAAATTATTATTTCTCCAGTTATGGAGAAGTTTTTCCTGCCAGAATCCTCTTATTTTGCACCTCTCTGTGTCTCATTCTTGCACACTGCAGCTATCAGTGTAGAGCTCTACATCTCTACATTCACTTGTTTATTTTCATTGCTAAGATTCTATCTCGAGTCACACCTTAATTTTGTAGAGAATAGTGGAGTACTTGTCTGTTTGGTCTTCTAGATGGTAAACTTTGTAAGTACATCTTTGAAGATAAATAAGTGTGGTTTCCAAGTCTCTCTGAATCTTCCATATTACCTGCTGCAATACTTTGCACATTAAATATGTTTAATAAGTGACATAGAATGAGACACACCTAACCCTCATTTTTTTTTCCATATGTACCTTCATAAATATTCACATATGGCCTTTGTTGAGTTCAATAAGAAAAACAGAACAAAATCAACAGTTCTAATTGTATCAGGTAATATCATTTCTTTGTGACAAAGGAGCCTTACTAGGCACAATAATGCCTATTAAAATACCAAAGCAGGTGAAAGAATAATAATCAGTAGAGTAGTAAGAATAGTAGCCATAGAAGTTGGTACCACCTTTTGAGTTCTAGCTACCTGCATGGTCCTGTACTCGTGCTTTATAGGTAATATTTCACTTCATGCTTACAAATGAGCAGAACTATGATCACTATTTTGAAGACAATGAAACTGTACCCTAACCGTAACTTGCTTAAGTTTGCACAACTTTCTCAAGAAGCAGGAATGCCAACTTAAGTCTCACTGTCTCACGGACCCCAAAACTATTCTTTTATATGAATACTCTGAAATACCTCCCATTTGTTTTAGTCACCTTCCTCTTTTCTTTTCTCTCTCTCTCTCTTTTCTTTTTTTTTTTTTTTTTTGAGATGGAGTCTTGCTCTGTCACCCAGGCTAGAGTGCAGTGGCATGATCTCAGCTCACTGCAACCTCTGCCTCCTGGGTTCAAGCCGTTATCCTGCTTCTTCCTCCCTAACAGCTGGGATTACAGGCACCTGCCACCATGCCCAGCTAATTTTTGTATCTTTAGTAGAGACAGGGTTTCACCATGTTGGCCAGGCTGGTCTCGAACTCCTGACCTCGTGATCTGTCCACCTCAGCCTCCTAAACTGCTGGGATTACAGGCGTGAGACACTGTGCCCTGTTCCCTCTTTTCTTTCAACCTTCTGTGTCTCTAATGTCAGCTCAAGCTTCTCTTGACCAGAGGTATAATTAGGGTCAGTATCATCATCACTTTTCATCAATTGTCATTGGCTTTTAAGTAGCTCTTTCTTTAAAACCCCCTGCCCTTAAAATTAGAGCTTTTTATTTAAAAATTCAATAATTTTTCTTAAAAACCAATCTCTCTGAACTGCTGTAGTTCTTTAAGTCAACATCACACATCATATGGACAATTTGCCATTGTGACCTTACTTCTACATATAGAAATTGTGATTTCTCCATCTTTAAAAAATTCATTGTTTATCTATCTCTTAAACTCTTTGAAATAGTGATCTCTGCTTATCTCTCCTGTTTCTTTCCAAAATTATTATAAGGCAGTTTTAGCCCTCACTATGAAACTACTGTTTCCAATGTCGCTGTGGATTCTGTCTCCCTAGCATTTGATAATATAAGATAATGTCCTTTATTGAAATTTCTTTTCCCTTTTTTTTTCAAAATACCATGATTTTCTCTTTATTTTTCCAGCTATGTGCCTCAACTTTCTTTCTTAGACTCCTTAATTTTTACATCTCCTTTGCCTACCCACTAAAAGTTGGAATACCCCTAAGGTTCTGTGCCTGGTTCTATCTCTTTTTTGTCTTTTTTTTTTCTCTCAGCATGCATACTCTTTTTTAGTAACCTTCTCCACTTGTGTGTCTTTAGTGGTTACTTAATTACCAAGGAGGCAATCCAGTTTGTGTTAGGTGACACTCTCCTCTATCTGCCTATTATATTGAGCCCTGGCAAAAACCTATTACAGGATCGCTTTGTTCTATTAAAAAAAAAAAAAGTTAAGGAGCTCCTTAACTACAATAGGAGCTCCTTAAGTTAGTGCTAACTCCTTATTCACAGTAATTTAACCCTGTGTTTACTAACTAGTAGGTGCAATCAATGTCAACTTAAATCCACTTATGTCTTATTTTATTTCCCTTCTCTGTAAGGTATCTACCTATAGACATGCTCAATAATGCAATTATTCTAATTCTCAAGCACTTTCAGCCTTTACCTTCAACCCCCAATAAAAAGTCTGTTAGAACTTCCAAGTTCAACATAATATCTGTCTGTATTCTAACTTATTCACATTTCAAACCCCCTCCCTCCTCTGATGGCAACACCAGCCCTGCATGTGCCCACTGCCCTCTAGGGGCCATTAGGCTCCCCAAAGCCTTTACTTCCATGCTCACGTGGATTCTTCTAGGTCCACCTTCTGCCAACCTGGTCTCATTTCCACAGAGCTATGCTCTGAAATAACTTATTTCTCAGGAATTAGTATTCTGTATTAGTGAAATAACACTATACCTTCCTGGGAATCTATCTTCATACAAGAGATTCTAAGAGCCAAGAGGCTGCACCATTATGGCCTGAGTATATGCCTCAGTGCTTTCTAAACATCTGCCTTCCTCTTTCCTGCTGTTTAATCTTTTTCCTATGTTTATTGTTCCAGATACTGTACAAAGCACATGGGATATGGAGGCTAACAAAACATGCCGTACTTTCATACTGTTCATAGATTAGACAGACATGTACAAAGACTGTAAAACCACCTTGGGGAAATGCTGTATGAAACCTGAACAAGAGTTCAAGATCACATGGTACAAAAACTTACAAATCATTGTTTACACATTTGTACTGTGGGACCATAACATCCTCAGAGCAATCTACATCATCTGTGTCATTGATATCTGGCAAAATTATGGGCCCAAGATAGATTATATATATTTATTGGAATAATGAATGAGTGACTGTATGAAGGTGGAACGGCTGGCTTGCAGCAGATCTATGGAGCGTGTATGGAGTAGTCTCTAGCCTGTGGGATTCCTCTTGGCTCCTGTCCAGGGAAATCCTGGAGCCCTGGGGCTGGAAGTGTGTGTGAGAAGAGTTCAACCTCCTCTAAGGCAATGAAAGTGATTGTTCTGCATACACAGGATGTGCCTCACTCCCAGGGAGACACCAATCCCAGGATAAAAGGCCTCCAGTGCCAGGGTCCTCAGTCCTTAGCCTTGTTAGTGACAGCCCTTGCTCCTCCACTAACCAGGTCAGTGCTTTGCAAAGAAGGCTCTGGATGGTGATTCATGGGTGCCAGACAGAACTGCATGGAGAGAGGGCAGAAAAAGGCAGGCAGAGAAGAAGAAGTCACTTGGGTTTGGAGGGACAAGTGTGAGAATTCTTCAACCTGCAGTTGACCTAGGTCTGGGCTTGTTTTTATGTATCCTTGTTAGTGACAACCTCCCTCCACTTCTCTTGGTTTGCTAAATATATGCCAGAAGCAGACCATGGGGCTGTGAATGTCTAACTTAGGGAAGGAGAGTAACAAGAAGAAATGCCTCATGAGCAGTGGGGTAGAGGAAGAGGAGAAGGAACAAAGCAAGAGTAGTCACAGGAATTGAGGGGCTCAGGTTTACGCCTCTGATCTCTTTCCTTCTACTCCTCTTCCAATAAATGTTCTCAGAGACACCCATCTGACCTGCAGAAGAATGACTGATCCATTAAAGGATTGTTTCTAAACATATGGCCAGCTGTGTTTCCAAATTAGGAAGCCTTCTATGGGGTTGATTTTGGAGCTCATGTAGAAAGATGGTCAGCATTTTTCACTGGGGGAAAAAAAAAGAAAGAAACACAAGGTGGAAAGCTTTTCTTGCACTCAAGTTCATTTCATATCAGTTTCCAAATTCAATTTATGGATCATCTTCACAAAATATCTTGTTTGGGAGTGAGGATTCAATGAAATTCATTGTCTACAACATACATATCTGCCTGACATTTGTGCTAATGGCTTATGAAATTTCTCCTTAGGTTTCCTGACTTCCTCTCTAAATGTCCTGCCAGCAGAGCCAACAGCAGTGCCAGCCTCCTCCCAAGTGTATCCCCAAATGCCCTCCCAAGTGTACTCCTAAGTTTCCTCCCAAGTGTCCCCCAAAATGTCCCCCTAAGTGCCCAGCCCCATGCCCACCTCCAGTCCGTTCCTGCTGCAGTGTTAGCTCCAGGGGCTGCTGTGTTTCAAGCTCTGGGGGCTGTTGCAGCTCTGTGGGTGGTGGCTGCTGCTTGAGCCACCACAAGCCCCACTGGCCCCTTTGACTCTGACCTCAGAGCTCTAACTGCTGTGGCAGTGGCAGCGGCCAGCTGTCTGGGGGCTCTGGCTGCTGCCACAGCTCTGGGGGCTCCTGCTGCTGCTCTGTGGGCTGCTGCTGACCTGGGCCATGAAGACCTCATACAAGCAGTACTGGAGGAAATAAGATGTGGAAGACCTACCCAGCCCTGCTGCTGCTCTTCCCTCCTTTTCTTGTCTTCCTTGTCCTGGACTCTGAGATGCTGAAATCTTCACGAGGAAGGTTCTAAATATTACTCCAGATGGGCAGGCTCACTCTTCTTCAACATAATAAATTCTTCCCTACTAAGCCTCACCAGCATCTTGCTGCATCCCCCCATAGGTCAATGTTAGCTATATGGGGCCCAGCCCTGTCCTGGCTGGGGACAGAAAGCTGGCTCAAGAGTGCGGGTCATGTGGCCAGTCTCCCTTCACAGGGTGTGGTAGAAAACCCTGGGTTGACCTTTCCCGCATTCAGAGAGATTCAGTTTGGCTTTCTAGTTGCCGGTTGGGGTGACCATCCTCTTCTGGGTGCCTGTGCATTTTCTCTGGTGTTATATCGATTATTCTGCTATACTTTTCTCATTATAACAACTATGATAATATTTCTAACAGCTGATATGAAGTGAAAAATTTAGAACTGCTAGCACTCCTCAAAATAGTAAAATCTGGGGACAAGCCAAATGCCTCCTACATGAAAGGTACATGGTTCATTATTAGATATTCACTCAGTGTGCTGAGATTCTAAATTCAAAATGAATGAACTAAATCAACACAAAACAATGTATGAGTAAATGAAAAAATAAATTCCAAAAAGATTATCTACAACATAATAGCCTATTCATAAATTTCAAAACAGCAAAGCATATTCTTTTAGGCTTGGTATATATATGGTTACAAATAAACTGTATGAAAAGAAAAGGTATGGATGAAACCTTGTTTTAGAATCACCCATACTTTGGGTAGAGAGCAGCAGGAGGTGGGAGGGGGAGCTGGGCCATGTGGTTGGAGGTAGGTTATTGTCAAGATCCTGGCTTTCATTTTGGTGGATTTCTGTTCTTTGTATATTGTTAAAATTTTCAAATGAATGAGTGAATCCATATATTGGTAGATCAACCAACTTAACAATTAAGGAGATCATGCCTGGAGCAGTGATAACCATGTGTCCTGGTCCAAATATTTTTATTTCTCCAATACTATACATCTAAGGTCTTATTTTTCTTCAAACAGTGTGTCATATGCATTAACATACAAAGTCTTCTTTGCTAATTCTCACCACTCTCTAAAATATATTATTTTGATCCTCTATTGATTTTATAGATTAGGTAACTGAGATTCAGAAGTTAAATAATTTCCCCAAGTTCACACAGTAAGAGCAAGACTAGGTCCCTGTCAGCGTCTGAGTCTTTCACCACCTGCCCCGTGTCTTCTCTTTTCCCTCTTTCTCCTGGGCAATCTCTTCTACTCCCTGGCAACAGTTAACATCACCATGATGATGGCCAAGGAGCCCCTTCTCAGAGAGGCCTCAGTGACCATTGAAATTAAAATAGCCCTGTGTCACTCTCAGTCACTTCACTCGGCTTTATCACTGACAAACAGTCTTTTATTTATTTACTTTTCCTTTGTTCAGCTCTCTCCACTTTAACATAAACTTCATGAAATGAGGGACCTTGCTCTCCTCTTGCCAGCTGCTGTTTTTTCCAGTACCTAGAATGGGCTTACTGTGGATTCTCAAGAACTATTTTTTGCCTGAGTGACTTCCAAGTCAACGTATGAAGTCCATGTGTGTTTCCTGAGATCCTGATTGATATATTTAGCTGTCTATTAGATTTCATCAAAGATTCCATTCTAATCTCAAATTCAAAGCTCACAAAATGAAATTCAACACCCAGCCCCCCATTCAACAAACCTCCTCTCTGTTGATTTCCAACTTAGTAAATAGAGTCATTATCTGCTTGTTTTTGAACTCAAAAACACCCTAATTTCTTTTAATGTCTTGTAACCCATCCCTAATCTAAACAATCAAACGCCAAATCCTACTGAAGCTATGTCTTACATCCCTCTACTTTTCTCCATCTTCATTGTTACTATCTGAGTCCAAGTCTTAACTGTCCTAGTCCTGGCCTAGTCCTACATTGTTCCAATCTGCTCTTCACAATGCAACCTTCATAAACTTTCCAAAATGCAAGTTTAAACTCGTCAGTCCCAGACCTTGCGTCCTCCATTGCTCCAGTGTCAGGATCTCTGGGTGTTCTTTGTGACTCATTGCTGCTCCCCAGGGAATATTTGGAGTTCAGTACTTTTCCACTTAATCATATTCCTCTCATTAAAAAATCAGAGAAATACTGGGATCCCTAGGGACCACAATGTGATCAACTCCTGTGCTGTGTTATATGCTCTCGCTTGGAGATTTAGAGGTCCCACTGGACATAACTGAGAATATCTGAAGGGGACAACCACCAGATACACAGCTTATATGTCAGCTCCTTATGAAGATGTCCCAGGAGGAGAGCCAAGAAGCCCCTGTGGGAGAAACATAGGACAGCAGCCTGCAGTCCTTAACAAACACAAAGTCTTTGACCCATGGTGATAGAGCTCTTCTCCTTCCTGGGAGCAACGTTGCTTAAGGCTTCCTAATAAACAAATAAATAACCACATGCTTCTCTTCCAGAAGAAGGAGATTTTATTTGCATTGCAAGGGAGATATAAAGTGATATCAAACAGTAGCCAGTATGGCTGTGATTCTAGCTGTGTCTCCTCACTGCAGGACTTCTCAGGCTCTGCCCGTGCTTTGGGCATCCTTCTGTATGGTTAGTTCTGTCTCAGTGGATGTGCTTAGGCTAAGAAGAGGCTGAAATTTCACTAAACCAAGTGACACTCAGGCCACTGCCTAAGAATATTTTTCTATAAATGAATAATTATTTTTACTTACACAGGTCATTTTAAGTGTTTTATGACATCATTGAGAATGATTTTTCATTGGTGATGCAAATGAATTAGAAATCTATATATTATCTCAATAAAATTCTGGTTGTGTGACCTTGAAGTAAGTTATTAACTTCTCTGTGCTTTAGTATAGACTTTGTAAAAAGAGGATTAAAATAGTTGCCTTAACCATAGGGCTGTTTTGAGGATGAAATGAGTTTAGGATAGCTGGATGGTTTTCTTTCAACATCAAATGCATGTTTGTTTTCTGCACTAATTCTTCATTCTTCAACACCAACTGAGTGTCCAACAATTCAAATCAATTCTGACACTAACTCCCAGAGCTAGCACAGACACCCCAGGTTAAGAAGTCAGTCTCACAAGAGTGCCCCCACTTCAGATGCCAGCTGCAGGTGGGGTTTCCAAATGACTACAAACTCAGAGGTTCCCATGACCCCCTCCTCAGGCTCAATAATTTGCTAGACTGACTCACAGAACTCAGAAAAGTGCTTTATCTATGATTACCGGTTTATTATAAAACAAATGAACCTCAGTAGCAGTCAAATGGAAGGGATGTATAAGGCAATGTATGTGTGGATATGAGGCACAGAGCTTCTAAGTCCTCTCTGGTCACACCAGCCTTTCAGAAAATTAGTATGTTCTAGGTTGGTAGCCAGAAGCTTATGGAACCTATCCTTCAGGGGTGTTCATGGAGGTCCCATATGTAGGCATGATTGAGTAAATCACCAGCTATTGGTGAGGCTGAAAGTTCCTACTCTCTAATCATGTGTTTGGCCTTTCTGGTGACCAACCCTCAATCTTGAAGCTATCTAGGGGGTCCATCACAAGTCGTCTCATTAGCATAAACTTAGGTGTGGCCTAAAGAGGCTTGTTATGAGAAACAAAAAGGGTTTCACTGCCAAGGGTTTTAGGAGCTGTGCGTCAGGAACTAGGGACAAAGTCCAAATACATATTTTGTATAATACCACAGCCATCATTGTAACACAAAGCCCTCAGGAATACATTTATTTCATGCAGTGAAGCTCTTTTGCCATCACCATCATGGTTAAACTTACCTTCATCACTAACAAGAACATCATCACTGTGATCACAGCCACTCCCATCAGTGACCTTGATCCTTTGAGCAAACCTCCCTTAACTGGTCCAGACCTATTATTCACTTCCTTTGTAAACATCTGAAATTCTTTCAGTAAGTTCCACATTTTTGACACTCAATTGAATACTGCTTTATGTCCCAATAGATTTTTGTTAATTCTCAGGGGTGGTTTTCTCATGTTTGTCCTTTCTAAGTCCTTATAAAGTTGTCTTCTAACTCTTGATTTTGTATCACTCAAGCCCATTCATTGACAGAAAGATTAAATCATGACTTTTGCTCTACTTCTCTGAAATCAGACTCTCTGAGGTCACAATTAATGTCCAAACAGCCAAATGGAGTGGGCTCACTGGAACATTTGACAATGGGGATCATCTGCTTCATAGAATTTTCTCTATCTTTAATAACAATGCACCACTGTTCCTTAATATTTGCCTTCTCTTTGGCTAATGCTGACCATTCTATGCAGTGTTCATGCTGTCCAACTATGAAAGCCTGGGGTCCTGGGACCTCTTTGTTCCTAATGACTGTGGTGCCCTCCTCCTTGCTCCTGGCATCAGCCAGGTCCCTATGTCATGCTCCAGGCAGAATTATGCACCCTCCACACTCCAGTGGCTCTCAGGGCTTATCTATCAGAAATTACCTGTGTATTCCTCTGTCTTCCACACTGGCCTGTGAATCCTTCAGGAAAGGAATAATTATCCTTGTATATTGAATACTTAGTAGAGTGCCTCTGCCAAGGTGGAACAAATTAACTATCTGCCAAATTAAGTCATTTTGTCTCTAGTTTCAGATGTATCAATAAGGCAAGAATATGGATTTTCACATATCACAGTATTCTCTACCCTTGTACTCTCCCTTAAAGCAAAGTCCAATGGACTCTCCTGTGACCAAATGGCAGCATTTGTTACTTCCCCCTCTACACCCCCACAGCTTCTCATAGCACTGACCCACCATGACCCTATAATGCCTTAGGCTGTCTCCTAGTCCCTGCTTCACTGCCCCTTGGATTTTCTTCCCTAATCAGTGACCTGAGCTTCACTCCCTTTCTTGACCTGCTTGTACATCCTCATGTCCCATCTGAATGGTATCCCTGTAGGACTGTTAATGGAATATTAACAGTTAATGGAGGCATTGACAGATAATCACATCCAAGGGTCATGTCTCATTTAACCTAGTGTGTGCTGTTCTTCAGAGCACTTCTGAAGCCCAAAGAATGTTATCCTAAGACACATCCTCTGCCCATGTGTCTATAAAGCAGCCAATCATTTGTTCTTTTATTCAGTCAGTCAATCTTTAACTCATTTATTCTTCAAGGCTACCCTCTGTGTTTATGGTTATTCCTAGAGACATGAAGATGAATAAAGTCTAGTATAGATTCTGCCTTCAACATGCTATCCATGTGGAAGAGCAGAAAGACATACAAATGGACATGACATTGTCCTGGTGTAAAAGTTTTTAGGAGCCCATCTCTGGGTCATGTTGCCCTCTTACAGCACATAATAGAATGTTTCACAGTGCATTGTTTACATTTATGTCCTCAAGGCAACTTGGCTCATATTTATGACAAGAGCATCTTACAAAACCAAAGCCCAAGACAAATAATACATATTTACAGAATTAATGAATGAGTGAATGCATGAAGGTGGAATGGCTGGCTTGCAGCAGGCCTGTGGAGCAGATACCTGGGCCATCTCTAGTTCCTGGGATTCCTCTTGGCCTCTGTCCAGGGAGATCCTGGAGCCTCAGGGCTGGGAGTGTGGCAAGAGTCATCCTGCTCCCAGGTTGTGAAAGTGACTGTTCTGCATACACAGTCTGTGCCTCACTCCCAGGGAGACACCAGGCCCAGGATAGAAGGGCTCCAGTGCAGGGCTTCTCAGTCCTTAGCCTTGTCAATTATTACTGACAGCTCCTGCATCCTCCACTGAGCCATGTGAGTGCTTGGCAAAGACGGCTCCAGGGGTAATAGGACTGTGTGAAAAGAGAGACAGAAGAAGGCAGGCAAAGACGAAGGCATCACTGGGGGCCAGGGAGGAGGGGAAGGATGGTGAAACCTACAGCCATTGTGGTTTTTAGTAGTACTTCCTTCCAATTTATTTACTGTAAAATGAATGTTCTTGGATATGTCATCCTCCCACCAGAAATCCCTGAGTTTAGGAGTCAGAAAATGACTAAACTACCTTGTTTCCCTTGGGGAAAAGAAGGCTTATGTAGGGCTGACTTTGAAGGGCATGGAGGGAGAAGGCCAGAATACTCCAGTTGAGGCAAAGTGGACTGAAGACAGGGAGGGTATTTATTAGGCTTACATTCCTCCAAGTCAGTTTCCAAATTCCTTTGTAGAAGTTGGTTCATGAACCAGCTTTTTGCTGGGGGGTAGGTTTCTATGAAATCCAGGAGAAAAAAATAATAGTTCTTGATATTGTGCACTGATTTCTTTTTTTTTCTTTCAGGTTGACTGAACCTTTCCCGACATGTCTTGCCATTAAAACCAGCAGCAGTGCCAGCCCCTTTTCAAGTGCCCTCCAAATGCCTCACTTCTAAGTGAGGCACACCAGTGCCCAGCCCCATGTGTCCCTCCAGTCTTGTTCTGCCGCAGTGTCAGCTCCGGGGATTGTTGTGGCCCCAGCTCTGGGGGCTGCTGCAGCTCTGATTGGTGGCTGCTGACTGAGCCACCACAGGCCGTCTCTTCCACTGATACCAGACCTAGAACCCTGACTGCTGTGAGTGTGAGCCCACTAAGGGCTCTGGCTGCTGCCACAGCTGTAGGGGCTGCTGCTGACCTGGGCCCTTTCTGCAGAGGAGCAGTGATGGGAGGACCCAACTAAACATGGACCTCCCTTTCTGAGCTTTCCTCCCCTCTCATTCTTTCTTCTCTTGTGGTGCTAGAGATGTTAAGACAAACTCTTCTCAGAGGACTCAACCCTGTGTTCTGTACAAACTCCCCAAGCTCCTAACCCCATGCCCCTGCAAAACCCCTCTGTGGAACATCAGATCCTAAATCACATAAAATTTCTTCCTCTAGTACCACCTGCTCCTTGTTCTTGATCCTCACACACATACACACACACTGCCTCCCCAGTAACCCACTCCTCCAAGCTGATTAGTGTTTTCCAGGAAAGGTGGCCCAATTCAGTCTCCAGACATCCCGGAAAACACACTGCTTTGTCCAGACAACCTCAGAGTGACCTCATCATGTAATCTGGAAATAGTACCTGCTTCCCTTCTGCCAGTCCCAGGGTTAGGGACTAGAAATGCCACATGTGTCTAGGGGAAGACACTCCTATGCTTATGTTGACATATTAATTTAGAGAAAATTGTAGTATTTATTCCGTTTTATTTTTATAGCATTCTTTGATAAATAAACAAGAAAAACAAAACCAACAGAACTGAGAGATGAAGACAGAGATGCGGAGTGCCCACCTGGAGGGTACATATGAGAGCTGGAACCTTAGCCTGAAGCTCCATTCTGTTTCCCTTTCAATCACACCTCATGTCACATGATCAGCCTATGTGATTTCATACTCCAAATAATTCTGGCTCATTGTAAGCTGTTTCGGAAATGATTATTTTCCCACTAGGTGGCATCATGATGTAACAAAAATGGCTACAATTAAGCAATAATAATAATATAATGGCAATAATGATAATTACCTTTATTGAGGGCTTATTCATGGCTTGACTCTTCACATATCTTTTCTTTAGCCTTTACAACCACCTATGAGGCAGCTATTGTTTACATTGTATGTATGATGAAACTAAAAAGGCCGAGAGAGAGCACGTGACTTGGTGTGACACACAGTTGGCTGGAGGGAAGCAACAGGGTAAGCGCAGATGTGTCTGACTTGGAGACTTTGCTGTTTCTTTGGGCCACTCAGCCTCCTAACTGCGGTTTTCACTTCTTGAGATTCAAACGAGAGAGTATTATGTCTGATGGTGCCTAGTGCTAGTATAGGGTCAACGATTCATTTCCTGTGTTGAAACAAATAGTCTCCATCCCTGTCTCTCTGCTTCCGCTCAACTTCCCAACACCATTCCTCACAGGGCACCTGGAGACTGGTCCCATCACGCCTCTACCTAAAACAGTTGCTATCGGTCTAAGGACATAGACCTGGTTCTTAAAACCAGGCACCAACTGGCCCCTTCTGCCCGCTGTTACCACACTGGCTGCTTTCAGTTCTGTGAAGGTGCCATGATCCCTCCTGCCCCCCACACACTCCTCTTGCACATGGAGTTCCCTTTCTAGCATGCTTTTCCCACTCCTTTGCTTCTACTTATCCTTCAGATCTCAGCCCCATAGCCGCTTATTCAGGAAAGCCCTCCCTGGCCCAGTTAGCTCTCCCCTGTCCTGTTCACCCACCCCTAGGGAGCTTTTGCTGCTCTGTGGACCTCTCCTGTCAAATATTAATCAAGGTTATCATTGGCTATTTGTCTCTGTGACCCTTGGGTTTGTCCTGCTGACCAAAAGCTCATTCAGCACTGGAATTGTATTTAATAGTTTGCATATCTTACCACTGTCTCCACAGGGCATAGCATGGTGCTTCTTACTTAGTAAATGCTTAATAAATATTTGTTGAGTGAATACTTGCATGAATGAATGAATGATTGAATCAGTATCCTCACCATTATCACCATCATCCTTTCATCATTGTTAGTATTGAAATATCTTTCTTAACTCTTCGTGTCCCTTGGACACATATATACTAAAAAATTTTGTAGTCTACCTCAAATTCAAATTTATCTGAATCTTGTATTTTTATTTGCTAAATCTGGAAATCCTGCCCCACACATTGGCCTTTTTGTGCTGTTGGCTACCCAACTTCATAATTGGAGATTCACAGCCCATCCTCTCACTCACTGCTTGACATGCGTGGCTGTTTCTCCAGAGTGGATGTTAAAGTCTTTGGAAGGCAGTGCCTTGTCTGTGTATCTTTGTGCTTTCCTTATTAGACTGTAAGATCCCTGGGGAAGAGGCAGTGAATACATGCTCAGGGAGTGCTTGTTGACTAAATGATGGTGACTATTCTTAATCCAATGTGAGGAATCTGGTAGGTGATCTGTAAATATATGTTGAGTGAACTAGACTGAATAAGCTCCACTTCATAAACTAAGATCTTTTCTATTCCAGGTAGAGTGTGTGAGATAACGACTATTAATAGGGAAGACCTTTAAAATGTAGTAATCACCAAAGGAAATACACAGTTTTCCTGGATTATGGGTTGACCTCTTGTGAACATGTCAATCAATGTAGGTGATTAGTATCCCCAGCACACTTGGGAAAGATACCTAACTGAGGTTCAAACAGAGGCTTATCCTATCTTTTAGAGGGAATTAGTATGGCAGAGAGGTTGGATCTCAAGGAGTTTGTGATTCTACGGTTCATAAATGTAATTTAGGTTTCACCAAGATTTATAGATATAGTCTCACAGACGTGTATATATGTGTGTGTGTAGATATATATGTACTTATGCATACAACATATATGTATATGCACATATGTATACACACATATATAATCTTTATTGAGATAATTCACATATCCATTTATTTAAAGTATACAACTCAATGTTTTTAGTGTATTCTCAGAGCTGTGTTATCATCACTACAATCTAATTTTAGAATGTTTTCCTCACCCCAAGAAATCCTGTAGCCAAAGTAGTCACACCCCACTCCCCCAAGTCCTATTTTCCATCTCTACAAATTTGCCTATTCTGGATATTTTATATAAATGGGATCATACAGTATGTGGTATTTTGTGACTGACTTCTTTCACTGAGCATAACATTTTCAAGGTTCAACCACGTTGGAGCGTGTATCAGATTTTTATTCTTCTTTATGGCTAATTAATATTCCCTCATATAGGTTAACCATGTTGTGTTTATCCATTCATCAGTTGACGGATGCATATGTTGTTTTCACATTTTGGCTATTGTGCATAATGCTGCTTTGAAACATTCATGTGCAAGTTTTTAAGTGGATATACGTTTTCATTTTGCTTGCATGGAATTTTCATTTTTGCTAGGAGTGGGATTAATGAATCATATAGTACTCTATGTTTAACTATGTGAGGAATTGTCAAATTGTTTTCCACAGTGACTGTACCATGTCCATCCCCACAGCAGTGTATTAATGGTTCCAATTTCTCCACATCCTCCCCAACTCTTGTTCTTGTCTATTTTTTCTGACTATAATAATGCTAGTGGGTATGAAGTGGTATGTCATTGTGGTTTTAATTTGTATTTCCTTAATGACTGATGATGTTGAGCAACTTTTCGTGTGCTTGTTGGCTGTTTGTATATCTTTTTTGGAGAACTGTCTATTCACATCCATTGCCCATTTTTAAATTGTATTATGTTCTTATTATTGAATCTCAAGAGTTTTTACATATTCTAGATAAAAGGCACTTTATAGATATATGAATTGCAAATATTTTCTCTTATTATGTGGGTCATCTTTTCATTTTTTAATGGTATCATTTGCAACTTGAAAGTTTTTAATTTTATTAAATTCAATTTTTCTATTTTTTTATTTGTCACTTGTGTTTTTGGTATTGTAGTTAAAAAACTATTGCTTAACCCAATGTCATGAAGATTTACTCCTGTGTTTTCTTCTAAGAGTTTTATAGTTTTAGCTTTTACATTTAGGTATATAATCTATTTTGAGTAACTTTCTGCGTATGATGTGAGGAATCATATATTTTTATCTTAATTTCATTTGTATATTCTTACAGGCAACTCTATATAGTCTTATTGCACAAATTTCTCTTCTTATCTTTCTATATGCATGTCTAATGATGATAGTCTGTTTTCACTGCTTTATGTCTATTTCTTTCATTGTTCTTCCTCAATCTATAGTTCTCTCTCTCTCTCTCTCTCTCTTTCTCTCTCTCTTTCCCTCTCTCTTTCTTTCTCTCTTTCTCTCTCTCTTTCTAACTCAATTTTTGTCTCTCTAATTTGAACCTAATATTAGGACCAGAAGTAATTTTAGAATTTATTTAGACCAACTGATTCCCAGATAATTCAAGTGATTTTGCTGGAGGCCAGATAACTTCTAATGTATTCTTTATTGTAATTAAATATGTTTATCATCAATTAATAAATTTTATAATAATAAATTAACTTTAGGCAAAAATATATTTAATAAAGTGTTAAATTCTAAACGGAAAGTAAGTTTTTCTTTGAAACTCACGGCAAACAAATAATTCAAACACAAAAAGTTAATCTGTATCATTACATTCTATTTAATAACTGAAATGTCTTTTTTTTTTTTTTGAAATGGAGTTTCACTCTCATTGCCCAGGCTGGAGTGCAATGGTACAATCTCAGCCCACTGAAACCTCCGCCTCCCGGGTTCAAGAGATTCTCCTGCCTCAGCCTCCTGAGTAGCTGGGATTACGGGCATGTACCACCATGCCCAGCTAATTTTGTATTTTTAGTAGAGACAGGGCTTCTCCATGTTGGTCAGGCTGGTCTCAAACTCCTGACCTCAGGTGATCCGCCTGCCTCAGCCTCCCAAAATGCTGGGATTACAGGCATGAAAGTCATCTTTTTTCTAGCCAACTTACACCTGCTGAAGTCATTCCTATTATCTATCAAATAACCAATTATTTTCATTGTCCTCTGGGGCTTATCACTGATTTTATTATGTCATTCAGCAAACATTTAATGAACACTTTTAGGAAGCCAGTTTTCTTCTGGGCACAGTCTTTTGCCATCAAGAGGTTCATTATCTAGTGTAGAAAACAGACACATCAGCATAGAAATGCAATACCAGTAGGTCCTACAATATTGGCAGGAGTTTGGCATACAGTGGGAATAGGGGTGAGTGAGGAGACAGTGTTCTTAACAAAGGAAAGAATTTTGAGAAATGGAAGTGAATGAAGCACCAACCTACATTGGGAGCAATTTTGAGAAGTTAGATGTAGGTTAAGGCTTCTAAATAACCAAAGACTACTTGGCATTTGGTGTATCCTTGCCAATAATTGAGCCCCCTTTGTTGTTTTCTAGATCATTGGATATTGATAACCCAGCAATACTGCTAACATTCTTTGAGACTCAACATGTGATTAAGCAAGGCTCTCCATTCACCAAATGTGATGATGGTCTGAGAGTTTCCTATGACTTCAACAAGTGGTTGATTTAGCTTCACATTAGGCTTAAAATATTATTGTTTAAGTAAAATGAGCATTGTAAGATAGTGAGCTGTATAGAAACTTAAATTATCTGTACAAGCAGGAATACAACTTGCCTACCCTCATTTTTATCCTGCCAATGAAACATACATATATTTCCTTTAATTGAACTGAGACAACATCAAATTTGCAAAATGTGAAGAAGGGTTGAAGTAGATATATAGTTCTACTTCCCTTGCTTCTCTACATTCTCTGGTTATACATTCCCAGCTCCAACCTCTCCTTCTCTCTCCCTATGCATCTATTTGGTGTTCTCTATCACTATCCTTATTGTGCTTTCTCTTCAATCTTTTAATGCCCCTGTTAAAGGTGGCTGCAGACAGCATTGGGAAACTCTTCCTCTCTGCTTAGTATTAATTTTATTCTTCTTTATTTTATTTATTTGTTTTTTGTTTCATTTTACCTTTTTTTTGTTGGTTTTGAGACAGAGTCTACTTTTGTCACCCAGGCTGAAATGCCATGGTGTAATCACAGCTCACTGAAGCCTTGAGCTCCTAGGCTCAAGCGATTCTCCCACCTCAGCCTCTCAAGTAGCCAGGACTACAGGCGTGCATCACTGCACATGGCTAATGTTTTTATTTTTCGTAGAGAAGGGGGTCTCCCAATATTGCCCAGGCTGGTCTTGAAGTCCAATGCTCAAGCAATCCCCCCACCTTGGCCTCCCAAAATGCTGGGATTACAGGCACAAGTAACCATGGCTGGTCAACTTTGTTCTTCCTGATACAGCTCTTGGGTGTCCTTGTCTCTTAATCTACTTAACAGTCATATGATGAAAACCTGTGATACTATTTTTCACCTTTACCCTACTTGACACATAGGTACTATGCAGTTTAGATATGTGTCTGATCTACCAGAGCTGGGCTTAAGGAGGAAAGCTCAATAGCACTCAGGTAAAATGCTGATTTCTTCAATGCTTGAAGGTAGAAGTCACAAGGCACTAAGCATTCATACTGAAATATTGGAAGATACCTCAGATGACAAATACCACCTTCATGTCAGGGATGAGTCCCAGGACATATATGTCTATTACAGTGATGGGAGAGAGACTAAAATGGAAAGATTGTGAAATGATACAAGGGAAAAGATTCTTCTTGAATCTGTTGAAAACACTTATCTTTGGAGCAGAGGGCAAGTATGGATGTCCTAGCTCTCAGGATCAAGATATCATTAAATTCCTTCACATGAAAATCCAGGGTCTCAAAGGTTCATAATTCCTGGAAATAATCTCATAGTTTAATAAAACATTGAGTGCATCTCTGTTCTCTAACTCAAGGTAACTTCACCTTACTGTATGTCTACTTTCAGAGGCCTCTCTCACCAGATCATTTGGCTATAAGTCCTGGTTCTGCTGTTTCCAAGCTTGTTATCTACAACAAATTACTTCATCTTTGAGCCTTTGTTCTCTCATTTTTTATAAATAATGATAATGATAGGTACCCTGCAGAGTTGTTTGAAAAATTAAGAGTTAACATAATTCAGCTCCCTAGCTAAATGACAGTAATAGAGCAAGTCCTCAGTGAATTATCTCCAGATTTATGTGTGCTTTCCAAGTTGCCTCCACTTTTTTGTTGATTAACGTATCCTGCTATTCCTGTGCCTCATGATCTCTTTCATGTGATCTGCCCATTCCTAATTTGCTCCATTTACACGTCTGTATTTATTTAAATTTGTAACTTCATCTTCATCTTTTGCCCTGTATGCCATTGTTTCTAAGTGTATGTTAATAATTTTATGGATATCTTTATATTTAGCTTTCTTCTGATAGTTCATACCAATTTTATAAATCACTACATACTTATCATTTATTCCTAGATTTATATTATTATATTTCTAGCCACATGTATTTCAACCTATATTAATTATTTCTAAATACCTCCATTTATCTAAATAGCCTCAATATCTTTCCCTAAAATTAATGACTTCTTTCTGGAGATAGTCTCTGCCTTTAGTACATCCTTTTATCTATAGTTATGTGTATAATATATATTGTATATAGCAATATACAATATATCATCCATATATATCATCATTGATCCTTTTGCTACCATTATGGTTTTTAATATGACCTTTGCATATTATCATGTATTTGTTTTTTGTATTTCAATAGATAATAAAATGAATCAATCCATAAAATGCAACATAAGATATACATATACTAGGCTTATATGCATATAAGCATGTGGAAGGGTATGTGTATATTTGTAAAAATGAAAATGAAATGTTTAATCAACAAGGTAAAATGAGCAAAGCATTAGCACAACACCTCTTTTGGGATACAATATTTACATACCAAAACTTATTTTCACTGAGGAATTTACAGATGGTGTAGAAGACAGGAATGTAAATAATCACAAAACACATGATCACTTCAATGAGGGGTGTGTATGAATTGCTGCCGGAGCTCAGAGTTGAGTCATGGCTTAGTGGACAGAGAACACTGCAAAGGAAGTGACATTGTAGTTGTCTCAGATGATGAGCAATAGTTCCACATGTGGGTAGGAGATGAAAGGGCATTTCAGGCAGAAGAAACAGCATTTGCAAAGATCTGACATAGTGAAATATCAAGGCATGCATAGAGAATGAAAGCCACTATGCATGCCACCTTTGATGCTTTCTGGAGTGGTAGGGGGGTCGGGAGGTAGTGATGATGAGAGGATGTAAAGCTGGAAGGGTAGACCTGAGGCAGCTTATGAAAGGATTTGTATGTCTTGCTTAGGAGTTTGAACATTTTCCACTAGACAATGGGAAGCAAAGGGAATAACATAATCAGCTTTGTTTTTAATTTTATTTAATTTTTAGGATGATCACTCTTGTGGCTATTTGTAAGTTAAACGAAAGAAGAAAAGACTGGACTCAGAAAAAAACAGTTAAGAGATCATTGCACCATGTAGGAAGTCATGAAGACCTGAGATGCAGCAGGGGCAGAGGGGGGAAGAGTAGGGGTGTATTTGAAAGCAAGTACAAAGCAGAATGAATAGTGTGGTGACTGTATGTTAAGTTAAGGTGGAACCAGCATCCAGGGTGAATGAAAAATGGTGTGAATGGATCATTGTCAGAAACTGGACCTTGGAAAAAGAAAATGTATAGGAGGAGATGAAAACTTATTTTTGTCCACATTGAGTTGGTTGAGCCAAAATTGAAACACCTATAAATATATACATAATCACAGAGATTAAAAGACTACACTGATGCCTAGCTAAAGAAATGATTTAGTTTGAATAAATCACCAAAGTAGAATGCCCTTTAAAAGAGTTCTAAACTTCACCGGAGAAAAAGAGAATACGCCATATTTAACCCTGCCTTTAGACAATCTCATTACTTGTTCCAGTTATTTAAGCAATGACAACTTTTTAATTCTAGAGCCTTACACACAAGAGAAGGAAGAATTTCAGGAGTCAAATCATTTGCTTCTAGCTTAACAATCAGTCTCTAAAATATTGTTGAAAACTCTAAGAGCTAACCTCATTGTCGTCTCTAAGACTTAACTTTCAGGCTCTTTCTACTCCCACCCCTATCCTTTATTTCTCTTCATAAGAAGCAAGAAGCAAAAAGTAACAAGGGTTGCAGTACTCTGATCTCTAGATGAGACAATGCCAAGTCATTCTCTAGTGATTAAGGATACATGAACCAAGCCTAATTTTATACCCTTCCTTCCACTCATCTATCTATCCATCAACAGGCTTATATGTCAGGATACAGAGAGACATAGCCATTAGGATTCAATAATTTGTATTCTCTTGAGGCCAGCTGATCTATGCTCTCAGTTTTCGTTGTTCACTGCTTTCCTGACCACCCTCTTAGTGAACATAGTCCTAGGGCTATTCAAGTTCATAGCACCTTGGCCAAAGTGTGTGATCAGAGAAATCACTTTGGAAGTGGAAAGAGTCCTGATCTGGGACTTGGGCTACCTGAAATCTAGTCCCTTCAAGGCAGCCATTAGCTTCAGGTCCCTAGATAGCTTCCTCTCTCTGAGATTTATAGTCTTCATCTGTAGAATGACAAAGTGGGGCCAGATAATTCCTGGGGGTTCTTGTTGCCATGACATTCTGAAAATCTATGATCCTACTCAAGTTTTAAATAGTATCTGGAGACCCCTCTGGAATGAGTGACAGGATTCAGAACTAGGAATCCAAAATCATGTTGAGTTGGGCAGACATCCCCCTGGGACAGATTCCATGCACATAGTTGGCATATGTACTGTGAGTTACAAAGCACCTTCATTCCCATTATCTGATTGTTTCTTTGTGGGAACCTGGTAAAGTCAGTATTATCACTTTTATCGTCATATGAGGAAAATAAAGTCCAGACAGCTAAGTGGCTAATTAAGTTCGTTTTAACTGTGAGGTGTCAGATTTATTTATTATATTTTTTAAATTTTTTATTTCCATAGGTTTTTGGGAAATAGGAAGTATTTGATTACATGAGTAAGTTCTTTAGTGATGATATGTGAGATTTTGGTGCACCCATCACCCAAGCAGTATACATTGAACCCAAGTTGTAGTCTTTTATCCCCCACCCCCTTCCCATCTTTCCCCTGAGTCCCCAAAGTCCATTGTATCATTCTTATGCCTTTGCATCATCATACCTTAGCTTCCACTTATCGGTGAGAACATACAATGTTCGGTTTTACATTCCTGAGTTACTTCACCTAGAATAATAGTCTCCAATTCCCTCCAGGTTACTGCGAATGCCATTAGTTCATTCCTTTTTATGGCTGAGTAGTATTCCATCATATACATATACTACAGAGTCTTTATCCACTTGTTGATGAATGGGCGTTTGGGTTGGTTCCATATTTTTTCAGTTGCAAATTGAGCTGCTATAAACACACATGAGCAAGTATCTTGTTCGTATAATGACTTCTTTTCCTCTGGGTAGTTACCCAACAATGGGATTACTGGATCAAATGGTAGTTCTACTTTTAATTCTTTAAGGAATCTCCACACTGTTTCCCATAGTGGCTGTACTAGTTTACATTCCGACCAGGAGTGTAGAAGTGTTCCCTTTTAACCGCATCCATGCCAACATCTATTATTTTTTGCTTTTTTTATTGTCGCCATTCTTGCAGGAGTAAGGTGGTATCACATTGTGGTTTTGTGGTCATTTCCCTGGTCATTAGGGATGTTGAGCATTTTTTCATGTATGCTGGTCATTTGTATGTCTTCTTTTGAGAATTGTCTATTCATGTCCTCAACCAAGTCTTTGATGGGATTGTTTGTTTTTTTTCTTGCTAATTTGTTTGAGTTCCTTATAGATTCTGGATATTATTCCTTTGTCGGATATATAAGTTGTGAAGATTTTCTCCCACTCTATGGGTTGTCTGTTTACTCTGCTGAAGTGGCTAATTAAGTTTTAAGTACTTTAGATTAGTTTTCTCATTTAATTAACACAACAACCCTATGGCCATAAGCCACATGCACAGCTGGGTCATGGGTGCTCCCTCTCCATCCTGAGCTGAGCGAGTGGATGGCTGCACAGCAGGTGCTCAGCCAGTGCTGCAGAGCAGTGCTTGAAGACAGCACCAGGCAGGTAGTGCTGTGGAGTAGCCCTTAAAGGCAGCACAGGGCAGGGCAGAAGTAATAAATGAGCATTATGTGAGCCACATAGAGTCAAGATGGACAGCTCTTTATGTTTTGCCTTCATAATATTGTCATTAATCATTAGCATTTAAAAATAGGGAGATTTTATTTAAGATTCCAGAAATTCAGCTTTCCTTCTAAAATCAAAAAATCTAGCATAGTTGAACGTACCTTCCATCATCCTTGCCAGCAGCTGCCCACCTTTAATAGGGCATTGCTATAGTTTGGGTGTTTATGCCTTCCAGACCTCATGTTGATATTTGATCCCCAGTGTGAAGATTTTGTCCCACTGTGTAGGAGAAAATATTTTCTAATTCCTTCTCTTCTCCTGCTGTTATCTCCCCTCTTCTTCCTCCTCCTCCTCCTTTCCATTTTAGAAGTAGATAATGAATCTGAGGCTCATGGAGACTAAGTAGCTTTCATACCATTAGTAAGTTACTAGAGCTCAGATTCAACCCAAAATATGTCTAAATCCAAATAAAGTCTCCGCTCATAAGCTTGGTCAGAATCTTTTAAGATTCTGTTGAAAGGGGTTGAAGGGTGATATAAACAAGTGAAATAATCCAGGTAGAAGGATTATTTCACTTTTAATTTTACCAAAGGAAAATAAAAGCACAAGTAAAATAACATAAGGAAACTTACACTGAATTACATTGTAGATATAGAAAAGAATAACGGAAAATTATAGAACGGCAAAATATTTACCTGTCGTAGTCCAAATGTGCCACTATAAAGGAGTATGTGAGGCCGGATAATTTAGAAAAGAAAAAAAAAAGAGGCTTATTGGGCTCACATTTCTGTAGGCTGAACAAGAAGCATGGCATCAGCATCGGCTTCTAGTGAGGGACTCAGGCCACCTCCACTCATGGTAGAAAGTGAAGGGGAGCAGGCTGTGCAGACATCACATGAAGAGAGAAGAAGCACGAGAGGGGTGAGGGAGGTGCCAGGCTCTTTTTAACAACCAGCTCTTGCAGGAACAAATAGAGAGAGACCTTAACCTCCACCCCTACCAGAGAGGGCATTAATCTATTCATGAGGTATCCTCCCCCATAACCCAAACTTCTGCTATTAGGCTCCATCTCCAACACTGGGGGTCAAATTTCAGCATGAGGTTTGGAAGGGATAAACACGCAAACTATAGCAATGCCCTATCTAAGGTGGGCAGCTGCTAATCAGGATAATGGAAGGTATGTTCAACTATGCTAGATCTTTTTATTTCAGAAGAAAATCTGAATTTCTGGAATCTTTAATAAAATCTGCCTATTTTTAAATACTAACAATTAATGACAGTATTATGAGGGAAAACATAAAGAGCTGTCCATTTTGACTCTATGTGGCTCACAGAGTACCAGATTATTATTTCTGCCCTGCACTGTGCTGCCTTTAAGGGCTACTCCACAGCACTACCTGCCTGGTGCTGCCTTCAAATACTGCTCTGCAGCATTGACTGAGCACCTGTTGTGCAGGCATCCACTTGCTCAGCTCAGGATGGGGAGGCAGCAGGCACCCATGACTCAGCAGTGCCTGTGGCTTATGGCCAGCATTTACCCTGAGTGGATTTGGGATAGTTTAAACATCATTCTTGGATGAATTTTTTTTTATTATACTTTAAGTTTTAGGGTACATATGCACAACGTGCAGGTTTGTTACATATGTATACACGTGCCATGTTGGTGTGCTGCACCCATTAACTCGTCATTTAGCATTAAGTATATCTCCTAATGCTATCCCTCCCCCCTCCCCCCACCCCACAACCGTCCCCAGTGTGTGATGTTCCCCTTCCTGTGTCCGTGTGTTCTCATTGTTCAATTCCCACCTATGAGTGAGAACACGCGGTGTTTGGTTTTTTGCCTTAATCCTCACAACAATCAGGAAGGAAGATTTAATTATCTCTCTTTTGCAGAAGAGTAATTTGATACTCAGATTGTTTATAAAGGTTGCATAGCTATAAGTACACGGCCTGGGATGTTAGACTCACCTTTGGCCCCATGGGCTCATCCTTCTATAGAGTTGCCTCTATCTTTGAAGTAACTTAAATTACTTCAGGTTAGAAAACACTTCCTCTTTTATGTCACTCTGGTAAGAATCTGAAGCAAAGTGGAAGTTGGCAGATACAATCATCTTTTAGGAGAGAAGATACCTTTGTCACTCCTCATCTCCCGACCATCAGGTCTTCTAGGGATGGAGGAGAAACTGTTAGGGCAATGAAGGAGGAAGAAAATAAGAATCTGCTATTCATAGTCCTGAGGCTTCAACACTAAGACAAGCCACTCCCACACTCTGTAGGTGACGGCAAGGGCAGGCACACAGGGAGGGAACCAGCTGCTGGAATGCCAGCCCGGTTGATGCACCAGGCGGATGCCAACCAGCTGTCTCATGGCCCAAGCCAGACCCAGAACCCTTTATATAAAGACAGCCCTCTTCCCAGATGCCTCAGCCTGAAGGACTGCTTGCCTGTGAGGAGGGTGAGTCTAGGAACTGGATCCTGGGATCGGGGTGGATGTGATGTTCAGGGGAGAGCCCAGGTTCACAGTCGTGAGGCACAAAGAAGGGAGAAGCTAGGCACCAGGGAGGGCGAGGGGTGCATTAACCTGAGGAGAAAAGTCTGGTGAGCTTTTAGGAGACAGAAGCATAGCTACAGAGTTTACGAGATGAGCTAGGGCTGTGAAGCTAGTGTATTTGCCTTTGATAACCCTGACCTTATCCTCAGGTACTATTTTCCCTCATGATCTTTCTGGAAAAGCCACATTAGCAATTTACACCTTATGAGCAAAGTTGTGTGTGGAAGGGTTACCTTCCCCAGGGAAATAGATATGTAGGTATTCTCTACAAATTGAAAATAGAAGGTTTGAACCCTCATCAGGAGCATTTGGGGAGCTTATTGAAAGACGGTTTGTTGGATGAGCCTGTTGTCAAATGATCTTGTTTTGCTGGTCAGTGGGCTGCCTGCACATAAACACGTGCATCTGACACAAGCAGACGAGTGAGGCTGCCCTGTGCTCTCCCCAGCTAAGCATGGTGTCAGGGTGTATGCCTGCAGCCCTCACGTTATGTTTGCAATGCCCCAGCTGCGTAGATCTTTAAGTATGGCAGAATGTCCGTCTTCTGATTAAGAACCTTGGACTTTCTGGCTTACTCCATCTTAGGTAACTCCACCTTGCCTCTAAGAAGAGCTGGGGAAAAACATTTCTGAGGCCTGCAGACTGTCACACTTCAGGTGATTAGCAACAGCAACCTGACTGGGCAAGTTGCCATGGTGGTCAGAGTCTTTCCAAGGCTGGTGTGTTTTGCATGGGCACACTTTGCACGTGTCATGTTTAAATGAATTTATTTCAAAACATTGTGTCATGTTTAAATGAATTTATTTCAAAACATTGTATCATGTTTAAATGAATTTATCTAAAAACATTGAATATAGAGAAACAAACATTTAATGTTGGGTTTGAGCTGCCCGCTTTCCAGTGAATGCTTTGACATTTTGTGAATGCAGATGGTGCTGAGTGCTTATTCTCATATGTACGTTCTTACATGTTTGCACATTTATGTGTACTGCCAGTGCACATGTGTGAGTAAATCCAAGCTCCTGTGGGAATGGAGTTTCCACTTTGGGCTATAGCCTTAGGAGCAAGTTGTTATCTCTACTTCCTGTAGGGCTGCTCAGACCACATTGGATGTGAGAAAGTGTG
Source organism: Homo sapiens (assembly GCF_000001405.40). Lineage (NCBI taxonomy): Eukaryota > Metazoa > Chordata > Mammalia > Primates > Hominidae > Homo > Homo sapiens. The sequence goes on from NC_000001.11 coordinate 152,759,281, forward strand.
GAGACGAAAGGAGAATCCTTTTGTCATCAGTGCCCTCTTTTCTGGGCATTGGTAGGTCCACCCCCAGGGAGATCCTGGACATCTGCAACCCTGGATGTGCCCTTTGACAGACCCAGGGCAGGTCTAACAGATTAATCCTGGGTCGAACTAAGTCAGGACACTTGGATGAAAGTTGAGGGTGGAGGAAGAAAAGCTAGGGAAGATGCAGGGTGTCTTCCTCTAGGTCCTGGCACCCCCTCTCCAACTCTCACCCTCCTGACCCTGGTCTCTTTGCCCTCAGGTCACTCTTGACTGGCTGCATCAGGACCATGTGTGACCAGCAGCAGATCCAGTGCCGCCTGCCGCTCCAACAGTGCTGCGTCAAGGGTCCCTCCTTCTGCTCCTCTCAATCCCCCTTTGCCCAGAGCCAAGTGGTGGTTCAAGCCCCTTGTGAGATGCAAATTGTGGACTGCCCTGCATCATGCCCAGTTCAAGTTTGCCAGGTGTCAGACCAGGCTCCATGCCAGTCTCAGACCACACAGGTGAAGTGCCAGTCTAAGACCAAGCAGGTGAAGGGCCAGGCTCAATGTCAGTCTAAGACCACCCAGGTGAAGGGCCAGGCTGCATCCCAATCTCAAACTTCCTCTGTTCAAAGCCAGGCTCCATGCCAATCTGAGGTGTCCTACGTGCAGTGCGAAGCGTCACAACCTGTTCAGACTTGCTTCGTAGAATGTGCTCCAGTTTGTTATACAGAAACTTGTTATGTAGAATGCCCAGTCCAGAACTATGTACCCTGTCCAGCTCCTCAGCCTGTCCAGATGTATAGAGGGCGTCCTGCAGTGTGCCAGCCTCAGGGAAGATTCTCCACCCAGTGCCAGTATCAAGGCTCCTATAGCAGTTGTGGCCCCCAGTTTCAGTCAAGGGCTACCTGCAACAACTACACCCCCCAGTTCCAGTTGAGGCCTTCCTACAGCAGCTGTTTCCCTCAGTATCGGTCCCGGACTTCATTTAGTCCCTGTGTGCCCCAGTGCCAGACCCAGGGCTCCTATGGGAGCTTCACTGAACAGCACCGCTCTCGGAGCACCAGCAGATGCCTTCCTCCTCCTCGGCGGCTGCAGCTTTTCCCCCGCAGCTGTTCCCCACCAAGACGTTTTGAGCCCTGCTCCAGCAGCTACCTGCCACTAAGACCCTCTGAAGGTTTCCCTAACTACTGCACCCCACCCCGCCGCTCTGAACCCATATATAACAGTCGCTGTCCTCGCCGCCCCATTTCAAGCTGCTCTCAGAGACGTGGCCCCAAGTGCCGAATCGAGATTTCCTCCCCGTGCTGCCCCAGGCAGGTTCCCCCACAGAGGTGTCCTGTTGAGATTCCTCCCATCAGACGCCGCTCCCAGAGCTGTGGCCCGCAGCCCTCCTGGGGCGCCTCCTGCCCTGAGCTGAGGCCACACGTAGAGCCACGTCCACTCCCAAGCTTCTGTCCACCACGGCGTCTTGACCAGTGTCCAGAGTCACCACTGCAGCGATGTCCACCTCCTGCTCCACGTCCACGTCTGCGCCCAGAACCATGCATAAGTCTAGAACCACGCCCGCGTCCTCTACCACGACAACTTTCAGAACCTTGTTTGTATCCAGAACCACTTCCAGCACTACGTCCAACACCGCGGCCAGTTCCCCTTCCTCGCCCAGGGCAGTGTGAGATTCCAGAGCCACGTCCATGCCTGCAGCCCTGTGAGCACCCAGAGCCTTGTCCACGACCAGAGCCAATTCCCCTGCCGGCGCCCTGCCCAAGCCCGGAGCCCTGCAGGGAGACTTGGCGCAGCCCCAGCCCATGCTGGGGCCCAAATCCAGTTCCATACCCAGGAGACCTAGGCTGTCATGAGTCTAGTCCACACCGCCTAGACACCGAAGCTCCCTACTGTGGCCCATCCAGTTACAACCAGGGGCAAGAGAGTGGTGCTGGCTGTGGGCCTGGTGATGTGTTTCCAGAGCGGAGGGGTCAGGATGGCCATGGAGACCAAGGCAATGCCTTTGCTGGAGTGAAAGGGGAAGCAAAGAGTGCTTATTTTTAAAGGAAAGGTGACTGAGATAACCCTCTCTCCTGCTCTGAAAATGTTGTTCCTCCTATTCCACAATTTCCAGTACGCTCTTGTTTGAATCTCTCCAAAGATATTCAGAGACTCCCTATTACGAAGGTGATGTCCAAACTCCTTTGCCTATCATCCAAAGATCCACACCTGGGTCTCAGATGCCTCTCCAGCCTCACGTGTCACTCCTCGCCCGTACGCATCCTCGGCTCTAGCCAGACCAGTCTGGCCACTGGGCACAGCTTGGGTGTTCCCCAGGCCATACTTTAGATGTCCCTGCCTCCAAGCCTCTGCTCACTCTTCCCCACTCTGCCTGGACCACTTCTCTCCTCCTCCCCAGCTTCTGAAATCCACCCCATCTTTCAGTGCCTCTCCCTTGGAGCCTTCTTTGCTTGTTCCCACTCACAAGAACCTGTGCCGACTTCCTAGAACTCACTGCATCCCCCGCACTACTTGGTAACTGCCTGGTGACATCTCTTGAATTGTTATTTCACTTTGCAGGCATGTCTTCCTTATCTGCCCAACTAGGTTGTAAACTCCCAACTGAGTGGAGTCGGAGAATCTCTAAATCTCAGTGTCTATCCTGGGGCTGGCTGTTGCTTAGCAAGGCTTGTGGGTTGGCAGCTTGAACCATGTTCTGTCCTGATGCTCAACTGCAGGAACTGAGGTGAGAGGAGGCCATGTGACAATAAAGATCATTATGTACTCACTGCCTGAGTCCTGAGTCATTCCTGCTTTTATTCCTTGATTTGCTGAGATGAGGTTTTTATTGTTGCTATTTTAATTGTGATAGTAAAACACATGTAACATAAATTTTACCATCTTCACCATATTTAAGCATTCAGTTCAATGGCATTAAGTACATTCACATTGTTGTGCTACCAGCACCACCATCTGTCCACAGAACTCATCTCGCTGAATTAAATCTTCATCCATTAAATAATAACTCCTCATTCCTTGCTCCTTCTAGCCCCTAGCAACCACCATTTCTGTCTCTATCAACTTGACCATTCTAGGCAGCTCATATAAGTAGAAAAAGACATTATTTGTCCTTTTATGACTGGCTTACTCCACTTAGCATAATGTTCTCAAGGTTTATCCAAGTTGTAGCATGTGCCATAATCTCTTTCCTCTTCAAGGCTGACTGATATTCCATGGAATGTACATACTACATTTTGTTTATTTATTCATCAGTGGATGGATGGGCACTTAGGTTGCTTTCACCTTTTTTCTTGTAGTAAATAGTGTTGCAATGAACATGGGTATACAAATATTTCTGTGAATCCCTGATTTCAATTCTTATGGATAGATACCTGGAAGTGGGATCACTGGATCATAGGTAATTTTACTTTTAGTTTTTTGAGGAACCGCTATACTATCTTTCATAGTGACTACATAATTTTACATTCCCACCAACAGGGTACAAGTCCTAATTTCTCCACATCCTTGTCAACATGTGTTATTTTCTGTTCATTGTCTTGTTTTTGTAATAGCCATCTTGATGGATATGACATAGTATGAATTTTCATTTTAATTTATTACCTTTCTTCTTTAGTTTATTGTACCCATGGTGTGAGCTTTTTAAGCCTAGACCAAGTGGGTTGTCTTGTGAGTTTCCAATCTTCCCTCAGTGTCCTTGGCCCCAGATGGAAAGGATGAAGAAAAAGACAAGGGGATGAGGGAACAGGGAGAATAACTCTGCCCCCTGGTCTAGGAGTAAAGGACTTCAGGCCTGGCTTTGGTTAACTGGGTTTTGCCCAGCTCTAGGGCCACAGTCACAGCCCTGTTGCCTCTGGAACCAGAGGAAGGGAAGAATGAAGCACCTGGAGGCTCTCTGGGGATACTCCTCTTCTTCCAGAACTAGGCCGGGCATGGTGGCTCATGCCTGTAATCCCAGCACTTTGGGAGGCTGAGGAGGGCTGATCACCTGAGGTCAATAATTCGAGTCCAGCCTAACCAACATGGTGAAATCCCGTCTCTCTATTAAAAATACAAAAATTATCTGGGCGTGGTGACGTGCACCTGTAATCCCAGCTACTCAGGAGGTTGAGGCAAGAGAATTGCTTGAACCCAGGAGGCAGAGGTTGCAGTGAGCCGAGATCATGCCACTGCTCTCCAGCCTGGGCAACAGAGCAAGACTCCATCTCAAAAAAAAAAAAAAAAAGAACTAAATTATTTACTTTTCTTTCTGTTTTCTTTTATGGAACCATTTGAGTCTGACTCTGCATTCCTCAACTGGTCCCAGATTCCATTAGGCATGGGTGGTCTTGGCAGCATGAAGGTAAGGGCTGGAGGGGAAGAAGAGACAGAAGTGACTCTCCTCTCAGTCCTTGCAGGTGAGATGAACGCTGGGTGGGGATGTGGCTCTGGAGGATGAGGGTGCTGGAGGACAGGACCTCCCTCAGGGAGAGAGAATGAAAAAGCTCCACTTAGGAGGACAGCGGAGGGCAGCTCTGGCCCGGGCCTCTGAACGTCTGATCCATTGTCCTGCTCCTCACAGTCCATGCCCCAGAGGACCTCACAGCTACAGAGCCATAGTTGGGAAACAGATCCAGGGCCTGGCTCTGAGTATGTGTCTCCCTTGCCCAAGGGATCTAGTTCTGCCAGGCTGATGGTGGAGACTTCAGAAACCAACTAGTAGAACCCTGTGTCATATAAAGGAAAACTGAGGCCCTTCATGTGAAATCCATTCATTCATTTATTTGTTGGGCAATACTTATTGCTCGTCTGCTAGGATGGTCCTGGTTAGAGAGACAGACATAACCTTGTTTACTGTCAGTGCATAACCTAGTATACTGGTCCTCAAAATATGGTACCTGAACCAGCAGCATCGGCAACACCTAGGAACTTGTTAGCAATGCAAATGAAATGCATCACCCCAGACCTAATGAAGTAAAGACTCTGAGAGCAAGGCCCAGCAAGCTGTGTTTTAACCAGCTCTCCTAGTGCTGCTGATGCCCAGGAACATTTGGTCATCACTGGTTTGGTGAAATGCCATATGCAGATAGAATATTAATATACATATATAGTATATGTATATCTGTGTGCGTGTATACAGACACATATCTACATAACTATCCATCCTCTAATTCCCATAATATTCGGTCAGGCAGGCATTATAATTTTGCCCTTTTGCAGAATTAAAAACCTAAGCACTCAGGGTTTAAGCTCTTGCCCAAGCCATAGGGCCACTCGTGACTCCCAGTCTGCACTCTTTTCTACCACACATGGAACCTTTGATCTTAGTCACAGTCCCTGCCTCTTCCAAAGATCTTTCCTGTTTTAACCCAATTATTTTCCTAACACAATCTTGGAGTTCTCTCAATCACTGAATGGGTTATTTCAGTTCCACATCTGCCTCCTCTCTTAAAATCCAAGCTACTCTAGAGTTGAATTTGCTGTGTGGCAAATCCCCCAGGGGCTTGGCAGGGCCTGAATTTGGCCCCATAGAGCATCTCTAGGTTTCCATCACCCAGGCCTCTGGGTGGGAGTGAGGAGGGCAGGGTAGGGAGAGGCTTGGAAGCTCTAGTTTGGGAAGGGATTCTTGTTACATCTCTCCCATAGCCTCGAAAACACACTGCTAGACAAGGAACCCCTTGCCTGGGGATGCTTGGGGGCAGACCATTCACTCCCTCAAAATATTGAAGAAACATATAACTGGCTGTGAGAAAGTGGCATTCACTTCTAAGAAGTCCTGACCTCCCCCAGGTCTGGGCAGCAGGTCCCCATCGAGGATCTTTATTGAATGAGTGATGCTCTGTAGTCTGCACCATCCCCTGGGGATAGATTCTGGTTCCCAGAATGATGGTAGAATGGAGGGGTCTTTGGTTGGGCAAGCCTGGAGCTGAGCCAAGAAACCCCCAATGGCTTGGTGTTCTCCACCACCCAGGGCTATGCAGGAGCCAGCCCCCAGACCATTTCTACAGCCAGAGACAAACACCTCAGAGGAAAAAGGCACACAGGGGTGTGTGTCTGTTTTTCATGTTTCTTTTTGTGTGTCTGTCTGTGTGTCTAACTGTCTGCTTTGAAAGCTTGGAGCTTTTAAAATGCATTTGGCAGCAGGGGCTGTGACCTCAGAAGTATGCTTTAGGTTATCCTAAGTCCTTCAGCAATAGCTTTGATGATCCCTGCCATCTCTTCTACTCTCCACCATCCACCATTTCACTGATGACAGGCATCTTGGCTTTCTGACCTTTCCTTTTGTGTCAACCACTTGAACGAAACTTAAAGTGTCTCCAGGACCAAGGCTGAAGACCCAAAAGAGCAAAAGGGACCATTTATAAGGCCCTTCGATGTACTCAAAAACCCACCAGAGAGGCTCCTCTTCAAATCCCACACGGATGTTAGGCAGTGCACAGGTTGTGTAGCTTCTGTACCAGAGTCTGGTGAACTGTTGCTCAGAAGTGCCCATGAATTGGCCAAGTCACAAAGTGTAAGGCAGTGATCAGTCCAGACGTCCATGCCTGACATCCAGCCATGCTGCCTCAGAACTGGGGCCTGGCTCCCAGAGAAGGGGAGAACATGAGAGAGATTGGGCCTGAAGATCACGCTTCTCACTTTGGAATCCTGCCTACATTCTTCTGCAATTCTGTATCTTTCTTCTCTTTCTAAGCTTTCCACAGTGGGATCTTCACTGTAGAATGAAAGATGTTCTCAGAGGTTCCTTCCAGACCAGGTGGGTTATCTAAAATTCCTTTTTGTGGAAGGCAGTATGCTAGAGTGAAATTATCTGGGGTACTCAAAGACACAGAATCCCAGGATACATCCTAGAACTACTTAGCTTGAACTTCCAGAATGAAAATCGGGGACCTCCATTTGAGAATTATTCTGATCAATCAGAAGTGAAAACCATTTCTATAATGAATATCCAGGTGTGTGAGCTTACTCACTGCCTAGGAGGAGGGTTGAAAGTTGTACATATCTGGCCCCAGCATGTGTAGGATGTGGAAGTGGTGGTGAAGACAGAGCTGACTGTTAACTGGTTTCTTGTAGGAGGTTTTATGTAATTGTCCATGTGGGGACACAAATTATCTACCTCTTGGTCTAGAAGTACCTTAAGATGAAGGAATCTCTTTCTTTTCCACAATTAAATCCCCAACTTCACTGCCACCAAAAATCTCCCATACAGACATATGGGAGATGGGGGTCTAGCCATAGCATATCTCTCCTCTACCCAGGCATTACCTGGACATTAAGAGAAAGAAATTCCACATCCCACAGTTTGTCCTACACATTATAACACCCTTTAGTGAATCAACAAATACAACTGTTATGCATCAGAGAATAGCTCAGCTGTTCATATTAGAATCCATAGGTAGACAGCAGTAATGGGAACCATGAATTCTGGCATGGCATGAATGGATTCTAGAGGATCCACATGCCTATGCCTGAGACTAGTCAGGAAGACGGGGTGATGCCTGATGATCTATGTGCTTCTCATCACCAGAGACCATCCAGCTCATTCCTCCAAAAGATGGTGTTTCCTGTTCTGGAAGGCTAAGCTAGACCTATCTAGGGGCCTAGGAATAACCCAAGCTGTGCCAAATCTACCCATCACATCTTGTCATAGGAACCCTGAGCTAGATCCACACCTTTCCTCTATTCTCTAGTGCACGCCCATCAGGGAGGGAGGAAACCACTTATGAACTTGTGTCAACACATTCATTCACTTGACAAATATTTATTGAGGCTCTGCTGTCTTTCAGGAACTGGTATTGATCCTGGAGATACACTAGTGAGCAATGCAGACAATAATATAGTGAGAACTTCAATATGGGAGGCTCAGAGTACCATGGAAACCCACAAAGGGGGAAGTTTAGCAAGTCCAGGGCCTAAAGGAGGTAACTACAAGTCAGAGATGAGACAAATGAGTGGCAGTTAGCTGATGATGGAGGAGAGAGGGGAGTCTTCTCCCCTCTCAGAGATAACAGCAGGCATGCTATCAGCATCATTGACTTAGTGACAGACAGCCTGGTGAGGAGTAGGTCCTCATTAATTAAATATCCTTCCTGGTTCCTAACACTATATGGAAGTTTTATGCTGGTCCCAGGACTCCATTCTCAGCCCTGTTGTAATGAACTTTTTATCAGCACCTTGGGGAGAAGCTTGAAAAGAAACTGGCCTAAATTTCAGGTTACTTCAAGTCATGAAGGAGAATTGAAGAGTAAAATTCTGATTTAACATGGGCAAGAATAATGAATTTAATCTGACAAGACAAAACGTAATTAAAGTAAACATTAAGTTTTAATGTACATTAAAGATTAGCCACACTTGTAGAAGATGAGTGGGTATATGCACAGTTGCACACATGAAGAAATTTTGGTTGATTAGAATCTTAGTGTGGGCCAAGAGTGAGATTGTGCCAAACGGCAATGAACTCCTGTTCTGAATAGCTCTGTGTGATGGGGTCATTCTGCTTGGCACAGATATGCGCACACCTGAGCACTGTGGTCAGCTCAGGTCAAATGTGTGGGGCTGGAGGATAGTGATCTACTATGTGCCAGCCACCATCTGAGGTGGGAAATCCTTCCTCATGCTCACAACTTGGAAAGGTGACATCATTCACCCCATTTTACAGACATTAGAAGACACAAAATCTAGAGAGGTTAACTAGCTTATTTGGTCACACATCTAAGACGTGATAGTGATGGAATTCAAGCCTAGGCTAATCTTGTTCCAAAACTTGATCTGCCTCCCTGTGGAAGGAAGAGTAACACTATGTTTTGAAGGGACTAGCACGCTTCCATCTTGCATTATTTATAGTGCTTTCACTTAGAAAAAGAATCAGCTTTTTTGGTAAAACAAAGAGTTCAGTTTCAATGCATGGAAACTGTAAGAAGATTCTGGCTAGAAATAAAGAAAAAGTAATAGAACTGTTTGGAAATGAAATATATTGTTCATCCATGCATTTAACAAACATTTAGTCATTGTTAATTGAATATTTATTATGTGTCAGACAGTATTTTGGATGATTGGGATAAATCAGTGAACAAAACAAGATCCTTATTTTCAAGGAGTTTAAATTCTAGCAGAGAAAAGAAAACATTGGGCATATTTTAAAAAATTATATAATAAATCAAAACATACAACTAATCTGGAAATCAGAACATATATAGCAAAGAAGACGACCTGGGCAAGCATCCCAAACAGTACAAAAAGGGGAGAAGTACTGAGCTAGATGTGTGGAAGAAGGGGCTGAGAGGCTGTGGGGCCTAAATACTCAGCAATAGAAAGGGCATGGAAGAGGCATCATGAGAGGAGGGTTTGAGCCCAGTTGTACCACTCATTAGCTGAGAAGTGTTGACTCAGGCAATTTTTCTGGCTCTCAGTTCCCCCATCTATAAAATGTAGCTGAAAATATGTCTACCTGTCTGGATCACTCTGAGGATTAAATGAGATAAGCTATTTAAAATAGTATATTATAAAACACTAAAAATATATTTGCTTTTGGCAGTGAAATATTCACCTGGAGAAAAGGGGGATGATTGGCTTGGGAAATGGCCTGTTTGATGAAGGAGGTGGGCCACAAGGGTTATTCAAGCCCAGGCAGGAGCAGAGACTGAATGAGCCGCAGGGATGCACATGTAGGGATGCTTGTGGTCAGCAGGGGCAGGCAGGAAGCTTCAAGGAGGAGGAATTGAAGCGGTGGTGGGTTATGGAATAGCAGAGAGGACACGGATAGGGTGAATTGGAAAAATGCCTTAAGCAAAACACTGAGTCTAGAGGAAGTATAAGATCTGGGGGAAGGAAGTCCAGATGTCAGAGTGAGGGTGGGGTTAAGCACAGCAAGGTCAGCAGCCATCACAGACGGTCATCAGTGTATTGATGCCACTCAGCCAGTGTGCCATCAGCACGGCTCCTTAGTTCACCAGAGGGAGAGGAAATATGAGACAGGGGAGGCTTTGCAGTCAATCAGAAATACTATTTAGGCTCGAATTGGGATTGGGTCCTTAGTCACTGAAAGCTGTCCTTCCTTGACCTGGCCTGAATGTGAAATCTGGATTGAGCAATAAGTTAATTAATCAGTCATTTCTACAGCATTTCATCAGCATTCTTCTGAGGTTTGCTTTGTTCGGTGAGAAATCCAGGAGGTGTCTCCAGTGAGTATAGTCTTAATCCTCCTGTACCAGGGCAGGATTTCTTATCCTCAGCACTACTGACGATTTGGACAAGATAATTCTTTCTTAGAGAAGGCCTATTCTGTGATTTGAAGGGTGCTTAGCAGCATCTGTGGCTTCTACCAACTAGATGACAGTAGCTGTGATGATCGAACACTTATCCAGACTGTCCAATGCCCTCTTCTGGGGTGTGGGAGTCAGGCCATCCCCAACCTCACCCCATTGAGAACCACTGAATTAGAGGAAAGTCTTAGGCTTTGTCCTCAGGGCCATCCCAAGCCAACAGTGAATCACACCTTCCCCTTACCTCCATCCCAAGAACCTCCCATTCATTAAAAATAAAAAGTCTCTATAAGGCACGAATACATGCAAATACATGCAAGCAATTACAACTTTAAGGATATACAGAAGGTTTTAATTTTTCCCCAAGGGATCTGCATGCTGATTACGGAAGAGTTGTTTATCTTGGCTATTATGGCAATTGTGAGTAGATTATCTGTGCCAGTAATTATAATCATTATTTGGCAAACTTGTCCAAGAGCTCAGAATACTCACTTTCTAACCTTCCTACTTAGTTGCCATGCAGTGCTAGTGGCAACTTGAAAAATGTATAAGCAGGAAATTCTATTGTCTTGGAAAAGTATAACACAGGTCTTTTTAACACAAAGAGGAATTATTTGTATTGATGATTAGTCAATGGGTTTAATAGGTAAAAGGAGAAAAAGACAAAAATGCACAAGGGCCCTTGGGGGGACTTCAAGAGCATGCCTACAGATCCTCTTCTGGATACCCACAGCTGCTTTTCTGGGTGCCCATGACTGCTCTTCTGGGTACCCACTGAACACAGGAGACTAGTTGAGAACAAGTAAAAACATTAGGAACACATTATGAATTAGGGCTGGTGATATGATTATGAGTGGGGAGAATCTTGGGGTATCAGTTACAAATGGAGAGAATCTGAGTCTTGTTTAAGTCTAAGAATTTGGGCAGACAGACTGATACAAGGTTCTCTTAAACAAAGTAGTGATTATTAGAGATAGATTGTTGCTCCTGAAAAATGCTAGATTTATTTCTTCCTCCAATGACTTTCATCCTAGATCCTTGGCAACAGATGTGTTTCGAAATTTAGAACTTTTTTTTTAAGGAGGGTAATACAATGAATCAAATTCATTAGTAACACTGCAGGTATGCTTCAAAATTGGCCATGTTCAGTCTCAATATGATGGAATTAGAACCAAGGACTTGACCACATGTTAGGCAGGCAAGGTAAGGGTGGGCAGTCCAGGACCATCTGCTATCCCTAAAGTTTCAGGGATCCTTCTCCTTGGGGAGAACATTTATATTTTTACAACAGAAAATAAGAATATTTACAGCAAAGTGAAGGGAGTTCACTGTCTGTTCTGGTCAGGTTTTTTTTTTTTTTCGGCCACCATATGAATATTGTCAACAATCAGACAAAAACTCAGTTTTTAGGGGTGCTGGAATTGGAAATTGTGACTATGAGAGTGTGGATATGTAGTAATATTTGACGATTATCAGCAATGGTATTTTCTCATCTCATTTTCTACTGCTGTTGCCCTCTGTGTTAGTCTGTTCTCACACTGCTGTTAAAGACATACCCCAAAAAAGTACCCAAGACTGGGTAACTTATAAAGGAAAGAGGTTTAATTAACTCACAGATCAACATGGCTGGGGAGGCCTCAGGAAACTTACAATCGTGGTGGAAGGGGAAGCAAACACATCCTTCTTCACATGGCGGCAGCAAGGAGAAGTGCTGAGCAAAGGGTGAAAAGTCCCTTATGAAACCATCACATCTTGTGAGAACTCACTATCACGAGAACAGCAGCATGGGGGTAACCACCCCCATGATTCAATTACCTCACGTGGGTCTCTCCCATGGTATGTGGGGATTGTGGGAACTACAATTCAAGATGAGATTTGGGTGGGGACACAGCTAAACCATGTCACCCTCTCTCACAGGGTCTCCCTTAAAGTCCTCTTCCATACTAGAATCCAGCACTAATGTGATCATTCTTCCCATCCTAAAACAATAAACATATACTTTAAAAAATAAAATTTAACTAAAGCCTTCAGGAGATGGATTTCTGACGAACACTCAATACAGCCCAGTCACTTGCCCTGACAATGGACTTTCCACAGGCTGAACTCAGTCTTTCTTTCAGCCTCAACTTGTGCCTTGTTCTCTATCACATGCCCTGCATTCCAACCACAAAAGACCACCTGCCCCTCCTACCCTGTATATATTGTCATAACCTTCACTTCTTCTCCACATACCTCCCTACTCCCTACCATCTCCATCTCTCTAACTTATCCAAACCTCACCACCACTTAAAGCCTGTATCCTATCAGACACCCTTAACAAACCTTTCCCAGACACCCTCCCTCAGAATCCCTCTCTCTTCCACCAGTCTTCCAAGACTAATTGGTATCCTCTTTCTGGACCTACAGTACCATTTATTGGCTTACTATGTATTTATCCTGCTTGGGATTTATTAATTCCTTGGCCCTATGGGTTAATAATTTTTATCACTTTTGGAGAATTTTTGACCATTATTTAAAAATATGTTGTTTCCTCCCCCATTCTATTTATTTTTTTTTATTATACTTTACGTTTTAGGGTACGTGTGCACAACGGGCAGGTTTGTTACATATGTATACATGTGCCATGTTGGTGTGCTGCACCCATTAACTCGTCATTTAACATTAGGTATATCTCCTAATGCTATCCCTCCCCCTACCCCCACCCCACAACAGGCCCTGGTGTGTGATGTTCCCCTTCCTGTGTCCATGTGTTCTCATTGTTCAATTCCCACTCATGAGTGAGACATGCAGTGTTTGGTTTTTTGTCCTTGCGATAGTTTGCTGAGAATGATGGTTTCCAGCTTCATCCATGTCCCTACAAAGGACATGAACTCATCCTTTTTTGTGGTTGCATAGTATTCCATGGTGTATATGTGCCACATTTTCTTAATCCAGTCTATCATTGTTGGGCATCTGGCTTCGTTCCAAGTCTTTGCTATTGTGAATAGTGCCACAATAAACATATGTGTGCATGTGTCTTTATAGCAGTATGATTTATAATCCTTTGGGTATATACCCAGTAATGGGATGGCTGGGTCAAATGGTATTTCTAGTTCTAGATCCCTGAGGAATCACCACACCTACTTCCACAATGGTTGAACTAGTTTACATTCCCACCAACAGTGTAAAAGTGTTCCTATTTCTCCACATCCTCTCCAGCACCTGTTGTTTCCTGACTTTTTAATGATCGCCATTCTAACTGGTGTGAGATGGTATCTCATTGTGGTTTTGATTTGCATTTCTCTGATGGCCAGTGATGATGAGCATTTTTTCATGTGTCTTTTGGCTGCATAAATCTCTTCTTTTGAGAAGTGTCTGTTCATATCCTTTGCCCACTTTTTGATGGGGTTGTTTGTTTTTTCCTTGTAAATTTGTTTGAGTTCATTGTAGTTTCTGGATATTAGCCCTTTGTCAGATGAGTAGATTGGAAACATTTTCTACCATTCTGTAGGTTTCCTGTTCACTCTGATGGTAGTTTCTTTTGCTGTGCAGAAGCTCTTTAGTTTAATTAGATCCCATTTGTCAATTTTGGCTTTTGTTGCCATTGCTTTTGGTGTTTTAGACATGAAGTCCTTGCCCATGCCTATGTCCTGAATGGTATTGCTTAGGTTTTCTTCTAGGGTTTTTATGGTTGTAGGTCTAACACGTAAGTCTTTAATCCATCTTGAATTAATTTCTGTATAAGGTGTAAGGAAGGGATCCAGTTTCAGCTTTCTACATATGGCTAGCCAGTTTTCCCAGCACCATTTATTAAATAGAGAATCCTTTCCCCATTTCTTGTTTTTGTCAGGTTTGTCAAAGATCAGATAGTTGTAGATATGCAGCATTATTTCTGAGGGTTCTGTTCTGTTCCATTGTTCTATATCTCTGTTTTGGTACCAGTACCATGCTGTTTTGGTTGCTGTAGCCTTGTAGTATAGTTTGAAGTCAGGTAGCGTGATGCCTCCAGCTTTGTTCTTTTGGCTTAGGATTGACTTGGCAATGAGGGCTCTTTTTTGGTTCCATATGAACTTTAAAGTAGTTTTCTCCAATTCTGTGAAGAAAGTCATTGGTAGCTTGATGGGGATGGCGTTGAATCTATAAATTACCTTGGGCAGTATGGCCATTTTCACGATATTGATTCTTCCTACCCATGAGCATGGAATGTTCTTCCATTTGTTTGTATCCTCTTTTATTTCCTTGGGCAGTGGTTTGTAGTTCTCTTCCTGAAACTCTAAATACATGGGTGCTAGAATGTTTGATATTATTCCACTGGTCACTGATCATCTGTTCATTTTTTTAATATTTTTCCCTTTCTTCAGTTCAGTTTGAACAATTTCTTCAAGTTCACCGATCTGTTCTTCTGCAACTTATAATCTGCTAAAACCATCCAATAATTCTTTGATGTTATATGTAATTTTGACCATATTTATTTTTCAAATATTGGTTTTTTATTGTTAGATTTTGCATTTGGTTAGTTTTGAGCATGGGAAACTGGGAAATTAAACCCAGGAAATGTGTATTGCAACAAAGCCAATAATTTCAAATTAAATATTGACTATGTCTATTCTTGTCTATACCAACTACACCACTCCAAGTCACAGTTCAAAGCCACCTCATTGGCTGTTCTCTTCTCTTCACCCTTCTCATCTTTATTTTACCTCATCCCTTCAGCTTTTCCTCAGGAAACTGCAAATTCTTTTATGCTATAATTTGGGGCAATATACATCCTTTAGTCCTCTTTTCTTATACCCACTCTGGATCTACCTTCAGAAAGCCCTATTCACTGAGGTACGTAGGAGGAAAAAAAAATGGCCTTTAGTTTTAATAAGAGCCACCTAACTTAAAAGGCACCTGTGACTTTAAAAATTCCCAATGTCCATTAAAATCTCAGGTTTGCCTCTATTTTTCTTTCTATCTATCTATCTATCTATCTATCTATCTATCTATCTACCTATTCATCCATTTCCTAATTATAACCACATGCCACATACTATCTCAGCTACTTCCCCTTTGTTATCTTAATTAATTTGTAAATCCTGCAGAAAAGATATTTCTCTTATTATCTTCATTTAAAACATCAGAAAGCCAATGGCCAAAAATATTGAATACTTTGCCAGGGTCTCCAAGGCCTCTTTTCTCGACTTCTATGATGCACACACATGCCCATGTGCACATGGACAAACCCCATAATGCAGGCATGTGGATTTTTAACCAAGCTATATGGACCCAAAGGTCTAGATGGAAAATTAGTATCTAGAATAGAAGGAAAAATGAGTTGTTTGTGCAGAATTCATAAGTGTGACTACAAGACTGTGAAGAGAGCCATCTTCATAGGAAATAGGCCACGGAGGACTCCAGGAACCATGATGTCCATTTTCACCCACCACAAGCCCCCATTTCCACCAAGCTCTTTCCTAGCTGACAGCAGCTCCCCTGAACACCAATGAAGGACGGTATATGCAGAACTGCCAGTCACCACTCGTCACAAGACCTATGTGGGTGTCGGGAGGCAGGTCCTCTCATGCCCAGGCTCTGTCTCACCGCTGGAGGCAGCACCCAAGGACAGAATAAAAGGGCTCAGGGCCAGAGCATCCCATCCACTCACCTCCTGCGGTGCTGAAGAACCCTGTGCTGCCTGTGATCCTGGTAAGTGTGCCCTGGAAAAAGGAGCAGGGGCTTCCACAGAGGGATGCCCAGGCCAGGGAAGGAGGGGATGGATACTCAGACCAGGGCAGGAGTAGAGTCTAGGCAGGGCCTCAGGGGCCTGGAATTGTGATTGGCAAGGAATGGGGTGGGGGCAGAAAATTGGAAAGAGGAGGTAGAGGGGTGGGGTGGAGTGAGAGAGATTAAGAAGAACTGGTAAGATCTGAAGGGCTGTATGACACAGATTTAGAGGAACCAAATTGTTTTCAGTTGCTCAGTGTGTTTCTCTGGTTTTAGAGAATAAACACATTGGCCACTGGATGTTGCTAGAGTGGGCTGCATAGTGGGAATATAATTTTGGAAATACAGACATACTCACTTTTAGAAAAGATATGCTGAGAACACTGCTACTTAGAGGAAGAAAGGATCAAAGACACCTGTGGATCTTGTTAGATGCCAACAAGAAGATCTGTAGTGGAAAACTGAGTGCACACTGGAGTTTAAAAGCCATGTGACAGTGCCTGGGGACAGGCCTGGGGAGGCAGGATGTGCTAAAGGGCAGAGCCCAGGATGGGAACCAGGGGACCCCGGAACAAATGTGACTGTTAATGAATAACTTTGGGCCAGTGAAGTTACCTCTTTTGGCTTCAGTTTCTTTATTTATATATTGAGTTGGTTGGAACAAATTGACTCCAACATCCTTTGCGGTTATAGTTTTCTCTATTTCTGCAAACTGAAATATATCAGTTCTTCCAATAGAAATTTATTTTGATTTTTCCTTAAAGAGATTTTCATCTCTAAACTGGTCTCAACATTGAACATTTTCAGAATTCTTGGTGATGTGATAGAATGAATGCTGGCCCGGAGCCAATTTATTTCCTGGACTTCTCTCCCACACTTAGGAGCTTTTAATGAGCAGAAACTTTATTTACATATTTGGAGATTATATATTGCATGACAACATCTCAAATAAGGTTTGAAATGAGAATCCATGAATGAAAGCACTTGGTAAACATTGAGAGTGATAAAAACATTAGAGGTGATTTTCCTATGTTTGATATAAGGCTTTCAAAATGAAGGATCTAGAAATAATGCAGAAAGGACAAGAATAGGCAGGGGTGTCCTCTGCCTCCATCTAACTTGCTGTCTGACCCTCCTTCAGCTCCTGAACACCCGCCACCGAGATGTCTTGCCAGCAGAGCCAGCAGCAGTGCCAGCCCCCTCCCAAGTGCACTCCCAAGTGCCCTCCCAAGTGCCCCACACCGAAGTGCCCCCCAAAGTGTCCCCCTAAGTGCCCTCCTGTCTCTTCCTGCTGCAGCGTCAGCTCCGGAGGCTGCTGTGGCTCCAGCTCTGGGGGCTGCTGCAGCTCTGGGGGTGGTGGCTGCTGCAGCTCTGGGGGAGGCGGCTGTTGCCTGAGCCACCACAGACGGCGTAGGTCCCACCGCCACAGACCCCAGAGCTCTGACTGCTGCAGCCAGCCCTCAGCGGGCTCCAGCTGCTGCGGAGGGGGCAGTGGCCAGCACTCTGGAGGCTGCTGCTGAAGTGGACCCTGTGCCTAAAAGAGCAGATTTAGAGGCATGAAAGGGGCAACTTCATCTTCCTTGGGACTGACTGTGTTGCTGGGACATTTTAGTAAAGATTTCAAACTCTGTCCTGGAAGATTCCTCCGACCTAGAATCCAGAAATCTGCCCTCTCACAAGAATTCCTCTTCTGACCTCTGATTCCATCTGTGCGCCTGGCCTGGGAATACCAAATAGAAGTCCTTGCCTCATTCCCCTGATTTCCTTGGCAATCTCCATTGTGCATGAAACAATAAAACAAATAATCTGCTCATCACCTTTTTCTAGACTGCATTACTCTTGCTTGTAAATGTGAACAGAGGGATAAGCATGTCTTATCTCAGCTCCATCACCCGGTTATCTGGGCCTTGAAGCAGCATGGCTTGCTTAACTCCTTCAACTCCTGGTCCTCACCAGAGCTGACCCTCGCCCCTCAGTGCCTCAGCCAGGGTCAAGTCAGGAAAGAGAATTATGAGATGTACTTTAATAGACAGAAGTTTACATAAAAATTTGCTTACTTGGCATCAGAGAACTGACAAGACCAATAGAGGACAAAAAGAGTTCATGGAGGCGGTAACTGTCATTGCCACCATGCTACCAATGGCAGGTAAAGGGAGTGTCTTGAAACTATCAAAACTTAGAAACTTGGAGCAGTGGCCCACGAATTGAAACTCAGGCCTCTAGGAAAGGGGCCCTTCTCATGGGTGCCGGGGTCCCTGAGCTCAGAGGAGGGGCCCTGTGTGTCTGGACTCAGGCTTCTGAGGAGGGGCACAAGCTGGTGCTGGCCCTAGGGTCTGTCTCCATGAGAACCCAACAAGGTTGGTTTTGTGAGCGGGAAAAACTGCACACTGGAACCACTGTTGCTAAAGGGATAAATTGCTCCTGCTGGGGTGAGAAGTAATATTGGGGTGACTTGGAGAATTCTAAGGGAATCTAAGGAAGCCTGGTCCTTGTCACTCTGCCAGTCTCCCAAGTTCTCTCTAGCTCCGCCTACTGGCGGAGACTTCAGGAAACCTCCAGCAAAGAGAAATGAGATTGGCAGTCCCAACCCTCCATCATAAGGCCAGATGTGGAAGGGAGGACCAAAGTGGAGCGATGGTGACTTAATAACCCTGGTTATTAAGGAAGACAGACATTATCCTACTCAGCTGTCACCCTCCTTCTTCCTGATACCCTCACTCTCTCCCCATCTATTCTCCCAAAGAATTTTACCATGCCCCTCCTTCAGCAAACATAGCAAAATGACTCCATGTAGCTTATACTTTAAAAATGCAGACTGCTCTAGTACAAATAAACCTTTAAGCTCACTTCTGCAAATGGACCTCAAAGAGTTTCTGTTCTTGCCATTGCCTATACAAATGGAGTCATAAATTACAGACACACACATGCAAACACACACACACCCAAACACACACACATACAAACACACAAGTGTTCATCCCTGGTGTCAAGAGCTTGGAAACAATGTCCAACTCTGTGAAAGACACCCTGCCTCTGTGCTTCTAGAAGTCCTTCTGATTGTCGGTCCTGAGGTTTGGATTCTGGATCAATATCAGTCAGCCTCCTCCATTTCCAGGAAGCTTGCCTAATATGTCCTCTACTTTCACACTATTTTAACACTACAATCCTTCAATATTAGTATTCTCAGGCTATTCTCTCTCCTATCATGACTTTTTGTGTCCTTTCCTCCTGGAACCACCCAGATGTGCTTCCTCTTTCCCCATCTGGCATGGAATCCCTGAAGAAAAGGCAGTTTGAATCCCTATAAACTGCAACCCCTGTATTACCAGGCCTCTGCATTGGGATCAGGGATACTCCATAGGGACCGGCAGCGTATAGGCCTTGGGTGAGGACTTCCCGAGTCCAGGGGATATGGGTATTACACTATCCTGGGGGATTTCTGAGGAGAAGGGCTGGGCTTCTCCCCTTGTCCTGTGGCTCCCTAAGGCAGGGGAACCTGTGTTTTAACTTGAGAAGGCTTCCTCCAGGGAGGAGAGGACATCTCACAGTACTCCCGCTAAAGGTGACATTTTTATCTCTTTCCTACTTTTTCCAAGCTCTAAGGACCAGAGCTGTTTAGACAGGGACTAACAGATGCTTCAAGGTAAGGAGCTCCTTAAATACTAGGACATCAGTTTTCTGCAGGGTCCCTGTAAGTCTTCCCTTCTTCTTCGCTCTCTGATGAGTCCAGAAACCAGTATCAAGCAGTGGGACTGGACTTCATTTCTTCTCTGCTTTCCACATGTGGGGACTGTTAAAACGCAAACTGAGGTATGATACAATTTTAAAGAGTTTATTTTAAAGAGCAAACAGCAATTCATGAAACCCAGAAGTGGTTTGAGGGCTCTGTCAAGAGAACACAAGAGGAAAGGTTTTATAAAGCAAACACAAAAGTAAAGTGAAGAAAATTATTGATTGGTTGCTGTTACACCATTTTCTTACTCAGTCTATTGTGCTGAAAGTCCCTAGTTGCATAATTATAAGGTAGCTGGTGGCTTCTGATTGGTTGGTTTTAAGTATCATTTTTCTTTAATATAGGCGTTTACAAGAAATAGCCTAAGTTACGTTTCCCTTATGTTTGGAGATCAAGCAAAGTTGAGGTCATTTATGAGGCCTAACTGGCTTTGTCTGTCCAGGGACTCTTCAGGTCTGGTGTCCATTTTAATTTACTTTAACAAGACCCTCCTGTTCATGCATACAAATGCTCCACAATTCCCACTCAGTTTGAGACCAGGATCATGACACAGTCCAAGCAACATGAGAAGATCCAGAATGCCCTCTCTCAGCACTTCCTCCCACATTAGATACTCAGACCAGTGGCAGAGGAGTGCCACCATCCTGGATTGCTAGGGTAAAGACAATCTTCTCAGCCACCTTGGTGACTCCCATCTGCTCATTCCCTGAAGAACATCTCTTACTCTGTATTGTTCTGTGTTCTGATGAATGGGTAATATTAGAAGAACCGTCACTGATTGAGCAATTTCAATATGCCAGGCACTGTGTGCTCACAGTATACTATTTAATCCTTGAAATTTCTATGAAGCAGGTCCATTTTTAGCCTCAGTTTAAAAATCGGAAATTTAGGCACAGAGAGTTAAATGCAAGTATTTTTTCAAGATACTTGCCACAGTTATCTATGCCAACACTATCCCCCTCCTCTGCTCACCAAACACACGACAGATAGCCAGAGAGTGGACTCCCGGGGTGATCTGTTGGGCCGTGTTGTGGACCTTCCCCAGAAAGACAGACAGTGTTCAGGATCCTGAGGAGATGGCCCCATCACAGTCCTTTGAGAATTCCCCTTTCCATCCCTAGCTTCCCAGAAACTCTGGAAAACTCCTCATCTCCACAGGTCTCAGAGTGATGAAAGTGGCTGTTTTGAAGTCCTTATGATTTTTTGCACAATAAAACACCCAAGTGCAAAGAAAATAGCTTCATCTTGAACACATACGATGGGAGGAAATGGAGTACCATAAATAGCCAGGAGACCCTTTTGTGTGAAAAGAATTTAAAATATGTTAGCATATAGATCAGTGGAGAAAGGATGGCTTATTTAGTAAGCTGAACTGGAGAAAAAAAAACAAGTTATGTTATTTAACAAAATGAGTTTCAGGAGAATTAAGTAGCTAATTTTTAAAATCGAATCACAAAGTAGAACTCTCCATGGAAAAATATTTTTTATGCACAAAAGAAACAGAACAAATGTTAGTGAGAAATTTTGATAGATCTAATACCGTCAAAATAAAATTTTCAGTGTATTCAAAA
Organism: Homo sapiens; assembly: GCF_000001405.40. NCBI lineage: Eukaryota > Metazoa > Chordata > Mammalia > Primates > Hominidae > Homo > Homo sapiens. The sequence continues at coordinate 152,780,513 of NC_000001.11, forward strand.
TCATATGAAAGAAACAAACTAGAAAGCCATAACACTATAAATAAAATATTAAATAAATGTTTACTAAGAGCCTAAAATATTCTAGGAGCTTATTTAGACAGCTGAGGCATACTAGTGAGCAAATAGGAAAAAGATTCCTGCACGCATAGATTTGATTTTACTGAAATATTTTCAATGAGTACTATTTCAGAATTTTCATATAATAAAATATAATAAATTTCTAGTTAGGCACTCAATCTTTGCCAATTTGATATAAATAAATAAATTGAATAGACACCCTACATCAGAAAAAGACAAAATGTTTCATTTTTTTCTCTTTTTAATAATTAAAAGGGCATATATACAATTTATATATATATACATTTTAAAGTCAGAATTTTAAATTAAATTTTAAATTACATTATTGAAATAAAAGTTAAAATTTAAAAGTTCTTATTTAATTTAAAGTTTAGTTAAAATATTTGTAATTGTCATGAGAAATTGATATTTAAAAAGTATAAATATTTGTTTAATAAATAATTCCTTGCACATTATCCAACAAAGATGCAAACAATTTTATACATTTGGTGCCTATCTTCTCCCTCCCCTCCAGAGGAATATCCTGAGTTTGGAGTTAAGTATTCCTATGTATTTCTTTAAACTTCTATTACATTGTAAGTTTCCTTAAAATATGCAATTTAGTTTACATATTTTCAACTCAAACATTACACACTTGATGCAATCTTATGCAAACTTGCTTTCCTATCACAGAATCATTTGTGAGACATTCCTATTAATCGGTTTAGCTTAGTGCATTTCTTACTGCTATGTAATATTTCACCTTACAACCACTCTACTACATATTTAAGAAATCTCTTTTTAATGAATATTTAAGTTGTTTCTAATTATCTTGCAAATCTAAATAATTCCACTATTTAAAATTCTCTGTTGTCTATGCCTAGGTAAGTCTCTCTAGGATATGTGCTGAGGGATCACACAATTGAATTGTGGATAGGCTCATCTTTAACCTTACAATATGCTGTCACATTGATCTCCAGCTCACACTCCCTCCGTTAGTGTGAGAATGCCTTTTGCTTCACATGCTGGCAACACTGTGTGATATTAGATGTTTATATAATTATCCAATGATGAGTGTGAAATAGTTTCTCATTGTAGTCATGTGATCCATTTTCCTGAGTATGTAGTTCATTAAAAATATACATATTATTATATAACATGCATTTTTCTGTTTAAAATAGCATCTTTAAATTTTTTATCTTCTGTTATTTTCAGAGATATAAGAATATTGGTCTTGTATTCTGAAAACTTACTGAACTCCTATTATTTCTAATTTGCTACTGTGAACATTCTTATGCATATATTCTTTCCTTCATTCCCTTATTTCCTTAGGTGAAATTCCTAGATGTTCAAATATTGTAAAAGAGTATGCTCATTTTATATTTTAATTCATTTATACACCATCAAGTATGTGTTGAATGAATTAATCATCACATTACAATGAAGAATAATTATGGCAATTTACTTTCACACTAATAAAGCATGAGTGTTCGATTCCACAAATCCTCTCCAACACTGAGTTTTTATTAGATAATAAATCTTTGCCAATCTGATATGAATAAACTGGATGGACTACCTACATCAGAAAAACCCAAAATATTTCCTTTTGTTATTTTTCATTTTTTGATTATTAGTCACATTGAACTTTTTTTTTTTTTTTTTGAGACAGAGTCTCTCTTTGTCACCTAGGCTGGAGTGCAGTGGTCCGATCATGGCTCATTGCAACCTCCACCTCCCGGGTTCAAGTCATTCTCCTACCTCAGCCTCCCAAATAGCTGAGATTACAGGTGCCGTCACCACGCCCGGCTAATTTTTTGTATTTTCAGTAGAGACGGAATTTTACCATGTTGGCCAGGCTGGTCTCAAACTCAACCCACCTTGGCCTCCCAAAGTGCTGGGATTACAGGCATAAGCCACTGCACCTGGCCACATTGAACATATTTTTAACTTGTTTTTCCCATTTGTGTTTCTTTTCTAGTATGTGTGTTGCCTGTTCATGGCCTTTCATTGTTCTTTGTATTGGCAAACTTGCATTTTTCCAATTAAATTGTAAGGACTGTTTTTTCTATATTCTTGGCAAATGTATTTGAATTTCCCCCAACTGATTACTTTTCTTTCTGTCTTAGTTATGATGCTATTTGCTATATAGATTTCTAAGTTTTAAAAATGCACTTATTGATTTTTCTTTTATATTTCCTTTTCCCTTTTTCACTCAAAATAATTTTCTTTATCAATGAATTAGAAACCATAAATGTCTTCATCTAAGTATGCATTAAAAGGAATTTACAATACAAAATAAAAGTTTTGGGAAAAAAAGGGGAATAAACTAAAAACTGCTAATGTACGAGATCCTTCTCTGGAAACTGCTATAGGGTCCAGGGAACAGACAGAAATCCAAGCAGTTAGAATTACTTCCCATGGATCTCAGTCATGTTTCCTCTCATCTCCTGAGATTATAAGCGACAGATATCCTTGATGAAAAGATAACCCCAGAAAGCCAATCACTTGTCAGTAAATGTTTCTTCCATTGAGATGATATCCAGCCAATTTAAAACTAACAGCCAAGGCTTAGCAATGAGTCCTCATGATACTACAACCATGCTGCTGATTTATCACCAAACCCAAGTCAGAGTAATTGATGTTGGGTGCTGCCCTTCCTGGAGACAGAGGCATGGCTCAGTGGCATGTCAGCCCCATCATACCATCATAGCAGGAATCAGTGAGCTGGGCGTATGAGTAGTACTTCCTGTGTAAGCCACAGAATCAATACCCTGACCTCTCCTTCAATAACAAAGCCCTTTGGGATAACCTAAGTACAAACATCATCCTTGAATAATACAGAGGCATCTTTCCAAAGGATATGGCCAGCACTTATCATTGGGCATGTCTTAGGGTCAATCCCATATGGGATGATCTCGAGTCAGATGGAAGAGCTATTTACAAGCTCTCAGGTGCTATGATATGCTGATGAAATGACTACATGCATATCCTTGCTCTAAGCACTGATAAAAGATACAAACATCACATCCAGACAAAATATTCAATCTCGTTTCAGAGATACATCACATAAAGCAAAACACAGGTAAAGCAAGGAGTAGTCTGTTCAAAGTAGAGTTAACTGACCAAGTCAGCTGTACAGGATTTATTCTCTGAAAAAGCAAAGCAGTTGGATGGGCACAGTGGTTCACGCTTGTAATTCTAGCACTTTGGGAGGCCTAGACAGGAGGATCACTTGAGGCCAGGAGTTTAAGAAGACCCTGGCCAACATAATGAGACTCCAACTTTACAAAAAAATTTAAAATTACCTGGGCATGATGGTGTGTGCCTGTAGTTCTAGCAGGAGTTGAAAGCTGCAGTAAGCCCTGATTTGCACCACAGCACTCCAGTCTGGATGACAGAGCAGGACCTTGTCTCAAAAAAAGGAGGAGGTGGGGGAAGAAAAGAAAAACTTGTAGAAATAGAATAGGGTCACATCACACAGGTCCTTGAATGCGAAGGGTAAGAGTTTTGGCTTTATCATGAATCAGTGAAAGCCTTTGAGAAGACTTCTTCAATGGTAGCATGACTATTTACATTTTCATCCAAACTGGGACACAATTGAGATCGAAAAGAAGGTTTATGATAATATATGTCGAGACAAAAGGTATAATCCCAAACTGTTGCTGGCAAACTGGGATGTTTGGTCACTCTATTAAGGTCACGGGCAATTATTTCTAGAACAGTTCTAATGAAGAAGAGCTAGAGAGAGAAACTAAGAAGGTGAAAGGCAGAGAAACAGCTAAGAAAATATGTACACACAGAGTCACTATAAAATATATGATGTGTGTGTATGTTTATATAAACACACACATTTAGTGTATATATTATTTGGATACCTCAATACACATGCACAAACATATTTATATTTTGCAACTACTTGTGAACTAGCTTCACTCTTCCCCTTGTGACCTAGATATCACTAATGCATTATATTGGTCCAGGCTCTGGAGAATTTTAGATGCTCCCCCAGTATTTCTACCACTGACAGGAAAGAGAGGGTTTTTCCTCACATGTTTATTCTGGCTTTAGTACACCTTTTTCTAATTCATGAATTAGTTTTATGTTGGAAAAGCTCACCATATTGTTGTACACAAACTTGAACCAGAGAGGAACTCTTGCCCCTTCCCTTCATCTACTGAAAGTAGAGGGAAAGAAAACACTTTTCAAGCAGAGACAATAGGGGGAAACCTAGGAGGAGGGAGCTGCTGAGGTGCAAAAGCTTCTAGAGGCTCTCCCACCATTTCTTGGACAGTGTCCTGCACCTCAGGCCTGGCCTTCCGCCAAGTCCCCCTCTCCCCTTCCATCTCCCCATGTGTGCCCTTACCTCCTTCCCAACAAAGGGTCCTTGGAAATTCCGGGATTTTTCACTCTACGTGGAGCGATGTAGAGTTCTAGAGTTCTACTCCACACAAATCCCTTCCCTATTCACATTCACAGTCATTCCTACTTCATAGTCAAAGACATCAATATACTTAGCAGAACAAAGGGGTCTTAAACACTAAAAAAGGAAACAATCGACAAAAACCAAACAACCCCAAATCCCAGATTTATACCCCACCCCACCCCCCATCTTGGAAAGCAGCTATGACTTCAAAATACCTATTCGTTTATTGACGCATATGTAGGCATCACATTTTTTAAGGGTCTATCATGTCACGGACCTTCTACCAGACTTTTTCCTTATATTATTTTACTGGCTGGCTCAATACCCTGTGAGATATCTGTATCACTATCTGTACTTTTAAACTGAGGAAGAAACAAGAACAACAAACTGAAAAGGAGTCAAGTTAAGTAATTTTCACAAGTATACACAGCTACTAGGTGGCAGAACCAGGGCAGTTTTCTAGCCTGTCTGACTGCAAGCTCTTAAATATAATGGAATGCATCAGGGGTCAGCATTTTTTTTTTTTTTAAAACTCTAAGAGATTAAATGTTTTAGGCTTTGGGAACCATAGCATCTCTATCCCAGTTACTCAGCTCTCCATTTTAGTGTGAAAAGTACCACAGACACAATCAATAAAATAATAAATGTGGCTCATTATCTAAGTCAGAGAAATAAAACTTTATGAAGCCTGAAATTTGAATTTAATATAATTTTTATATGTTGTAAAATATTTTCCTCTTTTGCTTTCTTTTCTCAACAATTTAAACGCATTAAAAACCTTGGAGGCTATCCAAATCAGACAGCAGGCAGATTTGGGCTGCAGACAGAAGTTAGCTGACCCCCAGTAGCCTGGAGGATTATTTAGACTTAAGAGGGAAAATGTGAAAGAATCTCTGAATTACAGTCCAAACTCAGCTGCCAGAAGCCAATGAGTTCCATGGGCAACAAGAAAGAACAAAGGAATTGCAGGCCAGTGTGCAAAAACGAGAACTAAAAAGCGGTCAAGGCTGGGATTTACCAGGAAGAATGGGGCAGAAGGTCCTGTATAAACTGTCCCCACCCTTTGTTTCTAAGCAGCCCTACTCCTATCTAGCAGCAGGTGCCCTCAGCCTGGGGAGGGAGGCAGGTGAGGAGCTGCTAGTCACCACCTATCACAGGACCCACGTGGGTATCAGGGGGCAAGTCCTCTCATGCCCAGGCCCTGTCTCACCACAGGAGGCAGAAACCCAGGCTGGGATAAAAGGGCTCAGGGCCAGAGCACCCCATTCACTCACTTCCTGAGGTGCCGAAGGACCCTGTGCTGCCTGTGACTTTGGTATGTGTCCTCTGGGAACAGAAGCAGGGGATTCCACAGAGGGATGCTCAGATCAGGTTAGGAGGAGTGGTGGGCAGGGCTTCCATGGGGGAGGAGACTGGTAACAACTGGGACAGAAAGAATAACTGGTTGGCTGTGCCTTTGGGCTCCAAAAAAAACTGCTGTAGGGTGGAGCAGTCCTCTCAGGATGGGAAACCTTAAAGCACAGAGACCTGGGGCACTCTGACAGACCACAGGAAGGAAGCCCACCTCTGAAAATACAACCTTGTCCCTGTCTGCAAGGAAGAGCTGGAGCCATGGACAGGGGACCAGAGGCTCCTTTGGGCTTATGGAACCGACACTTTTATGGGTCTGGGATTTGTTCACAAATTTCCCAGGTTGATTAGGACACACCAAACCTGAGACTCACCATGCCCACCCATCAGCCTGAGCAGGTGGTAAGCTGAGGAAATCTGAGCTCCAGCCTAAGATCAGGAGGCCAGGGTTCAAATTCCAGGGCTGCAGGAATTTATGGGTTTGTCTGTCTCTGCTTCAACAAAGTAAGTTTACTGAGCCAGTAATATCCAAGATCTTTTGTAGTATGGATATTGCAGAGTAAAACTACCTTGCAAGTTACAAAAGGTAGTGATTACTTTTTCTCTTTAAGAAATAATTTTCCCTAAATGACCTATAAATCATATAATTTCAGGGTGTGAAGACATATTTGGAATAATTTCCTCCTTCACTTATAACACTTTGGACTGTCAGATGCATTTTGTAATATTGTTTGGTCTTAGTTTACAATTTTGTGTAGCAGATAACACACAAGGGTATCCTGAGCTTGCAAAGAGATGATGAGAGAATTTGGGGAAAGTATTGGAAGTGAAACTACTGGACATGATGTTTCCATAATTACAAGTCATGCTAAGAGTGTCAGAGGGGCAGAGGTGGCCTCTGCCTAGGTCTGATTTTCTGTCTGACTCTCCCTCAGCTCCTAAGTACCTACTGCCGAGATGTCCTGCCAGCAGAGCCAGCAGCAGTGCCAGCCCCCTCCCAAGTGCACTCCCAAGTGCCCTCCCAAGTGTCCCACCCCCAAATGCCCTCCAAAGTGTCCCCCTAAGTGCCCTCCAGTCTCTTCCTGCTGCAGTGTCAGCTCCGGAGGCTGCTGTGGCTCCAGCTCTGGGGGCAGCTGTGGCTCCAGCTCTGGGGGCTGCTGCAGCTCTGGGGGAGGTGGCTGCTGCCTGAGCCACCACAGGCACCACAGGTCCCACCGTCACAGACCCCAGAGCTCTGACTGCTGCAGCCAGCCCTCAGGGGGCTCCAGCTGCTGTGGAGGGGGCAGCGGCCAGCACTCTGGAGGCTGCTGCTGAAGTGGACCTTGACTTCCTCTTCCTTCTGATTCTGCCTGAATAGCTGAGAGGTTCCAGCAAAAGCTTGAAGTCTTGCCTGGAGAATCCCTCTGCTCTGGTGTCAGGAAACCCAAAATCTTTCTCCTTAATGGCATTTAGAGACTTTCTTCTGCAGATCCATGGCTGCCCTGGGAACTCCAAAGCACACACCTACTTCCTCCCCAGCTCACGCTGCTGTATTCTGTGCTGCCTGAACTGAAGAAATAAAATCCAGAATCTGCCCCCCAACTTGCTACCAGCCTGCTTGATTTTCCTGTTTGTGTCATCCTTGTTCTGCTCCCCTGTGTCTGCTGGTGGCTGCTGAGGCCTTGGTGGACAGAGGATGGGGAAAGGGGTCAGGAGGAAAAAGCTTGCATTTCTGTGTGTTTTGTGTTTTTTCTTCTTTCGGTGTTTTCCTTTTAAACCAAGGGACTGAAATAGCATTGAGAAATATTTTTCTTTCAAATTCTGGTTCCTTTCACCTATGTAACCGCATCCCTCAGGCATGGCCAGGAGGCCGACTTCATCCTCCTTCCCACTATCACCTCTTCATTCTTGTGTTCCTCGTTCCCCACTCCTTCCACTAACAATCTCCCTGGACTCCTCCTCCATACTGTATGTGCATGCATTCACACACACATATGTACATGCACATAGATGAGATGAATCTGCATTGTAAAAAAATTAAATCACATTTAGTGCTGTATAATTTGCATGCAATAAAATTCAATAAAATTAAATGTAAAATTAAATGAGTTTTGTCAAATATTTATAGCTGCATAACTATAATTGCAATAACACACCAAAAATGTAGTTAATTTATTGAGAAGATTTTCAAAATAACACAAAATCTAGAATACATAAATGAAAATGTGGATACAGTTAACCACATTAAAATGAAATTCTAAGTATCAGATAGTACCACTAAAAGCAAGGAAGGGTAAAAAATTAACTTGGGAAAATTATAATATATGTGATAGGGAGATGACTCATATTGGTAAGAAACATAGAGTTCATAAAAACTGAGTAAATAAATGTTCCTATAAAAGTTTTGGCAGAATTCATATTTCATTCACAAATAATTAATGAAGAAAACCAATAACTTCTGAAATTAGATTTTAAAAGCAATTTAATCTCATTAATAAAAAGAGCATAGCTCATCTTTTGGGGATGAGAACTCATTATTGGTTCACAAGCTTTCTGTGAGCATTTTAGCTTACAAAACATTGTTGTTGAAGCTATGTGGAAATGATCACTTACTCTTTGTAATTTAGAATGCTAACTGGCATAACAATTCATGCAACAGATTTATTTGGTGATTAATTTATTCATTTACCAATACTTATTGGATTTCTAGTATTAGGCAAATGAGGCAAAATATAATAATAAAAAATAGATATTTAAGAGTGTTCACTGCTGAAGTGACATCAGATGATGACATAAGATGGTAAATAAGGAACCTCCAGGCTCTAGCTCACTTCAGAGACATTGGACAATGATATAAAGACAAAAACAGCTTTCCGAAAACTTTAAAAACAAAGTAAGAAGCTTCAGCAACAAAGCAAAGTTTTAATAAAGAAAGTAACCATACTCAAATGGCAGGAAATTTTGTGGTGCTTTTGCTCACCCCTACCCCATCCCATCTTACGCATAATGTGGTGTGGTCAGAGGAGGCTGCGCAATTTCTCAGCCTTTCTTACAGATGGAAGGAAAAGAGTGGAACTTGCATGCAAGATTGTGGGTTGTGTGAGGACTGTGTGAGGAACTGGTTTTTGTCTCACCTGAGTTTAGAGCACCAATGAGTCAGTGGCATATTCTGGATATTCGGTTGAAGGCTGCTGAAAGCAGAGGCTGCACTGTGGCATGAAACAGCTGCAAGGGGACTGCAGACTTGCAAGTGCCTAAAGACAAGAGATTAGCAGCAGAGGAAAATCATAGGCAAAGTCTCCAAGAAGAAGCAAGAGTAAGACTCTGAAAAATGTAGACATTTAAAAGCAGTCAGGGAACTGAAACAAAAGTGTCTGTGCACACACACAAACACAAACACAAGCACGAACACTTGCTCAGGGAAGGTGCATCCCCAGAAAAGGTTTGAGAGGACTCTTGAGCCTTCACACTACACTGAAGGTTTTCCACAGCACAGAGCCAGCTCCCAAAGATGGAGAGACATGGCTGTTTTTGCAAACATCTAATTTTCAACAAAAAAGAAACACAAGGCATGTAAAGAGACAGAGGATTGACCTATTTACAGAAACAAAATATATCTCTAGAAACTGACTTTAAAGAAACACAAGCCACTGAATTCCTTGAAGAAGCTTTAAAACAATTGTCTTAAATGCTCAAAGAATTAAAGGAGAACACACAGAGACAACTAATAAAATTAAGAAAATTATGTATTAACAAATAAAAATATCAACAGATAGAAATTATTTTTACAAAAACTCACAAAGAAGTTCTGGGGCTGAAGAATACAATAACTTAATAGAAAAATTATTTAGAGAAGTTCAACAGCAGAGTCAAAGAGGCAGAAGAAAGAATCAGCAAATTTGAAGACAAGTTATTTGAAATTATTGAATTTGAGGAGGAAAATGAAAATAAAGCGAAAAAACCTGAGACTTATTAGACAAAATAGACTTTAACTCAAAGACTGTTACAAAAGACAAATAAGGACATTACATAATGATAAAAGGAATAATTTAACAAGAATATAGAACCATTATAAACACACATGTGCCTCAAATCAGAGCTCCAACATATACGAAGCAAATATTGACTGAGTTAAAGGGAGAAATGGAGAGGTCTTTAATAATAGTAAGAGACTTCATATTCCACTTTCAGTAATAGGTAGAACAACCATACAGAATATCAATAAGTATACAGAGGACATGGAATACACTATACATCAATTGGACCAAAAGACATATGCAGAACATTCCACCTGGGATTAGCAGAGTACACATTTATCTCAAATACACATGCAACATTCTCCCGGATAGGCCTCATACGGAAGCCCACAAAACAAGTCTTAATAAATGTTAAAATACTGAAACTAGACAAATATCTTTTTCCAACTACAATGGAATAAGACTAGAATTCAGTAGCAAAAGGAAAACTGGAAAATCCACAAATATGTGGAAATTAAACAACACACTCTTATACAACCAATGGGTCAGAGTAAAAATTACAAAGGAAGTTATAACATATCTTGAGAAAATGAAAATGAGAACACAGCATACCAAAATTTATGAGATGCAAAGAAAGCAGTGCTAGGAGAGGAATTTATACCTATAAACTCTTACATTAAAAAGAAAAAAAATCTCAAATCAGTAACCTAGTTTTACACCTTAAGACTTAAGAAACCAAAAGAAAATTAAAAAAATAAAACAAACAAACAAACAACAACAACAAAAAAAAAAACCGTCTGCATCAAAGCTAGTAGAAGGAATGAGGAAATAAAAAAAGATTAGGACAGAAATAAATGAAGTGAAAACTAGAAAAATCAATAGTGAAAATCAACAAAACCAAAAGTTTGTTCTTTGAGAAGACCACAAAAACTGATAAACTTTTCACTAGCTTGAAGAAGAAAAAAGAGAAGAATCAAAGAACTAAAATAAAAATGAGAGGGAAGGCATTACAACTAACTTATAGAAATAAAAAATTATAGGAGAATACCATGAACAATTGTATGCTAAATTGGATAACCTAGATGAAATGGATAGATCCCTAGAAACAAATCTGAAAAGACCTATAACTAGCAAAGATCAAAACTCTGCCAACAGAATAAAGTGCAGGACCAGACAGCTTCACTCATTAATTCTACCAAACATTTGAAGAGAAATCAACACAAATCTTACTCAATGCTTCCAAAAAATTGAAGAAATGAGGACATTTATGAATTCGTTCTCTGAGGCCAGCATTATCCTGATGCCAAAGCCAGAAAACTACATAACAATATCTCTGATGATATTGAGGGATGATAAAAATCCTCAACAGCATATCAAAAGGATTATACACCTTGACTAATTGTGAATTATTCCTCAAATAGCCAAACCAATGCTGAAGAAGAAAAATATAGTTAGAGTCACATACTTCCTGACTTTAAAACTTATCACAGACAGACATAGTGGTGCATACCTGTAGTCTCGGCCACTCAGGAGGCAGAGGATAGAGGATCCCTTGATCCCAGGAGTTCTAGACAAGCCTGAGCAACATAGTGAGACCTTGTCTCTAAAAAAAAATAAAAGTAAATTAACACAATTTATTACAACAAAGCAACCATAATGAAAATAATGTGTTATTGGCATAAAGATAGACATATAGGTCAATGAAATAGAATAGAAGAGTAGCAGAGAAACTTAAAATAAATAAACCTTCATATATATGGTCAAATTATTCTTTTTTTGTCCAAAAACAGGATCTTGCTATGTTGCCCAGGCAGGACTCAAACTCCTGGACTCAAGCAATCCTCCTGTCTCAGCCTCCCGAGTAGCTGGAGCTATAGGCACAAACTATCATGCCTAGCTGATTAAAATGATTCTTGATAAGGGTGCCAATACCACTCAATGGAGAAAGGACAATCTTTTCAACAGGTGGTGTTGGGAAATTTAGATATGCACATGCAAAAGCATGAAGCTGGACCCTCAGGTTACACCATACACAAAAATTAACTCATTAAGGATCAAAGACATAAACATAGAGTTAAAACTACAGGCTGGGCGTGGTGGCTAACCCCTGTAATCCCAGCACTTTGGGAAGCCAAGGCAGGCAGATCACAAGGTCAAGAGATAGAGACCAGGCTGGCCAACATGGTGAAACCCCATCTCTACTAAAAATACAAAAATTAGCTGTGTATGGTGGTGCATACCTGTAGTCCCAGCTACTTGGGAGGCTGAGGCAGGAGAATCGCTTGAACCCGGGAGGTGGAGGTTGCAGTGAGCCAAGATCATGCAACTGCACTCCAGCCTGCACGACAGAGCAAGACTCCATCTCAAAATAAATAAATAAATAAATAAACTACAAAATTTCTAAAAGGAAACATAGGAGGAAATCTTCATGACATTGGATTTGACAATGATTTCTTAACTATGATACCAAAAGCACAGGCAACAAATGTAAAAATAGATAAATTAGACTACATAAACATTAGAAATGTATGTGAATCAGTGAACAAAGTCAATACCATGAAAAGGAAATCTTTGTTATGGGAGCAAATATTAGCAAATCGTGTATCTGGTAGTGGGTTGCTATACAAAATATGTAAAGAACCCCCACAATTAAACAACAAGTAAACAAACAACCTTATTAAAAATGGAAAAAAAAACTTGAATAGACACTTATCCAAAAGAAATTTACAAATAGCCAAAAGACACATGAAAGTATGCTCAACACCATTCATAATTAGATTAAATTATTTAAAGTAAAACCCACAGTAAGATATCACTTCAAACCCGAGAGAATGACTACTATAAAAAATAAAGCAAAACAAAACAGAAAATAACAAGTGTTGGTGAGGATGTGGAGGAATTAGAACCCTTGTGCACTGTTGGTGAGCATATAAAATGGTATAATTACTATGAAAAAGAGCATGGTGATTCCTCAAAAAGTTAATAGAATTAACATAGGGTCCAGCAATTCCACTTGTGGGTATATACAATACAAAAAGATTGAAAGTAGAGTCTTGACAGGGTACTTGTACACCCACGTTCATAGCTTTATTATTCACAATAGCTAAAAGGTGGAAGCAATCCAAGCATTCACTGCTGGATGATTATAGAAGCAAAAGGAGGCATACACATACAATGTGATATTATATGGCCTTAAAAAGGTAAGAAATTTATGCACATGCTACAATATGAATGAATCCTAAAGATATGCTAAATCAAATAAGCCAGTCACAAAAAGACAAACACTGTATGATTCCACTTATGTGAGATATGGGGTGTAGTCCATTTCATAGAAAAAGAAAGTAAAATGGTGATTGCCAGGGGCTGGGGAGAGGGAGTAAGAGAGAACTGTTGTTTAATGAGCGTAGAGTTTCAGTGTTGCAAGAAGACAAAAATTCTAGAGATTGGCTACACAACGATGTGATGCTATTTAACATTACTAAACTGTGCACTAAAAAAATGATTAAGACAGTAAATTTTGGATTATGTATTTTACCAATTTTTTTAGGAAAGTATTCACTGCAAAAATTTAGGAGAGTTCAACACAGTTGCAGTATATCAATATATTAACAATCATAACAACAACAGCAATAAAAATATTTTTAAAATATACTATTTAAATAGAATAGAATTTTCTTCTAGACTTTAATAGTATTTTCTCATCACTGTAATTGTTTAAAGGGTTGTAGATATGGAAAGAACAAAACAAAGATTACTAACTTAACTTGTTACTGGTTATAGAACACATACAAAAAATTATTCCATTTGAATTATTTCTGGTTAGATCGCAATAGTATTCACTCACATCCCATGAGACGGTGAATTTTTGACTACCTAAAAGAGAAAAACCTTGACAAATAGGAAATTTCAGAAAGTCAGTGCTTTGCTGGACAAGATATCTTATTTGACCTAATAGCTAAGCCATGATATCTCATAGCCAAGATTCAAGTTCCAATCTTCCTAATACAACTATGTTGCTGACTCAACACCTACATCTGAGTTATGTCAGTTGAGAGCTTGGGTGTTGCCCTGCATGAAGACAGAGGCATGGACCAGATGGTATCCCAGCCCTATCATCCTAGATACCAGGAGTTGAACTTCTGAGTAGACCTGCCATTGTGACGACCTGGGAACCAATGTCCTGACCACTCCCCCATTACTAAGCCCTTTGGAACAATCTGAGCAGGAGAACAAATGTCATACCCAGGAGGGATGGTGTCAGACCTCTCAGGGTGATGTGGCCCACACACCTCACTGAGCCTGTCTCAGAGTGTGTCTCCTATGAGGGTGGCCTGAGTCATAAGGAATAGCTGTTTATAAACTGTAAATCAATGCTAATACCAATGAGAGCATTTAAAAGTCATTAAATATCCATTGTGCACATAGCTCTGTGTTGAAAAACGGAGGTAAGAAGTATGAAACACCCAAGGCAGGCCATCAAAGCATTTACTGTTATCTCATTAGAGTGATATGCCACATGAAGGATAAATAAAAAAGTGGGATTGAGCCACACTGTCCTGGAAGGGTAGAGGCCACGGCATGCACTGCAGGGAGAAGCATAATCAAAGTACAGAATATAATCCAGTTCAGTTTCAGAACATTTCTGAGAGTAGATGACAAAGGCTTAAACTAAAGGGAGAACACAGAGTCTTATTTCACTGAAGGAATTTGGACATTTACCCTTATACAGTGTGCAATCATGAACAAGACTTTACTAATGATTTAGTGTTAATTATGTACAGGGATGGAAGATGTTTTCTTGGATGTCATAAAAGAACAGAATCAAAGACACACTACAGTGTTTGGAGATACTACGTTATCACAGGAGTCTGGGCAGCTGTAATAATTGATGCTCTGAGACAGGTGGTACACACACATATACATCTCTCTCAATATGTATGCTCTGTATATGTGTTTATAAATATACATGTATCTCCACCACGTTTTGGTTAGGGTCACCATGTCCATTTTGACCTAGATATCATTCCCAAGTTCTGGGCATATCCAGAGTCTGTCAGGGGCTGGGAAGAAGAGGACTTGTCCCTCATATGGTTTAATCTGGCTTTTCTTGGTCTTCCTCTGAAGAAATAGTTTAATTTGTGGATAACCTTGCAGTCATGGCTGTCTTAGTGACTAGTGTGTCCTAGAATGAACAGCAGCCCATTTCATTAATATCCTAAAAATGTATAAATTCAGAACACTCCATTCATATAAATCCTGTGGACATGTAGAAAGCTAGTGATTCTAGTGGAGAGAGAGGAGAGGGGCTTCCAAAGTAGCAGCATAAACACATTCACATTAAATATTAAGGACTCTTGTTCTTAAAAGGCACCCGTCCCCTTATGGTCCAGGACGGGGTTCTGCCAGCCATTTGACCCCACATGGAAGCGTAGACTTATAATGTCTCACAACCATGTCTCTTTTCTTCCTGTTTCTCATCTGTGACCATCATCCGGTGCTCCCAGTGTGAACCCAGAAAAGTCCAAATTCTCACACCAATACAAAGAGCAGAGCTGCTGCTTCTTGTTTCTCTAATGAGCTGCTTCCTTGTTCACATCTCAGTGCTGACACATCAAGGACCCCACCAGAAGAAAAGGGCTATTTAAAAGCAAACAGATCACCAAACAGCCAGACTCACTCTCATTAGAAAAAAGCTGTGCTTCGTTTGTTAAACAAAGATCAGTATCTTCATTCTGTATTCAGCAAGTTATGAATGTTTCACTTATTCAGAGCCTACAATGTTTCAGTCTCTCTGTCAGGCACATTTTCTCTTTTTTGTGTTACTTTATTGACTTTCACAACCAACTAATTCTTCTGTAACTAATTCTTTTTCATCTTCCAGCTTTATGGTTTAAAAAATGGTACAGGCTAAATAGTTTCAACAGTCCCATCTCGCAGGGCCTGGTCCTGGGCCGGGTTATACTTCCAGGGTTTTACTTGTGTAGATGTCTACACTGCACCCACAGCCACACAGTTTGGTGGTGCACAGGGACAGAAATAAACATGCATGGAAACCTCAGGGATTAGTACTTCAACTTCAACCCAGGCTGCACGGAGCATCAGGTACTTCGGAAGAGACAGAAATGAGATAGGTCCTAAGTTCTAAGACTGAGAACTGAGAGGCTCTCAGGGCAAGCAGCCTTCAAGTGAATGAGGTAGGTGATGGTAGGAGTCATCCTGGAACCCCGTTTCAAGTAGGCACTTTCCTACCTGGGAGTGGCTGCCTTGAGCCTGGGGAGAGAGGCAGGTGAGGAGCTGTCAGTCACCAACCATCACAAGACCCACGTGGGTGTCAGAAGGAAGGTCCTCTCATGCCCAGGCCCTGTCTCACAGCTGGGGCAGAGCCCAGGCCAGGATAAAAGGGCTCAGGGCCAGACCACCCCATCCACTCACCTCCTGAGGTGCTAAAGAACCCTGTGCTGCCTGTGACTCCGGTAAGAACAGAGCAGGGATGCTCAGAACAGAGCAGGAGGGAAGGAGGGGCAGGGCCTCCGGGGCTAGGGCCATGTTGTCAGAGGTGGAGAGTTTAGAAAAGACTGAAGGGGCGGGGGCCAAAAGGGGTCTGGCACTAACTGGGAGCAGGAAGGAAAAGAGGAAAAGAGCTGGCGGGCTGTGCCATGTGCCTTTGAACTCTAGAGGAAACAAACTGCTCTGGGATGAGGTGGGTGTTCCAGAGTGGGAACTTTGAAGCACAGAGACCTGCTCCACTCTGGCAGCCCACAGGAGGGAAGCCCACCTCTGAAGATACAACCCTGTCTCTGCCTGCAAGGGAAGAACTGGAGCTGTGGACATGGGACTAAAGACTCTTTGGGGTTTATGAACCCCACATTTTCATGGGTCTGAGATTTGTTCACAAACTTCCCAGCTTGGTTAGGACACACCAAGCCTGAGACCCACCGTGTCATCCCATCAGCCTGAGCAGGTGGTGAGTGAGGAAGTCTGAGCTCCAACCTGAGATCAGGGGGTCAGGGTTCAAGTACTAGTCTGCAGAAACTGCTAAGTTTATCTGTCTCTATTGAAGTGAGTTTACTGACCTAGTAGTCTCCAAGATCCTGCACAATGCTGACCTTCCAAAGTAAAATCGTCTTGCAAATTATGACCAGAGAGAATGACTGCTTCTTCTCCTTTAAAAATAATTTTCTCTTAAATGACTCATAAATTAGACAATTTCAGTCTTAAGATATATTTGTAATAATTTCTTCCTCCACTGACAACACATCAGAATCTTAGATGCATTTTGCAATATTGTTTAGTCTTAGTTTACAGTTGTCTGACATCCAAAGATATCTTGAAAAAGATGATGTGAGATTTTGAGGAAATTATTGGAAATAAAACTACTGAAGATGATGCTTTTAAACTTGAGAGGTGCTAAGAGTGTCACAGGGGCAGAGGTGGCCTCTGCCTGGGTCTGACTTGTTATTTGACTCTCCCTCAGCTCCTGAACACCCACCACCGAGATGTCCTGCCAGCAGAGCCAGCAGCAGTGCCAGCCCCCTCCCAAGTGCACTCCCAAGTGCACTCCCAAGTGCCCCGCCCCTAAATGTCCCCCTAAGTGCCCTCCAGTCTCTTCCTGCTGCAGTGTCAGCTCCGGAGGCTGCTGTGGCTCCAGCTCTGGGGGCGGCTGTGGCTCCAACTCTGGGGGCTGCTGCAGCTCTGGGGGTGGTGGCTGCTGCCTGAGCCACCACAGGCGCCACAGGTCCCACCGTCGCAGACCCCAGAGCTCTGACTGCTGCAGCCAGCCCTCGGGGGGCTCCAGCTGCTGCGGTGGGGGCAGCAGCCAGCACTCTGGAGGCTGCTGCTGAAGTGGACCTTGACTTCCTCTTCCTTCTGATTCTGCCTGAATAGCTGAGAGGTTCCAGCAAAAGCTTGAAGTCTTGCCTGGAGAATCCCTCTGCTCTGGTGTCAGGAAACCCAAAATCTTTCTCCTTAATGGCATTTAGAGACTTTCTTCTGCAGATCCATGGCTGCCCTGGGAACTCCAAAGCACACACCTACTTCCTCCCCAGCTCACGCTACTGTATTCTGTGCTGCCTGAACTGAAGAAATAAAATCCAGAATCTGCTCCCCAATTTGCTACCAGCCTGCTTGATTTTCCTGTTTGTGTCATCCTTGTTCTGCTCCCCTGTGTCTGCTGGTGGCTGCTGAGGCCTTGGTGGACAGAGGATGGGGAAGGGGTCAGGAGGAAAAAGCTTGCATTTCTGTGTGTTTTGTGTTTTTTCTTCTTTCTGTGTTTTCCTTTTAAACCAAGGGACTGAAATAGCATTGAGAAATATTTTTCTTTCAAATTCTGGTTCCTTTCACCTATGTAACCGCATCCCTCAGGCATGGCCAGGAGGCCGACTTCATCCTCCTTCTCACTGTCACCTCTTCACTCTTGTGTTCCTCGTTCCCCACTCCTTCCACTAACAATCTCCCCGGACTCCTCCTTCAGATTGTATGTACACGTAGTAGACATATAAATATATGTGTGTGTACATGTATATATATACACACATATTTATATATACTCACATTATATGGAATAAATCTTTAGTTTTTAAACTTAAATCACTTTTATTGATCTATAACTTTCACACAATAAAACCCCTTTTTAAAATAAACAATTCAATTAGTTTTACCAAATGTATACACTCTTTTGTAACCACAATTGCAAGGAACACTCTAAAAATGTAGTTGATTATTTATTAATCATTATTTGCAGTAAGGTTTAAAAATAGGCTATAAGTTTATGGATTTACTTCTGGATTTTCTATTTTTTTTTTTGGTTCATACATCTGTTTTTATGCCAGCACTATACTGTTTTGGTTAGTATAACTTTGTAGTATAATTTGAAATCAGGTAGTATGATGCCTCCAGCTTTATTCTTTTTTACTCAGGAGCACTTTCGCTATTTGGAGTCTTCTATGGTTCCATAAAAATGTTAAGCCTTTTTTTTCTGTTGTATTAGTCAGGGTTCTCCAGAGGGACAGAACTAATAGGATATATGTATATATGAAAGGAAGTTTATTAGGGAGAATTGGCTCTCGTGGTATTTCAACAGAGATTGCATTGAACCTGTAGACCACTTTGAATACTGTAGACTTTTTAACAATATTAATTCTTCCAGTTCATGAGCCTGAGACATCTTTCCATTTGTTTGTGTCTTCTTCTATTTCTTCATCAATGCTTTTAGCTTTCATTGTAGTTCTTTCACTTCTTTGGTTAAATTTATTTCTGGCTATTTTATTTTTGTGGCTATTATAAATGAGATTGTTTTCTTGATTTCTTTTTCAGATTGATTTCTATAAGTGTATAGAAACACTACTGATTTTTGTATGTTGATTTTGTATCCTGCCACTTTACTAAATTTGTCATTTCTAAGAGTTTCTTGGTGGAGTCTTTAGTTTTTCTAAATCTAATATCATGTTATCTGCAAAAAGGATAATTTGACTTCTTCCTTTGAAATCTGGATGCCACTTATCTCTTTTCCTTGGCTAATTACTCCGGTTAGGACTTCTACCATATGTTGAATTAAAGTGGTGAAAGTGGGCATCCTTGTCCTATTTCATACTTAGTAGAAAGCCTCTCCATTTTTCTTCATTCCGTATAGTATTAGGTGTGGGTTTTATCATGTTGAGGTATGTTCCTTCTACATGCAATGTCTTGAAGGTTTTTAACCACCAAGAGATGTTGAATTTTATTGAATGCTTTTTCAGCCTCTATTGACAAAACTTAAGCTAGACCAAGAAAAAAAGAGAGAAGCCCCAGAAAAATGAAATCAGGTAAAAAATGAAACATAATAACTTGTATCACAGCAATATAAAGGATAATTAGAGACTGTTATGAACAACTGTACACCAACAAATTGGAAAACCTGGAAAAAAATAGATAAATTACTGGACAACCTACTGAGATTGAACCATAAAGAAATAGAGAACCTGAACAGACCAATAATGAGTAATGAGATTAAAGCAGTAATAAAAAGTTTCCCATCAAGAAAAAGCTCCAGACCTGATAGATTCCTTACTGGAGTCTACCAAACATTTAAAGAAGAGCTAATTCTGATTCTACTCAAACTATTTCAAAAAACTGAAGAACACCAAATACTTCTAAACTCATTCTACAAGGCCAGAATCACACTGATACCAAACCAAACAGACACAATAGAAAAAGAAAACTACAGACCAATATCTCTGATGAATATAGATGCAGAAATCCTCAACAAAATACTAGCAAACAGAATTCAATACTACCCTGAAAAGATTATTCACCATGATCAAGTGGGATTCATCCCAGAAATGCAAGAATGGTTCAACATATGCAAATAAATAGACATAATGCATCACATCAGCAGAATCAAGGATTGTCTTCTTTTTTAAGGCTGAATAATATTCCTTCTGCTATATAGTATATATATTCAGAATTTTTAAAATTCATTCATCCACTGACAGAAATTTAGGTTGTTTCCAGATCTTGGTTATTGCTAATAATGCCGAAATAATGCTGGGAGTACAGATATCTCTGGAAAATACTGATTTTATTTCCAGAAGTGGAGTTAGCAGATCATGAGGTAGTTTTATTTTCTATACTTTTAGGAAATTCCATACGGTTTTACATAATGGCTGTACCAATTTATATTTCCACCAACAGTGTACAAGAATTCCCTTTTTGCCACATCCTTGCCAACACGTTATATTTCATCCTTCTGATAATAGCCACTTTAACAGGCATGAAGCGATATCTCATTGTGGTTCAGATTTGCATTTCCCTGATGATTAGTGAGATTGAGAAACTTTTTCTGTATACCTGTTGGACATTTGTATGTCTGAGAAATAGCTATTCAGTCTTTTGCTCGTTTTTAAATTGGGTTGTTTGGTTGTTGCCATTCAGTTGTATGAGTTCCTTCATGTATAATTATTAAGAGTTTGTCAAGATGAGAAAGCAAAACAAGATCACCAGTTTCCTTGGTGCTGGCTCTGATGCACAGAGATAAAAATATAACTCTGCTTAAAGTATTATATTTCCAGTTAGATCTCAATAATGTTTCCTTCCATCCCATGTTATGATAAAATGTTGATGATGTAAAAGATAAATGCCTTGACCCTCAGAAAAGTCAGTGCTTTGCTGATCAACATGTCTGTATTGACCTGATAGCTAGGCTGTGATTTCTCAAAGCCAAGACTTAATTTCCAGTCTTCCTGATACAACTATGTTGCTGACTCATCAC
Organism: Homo sapiens; assembly: GCF_000001405.40. Classification (NCBI taxonomy): domain Eukaryota; kingdom Metazoa; phylum Chordata; class Mammalia; order Primates; family Hominidae; genus Homo; species Homo sapiens. Next base: position 152,801,544 of record NC_000001.11, read on the forward strand.
CTACATCTGAGTTACGTCAGTTGAGGGCTTGGGGTTGCCCTGCATGAAGGCAGAGGCATGGACCAGATGGCATCCCAGACCCATCATCCTAGATACCAGGAGTTGAACTTCTGAGTATACCTGCCATTGTGACAACCTGGGAACCAATGTCCTGACCACTGCCCCATTACTAAGCCTTTTGGAACAATCTGAGCAGGAGAACAAATGTCATACCCAAGAAAGACGGTGTCAGACCTCTCAAGGTGATGTGGCTCACACACCTCACTGAGCCTGTCTCAGAGTGTGTCTCCTATAAGGATGGCCTGAGTCATAAGGAATAGCTGTTTATAAACTGTAAAGTCAATGCTGTTACCAATGAGAGGATTTAAAAGTCATTAAATATCCATTGTGTGCATAGCTCTGTGTTGAATATTGAGGTAAAGAAATATAAAACACTCAAGGCAGGCCATCAAATAATTTACTATTATCTCATTAGAGTGATATGCCACAGGAAGGGAAAAAAAAAGTGGGATTGAGCCACGCTGTCCTGGAAGGGCAGAGACCATGGCTTGCATCACAGAGAGAAGCATAATCAAAGTACAAAAAAATAATCCAGTTCAGCTTCAGGTCATTTCTGAGAGTACATGACAAAGGCTTAAATGCGAGGGAGCACACAAAGTCTTATTTCACTGCAGGAATTTGGACATTTACCCTTAAACAGTGTGCAGTCCTGAACAAGACTTTACTAATGATTGAGTGTTAATTATTTATGGAGATGAGAGAGTCTTTTCCTGAATCTCACACTGGAACAGTATCAAGGAGGCCCTTTTATCCTGGTCTTGGGCTGTGCTCCTGATGGGTGAGGCAGCACCTGGGCATAAGAGGACCTTACAACATGGGTTGTATGACCAGGTGATAACCAGCAGCTTCTCACCTGCCTCCCTCCACAGGAGATCAGAATAGCTCCCATCAGTGCCACCTCATTTTTCTTGGAGCTGCCTTAGGCCTTTTTCTTGGAGTTTGGCCTCCCAAGTCCTCTTTTTCTATATCCCTGATGGTATCATTTAAACCAAAATTTTACAGAAGTCTTTTAATGTCCCTGATGTGTCCCAGATTCTGTGTGTGTGTGTGTGTGTACGCATGTGTGTGTAAATACATGTCTATGCCATCACAGTTACAAGCCTGGTAGGAGTCAGACATATCTGGGACAGAATCCTGGTTCTGTCACTTATTAGCTGTGTGACTTCTGAAAATCCCAAATTATCTCATCCTCCGTTTCCTGAAATTTAAAATGAAGATAATAAAGATTAGTCTCCAGGATGTCGTGAGGATCAATGAAATTGTAGAAAGAAAATGCACATTAAAGTTCCTGTAACACAGTGAACCCTCATATGAAACACCTGTCTATCAATAATTTTAAAGGGAATGAACACTTTTTGAGATGGTCCAAGTCTCGGGCACTATGTGGAGTGAAGGAAAAGAGTTCCCTAGTGGAGGAGGCTGGAAGACCTGAAAAAATAGGAGGACTTGAAATACAATGGGAAACTTTTAGTGTTATTGCTTTGTTTCAACATGAACAAAAGTTTTTGTCTGAAGGTCTATTTAAAAACATTTTTAGGAGATTAAGATTTACTAATGTCAATTTGGTATATAACAGGTGTTCCTTTTGTATCTTGAGGAAAATATTATTTAAAAAGTAAAAGAACTAATTAGATGAAAGCAAATTAGACTAGGGAGTAATCATGTGAAAAAGTTCTCTTTTCAGGAAGTGTCCAAAACAATTCTCCAGAACGTGTGATGAGGTAGAAATGGCCACAATAATACCAATATCCAGGTCATAATGGGTATAGAGAATCAATATCTGAGATATGTATATGAACATAGGCATAGATAGATATAGAAGTAGATTATATAGATATGGATATATAATCGGCCTTGTTCTATTATTACAGTATCATATATCTCAAGATGCATGGCCTTCCCTGAAGTTACAATGCCTTACTTCTCTAGGGTTTCTCCATGATTCTAATTTTCACTGGAATCTGAAAATGATCTTTCCACACCATCCCGCACTCCAGAAATAATTACCCCTGACCATTAAGAAAATCTCATCCAGAGCTCTGCACTGTGTTCAGGATCAAGGTCAATGTCCATTGAGTGACATTCAAGGCTCTGTGCATAAGACCCTGTACAATTCCTCTAATTTATGCTTTGCTAAGCAGGACTGCCTATTAGCTATACTTTGAAGATGTCTCTTCCTACTTTACCTCTATGTTTTATTCCAATATTTTTTTTTCTCTCTGAGACACTGCAGTTCAAATCTCACTTGCTCCATTTTCCTTTTTTTTTTTTTTGACATACCTCATGAATCAGGTTTTAACAAAACTTTGGACAGCACAATTTGTGACTTATATTGTGTAGTCCCCATCAGCTACTAGTACAAGGTCATGGCCACATGGGTGGTTAAAACTTTTTAAATCCTGTCAGCAGCATTAGTGCTGGGGTTTCATGGAAGGTATGAATGGTAAGACTTAGAAAAGAAGTTGGAAACACTTTCTGTTAAGTCTTAAATGTAATACTTAAGAAGCACATGCATTTTTCTATAGAGAGTCATGGGCAAGTTGAGAAATATGGTACAGGGAGTGTGTTCTGGAATAAAGTGTAGATAATTTAATGAAGATGGAGAAGGAAGAAAGCAACAAGATTTGATGGAAGGTTAATAGAAAAGCAATTTTTACTTGCAAATGTGCCTGGAACTAAACTTATTGCAGAAGTAGTCAGTGGGAAAACTGTATTTTCAAAATATATTCATGGGTTTTGTTCTTTTTTATTTCATTTGTTTACTTATTATATTTTTCTTTTTTTATCCATTTATATACATGCATGTGTGTGCATGTTTGTGTGTGCACCTGGAGATGTGCAGAAGTGTGTGTTTTTGCATGTGATGTGTGTGAGGGAGGAAGGATATTGGTGGGGCTAGGTCAGGAGGAGCAGACTGCACTCACAGAGAAAGAGAAGCTTGGAGAGACTGGTCAAGCCCTTGAAAGGGACCAGAAACAAAGAAGCTATGTTTATAAGAGACAGTTCAGACTTGGTCAGAAGCAATGCTGCTTCAGGCCAGTTGACATAGGACAGACAGAGTTGGGAGCAATGGTCCCTTCCCACTCCTGCCCCCATTAACCCCAATTCACTCCAGAGTGCCCCACTGTCCCCTGAGGTTCCAAGGCCACCAACTGCAGAGGACAAGGTGAAGAGAACAAGAGCCACTCAAGGAGAATAGGGTCCTCATAGAACAAGACACTGAGCAGATTCCTTGTTTTAGTCCTTTAATCAGCAGATGCACGCTGCAAATGACATTGAGTAAGCTAGGGGCTTAGACAGAGCGTGGGAGGGTAGCCACAAAGGTGAGGTCCAAGGCCAGTGAATGGAGATCCAGGAGAGGATCTGAGTTTCTGGACTCCAGGGAAAAGATATGCTCTTGGCAAGTTCAGAGCTTTCCCTTGGACCTGTGAGCCTCTCAGGCAGGCCTAGTAGGAGAAGGGGGATGTCCTTGGCAGTTTGCGGTCCTGGATTCTGCTCTTCTAGGCTCAGGGTCCACTTCAGCAGCAGCCTCCAGAGTGCTGGCCACTCCCCCCGCCACAGCAGCTGGAGCCCCCCGAGGGCTGGCTGCAGCAGCCAGAGCTCTGGGGTCTGTGGCAGTGGGACCTACGGCGCCTGTGGTGGCTCAGGCAGCAGCCACCTCCCCCAGAACTGCAGCATCCCCCAGAGCTGGAGCCACAGCTGCCCCCAGAGCTGGAGCCACAGCAGCCTCCGGAGCTGACACTGCAGCAGGAAGAGACAGGAGGGCACTTAGGGGGACACTTTGGGGGACACTTTGGGGTGGGGCACTTGGGAGGGCACTTGGGGGTGCACTTGGGAGGGGGCTGGCACTGCTGCTGGCTCTGCTGGCAGGACATCTTGGTGGCGGATTCAGGAGCTGAAAGAGAGTCAAACAGCAAGTCAGACCTAGGCAGAGGCCACCCCTGCCTATTCTTGTCCTTTCCACATTGTTTCTATTTCCTTTATTTTGATGAACTGTTCAAATGTCATGGTAAATCATTAATCACTGAAAATTTTGTTGTTTCTTGTAGTTTGGCAAATGCTCTCACACTGTATCTTTTGAGTTCACAATTTCATCTTAAGACAGTCAAGAATTACTATATCTTTTACAAAGAAGGAAACTGAGGCAGTAAGCCATATGAAAAAATATCTGTCAAGATTAAACATTTAGTAAATTAAAGGAAGCAGTTTTTCTCATTGTGTCAAATAAAACCCTGAAACTGTCCAGTGTGGAAACCTGGGGATATAAACATTTTCTTGGAAAAAGATAATGAAGGATTATCTCTTGGAGTAACTTCCTAGGAGACTTTGTCTTGTAAAAACCTGCGCATGTACAATTGTAAATGGTTTTGGAGACAGGCTGGTCTCACAGGCTCCCTTTGTTAAGGAAGATGCTGGAGAACAGTATTTTTGGTGCATAGAGGGGATCTGAACTCAGGTGCCCTGGCTCTAGGCTGGTGCACTGCCATATTCATCACGCAACGGCCTCACAGTAACATGTTGGCACAGTGATCCTCAGCTTGCTATGTCTAACTACTTTAAGAGATTCTCAATTCCAATTTGAATCTAGAGATAAGTGAGTTTCAAAAAGCCCTAAAAGATCCATTAATTATCTCTACTCCACTGATTGAGAACTACTATCTCCAGCTCAAATTTGCAAGGAGTGTCACAGTTTTGCTCTGAAAAGTAAGTGTCCTATTTGAAGTTGTTCTAGCAGAGTCTATTTGCCTGGGCTTCAACTCCCTCTGTCCTTAAAACTCAACTAGCTGAAGCACAAAGACAGAGACATCTAATTCTTATTTGTGTTACCAGTTGGCCCTCTCCCTGCCTCCTGAGCACATCCTCCTTCAATCTTTCTGAGGTCTTGACTTCTATCCAGATGGATCTCAGCCCTCAAGGTCCTGCCCAGCCTCCCCTCCTGCCTAGGGCTGAGCAACACTCTGTGGAAGCCCCAGCAACTATTCTCAAAGAACACTTACCGGGGTCACAGGCAGCACAGGGTCCTTCAGCACCTCGGGAGGTGAGTGGATGGAGTGCTCAGGCCCAGAGCCCTTTTATCCTGGCCTGGGCTCTGCCTCCAGCTGTGAGACAGGGCCTGGGCATGAGAGGACCTGCCTTCTGACACCCACATGGGTTCTGAGGTGGGTGGTGACTGGCAGCTCCTCACTTGCCTTCCTCCATGGGGCTCAGAAAAGCTGCTCCCAGCTTGGACTATGGCCACTTAGAAATAGAAATGGAGTGGGAAAATCCCTACCATCATTTCCTGTGTTGTTCTCCGTGGAGAATACCTAATCTGTTTAGTCTTGGAGCTTGAGTTCTCTGTTTTGTTAACTCCCAAATCTTACCTCTGTGGCTCTGGGCAACCTGGCTTAACTCAAGTTTCATAGAATCCTCCAACCCTCAACTATCTTATAGTTGTGTGTGTGTGTGTGTGTGAGTGTGAGAGAGAGAGAGAGAGTGTGTGTGTGTGTGTGTGTGTGTGTGTGCGTGTGCTTCTGTATTAAAGCCATTAGGTAACTGGTTAAAGAGTCAGACATAGAGAGAAACCTGATTCTGCCACTTATTACCTGCATGACCTTATGAAAAGCATTAATACCTCATCGTTCTTGTTCTCAGTTTGTCAACTCTGTAATAGAGATAATATAAAAACAATTGTCCAGGGATGGCTGAGAGTCAATGAAATAATGCAAAGGAAGTTTCTGGTGGAGAGCTTATAACATGTCATTTTCTCTAAACAAATGCCAATGCATTAATATTTTTAAATTATAGCTGCTTTCTAAGGAGAGATAATAGCCTCCAGCTCCATCCATGTTTCTTCAAAGGACATGATCTTATTCTTTTTTATGGCTGCATACTATTCCATGGTATATGTGTACCACATTTTCTTTATCTAGTCTACCATTGATGGGTATTTGGGTTGATTCCATGTCTTTGCTATTGTGAATAGTGCTGGAGTGAACATACACATTCATATGTCATTATGATAGAACAATTTATATTCATTTGGATAACGCTCCTTCTTCAACATCCAGGCTTTATTCCGTGACCTATGCATTTCTAAAACAGTGCCATTCAACTGTAACTTCTTTATGAGTCTTAATTTTCAAATATGACTACAGTAAACTATCCTTGATTCTGCAGCTTTGTTCTTATATTTATGTACCCCTCAACAGTTTCTACAACAGAGGTGGACTCCATAGGTAAGCAATTTAAAAATGAATTGATTACTATTAGCATCATCTTTACTTTGTGTATGACTTAAGCCATCATCATTGGAATTCTCACTCTGAGACATTTACATTACAGTATACTAGCCTTATCACCCTGCAGAAGTCTGCCACTGAATTACCTGGCTATGGCTCATGTTGTTCCAAAGAATGTATTTAATAATAGAGTAGTCAAGATATTGATTACTCAGCTTACATTGGCAGTTCTGATCCAGAAGCCCAGCCCATTCATTCCAAGGATGATGAGGATTAGAAGCTATTCTGTCCATGACTCTGATACCACAAAGGGTAGCACCCAAACTGTCAATTAATCTGACATGGATTGGGTTAATAAGGTAGCAATATGATGTAACATCATGAGGATTGTTTCCTTATGTTTGGTGTTAGATTTCAATAGCATTTGAAATTTATTGAATTTGGTACCATTTTAATGCTAACAATATGCACTAGCAAAGGAGTGATTTTCTGAAAATACATTTCTATGTTGTCAGGCTCTCATATCACAAGAGATTGGTGGGAAGAATGCTGAGACACAGTAAAAATTAACTTAGACTTAGTGGATTTTACTCTGTGTCCCAGAGCCAGCACCACACATGACTGATTTTTAATTTGCTTCCTTCCTCTGCAACCCCTGCATAGAGCAGTAACAATAAACTGATACTCCAAAATTATTAGAAGAATATACAGACTATCTAATTATTTCTTTATAAGTAATTGGATAAAATATTTAAGCATGAAAAAACTTGATAAATCTCATCACATAGTGAAAGGAATACTATATGTCAGAAAGCACAATTTTAAAGGATGAAAAATATAAATAACCAGCTGAGAAAAAGTAAAGTATGTAAGTCAGGAATAGTATTAAAATCTATGATAAATAGTAAGTCCTTACAACTTTATAGAAAAGAAATAAGCCTATCTACAAATGAATGGGCAAAGTGCATGAACAAACAGATAGCTTGGAAAGAAATACATGACCAATACATTTTGAAATTTGTTATTTCATATTTGCATATACAAATAACCAAAGACTAGTATATAAAACAAGGATGGTCTTTCAAGGATGAGGTCTGAGTCTGCCACTGAATTGCCTGGCTGTGGCTCATGTTGTTCCAAACAATGTATTTAATACGAGAGTAGTGAAGACATTGGTTACTCAGCTTACATTAGTAGTTCTGATCTAGAAGCACAGCCCGTCCATTTCAAGGATGATAAGGATTAGAAGATATTCCTTTATATTGAACTAGAAGAAACTTAAAATCAATAACAAAACAGTATTACTGAAGGTGATAGGAAATGGATCTTATAAATTGGCATAATAATGAAAATTAAGATGACATTTGGTGACCCATTACTCAACAAATAATAATTTTCTGTATACAAATCAAAATTTTAAATGTGCATACTTTTTATCCAACAGTTGTACTTTCAAGAATTTAACTTAAGGAGAAAAAACTTTAAGAAAGAAGATATATAGACAAGAATGATTACTATAGAAATTAAAATAATATTAAGAGTTCGAAAAGTTGCAAGATGTAAGAATAAATTTACATTAACCAGCAACAAATAATTCAAAAATATAATTTTTAAAATTGCCATTTAAAATAGCAAAAATACATAAAGTCTAAAATACAATTTTAATGTAAAATATATTTGATAAAATGAGAAGACTATTAAACAGCATTACAGAATACCATAATAAAGAGATATACCATATTTATGGGTGAGTAGAAAAAAATTATAATAAAATAAAATAATTCTTCATAAATTAATGCATATTCTCAATGATGTTTTCATCAAAATTCTAATAATGATTTGTTTTGCTTCATCTTCATTGTGTAGGATGTGACAAACTGGCTCTAATGTTTATATAAAATGACAAAGGTTTAATAATCACCAAGACAATCTTAAGGAATGATGAAACCTGTGTGATTTAGATACCGCAATTGATTATACACCTATGGTAATTAAGGCAGCAGGATGTTCTCAGAGGTGTTGACAAATTGGCAATGACAAGAATTGTTCACCCAATTATAAATCTACGGAAATGTGAAAAATTGATTCTGACCCATAGGTATTTCAGATGAGTGGGGGAAAATGGAAAATTTGATTACAATACTAAGACAATTGGTTATCCATTCAGAAAAATGTTTAAAATATATAAAATGTACAAAAATTCCTTTCTTGATTGAATAAAAACCTTCATTTTTAAAAAGAAAAAATTTTCAACTTTTTAAAGATAGGGAAAAGATTTCTAAACTTACAAATGGTTGAGATTTATTAAAATCATGAAAATTGCAAACAATATAGTTATTGTTGCAGAAATTCAACTATGTTAAAAATAAAACACTAGTTCATCAAATGACACCATTAAAATGCAAACAAGAACATATTTGTTTGGAAAAGATATTCACAACACATTTAATAGCAGTACATTAGTAACTAGAATATGTAAAGAACATTTACAAATACTAACAAAAGGAGATAAACAAATTGAAAAACATTTTCGAGAAAAAGCAGACAAGTCACAGAAGGGAAACCTCAATTAACCAAAAATACATTAAAAGATGCTGTGATCACTACAAAGCAGAGGAACACATATTAAACTACCGACAGATACCAGTGCACATCCATCGAATGGCAATTATTGAAGTTTAGGAACAATGTGCAGCAAGAATGATTCTTATACACCATAGGTGCAAACTGAAATCAGTATGAGCAATTTGGAGAGATGGGTGTGATCCAAAATTCAACAGTTCCACTTATAGGTACATAACTTGGTGAGACTCTCCCACAAATACACAAGTAGACACGCACAAAAATTTCCTTAGCTGCAATATTGATTCAGTGAAAAGTGAAAACACTCTAAATGTCTATCCAAAAGAGAGAAGCTAACAAATCATGATGCACTCATAAGATGGATACTACACCGTTGTAAAAATGAGTAAACTATGGCTATACAGATCAACTTGAGTAACTAGCAAAAACAATGTTTAAGGAAGAGAACAAGTCAAAAATGAGTGTCTTAAGTATGATGCCATTTCTATAGAGTTAAAACCATGTAATCCATAGTGTATATTGTATCAGGGTAACCTGTACAGAATAAAATTGGAAGGAATATATTACAATTTGGTTTGAACCAGGTTGCATGGGCTCATTAACACCGGGGAGGCAAGAAGGGCAGTATTAGGGCCAAAACTTCAAAGCTCCAAGAATGAGAAGTGAGAACCTTAAAAGCAGGTGCCCTTCAGGCAGATCAAGGCAGGAGATGATGGTAGGGATTTCCCCACCCCACCTCTATTTCTAAGTGGCCATATTCCATACTGGCAGCAGCTCTCCTGAATACCCACGAAGGCAGACATGTGCAGAGCTGCCAGTTACCACCTGTCACGGGACCTATGTGGGTGTCAGGAGGCAAGTCCTCTCATGCCCAGGCCCTGTCTCACTGCTGGAGGAAGAGCCCAAAGGACAGGATAAAAGGGCTCAGGGCCAGAGCACTCCAACCACTCACCTCCTGTGCTGCTTGTGACCTCAGTAAGTGTTCCCTGGGTACTGAAGCAGGGGCTTCCACAAAGGGATGCCTAGATCAGGGCAGGAGGGGAGGGCAGGCAGAGCCTCCAGGGCTGGGGTGGTGCTGGTATCCATATGAGTGAAGGAGGGAGCCTCAAGAAAACTGAGCAAAGGCAATGGGGACAGACCAGGGACATGAGAATGAGGAGTCCTGTGATGGTGACTTGGTGTTCTGGAGAAATGAGATGGATCTAGAGTTCTTGGGTCTCTAGTCTGAAGGCATTGCAACATTGCCTGCCATGTTCACCTGTAACTGCTTTCAGAAAGGGAGATTTACCTTGAAAAATATAATTGTCCTTTCCTGAAAAGATGAGATGGAAACAGTGGTTCCCAGCCAGTGTAGAGGATATCACAGCTAACCGACTCTCTTAAACTCACATTTAATGGTATTTAACTTGGTGAGACAAGTACGGTAGACAAACAAAATATAAGTGCTGAGCATTCAGTACAGGTGTTTGTCTGCTGAAAAATGTCAGAGCACTGGACTAAGTCAGAAACCTGTATACAATTCTCACTTAATTCAATGATATTTTTCCTCCAACTTCCTTTGCAGTTCTGAACTTCTATGTCCTTACAACAAGGTAATCTAGAAAATTCTTCCAAGAGAGAATGACTGTTTCCCCTTGAGAAACAATTTTATTTCCAAACCCCTTTCTAGATTGTTTTCATGATTCAGGTGTGTAGTTGAAGCAGAATGTCTCCTCTACATACTACATGCTTGATTTTGAGAATACTTTCTTAATATCTTTTGGCTTCGGTTTTCTAATTATAAAATAGTTGAAAATGCTTTATGATTTTATAAGTATATAAAAAGCATTAGGTTCAAAACAGAGGCTATAAGTGTGTTTAGCCAACTATTAGACACAATGAAACTTCCCGTGATTAATTAGCTACAACTACACTAAGCAGTTCATCAAAATGTAGGGATTAGAAATGATGCTGAAAGGGCAAGAATAGGCCGGGGTGGCCTCTACCTGGGTCTAACTTGCTGTCTGACTCTCTCTCAGCTCCTGAACACCCGCACCAAGATGTCCTGCCAGCAGAACCAGCAGCAGTGCCAGCCCCCTCCCAAGTGCATCCCCAAGTGCCCTCCCAAGTGCCTCACCCCTAGATGCCCCCCAAAGTGTCCCCCTAAGTGTCCTCCAGTCTCTTCCTGCTGCAGTGTCAGCTCCGGAGGCTGCTGTGGCTCCAGCTCTGGGGGAAGCTGTGGCTCCAGCTCTGGGGGTTGCTGCAGTTCTGGGGGAGGTGGCTGCTGCCTGAGCCACCACAGGCGCCGTAGGTCCCACTGCCACAGACCCCAGAGCTCTGGCTGCTGCAGCCAGCCCTCCGGGGGCTCCAGCTGCTGTGGAGGAGGGAGTGGCCAGCACTCTGGAGGCTGCTGCTAAAGTGGATCCTGAGCCTAGAAGAACACAAATGGCCAAATATTTCCCTTCCGTCTTCCTTCTCCTTCTGGGCCTGCCCATGTTGTTGAGAGGTCTTGGTGAGGGCTCAACTCAAGCATAGAGGATTCTTCTGTCTTGGAGTTCAGAGGCCCAAAACTTCTCCCCCAAAGCCAAGCCATTTAATGACCTCAGTTTGCGTATGTGTGGTTGCTCTGGGAAGCCCAAAGCACAGACCTATATCCCTTTGCAGCTTGTCTTTTTGCATAGCTCAGCCTGATGTGAAACAATAAAACCAGAAATATGCATTCCTTTTTGCCTTGACTGATTGTTATTTTTTCATTGCTTTTCATACTCTGTCCTCATCTCCAGGCTCTCCCAAGATGTTAGTATCTACAGACCTTGTTCAAATTTAGCCAATCTTCCTACTAATATCCTTTATAACAAAAGACAATTTTGTTGGTTCAAAATCCAATCCAGGATCTCCATTGCCTTGACATAGTTGCCATGATTCTTCAGTCTCCTCCAAACCGAAATGGCTCTTCAGTCTTTCTTTGTCTTCCTTGACATTGACCTTTTTAAAGAACTATTGGTTTTGTAGAATGCCCCTCAATTTGGGTTTCTCTGATGTTTCTTCTTGACCAGGCTCAGATTACACATTTTTGCAAATATCCTACAAAAGTGATGTTGTCCTTAGAGCATGATATCAAGCCTTACATGATGTCTAATTGTCCCATTCCTGGAGATACAACTTTGACCACTTGATCTGCCAGCTTTCTCTATTGCAAATTTAATATTTATTCCTTTGAATTAAAAACTTATGAAGGAGAGAATAGTTAAACTTCTTTTTTGAGTTGGAGTCTCACTGTCGCTCAGGCTGCAGTGCAGTGGCACCATCTCGGCTCATTGCAACAACCACTTCCTGGGTTGAAGCATTTCTACTGCCTCAGCCTCCCAGGTAGCTGGGATTTCAGGTGTGTGCCACCACGCCCAGCTACTTTTTGTATTTTTAGTAGAGATGGGGTTTCACCATGTTGGCCAGGTTGGTCTTGAACTCCTGACTTCAAGTTATTTGCCCACCTCAGCCTTCCAAAGTGCTAGGATTACAGACGTGAGCCACAGCCCCCAGCCTAAACATCTATTTTGTTTCAAACATTTTCCCAAAACTTTTTTAGTATAATTGATGTTCTTTTACAAAACTGTTATTATTATTATAGTGTTGCTGGTATTGTTGAGTATAGTTTTTTAAAATATATTTATCTCATACCCTGAGTCTATGTACATATGTAAAGCAAAGAGAGGTGGTGAGGATGGGTCCTGAGCAAAATCAGCAATGTCCTGCAACACAACTACTTGAAGGAAGGCCATTACAATTTCTTCTTGTTGAACTCTTATTATATCTAATTTCCTGTGATGACCATCCTTATCCATTTATCTCTCCTACATTATAACTCTACTTTCAGGTAAATTCCTATAACACAATGTTTTTGTGTAAAAAGATTTGCTTATTATAAATTTAAACTCATTACACCTCAATAAGTATCAAATTGCTATCCAGAATTGTTATGCCAATTCACATTGCCATCTCAAAATATGTTTATTACCAACTGTCACATACTATTTTGTTAGTCATTAAAATAATTGTCATTTTGAAATAAGTAAATAAATCTGTTAGTCTCCTTTCTCAAATTCAAGATATTTCTTTTTTATTTTGTTTGCATTTGTTTGAATATCAGTAAAGTTGAACATGTTTTTTGAAATTTTTTTTGTTTGCTTGTTTTAAATGGAGTTTCACTCTTTTGCCCAGGCTGGAGTGAAGTGGCACAATCTCGGCTCACTGCAACCTCAGCCCCCTGGGTTCAAGCGATTCTCCCACCTCAGCGTCCCAAGTGGCTGGGATTACAGGTACCTGCCACCATGCCCTGCTAATTTTTGTATTTTTGGTAGAGATGGGGTTTCACCATGTTGGCCAGGCGGTTCTCGAACTCCTGACCTCAGGTGATCCACCCACCTCAGCCTCCCAAAGTGCTAGGATTACAGGTGTGAGCTACTGTGCCCAGCCTTTTTGAATTTTATTTGCCATTGTATTTGCAAAAATATGTACATATGTGATGGTTAATTTTATGTGTCAACTTGGCTAGGCTATGGTTCCTAGATCTTGCTCTAGCACCATTCACCAGTCTAAATGTTGTTGTGAACATGTTTTTTTTTTAGATGCGACTAATATTTAAATCAGCAGAGTTTGAGTAAAGCAGATTGCCCTCCATAATATGGGCAGGCCTCAACCAATCAGTCAAAGGTCTTAAGAGAAAAGACTGATATCCAGAGACGGAAAAAATATTCTGCCTCCAGGAACAAGGAATGCTTATACACTCTTGGTGGGAGTGTAAATTAGTTCTGCCATTGTGGAACACAGTGTGGCAATTTCTCAAAGACCAGCAATTACCATTCAACCCGGCCATCCCATTGCTATGTACATACCCAAAGAAACATAAACTATTCCATTATAAAAACACATGCACATGTATGTTCATTGCAACACTACTCACAATAGCAAAGACACGGAATCATCCTAAATGTCCATCAATGATAGACTGGATTAAGAAAATGTGGTGCCTATATACCATGGAATACTATGCAGCTGTAAAAAAGGATGAGATCATGTCCTTTGCAGGGACATGGATGGAGCTGGAGGCCATTATCCTTAGCAAACTAACACAGGAACAGAAAAACAAACACTGCATGTTCTCACTTATAAGTGGGAGCTAAATGATGAGAACACGTGGACACATAGAGGGCCTGTCAGAGGGTGGAGGGTGGGAGAAGGGAGAGGATCAGGAAAAATAACTAGTGGGTATTAGGCTTAGTACCTTGGTGATGAAATAATATGTACAACAAACCCCCATGGCGTAAGTGTACCTATGTAACAAACCTGCACTTGTACCCCTAAACTGAAAATAAAAAGTTAAAACAAAATCTGCCCTCAGAATGATTTTGGACTTGAGACTGCAACATCAGCTCTCCCCTGAATCTGCATCCTGCCATCCTTCCTTACAAATTTTGGTTTTTCCATCCCTGATAGTCACTTGAACCAATGCTGCAAAATAGTCCTCTTTCTCTCTTTCTTGCTCACACTTACTTTACCAAAACATAACAGAATCTAAAGGAATAGAATCTTAAGGACAAGTTTTCTGAATGAGTTCTGGGATTTCTGGAATTTGTTTTCTAGCCTAACTAGATTTAAATGCACTAATGAACCCTATTTCCCATAGTGAAGAGAACACTGATAGTAAATGTGGCTATAGGGATTTGCAAAATATCACTATTGGATGTTTCTAATCAAATGCTTATAAGAGACAAGGTTTTGAGTGGCTATGGATTTGCTACCTGTGAATACTTTTGTCAAACTAATGAATATAAAGAGATTGGCTGGTTTCTCCTCATTGTGTTAAGTGAGATGGGAGAAGAAAATGATGAGGTCCAGGATTTGAATCCTCAGTTTGTGCACCACATAAATAACCATGCAGCACATAAATAACCTGAAAGTTTCTATGTCTATTCTGAAAGAAACCCTTATCTTCTGTAGTCTCAGAGCTGAGACTGCTAAAAACTAAACCCAAAATCTTTTCAGTGAATGACTGAATTACAATGCCAATTAAATTTCCAAATTCTCAGCATGTCTACAGTTAAAGTGAGGCCACTGATTAAGAAGAAATGGGGGCCTGGCACAGTAGCTCATGCCTGTAATCCCAGCACTTTGGGAGGCGGAGGTCGGTGGATCACTTGAGGTCAGGAGTTCGAGACCAGCCTGGACAACATAGTGAGACCCTGTCTCTACTAAAAAAAAAAAATACGAAAATTAGCCTGGCATTGTGGCACACGCCTGTAATCCCAGCTACTCTAGAGGCGGAGGCTGGAGAAACACTTGAACCCAGGAGGCAGAGGTTGCCGTGAGCCAAGATCTCACCACTGCACTCCAGCCTGGGTGACAGAGTGAGACTCTGTCTCAAAAAAAAAAAAAAAAAAAGAAGAAGAAGAAGAAATGGGACCCTGAAAATTGGAATGAGGACCAATGAGAAAATCCTGATGACCATGGAAACACTATACCTCTGAGTTTGGTTTGGTTGAGTCTTCTTTGCCAGTAGAAGCAGCCTTTCTACACCCACTTGAGGAGGCTGACCCTGATTTTCCTAAGAAAACTGTAATGGGCTCCTGTGAGGCAGTTGCCTTGAAAGACAATGATGATTCTTCTCAGGACCCCTCCCTATCACCTCATTTTGCTTCTAGAGTGAAGTCCCAGCAGGTCCCCAATGGTGAGGTACAACATGTGACCCATGACAAGGGAGCACTACACTCCAAAAGAACTACAGTGTTTACAGACAGACATTTAGGGAATACATGTGGGAATGGATATTAAGAGTGTGGAACAATTGTGGAAAGAATAAAAGATTGGATGAGGCTGAACTGATTGCAGAGATTCTAGGCAATGTTACAGTTCGGGGAGTAAGAAAAGGCCCTAAGAGTTTGTTTGGTTGGCTGGTCAAAACATGGACTGAAAGGTGGCCTAGTGTGTGTGACCTAGAAATGACAGGCCTGCCTTGCTTTGCTGCAGAGGAAGAGATTCAGAGCATTAGGGAGATTGGAATATTAGAATGAATTTGTCATGAAATGACAAATCACCCACCGTGGAAGGTCCAAATGATTCACCTTTCATCACAATTGTGAAACATATGTTTGTGAGGCGAGGCTCAGCATCCTTGAAGAGCTCTAAAAAGCTTAGATTGGCCGGGCGTGGTGGCTCATGCCTGTAAGCCTAGCACTTTGGGAGGCCGAGGTGGGCAGATCACAATGTCAGGAGATCAAGACCATCCTGGCTAACACAATGAAACCCCGTCTCTACTAAAAATGCAAAAACTTAGCCAGGCATGGTGGCACACACCTGTAATCCCAGTTACTCAGGAGGCTGAGGCAGGAGAATTGCTTGAACCCGGAAGGCAGAGGTTGTAGTGAGCCGAGATTGCGACACTGCACTCCAGCCTGGGTGACAGAGAGAGACTCTGTCAAAAAAAAAAAAAAAAAAAAAAATCTCTAACATTTAAGTCTTTAATCCACCTTGAATTAATTTTTGTATAAGGTGTAAGCAAGGGATCCAGTTTCAGCTTTCCGCATATGGCTAGCCAGTTTTCCCAGCACCATTTATTAAATAGGGAATCCTTTCCCCATTTCTTATTTTGTCAGGATTGTCAAAGATCAGATAGTTGTAGATATGAGAAGGTAGCCATCTGTAAGCCAGAAAAGGAGCTCTCATCAGAAAACAAATCGACTGGCACCTTGACCTTGGTGGCTTCCCAACCTCCAGAACTACTAGAAATAAATTTCTATTATTTAAGCCACCTAATTTATAGTATTTTGTTATGACAGCTCGAGCAGACTAATACACTGAATTATTACAAGCCTAGCCAGGGGGTGACTCCATTTACAGATGTACTAGATGTGGTATTTCCTTGAGCAAATTAGCATATCCCCTATTATGCAGCTATTGATCTGGATTTTTTTTCTTCTTACCTATTAGTAATGACTACCAGAATCAGGTTGTTTTCAGCTGGCAAGGGCAGCAATACAACTTCACTGTCTTACCTGCCACCATGGCCACTTTGTTCATGAGCTCATTGGGAAATGACAGGAGAGGCTGGGCAAAGAGTCTGACTGGTATCCACAGAATAGGTTATCCTATCCACTTATTTATTAAAGTCTCTGCTAAGGTTATTGTTTAGTAAACATTCATATGGAACACAAATATCTTACATTTTTTGCTCATTTAAAGAGCTCTCTGCACATACCCCTTCCCCTATTCTCCTTGAGTAGCTATTGTTCTCCTCACCCTGTCCTCTGCAGGTGGTGGCCTTGGAACTTCAGGGGCCAGTGGGACACACTGGCTTGAATTGGGGTCAATGAGGGCAGGAGTGGGAAGGGACTTCCAACGCTGTTTGTCCTATGTCAATTGGCCTGAAGCAGCATTGCTTGTGACCAAGTCTGAAATGTCTTTTGTAAACACAGCTTCTTTGCCTCTGGTCCCCTTCAAGGCCCTGACTGGTCTCTCCATGCTCCTCTCCCTCTGTGAGCGCCACCTTCTCCTCCTCACCTAGCTCCACCCAACATCCTTCCTCCCTCACACATGTATGCACATACACACACATCACATGCAAATACACACACTTCCACACAAGTACAGGTGCACACGCACGCATGCACACATGGATGCATGCATATGGAAGAAAAAAGAAAAGAAAAATAGATTAATAAAATAGAAAGCAAAAAACAGAAATATATTTTGAAAATACAGTTTTCCCACTAACTACTTCTGAAATCAGTTTAGTTCGAGGCATATCTTTGTGTAAAAATTGCACTTGTATTAACCTTCCATTAAATGTCTCTTTCTTCCTCTTCCATCTCCATTAAATTCTCTGCACTTTTTTCCAGAACACATTCCCTATACCACATGTCTGAAATTGTCACTCTACTTCCTCAAAACAGAGGCTTTCTATAGAAAAATGCATGTGCTTCTTAAGTATTACATTTGAGACTCAGCAGGAATTGTTTCCAACTTCTTTTCTAAGGTTTACCATTCATACTTCCCATGACACCCCATGTTCTTGCCGCACTGAGCAACTCATAACTTACACTTGTATATATTCATCCTTTTTTTTCTGAGAAGCTGTAAGTAGAATTTACTATTCATAGCTCTGTATCTAGAATACTATAAGTCTTCAATAAAGAGTAGCTTCTCTTGATATTTTATAAGTGTTGCCACTACTACTACTGCTACCCTTAGTATCACTACTAACTACTGTAATCATTACTTACTATTACTATTAGCAGCATTACTTGCTATTTCCTCTATCTGAAGTTCCTCCAAATCTCTCCCCACCATCTGGACATTGTGTAATTCTGTCCCTCTTTTAAGGTTCACCTCAAATGTCATCCTTCTATGAAATCTTATCCGATTGTGTGTTTTCTTAAGCTGGTGGATGTTAAAAAATCTGTCTACAACCCTCACATTGAGCAAGCTTAGCTTGGAGGATGTAATAAAATTATAGCTTTTTAAAAATTTAAAAATTTTAAAAGTAAAATTGTCCTTAAAATTTTACTCAGTGGGATGGTTTTCCTTCCTAAATGACAAGTTGAAAGGCCAACTGACTTTACAGCTCTTTCAAAGTAATGCAAAATGATTTGTTACTTGAAATCACAAACGTGGGCCCAGTGCAGTGGCTCCTGCCTATAATCTCAGCACTTCGGGAGGCCCGAGAGAGAGGATCACTTGAACCTAGGAGTTTGAGACCAGGTGCGGCAACAAAGCAAGACCCCATTTCTAAAACAAAAAAATTACAAACTTGGTTTCAGTTCAGTAATGAAATATCCAGTCAGAAAAACAATATCAACGCCAAATTTGACTGGTTGGTTGATTGATTTTTTTTTTTTTTTTTTGAGACAGAGTCTCACTTTGTTGTGCAGGCTGGAGTGCAGTGGTGCAATCATGGCTCGCTGCAGCCTCAACCTCCTAGGCTCAAGTGATCCTCTCACCTCAGCCTACTGAGTAACTGGGACTACAGATGCACACCACCATGCCAGGCTGATTTTTGTATTTTTTTTTTTTTTTTAGAGACAGGATTTTGCCTGTTGTCCAGGGTGGTCTCGAACTCCTGGCCTCAAGAGGTCTGCCTGCCTCGGTCTGCCAAAGTGCTGGGATTACAGGCACAAGCCACTCTCCCCGGCCCCAAATTTGACTGAATGGCATATTTGCCCATATCCCTGCTCCAGTGGGCTGGCCCACCATACCAGAGAAAGGGAGCCTGGTCCTTCTACTCATTCCCCACCTAATGTCTGTCCTTCTCCAGCTTTCTAAATGTATTTTCTGAATGGAGAACAAAGAAAAGGCTCAGTCTGACATGTAGGCGCAATATCCTTCTGATACTGGAGCAACCAGGAAGCAGAATCCAATTTCTGACTCCTCCACTCTTGGGCATTTTAGTGTCTCCCCTCTATCTGTGATGTGAGTGATGCCTCTCCAGGGTGAATTTCTTGAAGTTCAGCCTTGGTTCCAGAATCTTCTCTTAGACAGTGGATAAATGGCTAAGAACAGTTGGTCTTGACAATGTGATCAACATCTGGTCATAGAAAGCACTCATGCATCATTTGACCCATGCTTGCAGAGGAACTAGAAACTCATCTTTGCTTAGATGACAAAACTGGTTTCATTTCCTCCATGTTTCCTGAGGGAAGAGTCGGGTCCTCATTCTGTATATCCCCCATATCAGGGACTCACCTGCAGGCTCCTCCCAGGGAAAGGACAAAGAGGGCAGGATCCTAAGCTTCTAGTCCTAGGAAATTCTCTTTCTTCCTTTTGTTTGCCGGAAATCTAGAGGATTTTTCTTATCCACCACAAGTCCCATTCTGATAAAATACTTATCTGTAACTTTCACATAATTAAACCCCAAACCTTGAGACTGGTGCAAATTTAAAAAAAAAAAAAAGAATGTAATAGTATATATATATATATATATATATACACATATATACACACACACATATATGTATGTATATATACACATATACGTATCTATGTATACACATATGTATGTATACATATATATACTATTAAATCTCTCTCTATATATATGTATATATACACAAAGAATTAAAATATGATGATGCAGGTGATGGTTATCAATGGGGAAAAGATGGCTATTCAATACCTGGAGTTAGGGAATTTTGATAACTGAAAAAAAAACGTAAACCCTCATTTAGTATTAGATGCCAAGACAAAATCCATGGGATTAAATATTTTGAGGAAATCGAATTATAAAGAAAGAAGTACTTGTAGCTAAATGTTTATCTTCTCCCAGGATTGAGAAAAACATTCTCAATATAAAAACAATTAAAGAAATTATAAAGAAAAATAAGCACAAATACATGCATATTAAATTAAATATTTTGCTAGAGAAGAGGAAAACAAAATTAAGTAAAATAATTTTTTGAAATATTTTAATATATATGAAATATAATAGAGTAATACCTTACTATATAAGTATGTGTTAAATTTTACATATGTATAAATTTCTTAAATAAAATATTTTACACAGATACAAACTTAAAAGGATTTCCTGGTAAACACTGCATGCATGTATTTTCCACTCATATTGAGAAATAAATAATCATAAATATGATTGAAACCATCCCCTTATATATCCCTTCTACCTAGAGATATTCATTATTCTGTATTTTGTGTTTTTCCTTCCTGTGCAATGCATATACTTTCCTGTGCTTATCTATCCTTAACTTATAATTTATTTATAAGTTAAAAATGTAACAATTCCTCTGTACTTAACTATACTTTATTTGTACTTAGCTATATTTTATTTATAACTTATTTCTATATTAGTTATAATTTGTATTTTTAATTTTCTAAAAGTGATCTACTCCATGACTTTGAGACATTTATCTATGTTGATACAGATGACTCAATTTCATTTTCATTTATTCTCACTATTGTATAGCATTCCAGTGTAAGAATATTCATACTTTACTTATGCATTCATCTGAAATTGGGTACTTACCTTGTTTTCACTTTGTACTTTATAAAAAGTGCTACTTTTTAACATTCTTACACATACTTTGGAACCTTTGCATCCAAGGCATACACTTATGAGAAGAATCAGCATGTTATTCAGTATATCTGCCTTCATCCTGACTAAATATTGCCAAATTACTCTTCAAAAGTTGTACTAATGTACATTCCCATCAGAGTACATGAAAATTTCTGTTATTCAACATCAATGAGAAGAATAAATAGTGAGAATTTTTCACTCTTACCAAGGTGATAGATGTGAAATTATATACCATCATGGTTTTTTCTTGCTTTTCTCTGATTCCTAGCAAGGTTGAAAAGCTTTTTCAAAAACATATTGGTTATTGGTTATTCAGGTTTTCACTTCTGGAAATCAATTTTCATGTGTTTTTCTCATTTTTCCTTTGGGTCATTGCTTTCTTCTCACTGATTTGTAGGGTTATTTATTTAGATACTAATTTGTTGTCAATTATATGTGTTGCAAATATCTTTTCATAATCTGTATTTTCATCTTTTGTGATGTTTTCTGGTTAAAGAAAATTTAATATAACCAAACTCAAGGGTTTTTGTTTGTTTGTAATGTGTTTGTCTCTGATGTGAACACATGTATATTATTTAGGAAATCTTTTCCATCAAAAGTCCATAAGGTTATTCTATTAAATCATTTTTGAAAATTTTAAATATATTTCTAAAGTTTTGTTTACTACATTAGATCTTTGATTTATGGAATTTATTTTAATTATATGGTGTGAAGTAGAGGCATTTATTTATTGCCCAAATGAATAAACAGTTGGTATGGTATCATTTACTGAACTGATTACTCCTAACCCACTTTTCTGTAATCCTGCCTCTGACACATTTCAGGGGTTCATACATGAATGAATGACTTTTAGTTCTTATAACCTGTCACATTGTTCCTTAATCAATAAATCACAGTCTGAACGACAATTGCTTTATAATTATTCTTGGTGTTTTGTGAGATAAGTTCCCATGTATTCTTCTTCATGGTTATCCTGTCTATTCTGGGCCTCTTGCTGTTTGATTTGAGTCGTAGAATCAGCTCATTAAGTTCTGTTGAACTCTCTCTTGTGGTTTTCATTAGAATTACATGGAATCCACAGGTTGACTTGCAGAAAATTGACGTTTTTAAGACAATGTTTCTTTCTATTATGGTCTACTTTAATGCGTTTCAATAAAATGTTGTAATTTTTCCATTTATTCGTCTTTTAGAGA
The DNA here is from genome assembly GCF_000001405.40 of Homo sapiens. NCBI lineage: Eukaryota > Metazoa > Chordata > Mammalia > Primates > Hominidae > Homo > Homo sapiens. Next base: position 152,823,656 of record NC_000001.11, read on the forward strand.
TATTTATTCTTAGATGTCTCATATTTTTGTTACTGATATCTATGGTTTTATTTTTAAATAACAATTTCTGATTATTGGTGTATATGTGTTCTATAACATAACAGCTTCAGTCAAGAAATAGCTTTTTATGCCTAAATGTAGAACCACAAAATAATTTTAATTATTGTCACATGTGCCTTTATATGCCTCTTTCACAATTTAATACCCTAAGTATTAAAATAAGTACTTAGTAGTAAGCGTTTCCAATTTACCTTATTACAATACCATAGTTAACACTTTTGAGTATTTAGATTTTCACATTTTTATAACAATCTCCATAAAACGAAAGCCTGAAAATTGGAATCTCTAGGTCAAAATATATGTACATTCTACATTTTTAATTATTTGAACTCACCAGTAAATAATATCTGAATGAATCAATAACCAGTTTGCCTTTCAGAAAGGTATTCCATCCACAGTAACTTTTCCCTCCCATATCCACCCTTCGTTTGTAAAATTTTTAAATCTTTGCCTATTTAATATGAATGCATAAATTCCATAGAGAAAAATAAAAGACAATTATTTTTATACATGTATTTTTCACTATAAATCTAACATTTTGCGTTGCCTGCTTATCTCTTTTGTCCATTATTTTCATGGAATTTTTTTCTTATTACTTTGTAAAGTATATTTGCATGTCAACAGTGTTAATCTTATTCCTGAGATATGTGATGTAATTTCCTCTCAATTGGTCACTTCTCTTTCAGGAGTGTTTACATGTTGCTCTTTTCCACATGAAGTTTTTATTCAGAAATAAATAAACATCACGTTTTCCTTTTGTAACATGGTTTTGGGAGCCACCAGGCATAAGAAATAATGAACTATCCTTTTCTACTTTAAGAGTGTTATTTAATAATGTATGTTATAAAAAAGGATCTAATGGGTGAAAAAAATAACCCATTAACATACTAGGTGCTGATTCCAAAGCATAAAGTACGATACCACTCAGTATGAAGTTCGAGTGATTCTTTAAAAATTGAACATTTCCAAAAATGTGTTAATTAATAACCAGTTTACAGATGGACATAGAAACAATTAGAAAAAAAGTATTGCAGTCATTCCTATAAATTTACAATGTGGGACATAATGCTTTACTTTTGATTTGCCTCATAGCTGCATTCTAGATCTCAGCCATGTCAGCTTCCAAGCCTTGATAACAGAAGATCTAAAAAGCCAGTCACTTGCTTAATAAAAATTTTATGAAATTTAAGTCACTGACATCATACAATTAAGGCAAGCAGACCAACCTTTATGAGGTTTCAAACCTGCTGCCAACTTACCATCCAGATCTAAATCAGACTGATTGACATATTGAGTACCACATCACTAGAGGCATGGATCATGTGATCCCTCAGGCCAAGTATCCTAAGAATCAGTGAGTCTGCTTCTGAGTAAGACTTACCTATGAGCCAAGGTATTGATATCCTGACCACTCCCTTATAACAAAGCCTTTTGTAACAACCTGAGCAGGAAAAGAAGAGTCACACTCAGGCAACATAGGTACAGATCTCTGCAGGATGACATATCCTCAGCATGTATGTCTGCATGCTCCAGGTTCTTATGCTGATAGCCTAAGTCATGTGGAATAACTATTCATAAACTCTATAGTGCTATGCAAATGCTGGCTTCATGCCTGACCAAAAAATAAATGTGTGTGTATATACATATATATGTACATACATATATGTGTATATACATATATATGTACATACATATATGTGTATGTCCCAGCTACTTGGGAGGCTGAGGCAGAAGAATGGCGTGGACCTGGGAGGCAGAGCTCGCAGTGAGCCGAGATCATGCCACTGCACTCCAGCCAGGGCAACAGAGCGAGACTCTGTCTCAAAAAAAAAAAAAAAGAAAGAAAAAAAAAAAGAAACATGCACACAGGCACACACACACAGGCACCCACACACGTAAACAACTCCCAGTGGCTAAGTGGTGGGACACATGTGAAAAAGCTAAGAGGCTTCTGTGTTTCTTTGTTCAAACCTGGATGCCTGGAGCTCATAAATTCACATTGCTAGAGGAAGAAGGAGAACATTTGGGGGACCACATTTCAAGAGCGAGAACTGAGAGGTAGGCACCTCTAAGAGAATAAGGTACCAGGTGGTGGTAGGAATTCACTCCCACCCCATTTCTAAGTCATATTCCACACTAGGAACAGCTCCCCTGAGCCCCGTGGAGAAAGGCAGATGTGGAGCTGCCAGTCACTCCTTGTCACAGGACCCATGTGGGTGTCAGGAGACAGATCCTTTCATTCCCAGGCCCTGTCTCACAGCTGGAGGCAGAGCCCAGGCCAGGATAAAAGGGCTCGTGGCCAGAGCACCCCATCCATTCACCTCCTGAGGTGCTGAAGGACCCTGTGCTGCCTGTGACCTCGGTAAGCGTCCACTGGGAAAAGGAGCAGGGGTTCCACAGAGGGATGCCCAGACCAGGGCAGGAGGGAAGGCTGGGCAGGGCTTTGTTGGGGAGGGGTAGCTGGATTAGAAGAGGTGGAGAATGTCTAGAAATTCTGATGGAGTTCAAGCTGTGGGGCAGGAGAGATGGGAAGCACCTGGATGATTTGTATGTCTATGCTTCATGCTCTAATCCAAATTAGTTCTGTATTTTTTTTAGTGTCTCCCATTCCAGATAAGTTAAAACAAACTTTCCTTTCAGAGAGTAGATCTTAGCAACTCAACTGTGTCTCTTCCCCGAAGCCTGTACTGGGATTATAGTGGTTCTTAAATAATGGAGACCGGAGACCAGAGGAAGCATATTTGGAGCTTGATAAACACAGAGATACATGGCCCTTACACCTTCATCAGGAGTGAGTTAGTCATGAGTGGTGCCTGGGCATCTGTATATCAGAAGCTCCAGTGTTGAACAGCAAGTAACAAGTTGAAATTTATGGTTGCCAGGGTGGCAGATAGAGGAGTCTGTGGGTTCTAAGAGGGAGCTTCACTAGGCATGGATTCACCAGACCGGGAAATCTAGGGTCACGTGTCAGCTTGCTACAATTAGCTTTAGACCTCATTTCTCCATTTATAATATGATTTGGGATAGCCAGCTCATATGATGACCCTTTGCAATTCTGACTATAATATATTGTGTGTTTGTGTCAACCAAATACAGCCATCTGGGAAGCTCCTACAAAAGGGAATCTTTATTTTTATTTTATTATTTTATTTCATTTATTTTTGAGACAAAGTGTCATTCTATTGCCCAGACTGCAGTGCAGTGGCATGACCTTGGCTCCCTGCAGCATTGGCCTCCTGGGCTCAAACGATCCTCCAGCCTCAGCCTCCTAAGTAGTTGGGACTACAGGTGCGTGCCACCATACCCAGCTAATTTTTTTTTAGAGATAGGGTCTTCTTGCTTATTTTTTAAAAAGCAGAACTGCAGGTTTAAACTGGCTCCTAGATTGGACATTTTCAGAATTCTAAGTGGTGCAGAAGGGTAGACTTCAGTCAGATTCTGTGAATGTCAGATTGCCTTTTCCACTTAAAGGACATTAATTTTGGGCAAGTTTGTTAATACAGATGTCCTCATTATATTGCTGGGTTAAAATAAGATAGTCTATTTCTATTTTATAAAAACATCCTGATGATCCTATAACACATTGTGAAAGCATCTGACAAACAATTTTAGAGATAATTTCTCTCTGACTTATTTGAACAGGTTTTAAAAATGTAGCAAAAATAAATGATGGTAAAAAGGCAATAAGGGTGGCCTCTGTGCCTGGCTGTAACTTGCTGTTTGACTCTCCTTCAGCTCCTGAACACCCACCGCCGAGATGTCCTGCCAGCAGAGCCAGCAGCAGTGCCAGCCCCCTCCCAAGTGCACCCCCAAGTGCCCTCCCAAGTGCCCCACTCCTAAGTGCCCCCCAAAGTGTCCCCCTAAGTGCCCTCCAGTCTCTTCCTGCTGCAGTGTCAGCTCCGGAGGCTGCTGTGGCTCCAGCTCTGGGGGCGGCTGCAGCTCTGGGGGAGGTGGCTGCTGCCTGAGCCACCACAGGCGCCACAGGTCCCACCGTCACAGACTCCAGAGCTCTGGCTGCTGCAGCCAGCCCTCGGGAGGCTCCAGCTGCTGTGGAGGGGACAGCGGCCAGCACTCTGGAGGCTGCTGCTGAAGCGGACTCTGCACCTAGAAGAGCAGACTCGGGTGAAATGAGTGATCAAACATTTCCTCCTCACCTGTCTCCTCCTGGGCCTGCAAGAGTGGCTGAGATGCCCGCGTGAAGGCTCTGAGCTCTGGCCTAGAGGATCCCTCTGCCCTGGGATCCAGAAACTTGATTCTTCTCCCACAAACCTATCTGCTGCCCCTGACACCAACTGTGTTGTCTACTCTGGGATCCCAAGCCACAAACTCACTCTCCAGCTCATTTCCTGCAGCCTCAAGTGAAACAATAAAGCAAAAGATCTTCTTGCCACTTATTGTGGACTGTTCCTTGCCTGTTTGTGTCTCCAATATTTTTTTCACTGCTCTCTACTTTCCTGCTGCCTGGAAGCTTTGGAAATCAAGATGTGCTAGTCGCATGGCTAAAGATATGGAGGAGGGGAGAGAAAAACTTCTATGGCTCCTACTTTGACACCTTATGTCAGAGGAATCACTACGTGGCTCTGCCTGTGCCCATCTTCCTGGTGTTTCAGGAACACAGAGCCTTGTGCTTTGGACTTCTTCAGGGTCCTACTTGGTCTCCAGGGTGTGGCAGGGAGACAGATATGCACCCCATCCTTTCATCCATCTACCCCTCCTCCCCTTTACAATACTGCCCACTCACTCCCAAATTTCATTCTCTTTCAGTAAAAAATATTAGAAAATTATATGTAAACTTCCTGCAAACAGACCATGAATCTTAGACTATTCTAACTACAAGTATGCATAGAACATGTGGTAAATATGATCTGAAAAAACTTAAAAATCCGTAGAAAAGGAATCAGTATGTTAAAAATCAATGTCTTTCTTTTCTCTCCCAGAGTCCCAAGTCCAATCTTTCCAGTCAAATATTTCGTCTCTATATTTTGTGAAGAAGTCCTGATTTTTCATCAATATTTTTTCAATTACAAATTTTACATGAGATTGAATAATTGTTAATTTAATGTTGTGTGTATTATGCCTCAATAATTTTACTATGAACTGGATAAGTGGGCAATACCCTGCACTTATTTTTTAATCCATGAAAACCCCCTGGTGTCTGGCAGATCAGACAGCAAGAACATGTAGGAATAATGTGATGTCCACCTCACAAATGCTCTGATTAATACAACCTCTAGATGTCCCTGTGTCTTTGGTCAGTCACCCAAGGGACATCCAGTACACTGATTCTCAGCCATATACCTGCTTCTTGACTATTCCAGGAGACTAGATGAGGGATATATTCCTTTTGGCTTCAGTAACAAGAAGGAGCTCAAGCACTGCACATATTGGGTGACCCCTCCAAATAATTCAACTAGCATATTAATAAGTATGGAGCTGACTGGTGGCCAAAGTGACAGATGATACCATTCCCCAGAAAGGAAATAATGTTCCAGCTGGGATCAGACACACGCTAAGGTCCAGGTTTCTCTCTCCCCAACTTGGACTGCGTGCTCCCTAAGGGCAGCTGCTATATAGCCATCTCAGACCAGAGTTCCATGAAAGCCAAGACTGTGTTTTCCCATAAGGTCATAAAGATTTTCTTGTATATTTTCTTCTACAACTTTTATTGTTTTAGGCCCTCAGTTCGGTTTTTGATCCATTTTGAGTTAAATGTTTTTAATGTTATAAGATAAGGGTCAATTTTATTATTTTGCTTGTGGTTTTCCAGTAGCCATAGCATTATTTGTTGAAAGACTATTGTTTCCTCAGTGAAACAGTCAAATTTTTGGCACCCTTGTCAAAAAATCGTTAACCATCAATTTATGGTTTATTTTTGACACTCAATTCTCTTCCACTGTTCTTTGTGTGTAGCTTTAGTTGACAGTTTTGTTTTGATTCTTGTTTTTTGTTTTTCTTCTCAGCATTTTGAAAATGCCATTCCAATGCCTCTGGCTTTCATTGATTAAAAATAAGCTATAAATATTATTGGGGTTTCCTTGTAAGTGATGAGTCATTTTTCTTTCACTGTTTTCAGGAGTCACTCTTCACCTTTTTTCCCCAATACTTTTACAGTGATGTCTCTAGATGTGAGTCTTTTTGTGTATCTCATACTTGGAGTTTGTTGATCTTGTTAAATGAATAGATTGTTTTTCATCAAATTTAGTAAATTTTACATCATTATTTTTGAATTTTTTTCTGTTTTCTGTTCCTTTTCTCTATCCACTCCTTCTTGTACTCCTATTACACATATGTTGGTGTGCATATATCCCAAAATTTTCTGAGGTTCTGCCTACTTTTCTTCATTACTTTTTTCTCAGTGTTATTTAAATTGCTTAATTGCTATTGATCTAATTTGCTGATTCTCTCTTCTGACAGTTCAATATATTGTTGAATTTTTCATTTCAATTATTTTACTTTTCAACTCTAGAATTTCAAGTTAATTCTTTAAAAAAATTCTACCTGTTTATTGACATTATTTATTTTATAAACATTACCATACCTTCCTTTACTTCTTTAAAAATAGTTTCCTGACAGCTCCCAGCATAAGCAATGCAGAAGACAGGTGATTTCTGCATTTCCAACTGAGGTACTGGGTACATCTCAAGGGGGAGTGCAGGACAGTGGGTGCAGTACAGTGGATGCAGTGAACCATGCGTGAGCCGAAGCAGGGCGAGGCATCGCCTCACCCAGGAAGTGCAAGGGGTCAGGGAATTCCCTTTCCTAGTCAAAGAAAGGGGTGACAGACGGCACCTGGAAAATCGGGTCACTCCCACCCTAATACTGCGCTCTTCCAACGGGCTTAACAAACGGCACACCAGGAGATTACATCCTGCACCTGGCTCAGAGGGTCCTAGGCCATGGAGCCTCGCTCATTGCTAGCACAGCAGTCTGAGTTCAAACTGCAAGGCAGCAGCGAGGCTAGGGGAGGGGCGCCCACCATTGCTCAGGCTTGAGTAGGTAAACAAAGTGGCCCCGAAGCTCAAACTGGGTGGAGCCCACCACAGCTCAAGGAGGCCTGCCTGCCTCTGTAGGCTCCACCTCTGGGAGCAGGGCACAGACAAACAAAAGACAGCAATAACCTCTGCAGTCTTAAATGTCCCTGTCTGACAGCTTTGGAGAAAGTAGTGGTTCTCCCAGCACACAGCTTGAGATCTGAGAACGGACAGACTGCCTCCTCAAGTGGGTCCCTGACCCCCGAATAGCCTAACTGGGAGGCATCCCCCAGTAGGGGCGGACTGACACCTCACAGGGCTGGGTACTCCTCTGAGACAAAACTTCCAGAGGAACGATCAGGCAGCAGCATTTGCAGTTCACCAATATCCGCTGTTCTGCAGCCACTGCTGCTGATACCCAGGCAAACAGGGTCTGGAGTGGACCTCCAGTAAACTCCAACAGACCTGCAGCTGAGGGTCCCGACTTTTAGAAGGAAAAGTAAAAAACAGAAAGGACATCCACACCAAAAACCCATCTGTACGTCGCCATCATCAAAGACCACAGGTAGATAAAACCACAAAGATGGGGAAAAAACAGAGCAGAAAAACTGGAAACTCTAAAAATCAGAGCACCTCTCCTCCTCCAAAGGAACGCAGCTCCTCACCAGCAATGGAACAAAGCTGGATGGAGAATGACTTTGACGAGTTGAGAGAGGAAGGCTTCAGAAGATCAAACTACTCCAGGCTAAAGGAGGAAGTTCTAACCAATGGCAAAGAAGTTAGAAACTTTGAAAAAAAGTTAGACGAATGGATAACTAGAATAATCAATGCAGAGAAGTCCTTAAAGGAACTGATGGAGCTGAAAACCAAGGCACGAGAACTACGTGATGAATGCACAAGCCTCAGTAACCAATGTGATCAACTGGAAGAAAGGGTATAAGCAATGGAAGATGAAATGAATGAAATGAAGCATGAAGAGAAGTTTAGAGAAAAAAGAATAAAAAGAAACGAACAAAGCCTCTAAGAAATATGGGACTATGTGAAAAGACCAACTCTACATCTAATTGCTGTACCTGAAAGTGACGGGGAGAATGGAACCAAGTTGGAAAACACTCTGCAGGATATTATCCAGGAGAGCTTCCCCAATCTAGCAAGGCAGGCCAACAGTCAAATTCAGGAAATACAGAGAATGCCACAAAGATACTCCTCGAGAAGAGCAACTCCAAGACACACAATTGTCAGATTCACCAAAGTTGAAATGAAGGAAAATGTGTTAAGGGCAGCCAGAGAGAAAGGTCGGGTTACCCACAAAGAGAAGCCCATCAGACTAACAGCTGATTTCTCGGCAGAAACTCTACAAGCCAGAAGAGAGTGGGGGCCAATATTCAACATTCTTAAAGAAAAGAATTTTCAACCCAGAATTTCATATCCAGCCAAACTAAGCTTCGTAAGTGAAGGAGAAATAAAATACTTTATAGACAAGCAAATGCTGAGAGATTTTGTCACCACCAGGCCTGCCCTAAAAGAGCTCCTGAAGGAAGCACTAAAAATGGAAAGGAACGACTGGTACCAGCCACTGCAAAAACATGCCAAATTGTAAAGACCATCAAGGCTAGGAAGAAACTGCATCAACTACTGAGCAAAATAACCAGCTACCATCATAATGACAGGATCAAATTCACACATAACAATATTAACCTTAAATGTAAATGGGCTAAATGCTCCAATTAAGAGGCACAGACTGGCAAATTGGATAAAGAGTCAAGTCCCATCAGTGTGCTGTATTCAGGAAACCCATCTCACGTGCAGAGACACACATAGGCTCAAAATAAAGGGATGGAGGAAGATCTACCAAGCAAATGGAAAACCAAAAAAAAGGCAGGGGTTGCAATCAGACCTTAAACCAATAAAGATCAAAAGAGACAAAGAAGGCCATTACATAATGGTAAAGGGATCAATTCAACAAGAAGAGCTAACTATCCTAAATATTTATGCACCCAATACAGGAGCACCCAGATTCATAAAGCAAGTCCTTAGTGACCTACAAAGAGATTTAGACTCCCACACAATAATAATGGGAGACTTTAACACGCCACTGTCAACATTAGACAGATCAGCGAGACAGAAAGTTAACAAGGATATCCAGGAATTGGACTCAGCTCTGCACCAAATGGACCTAATAGACATCTACAGAACTCTCCACCCCAAATCAAGAGAATATACATTCTTTTCAGCACCACACCACACCTACTCCAAAATTGACCACATAGTTGGAAGTAAAGCACTCCTCAGCAAATGTAAAAGAACAGAAATTATAACAAACTGTCTCTCAGACCACAGTGCAATCAAACTAGAACTCAGGATTAAGAAACTCACTCAAAACCACTCAACTACATGGAAACTGAACAACCGGCTCCTGAATGACTACTGGGTACATAATAAAATGAAGGCAGAAATAAAGATGTTCTTTGAAACGAATGAGAACAAAGACACAACATACCAGAATCTCTGGGACACATTCAAAGCAGTGTGTAGAGGGAAATTTATGGCACTAAATGCCCACAAGAGAAAGCAGGAAAGATCTAAAATTGACACCCTAACATCACAATTAAAAGAGCTAGAGAAGCAAGAGCAAACACATTCAAAAGCTAGCAGAAGACAAGAAATAACTAAAATCAGAGCAGAACTGAAGGAAATAGAGACACAAAAAACCCTTCAAAAAATCAATGAATCCAGGAGCTGGTTTTTTGAAAAGATCAACAAAATTGATAGACCACTAGCAAGACTAATAAAGAAGAAAAGAGAGAAGAATCAAATAGATGCAATAAAAAATGATAAAGGGGATATCACCATCGATCCAACAGAAATACAAACTACCATCAGAGAATACTACAAACACCTTTACGCAAATAAACTAGAAAATCTAGAAGAAATGGATAAATTCCTCGATACATACACTCTCCCAAGACTAAACCAGGAAGAAGTTGAATCTCTGAACAGACCAATAACAGGCTCTGAAATTGAGGCAATAATTAATAGCTTATCAACCAAAAAAAGTCCAGGACCAGATGGATTCACAGTCAAATTCTACCAGAGGTACAAGGAGGAGCTGGTACCATTCCTTCTGAAACTATTCCAATCAATAGAAAAAGAGGGAATCCTCCCTAACTCATTTTATGAGGCCAGCATCATCCTGATACCAAAGCCTGGCAGAGACACAACAAAAAAAGAGAATTTTAGACCAATATCCTTGATGAACATTGATGCAAAAATCGTCAATAAAATACTGGCAAACCAAATCCAGCAACACATCAAAAACTTAACCACCATGATCAAGTGGGCTTCATCCCTGGGATGCAAGACTGGTTCAACATGCGAAAATCAATAAACGCAATCCAGCATATAAACAGAACCAAAGACAAAAACCACATGATTATTTCAATAGATGCAGAAAAGGCCTTGACAAAATTCAACAACACTTCATGCTAAAAACTCTCAATAAATTAGATATTGATGGGACGTATCTCAAAATAATAAGAGCTATCTATGACAAACCCATAGCCAATATCATACTGAATGGGCAAAAACTGGAAGCATTCCCTTTGAAAACTGGCAAAAGACAGGGATGCCCTCTCACACCACTCCTATTCAACATAGTGTTGGAAGTACTGGCCAGAGCAATCAGGCAGGAGAAGGAAATAAAGGGTATTCAATTAGGAAAAGAGGAAGTCAAATTGTCCCTGATTGCAGATGACATGATTGTATATCTAGAAAACCCCATTGTCTCAGCCCAAAATCTCCTTAAGCTGATAAGCAGCTTCAGCAAAGTCTCAAGATACAAAATCAATGTGCAAAAATCACAAGCATTCTTATACACAAATAACAGACAAACAGAGAGCCAAATCATGAGTGAACTCCCATTCACAATTGCTTCAAAGAGAATAAAATACTTAGGAATCCAACTGACAAGGGTTGTGAAGGACCTCTTCAAGGAGAACTACAAACCACTGCTCAACGAAATAAAAGAGGATACAAACAAATGGAAGAACATTCCATGCTCATGGGTAGGAAGAATCAATATCGTGAAAATGGCCATACTGCCCAAGATAATTTATAGATTCAATGCCATCCCCATCAAGCTACCAATGCCTTTCTTCACAGAATTGGGAAAAACTACTTTAAAGTTCATATGGAACCAAAAAAGAGCCCTCATTGCCAAGTCAATCCTAAGCCAAAAGAACAAAGCTGCAGGCATCACGCTACCTGACTTCAAACTATACTACAAGGCTACAGTAACCAAAACAGCATGGTACTGGTACCAAAACAGAGATATACACCAATGGAACAGAACAGAGCCCTCAGAAATAATGCCGCATATCTACAACTATCTGATCTTTGACAAACCTGACAAAAACAAGCAATGGGGAAAGGATTCCCCATTTAATAAATGGTGCTAGGAAAACTGGCTAGCCATATGTAGAAAGCTGAAACTGGATCCATTCCTTACACCCTATACAAAAATTAATTCAAGATGGATTAAAGACTTACATGTTAGACCTAAAACCATAAAAACCCTAGAAGAAAACCTAGGCAATACCATTCAGTACATAGGCATGGGCAAGGACTTCATGTCTAAAACACCAAAAGCAATGGCAACAAAAGCCGAAATTGACAAATGGGATCTAATTAAACTAATGAGCTTCTGCACAGCAAAAGAAACCACCATCAGAATGAACAGGCAACCTACAGAATGGGAGAAAAATTTTGCAACCTACACATCTGACAAAAGGCTAATATCCAGAATCTACAATGAACTCAAACAAATTTACAAGAAAAAAACAAACAACCCCATCAAAAAGTCGGCGAAGGATATGAACAGACACTTCTCAAAAGAAGACATTTATGCAGCCAAAAGACACATGAAAAAATGCTCATCATCACTGGCCATCAAAGAAATGCAAATCAAAACCACAATGAGATACCATCTCACACCAGTTAGAATGGCGATCATTAAAAAGTCAGGAAACAACAGGTGCTGGAGAGGATGTGGAGAAATAGGAACACTTTTACACTGTTGGTGGGACTGTAAACTAGTTCAACCACTGTGGAAGTCAGTGTGGCAACTCCTCAGGGATCTAGAACTAGAAATACCATTTGACCCAGCCATCCCATTACTGGGTATATACCCAAAGGATTATAAATCATGTTGCTATAAAGACACATGCACACGTATGTTTATTGCGGCACTATTCACAATAGCAAAGACTTGGAACCAACTCAAATGTCCAACAATGATAGACTGGATTAAGAAAATGTGGCACATATACACCATGGAATACTATGCAGCCATAAAAAATGATGAGTTCATGTCCTTTGTAGGGACATGGATGAAGCTGGAAACCATCATTCTCAGCAAACTATTGCAAGGACAAAAAACCAAACACCACATGCTCTCACTCATAGGTGGGAATTGAACCATGAGAGCACATGGACACAGGAAGGGGAACATCACACACCGGGGCCTGTTGTGGGGTCGGGGTAGAGGGGAGGGATAGCATTAGGAGATATACATAATGCTAAATGACGAGTTAATGGGTGCAGCACATCAACATGGCACATGTATACATATGTAACTAACCTGCACATTGTGCACATGTATCCTAAAACTTAAAGTATAATAATAAAAAAAAAAATAGTTTCCTATAATTCTTTAAAAGTGGCAACAATGGCTACTTTGGAATTTTTGTTTATTAAGTCCAGCCTTTGGGCCGTCTCCCAGGAAGTTTCTGTTTATTGCTTCTTTTCCTGTGTAAGGGTCACACTTTCTAGTTTATTTGCATGTATCATGTGTTTTTTCTTTAAAAGTGGTTATTTTAGAGATTAGAATGTAGCAACTCTGTGTAATGATACTCCTCTCCCTTTAAGGTGTGCTGTTGCTTGTTTATTTGTTTGACTATTTAGATAGACTATATTAGTAAAGTCTATTTCTCCTGAAATGGGATGTCTCTGATGTCACTCCTCAGGGGACTCAACCCTGGGCTTGCTCACAGTTACCCTGAATGACAGTAGGTTTAGCAGAACTCTCTTTGGTTGTCTCTTCGATGATTTCTCTGTTAAGCTATCTCTGTTGGCATCACACACAACTGTTAGGCTTCACAACAGTTGCTGACAGATTGGTTTATTATTTCTGATAATGTCCTAGAACACAAACAGAAATTGCTTCATAATTGAAGCCAATTAAGTCTAGGCCCCTTTTCAAGGGTAGTGTTTGAGGCCAGGTTTGAAATTTGTTCTAAACTCGGGAAGACTCTACTTAGCCCTCACTTTCCTTGGTTTTCTCTGGTAAACAAGCTGCCCTATGGTTTAGCATATTGCTCTTATGACTCAACAGCCTCTTCTTAAATGCTTGCCAACAAAATCTCTCCCATTTACCAAAGTGCCTTTAAGCTTGAACGTCCCCACACTCTTTTCCAAATATAGTCAGTTCCTTTGGTGAGAACTTTGGAGTTCTCTGGGTTTTCTGGACATCCTCTTCCCTGGACAAATTCTCTTAGCCACTGCTTTTGAGCTGAGGGCAAATGTCTCCTGGAGCTCACTGCTGATTAATGAGCAGAACACTTTAATGGGGTGGCAACCACTATTCTTCTTGGATTGTTTCTCCCACCATCGATCCTCCACCCTACAAGTGAGCTGGGACAAAGGACTTTGGTGTCCCAATATTCTTGCCCTGCTGCACCTGAGGTAGAGTGACTGCCTGCCCCATGAGTGGGAGATGGGGAGTAAGAAAGCCCCCAATCTCTTAGAGTCCCCCTCCTGGAATTTAGCCTCTATACCACAGAACTAAGGGAAGAGGTGTAAGAAATGTTGGCAGCCTCCCCCTCACAGGAAGACACTGGAGGCCATGATTTGGAGCTAAAGGGGGATGGAACCTTATCTCATTGATTGCATCTTCCAAGAGTGGAGCTAGCATCATGCCCAACTGGAAGAGATTAGGGAGGGTGCAAGTTGTGATTCAAGTGCCACAGACTATTGTTATTGTTACTATGATTTAGTAGATTTTCTTGAATAAAAGTTTTTTAATTTGCTCTATACCCTTAGGACAATTTGCAAAGGATGATTGCAAAACTTTTTTTTCAAGTCTTAATTATTTTGCTAGGAGAAGGGTCCAAGGAGTTCTTCATGCCACTGTTCTGAAAGTCCTCCCTAAAGGGATTTTTATTTAATTTGTCTTAGGTTTTCCATAAGGCTTTTTAGAAAATACTCTGAATTGAGATTTTATGTATTTATAGATTTCTTTTATAATTTAGTCTTTAAAAGTTTTTTTAACATAGAGTTGTGAACAACCTAAGCTGTGGACACAGTTTTTTTGTATTTATTTATTTATTTTTAATTCTTTTTTTTTTTATACTTTAAGTTCTAGGGTACATGTGCACAATGTGCAGGTTTGTTACATATGTATATATGTGCCATGTCGGTGTGCTGCACCCATTAACTCATCATTTACATTAGGTATATCTCCTAATGCTTTCCCTCCCCACTTCCCCCACCCCACAACAGGCCCGGTGTGTGATGTTCCCCTTCCTGCTGTGGACACAGTTTTAATTATTTTCTTCTAAATCTTAGAAGCTTTCTTTTCTCTTTCTTTGGATGATGAGAAAGGGAAAAAAGAGACTTACTCGTCTGATGAAGAAAACACTACACTAAGCTCTTCTTTTGCCAATGACAATTTATTCTATTGAAATGGAAACTAAACCACTTATATCCAATGGTCTACATCAGGGGCATCCAATCTTTTGGCTTCCTTGGTCCACATTGGAAGAAGAAAAATTGTCTTGGGCCACACATAAAATACTATTAATACTTGGGCCACACAATAATACTAACAATAGATGATGGTCTAAAAAAAATCACAAAAAATTTCATGTTTTAAGAAGGTTTACAAATTTGTGATGGGTCACATTCAAAGCCGTCCTGGGTCACATGGGGCCCACAGGAGTTGAACAAGCTTGGCCTAGATTAACAAGCCAGTTCTGATGATATTATAGTCTTGAGTACAAGTCAGGATAATTGGTGGTTTGGATACCATCCTACCTGGAGGAAAGAGGTAGGACCAGATCTCTTGGCCTTTCTTCCTAAGAAAACATGAGCAGGGCTGGGTTCTAAAATAAGAAGTACCTGTAGAAAACATGATATAGATTTCTTTTATTTATTTATTTATTTATTTATTTTTTTATTATACTTTAAGTTTTAGGGTACATGTGCACATTGTGCAGGTTAGTTACGTATGTATACATGTGCCATGCTGGTGCGCTGCACCCACTAACTCGTCATCTAGCATTAGGTATATCTCCCAATGCTATCCCTCCCCCCTCCCCCCCCACCACAGTCCCCAGAGTGTGATATTCCCCTTCCTGTGTCCATGTGATCTCATTGTTCAATTCTCACCTATGAGTGAGAATATGCGGTGTTTGGTTTTTTTGTTCTTGCGATAGTTTACTGAGAATGATGATTTCCAATTTCATCCATGTCCCTACAAAGGACATGAACACTCCCCTCAAACTAAACTCTTTGGCACAGTCTAAGTAAAAATATAATAGTGTTCAGGAAATATAGTTGAGGTGCCCACAGTGTGATGTGGACAATCCCAAACTCACTGTAAGTGTCTGATTTCATCATGGCCTGAGTCTGTATTTCATCAGAATTAATTGACTCAGGACATAATATTTGAAAAGCATTCTGTAAACTAAAGTTCTTTGCAAACATCTGTGATGGGGATTTTTAAAAACTTAATAATTAACAAACCTAATAACTAGTAACTGTAATGAACCATTGTGTACACTGAAATGGGGCTTGAGATATACAGATAATAGCCCCATGTTCAAGGCATTAACAATATCACATACAAGTACAATTGTTTATGATAATAAATTATATGTATAACAAGTAATAAATGCTCTGAAAGATTTTCTCAGCCAGGCATTGTCTAGAAATTCATTACAGAGAACACGGGATTTGAACTGGCCCTCGGAAGTAGTCTCAGAAGAGGAACCAAGAAAGACAAGAAGTAAGACACAAAGAAAGACAAAAAGAAAAAGAAAAAGAAAGAAAAGAAAAAAGAAAGGAAGAAAGAAAGAAAGGAAAGGAAAGAAAGAAAGAAAGAAAAAAGAAGGAAGGAAGAAAGAAAAAAAGAGAGGAAGAAGGAAGGCAGGCAGGCTGAGGAAATAAGAGGAAGACAAAGAGATAGAGTGGAAAAGGGAGGAAGAAAGAGAGGTAGAGACAGACGGACATCAGACAGGATAAAAGCCAGTTCACCATACAATAAATCCATCCATTCAGCAGAGGAGGAGACATAATGAAAGGAAGTTCCAGAAGTTAAGCATAAAGCGATGGGATAGGTTCGAGTATACACAGGGACTTGAATGCTGGCTAAAGGAATTTAGATTTATCCGGAAGACATCAGAGTGTTCTGAATGAACACTTAACAGTCAGGGCAATTATTCATTAAAAACATAAAGCAAAATAAAAGAGATTTTAAAAATATATTTGAGGAGTTACTTCAGGAATAGTTAAATGATTTGAGATATCAGAAAGAAATTGACCAAAGAGAAACCCAGTCATGGGAAGCCAAGCAACTTCATTTGAGGCTGGGGACCTAGAGATATCTCTTGCTCAGAGAAACAGTCTCCTGAATAGAGACCAGGAATGAGATGGGATTATTCTCAGAGATGGGCTCCTGTCTTCAGACCAGGTGGGGACTCTGATAATGGTGGGAGCTACATACTTGAGACACTACCTTTCTAATTTGGTACATTTAAGAGGACTAGTTGTATTCTCAAGCTACAACTACAGTTTGCCTATTTGCCGATTTTTCACTTACAAGCTTGTGTTACCTATTAATTTGTCTGTATTCCCTCTGGAGAGTGAAAGCTTTGAAACATAATATAGACATCTTATTCTTTCTTGTATCCAGTACATAGTTGGGACTTAATAAATATCAAATCACATAATTATAGACACAATCTGAACCAGGAAGAGAAGTGGAGTGGGATTAGAATAAGAACATTACATTTCTGTGGTCCTGATTTAAAACTGGCTGGACTTTTAAGTTTATCTGGAAGACAGTGCAGCTCAGGGGCCTCAAACAGGCTCACTTAATGAGCTAGGCAAATCTAGATGCTGGACACACTCCATCCTATATGTGATGAAATTCACTGTACTGAAAAGGAGGGGGCTAAGAGATTTCTGTGGGCAATTTATTATGGGAGGTGGTCTGGGAGAGATATAGAAGGGGCAGGAAGTGTAGTTTGCCTAGGGCAGAGCCTCCAGAAAGAACCCTCAGCCCTAGGCAGAGACAGTAAGGGTTGGGTACTTGCTAGTTAACTTCAAAAAAATGCATTTGTGATGTGTGAGGTCTCTGAAGCATGTGTTTAAGTGGTGCAGGTCTTGGGTGGGGAAAAGGAGCAACTGGTGCATTGAGACCAGTGTTACTTTGCCTTCCTGCTAATGCTTAGTGCAAGGGAAGCACTTCTGAGGCACCATCAGAGTTATTTCTGGTGTCTGAGGGAAGAAAAGAGGAGAAAGAGAAGGAGAGAGAAAAGGGAAAAGGAAGTAAAGGAAGATGGGGTCTATCCCTGAGGCTGTCTAAATCAGGCACTCTCTCTCCAGGGCTCTGCTCTAACAGAGTGAGCGAGGTTTCATACCATTCTTCCACCTGCTGTTTCACTCACAAAGATCTTCTCTTCCTCCATCCAAACTGCATCTCAAAGTTTTCCCAGATGAAGCAATTGAAACCTGATGATCCTGCCCTGCTGGATTTTGGGATCCAATAGCTGCTCCTTTTCTGGCCTTGTCCTATTTTCCACCCTGGTCTTCATACCCTCTCCCATACCCCAACCCTACTCACCTTTGTCCTATACATGATTTGAAGGCCTTTGAGGACTGCCCCTACAGTCAGAATGTTCCTTGTAATTGCTCATCTTTTTATTTACCCAACTGTTTCCTGAATACCTACTGTGTGTCAGGCATCAGAAATACAGAGGCAGGTGAGGCACACTCTTGAGCAGCAGGGAGTTTCATCAGTGCCTTTTAACTTAGCTGGGCACACCAGGAGCGATTCTGAGATGGAAGCATCCAGAGGTGAGGGACTGTGTTTAGAGAATGTTCCCAATTTAAGCACTGCCAAAACATGATTATCTCAATTTTCATGAAAGCTAAAGAAGAACTTTTCACTCTGTGGAAGGCTTTTCCACAATGTCCCTTGATAATTCCAAGAACAGCTCCCCTTTTGCATTTAAGAGACAGCAGGTGTGTGAAGGTTTTGCTTCCCACCCTCTGCTCAGCCTATTGTGTAAGGTGAGGTCCACCCACAGAGTTCCCTGTAGTATTTATGAAAGGGTGTTCACAAATGCCTTAGGGGAGAATGATGGAAACAAGAAGTCAAGGTCTCGTCCACAAAACAAAATGAGTTGGGCTTTATTTTATTCCTGTTTTTTTCTCCTGAAACACAAAGTCTTTTCTAATGGCACATAGACTGTTTCATTCAACAAATACTAATGAGTATTTTCTTTGTGTCAGGAACAACATCAGGCTCTAGGAATGCAGAAGTGATAAAGGCACTGTCATCAAATAACAGTTTAATAGGTGAGATAGGATATGTATCTTGGTCACACGACCCAAAGCAATAGTAAAGGCTGTGACATGTATCTATAAAGGTCAGAGGATGAAGGACTCATGTGTGGCTAGAGCAATGGGCCAATCTCCACAGAGGTGATGACACGGAATGGGATGCTGACAGTCATGGATGATGGGTGGGGAGTAGACAAGGAAGGTCTTCCTCAGACCCTGGGTGATGTCGAACCTGATTTTTCCCTCCAATCCTACATAGAATTCAACAGCAGCTGCAACCCGCCCAGCCTCCCAAGGACATCATCCAGATTAGCCAGTGTACCCACTTCTGCGTAGGCCAATCTGAAGGCCCCAGCCTTCTGCTCACTCACGCACCTGCAGATGCCTTTGAACCACATCCCAGCTACATGTAGCTGAGGAATCTAGCACTGGGAATTGTGAAATACCCAGATCAATCATCCACTCCATGGCTCTCCTCCAATGACATGTGGCCTGGAGGCTTCAACTGGAGGATATATAAAAGAGCCTCTTACTTCCTGGCAACACAAGGCCTCCAGACTCCTCCTGGGATAACTTGTCCACACATCTTCCACTAGGGTAAGGCTACTTCTGGCTGAGGAGACACTTGGATGTAGCTCAAGTGCTGCTTAGGCAGTCCTGATCTCTCCTCTCGTCTCTTCCCAGGGAGCTGAAAAGCCAGGTAGGAGATGCTTGGGGTAGAAAGAAGGGAAGAGAAGTGGATCCCTGCAAAAGAAAGACCCCAAATAATCTAACATGGGAGAAAGCCATAGAAGTTAGAGGGCCAGAAAAGCAGAGATGGGACAGTCAGACTTAGGAGTCTGGGGACAGAATAAGACAGAGTAAAGAAAGAGCAGAGACTTGGCTCTCCTTTGCACTTAACCAGGTGGACATTGGGCTGGGAAAAGTAAACTGTCAGCTCAACTAAGTACAATTTGTCTTTTTTTTTTTTTAAGGAAGCATATATCATTAACATGGTTATTAGTAAGTGAGTCCCCTGGGAAGATTTACTCCCAAATATTTAGTCCTTTCAAGTCCGTTTTTCTCCTCCTGAGATGGAGTTCAGTGGGTTGTAAATGCTGGACTTCATTTTTGACAGCTCCAGTTTGTGGAGGAGAGAAACAGAAGCCCAAGCTGCCTGGGTCCCTGATATAACTATTTTTCTTCCAGATTCGACCTGGTAGCCAAGCAATGTCACAGCAGAAGCAGCAATCTTGGAAGCCTCCAAATGTTCCCAAATGCTCCCCTCCCCAAAGATCAAACCCCTGCCTAGCTCCCTACTCGACTCCTTGTGGTGCTCCCCATTCAGAAGGTTGTCATTCCAGTTCCCAAAGGCCTGAGGTTCAGAAGCCTAGGAGGGCTCGTCAAAAGCTGCGCTGCCTAAGTAGGGGCACAACCTACCACTGCAAAGAGGAAGAGTGTGAAGGCGACTGAGCCCAGAAGAGTTGAGGCACAGGTGCAGTTACTCTCTCCCTGCCCCACCTTTGGGTACTAATTCCCCCTTGGAAAGCCAGGCCCTCAACCTCTCATTTGGACTGAGAAACACTTCCTGATCCCCAGCTCTAGAGAAGCGAGAACTAGGCTGAGCCACGCTGCTACTGCTCTCTTCCATTCACCCCTTCAGCTCAGCAACAATAAAGCTGCTTTACTTGGAGCCCTGACTTCTGTGAGTTCTTGAGACCCCTGCTCAGATGTACTGAGACCCCCGCTTCAACCCAAGTGCATGGTGCTTCTCCTCCTTCCTCTTAAGACAGCTGATAGTATTTTTAAGAAGCAGATGTTCTGGGATTTATGTCCCAGTTTCCAGCAGCCTCACAGCCATCAACCCATGTCATTGCATGATTCTAGCACCAAAGACTACAATAAACATATGTTGAGCACCTACTGTGTACTGGCCTCTGTGTTTACAGATGTAAGTGGGAAATTTGTCCCTGCTCTAGAAAGCTTATAATCCAGTAGGAGATGCAATGGACACTTCAGATAGAAACAAGTGGATTAGTAAATATCATTTTAAGCTGATTAATTTACTCATTTTTATCTCTCATTTGTGTTCAAAAGAACTTAAAGCAGAAATTTAAAAAGTACCTTAGGTCAAAGACAGCAGAGAGAGGAGAACCATTCTGATGGTGTGGATCAAATGTGGTTTCCTAGGCCTTGGAAGGAAAGAGAGTATCCCACTTGGGAGTGGGGAGAAGAGGCTCCCAGACCTCTAAAGATAGCAGACTTTGGTGCTAGGAGGTGCAGTGAAGAGGAAAGTTCATCCAGGTGGAAGATCCAGCATAAACAAATGCATAACAAGGGTGGTACTTGCCAATGGTGTGTATTTCAATTTGGCTGGAGTGCCAGGTGTGAGATGAGAGATATGACACAGTTCATAACCCCAAGTCTTCATGATAATTCAAACCAGCTGAGTTTACTGAGCTTTAGGTATCAAACACCAGCTACCAAAAGATCATACCTCTGGGAAAAGTCTGGGCCCAAACCCCAAGTCTAGTAGTCTGAGATGAGGGAAGCATGACATAAATTACACAGACTTGAAGGGGACTTGAAGCTCAACTATGATGCATATAAATATAAGTTTATGTAAATAATTTTGTTGATCTGCATTTTTGGCAAGACATTAAAAGCATTACTTTTTTTAACCAAATATCCAACTCAATAGATTGTATTGACCAGGCTCAGAACAGAATTTCAACCTGTAATATCCAGTATATGGGATTCTCATTTTCAGAGCTTAGTAATTCTCCTCATTGCTGGGACATGATGTCACCTTTGTGATGACACACATCTATATGCAGATATGTATCATGGTTATATATAATTATAATTTCATATGCATGATTTTTCTCATTAAACAAATGACACACACTTGTATAAAGATTTGTTAATGGGCATATGTAACTAACCTGCACAATGTGCACATGTACCCTAAAACTTAAAGTATAATAAAAAAAAAAAAAGAAAAAAAAAAGATTTGTTAATGGAGATAAGCTTAAGGAAGATGACTAAGATCAACCTAAAAATCCTATCACCTAAAAATAACCATGGCTAATCATTTCATAGATGTATTTGCAAACCTTTAAACATCACACAATGGGTTCATTACAGAATACTTTATAACCTACATTTTTTTTACTGTTAAGTAAATGGTAAAATTGAACAAGAGTCATTGTCAATACTCTTCCATGCTGGTAAATATTGATCAACACTATTTACACATGATATTCACAAACACATCATGGTCTGCATAACTAGGTCTCCAATACTGGGCATTTATGTTGTTTTTGCACTTGCTGTCAAGTGTAATTTAAAATAATCATTCCCATTGATAGTTACTCTTAATTTTCTTAGAATAAGTTTTTAGAATTGGAATAAATTAGCAAAACTATGAAGACTTTTTCAGACTCTTCAGCAAGACTGCATTTTGGGAGCAATAAAAATTACTCCACTTAAGAAATTAATTATGGTAGAGGGGATTTCTTTTGTTTGAGAGCAAAAGTGAATACAAAGTTAAAAGACTGCCCATGTTTATAGTGGAAAAAGTCCACTTTTTGAGAAGAGACACTTCCTAAAAAGCTTGAGAGGTGTCCACCTATTTGCCATCATAAAATCTATACTTTAAAGAAAGTTTAGATGCCTTCCTCTTTTGAGGAAAAAAGAGTGCTTTGTATTATATGAAGCAATATCTTATGAATATTGATATACCATTGTTTGAAATTTTGTGTCTATATTTGCATGAGAGATTTTTGGGAAGAATCCCATATTTCCCTAGGAAAAATACAAAATATCAATGTTGAGTTGATTGTGTAAAGCTCAATGTGTAAGAACATCTTTTTTTCTACTTTTTATTTCTGCTCTTTATTGAAGACAGGTATTTACCAAAGGAAAATTTTTTAAAAAGTTTTTACAGAAACTGTTTTTCTTTGACAGGAATATTACTTACTATTTTGGCCTACTCAGCTTTCTCTAGTCAGTACTTGAATTCCCTGTGCTAAGTGTTCAACCTATGTATTATTCTATAGATACACTGGTTAGTCTGTGTCAAATTGATTTCTAAATTACTACAATGAAAATAAACTAATGATTTGATTATTGTTTTTCTTTATAAAGGCTGTATTTGGCATCTTCACAATTCCTAAAATATGCCTGTACATCAGAAATGTCAATAGGAGTGACTTTTTTATATGGCTTTAGGATGGCTTCATTTTAATACTACATGTACATTGTATTTTGTTTTATAGTAATAAGTAATGAAAAATGCAGACTTTATATTTTACACAAAATGTCCTGTAAATCTATATATATGTTATGATTTATACATAAATATATATGTAGTTTTAAGCATTCTCACCACAAAAAAAGGTATGTGAGATAATGCATGTTAATTAGCTTGATTTACTCATTCCACAATGTACACATTATTTCAAAACAATATGTTGTACATGCTAAATATATACAGCACAAATTTTATTTGCCAGTTAAAATAAATAAATACATGTATTTTTTAAATGTCCTATATATAAAATTTTGTAACTTCATAGGAACAACAAAAGTAGGTAAATGGTACAATTCCTTTTATTTAGAATATATCTAACTTTATGCTTTTAACAAATGTTAAAAATCTTACATATATTTTACATCTTTTAATTCAGAAAACTTTATTTTGACAGAAAAACTTTATATATTTGATATTTAACATATTATTTTATCTAATTTTTAGAAAATGTTAAATGCTATATTGTTTGGACTAAATAAAGAACACATAAGTTAAAAGAAAAAAAGGTGCTAGGTGTTTAGAAGCGCTCCCCAGGGACTTTGAAACATCCCCAGGTGTCAGTTCCTAACACTACTCTGTCTTCCTTAACAAGTCTGGACTCCAGCCTTCCAGCAAGCAAGCTCTTGCACGGAAGCTGAACTTGAGCCCAGTGATCTCAGTTCAGGCCATCCACTGCCTCAATATGCCCAGCTTTTCCGGGTCTCCAGCCAGGACAAATAGGGCCCTCTTCAGCCTGGCCCATGGTCAACATAGTCAACCTCTACTGCGGCTGGCATAGCCCACTCCCTAAGTATAACACCTTTTTAGCAGCTATGAGTTTACAGTGTTTGACAGGCGGTATTTTGCTATTGGATGGTATACACTTCATGATACAGCATAAATAATAAGTCGTTCCTTTTATTTATTCCTGTACAGATATCACAAATAATATATTAAAATAAAATTAATCTAAAGTGAAGGAAATGCGGTGCTGATTTAGTACGAAGTCAAGAAATACTGCCAAAACTTCAGGAATGAAGAAATAGAGTTTTAATTATAGCATTTAAAGTTATAGAGGTAGCCAATAATGATATTAAAATTAAAAATATGTCTAAATAAGAAGGAGGGAGGGAAGGGATGATGAATGTGAGCTTAATTCTGTTTTTTATTGAGAAGGTAAATAGACACGGCCTAAGAAATAAATGTATAAGCAGATTATTTAGACTGATACTTAATTTTTTCATATTACAACTATTTGGATTACCTGACTTTAAATTTTCATTTAAATGTATTGCTTTTCTATAAATAAATAACTAAAAGCCCATCCCCTTTTTTCACATGCATCTGTAAGAGTCCTAGGCCAAACCTTCCCTAACAGAGCAAGTACAAGTTGAAATCCTGTCAGATGAAACTCACTTCAAATCTTTGACAACTCCGTGGCTTTATGAAAATTTCTGTACCTCTGAAATCTTCCTCATCTAAAAATTAGATAAAAATTATAGTATCTGCCTTGTGAGACTGTGGAGGGATCGCACATGATATCATAGGTAACATGTACTGCATATCTAACTCAATTTAACTCCAAGTTGTAAGTTCGTTGTAGTTTACATTTGGGGTACATTCTATTTTTTTAAATAGATTGTTTATTTTATAATAATTTTAGATTTACAGAAAAATTGCAAACATAGTTAAGAATTCCTGTATATCTGCACTCAGTTTCCTTTGTTAATATCTAACATTAATAGTAAATTTGTTATAATCAATTTTCTGTGTTCCTGAGTCCCATTTAGGA
The DNA here is from genome assembly GCF_000001405.40 of Homo sapiens. NCBI lineage: Eukaryota > Metazoa > Chordata > Mammalia > Primates > Hominidae > Homo > Homo sapiens. The sequence continues at coordinate 152,848,377 of NC_000001.11, forward strand.
AAATCAAGTTATAGTCAGTGGTCACATCTCCTCAGGTTCCTCTTGACTGTGACTGTTTCTCAGACTTTTTTTATTAAGTTGGTGCAAAAGTAATAGTGCAATTAATTTTGCACCAACCTAGTATTTTGGATGACTTTGACAGTTTGAGCAGTACTGTTGGGTATTTCGTAGAGTGTCTGTCAATTGAGATTTGTGTAGTGTTTTTCCTATGATTATAATAGGATTATTGACCTTTGGGAGGAAGACCACAGAGGTTAAGTGCCATTCTCATCACATCATATCAAGGTTATATAGCAATGTGACCTCACTGCAAACACTGACCCTGGACAGTGTTCATCAAGTTTCTCTATTGTAAAGTTACTCCATTTCTTTCCCTTTCAGTACTCATGTCTTAGGAAGGATGTCACTCCACATCACCCATTCCAAGGGCAAGACACCTCCTTATGGGGCTGGGAGTACATGTTATATATGCTGTATAAATTATTTGTAATTCTTCTCTATGAGAGATTTTCCTATTTTCCCTCCCTTTTTAAGAACTATACAATCATTTCTTCTTATCAGCATGAACTGATGGATATTGGATAATATTTATGTCATACTTTGGGTTATAATCCAATATATGTCATTTACTTGTTGCTCATATTTTTCCAGCCTTGGGAACTCTTTCAGTTGGCTCTTGTGTCTCTTCCCCAATAACACCACCACTTCCTTTTCAGAGCACTCCCTGGCTTTCTGGTCATACAAGATGCTTCAGACTTATCTTGTATAGTCTCTGTCCTGAACCTAGATTAACTCATTGCTCTAGTGAGCCTTGGCTTCTGTTATTGAAAAATTGTGTTGTAAACCAAGTGTGTTGGTTGTGCTCATTGCTAGTGGAATGTCATTGCTTCTAAGCTTTCTCAGTGGACAGAGATTAGAAATATATGTGCATATACTAATCAGTGTATATCCATAATTATTTCAATATGTATCCATCTTTTTCTGTATAAGCTAACCATTAGTTTATACTGATGTCCTTAACTCTAATTTAGTATCACATGGTTTATTCTAGCCTTCCTTGCTTAGCTATCATTTCTTACTCCAATATTGAGAAATCAGGCTCTCACCATCTGCCGTATATTCAATTATATGTTCAATCCCAGTTTGCCTATATGGTGTACTCTATTTTAAAAACAAAATTATAAAATGCTCAGTAGTCAGTGTATCCTATGTAAACAACATTTTTTTCTTGACTTTGCAGGTTATATGATTGTTTATTGAAAAGAAAGAATGAGTGAGCCAGGGTTCTTGAAACTGGGTAAGGATGGGATCAAGGTAAAGACAGAACATCCTGAAGGTCAAGGAGCTGAACAGAGCCTCAGCATCGTGGCTTAAGGCTGTAATCTCAGTACTTTGGAAGGCCAAGGCTGGAAGATCACTTGAGCCCAGGAGCTTGAGACCAGTCTGGGCAATATAACAAGATCTCATCTGGACTAAAATGGTAAAAAAAAAAAAAAGAAAAAATAGCTTGGCATGGTGGCATGCAGCTGTGGTACCAGCTACTCAGGAGACTGAGGCAGGAGGATCCCTTGACCCAGGAATTCAAGGCTTCAGTGGGCTATGATTGTACCACTCACTGTACTCCAGCCTGGGCAACAGAGTGAGACGGTCTCTAAAAAGGAGGAGCAGCTAGTGGGGGTTGGAGGCTGAATAGAAGTAGGCTTTCACTCCATGGGGACCTCCTTCTATCAAAACCTCCTACTCAGCTTCCTCCTCCTGCCATTCCATCTTAACAGACCCACTTCTGAGAACAAGCTTCCTTCGTATAGTTTGGACACAAAGAGTGAGGTTATGGGTATCTTGCATGGGGTTATGGGCATGAGAGGGCCTCACTCCATATAAGGCACAGGTTGAAACAGTTTTGATTGTCCCTATGAAGCAGAACAGGAGTGAACATAGCATCTCTGTTACACAACTATAAATAGGAAATCAGGAAACCATAGGGAACAGGCTGTGAGTAGATAAAAGAGCACATGATATTCAATCTGCAACCTACATAGTTGCTATACCTCAGCCTAATGAGTAGTTCTGAACTTCCTGACATACAGAATATAAACAGACAGTCTATTATACACTCGTTTTTTCTTCAAAGAAAGGATAGACCATCATAACAGTGGATTCTAAAAGAAATTGTTTGCAATAGTCAGCAAGACGCTTAACAACACTCTTACAACAAATACACAGATGGTTGACAAACCCATACTGCTTTGTCTCCCATTGAAAAACACACAGTACATTGAAACAGAATGTTATTCATGATATGGCAGAAAGGGTATACCAAGAATACAAGGAAGCAAAAATGCAGATGCCTAAAAGCAGAAGGTCTCTCAGGCCAACCATAGCTTGGCTTACAAGATACATAATTTACCCATCTGTGAAATGTGGACAATAAAAAACTTAATGCATCACTCTAGCATAAAATGATGTCCAAATAAGATAAAAGAGCCCTAACTAAATGTGTTTCTTGCTACTTCATTCACCACCCTTCACAGATATCATCTAACATCTAGCCAGGGAAGATTTCAATACCACCTACACCTTTTACATACACACACACACATACACACACGCATGCATGCACGCACACACAGAGTCTATAACTCTTCTCTCTCTAGCAGCTCTGCCAGTTCTCTCAAGTCCTTGTTTCTCACTGGCCCCAATCCTCCTCCTCTGAGCTCCAATATGCCCTCCCTACATGGACCTAGAGGTGCCTCCTTATCTTTCTAATAGTCAGTCCTGGAGTTACATCCTTATCTCTGTCAGAATCTCTCTGCCCTGCTTTGATTGCTGGAGGAGTAGAAATGATCGAGGCACCCTGAATCTAATGAGAACTCAGCCCCTGCCTAGACCAAGGACTAACTCTAATGGCTTCTCTAATGTCCAGTTTGTTCTCACAGCCTACAGGTAAATATTTTAGGAAACTTTCCCTATTATGGCTTTATACAATAAGCCTGATATGTGAAAATGGTTCCCCAAGTGTAAGACTCCAACCTTGAATCCTTGCCCAATCCATGTCAGTATCCATTGTCATGGCTGCAGCCCCAATCTATATGTGACTTGGGGTGATTTTTTATAAGAAATGGAAGTGGTCCTGAGAGTGGATTAGGGAGAGTGTTGTGAAACCAGCTTTGCTTAGTCACCAACATGCTCTCTTGGCATTCATGGGTATTCATAAATCATGGGAGAAATAAAGAGATAGGCCCCCATCATTGAGGGACACTGAGCTAAACAAATGATAATAATAATAAGAAGAAGAAGAACAGCAACAATCTGTATTTATATAGTGCTTACTACGTACCAAGTACTCTTCTAAGCACTCTACTCATATTACTTATTTAATTCTCACAACACCTCTATGAAGGAGATGTTATCACCATTTTACAGACCAGCAACTAAGGCAGAGATGTCAAGTGACAAGCCTAAAGTTTACAACCAGTAAGTGACGAAACCTAGGCTTGAAGTTAGGAAATCTGGCTACCAACACTAAACACTGAGCTGCTATGCTGTGCTCCCAGAAGTGTGATGCTGTGCTCCCAGAAGTGTAGTGCTGGATGGGCATGCTCTCCTCTTGCTACCTTGCATCCCTGCTCCTCCTCCATCCACCCCTAGTCATAAACACTGGGTTGGAACTTAATCAACCCTAGGTTTAGTCTTGATTCTGACACTATTTTAACTTTGTGGATTAAGTAAGGTGACTTCTGTGAACCTCCAACTCTTGTTTCTAAAATGAAGGCCTATAACCAAGCCCACTGAAATATTTTATTTGTAATTAACTCAATCATTCAATGAACCCCTAGTAAGTACCAGCTATATGTAAAGAACTGCTTTATTTAGGTATTATAGTGATTACCTCTTTATGATCTGATCTTATGCATTTTTTGGAGAAAAATTTCTTTTTTTTATTATACTTTAAGTTCTAGGGTACATGTGTACAACGTGCAGGTTTGTTACATATGTATACATGTGCCATGTTGGTGTGCTGCACCCATTAACTCGTCATTTACATTAGGTATACCTCCTAATGCTATCCCTCCCCACTCCCCCAACCCCATGACAGGCCCCAGTGTGTGGTGTTCCCCACCCTGTGTCCAAGTGTTCTCATAGTTCAACTCCCACCTATGAGTGAGAACATGCGGTGTTTGGTTTTCTGTTCTTGTGATAGTTTGCTCAGAATGATGGTTTCCAGCTTCATCCATGTCCCCACAAAGGACATGGACTCATCCTTTTTTATGGCTGCATAGTTTTCCATGGTGTATATGTACCACATTTTCTTAATCCAGTCTATTATTGATGGACATTTGGGTTGGTTCCAAGTCCTTGCTATTGTGAATAGTGCCGCAATAAACATACGTGTGCATGTGTCTTTACAGCAGCATGACTTATAATCCTTTGGGTATATACCCAGTAATGGGATGGCTGGGTCAAATGGTATTTCTAGTTCTAGATCCTTGAGGAATTGCCACACGGTCTTCCACAATGGTTGAACTAGTTTACAGTCTCACCAACTGTGTAAAAGTGTTCCTATTTTATTGGAGAAAAATTTCTAACAAAGATAACAATGTGGAAAGAAATGGACTGCCTTGTGAGGTAATGAGTTCTCCAACTAAAAGCATTTTCATTTAGGCCAGGAAGCTCACCACTAGGCATGTGGGTGAGGAGATACAAGCTCCTGGTGGAAAACCACACTACATTCTTTCTAAGGCCTCTGCAAGGCTAAATAAGTTTGTGAGTTTACTATGCTTCCTGCATCTTTCAATTTCCTAGGAAGATCCCTAGAGGAGCTCAGAGGAAGGTGGTAGGACTGTGAAAATGTTGTTACCAGAATGTTTCATGGGCTGGCTATAGTTCTACGGTTCTACCAGAACATGCCAGGACAGTGGCTACCAAACTAGGTAGAATAACCTGGGAAATAGTTAACCAATGTAAATCATAAAGACCCACTCCTTGGAGATTATGATTCAGTAGGTCTTAGTTAGAGACCAGGTGTCTGCTTCTTTTATTTTTTATTCATTTATTTTATTATTATTATTATTATTATTTTGACAGAATCTCGCTTTGTCACCAGGCGGCTGGAGTGCAGTGGCACTATCTCGGCTCACTTCAATCTCCACCTCCTGGGTTCAAGCCATTCTCCTGCCTCAGCCTCCCGAGTAGCTGGGATTACAGGCGCGTACCACCACACCCAGCTAATTTTTGTATTTTTAGTAGTGATGGGGTTTCTCCATGTTGGCCAGGATAGTTTCAATCTCCTGACCTTGTGATTTCCCTGCCTTGGCCAACCAAAGTGTTTGGATTACAGGCGTGAGACACCACACCTGGCCGGGATCTGCATTTTAAAAGTACTTCCAAGATGGCTCATGTTCCCAACCAGGTTTGCAATTCTTGATCTACAACAGCACTGAGAGTCCAGGACAGCTTCCTTGCTTTGCGCAGTTCTTTGCCGGGCTTGCCTTATTGCTCTGCACCCTTACAGACTGTGTGATATGCACTTACTTTTAACTGTCCAGTATTCAGTTTTTCTAGATGCAATAATAACAAACTCTCAAGGTTGTTAAGAAGAGAAAATAAAGCATGTGAAATGCAATACAATGCATTACAAAGCATGTGAAATGTAATACAACGTATTACAAAGCATGTGAAATGCAATGCATGGAGGGATGTGAGGGGCTTCCCTTGTGTGACCACCATCACTAAAAGAATGAATGGTTTAGAACTACAGGCTCACAGAGTGATGGAACACGGGGTCTTGGTGTCACAGGTGAAGGTGTGGGCTCCAGAAAGATTGAGCAACTTGCCTAATGCTTCTTAATGTGTCCCCCCATGCCCTTAAGAGTTTTGTAGTGGCTTTCCTAGGTAAAAACACTACTGAAAACAGGCTTTGAGGTGAAGGGTGGTGATAAGAGGGATTCATCTTCCCTACCTTTCTCTTAAGATGTGTTAATTGCAGGATGAGAGATACAGTCCAGCTGGGTTATCTCCTTTAGGCACAGTGGAGAAAATGATGGAGAGATCAAAGGCATGGAGTTGTGATGAGCCAGAGATATCATCAGAACAACTGTTTCCAAGAATAGGAGGGCGGTGGAGCCAAAGATCTGTTCTGCTCACCTTAGTTGGTAGAATTCATCTTTAACATCAGCAAAAAGACATGAAGTTTCACAGGAGTCAGAAAGCTCTGTCATTGTAGGCAGTGGAGTCTCCTTTCTTAGAAGATTCAGAAACATATTCTTGGGATTTTAGAAATATATTCTTATTTAAAAATATATTCTTGGGTCTGGAGGAAAATGATAGGCAAGATGATCACTCTTCATCCCTTCCTATTTTAGGATTAACAGGCATCACTTGATGGTGACATGTGTAAATACAGGCTCCTGATAAGGTGTTTTAGCTATTGCTCCATTCACCAAAGTCAACCAAGAAGCCAGGGCAGGGCCTAGGATCCAAAGAGGGCATCGTTCCATGTGTTACATAGGAGAAGGATTGGCGAAGCTATCGGAGACAATAAATCAGGGAGTCACCCAGGCTCTAATATGGTCTAGAGCAACCACAAGCACAGAGATCTCATAATTACCTTAGTGATCAAGATGAAAGCAACAATACTCATTTTACAAATGAAGAGACTGAGGCCCAGAAGAGGCAAGTGGCTCATAGCTGGTCAGAGTCAGGACTAGGCTTGTGCTCCAGGGATGACCTGCTGCTTCTTTCCAAGGGAGTTTTCTACAGCTGGAGATATTAGGGAAAAGAGGGGCCACAACACTGGTACGAGATGATATTGGTGTGCATCCCCCATCCTAAAGGAATAGAGCTCAGCATCTGGAGAATAACTGGGACTGTAATAATAATGCTTATAGTTGTAACTGCAGCTTATGGAATATCAGTTAATTGCTGGGCACTGTGTTGGTTTCTTTTCTCACAGTAATTCTTTTAACCACCATATTATACATGATGGGCCTACCTCTCTAGTTCACACTAAACAGATAGAATGGAGTGCCTGTTTTAAGGCCACCTAATAAAGGTGATGAGAATATGTTATGCTGAATAGTTATTGTCCCTTTCTTCTACCCACTAATTCAGATGGGCACAGAACCATGAGGCAGGTCATTGATCATGGGTCATCACTATTTTCTGTGCTCCAAGAGAAACACAAGCAGCATTGGTCCCTCAGTGGCCCTGTTATGAATCCCATCATCCTTGGGAGGACCATAAATCCTCTCCTAGTGTGGTTTGCCAATCAGACCCACATATGCTCCCTGCCCACAGAGATTCTGGCCCACAGGAGGACTGTTCAAGGGGTTGATTGCTCAGGCAGAAGGATAATCCTTGTTTTCCTTTCTCTCATCACTTGGGAATTAGCTTGATAAGAATCTCATGCATGCCAATGCTAGCTTGGCTGGTACCTCACCGTTTTATTAAGGGGCACACCCAAGCCAGATGGGAATCCTTAACATTCTTGAATCTTCAGGCAGGCAGGATGGTGAGGAAGTGCATGGGCAGATGAGAGTGGAGTCCAGGAATGCACCAGCTATGCCCAGATGGCCTAGGCCAAGCAAAGATCTTCCAGTCATCTTCCAGCAATTCCCCTTTTCTAGAAGCTGATTAACGAAGCTCCTCCCCCAAGTCCATCTCTGATCCTCATTAAACCATCAGGCTGGTCATTCACCATAGGCTTCAGCTTTGTAGATAACCAAATCAAAACAACTAAGACCACCTTATCCTAGTAATCTTTTTAAAATGTAAATCTGATCATACTTCTCCCTTGTTTAAATGATCAGGGATGTCCAGTTGTCTCTGGTCAAACTTTTAAAAGCAGAATCACCCTGTTTTCACATTAAATCATATGTATGCTTCCAATATATAAAGAAGGTAAAGGTATAATTACTTTGATTGCAGCAGGGGGTAGGTACAAGGCCCCCACTGTTGTCTGCTCAGGGTCTCCTTCCCAGGCAGCCTAAATAGTCAAGGATTAATGGTATTTTTAAGTGGAGCTCAAATTTCTGGAACCCTCATATTAATGAGATGGGAATTAAAATTTATTCTCAACATCCTATCCATCAAACATGTTAATTGCATTACCACATTACAATAGCTCTATGAGTTTCTTATTGATAATCCCATTTTTTAGATTTTTTAAATGAAGCTCAAAAAATGTTAAATAACATACAGCTCAAATGCCAATGCCCTGATTCTGAGACCCATATTCTCCCAGATTGTATGCCATGTAAAGACATGAAGCAGATGCAATAGTCTATGGTGGAGGCATGGAGGGAGGGCTAGAGAGTGCACAAAGGCAGAGAAACTCATGTTGTCTGGAGGCTCTCAAAAGAGATGACGGTCGAGCATCCTTGGCAACAGCATTTTAGGAAATATAATTTGGAAGCCATAAATGTATGCTAAAATCACACAATGCATCAAGTAAAGCTTTTAATGTTTTGGGCCTGTCCTTCCTTTCTGTCCAGCAAACATCCCACCTCTGGTTCTTATACACCCAATATTATGGCCACTATCTGTTTCCAGAACAAACCAAGCTCATCCACATCTCTGTGCCTTTGTCAATTCTTCTTCCGTTTACTTAGAATGCCAATTTCCCCTTCACTCCCTGATTAACTCCCACTGATCTTCCAAATGTAACCTCTTCCAAGAGATGTAGTCCCAGACAGTACAAATTTCTGCCTTTGTGCACTCTCCAGCCCTCCCTCCATGCCTCCACCATTGCCTACTGCATTGGCTTCATGTTTTTACACAGCATACAAGCTGGAAGAGTATGCAACCCAGAATCAGGGCATTGGCACTTGAGACATAGGTATGTTATATAATGTTTCTGAGCCTCCCCTTTTTTTTTTTTGAGACAGAGTCTCACTCTGTTGCCTAAGCTAGAGTGCAGTGGAGCTATCTTGGCTCACCGCATCCTCCACTTCCCAGGTTCAAGTGATTTTCCTGCTTCAGCCTCCCAAGTAGCTGGGATTACAGGTGCCTGTCACTATGTCTGGCTAATTTTTGTACGTTTAATAGAGACAGGGTTTTGCCATGTTGGCCACGTTGTCTCGAACTCCTGACCTCAGGTGATCTGCCCGCCTCAGCCTCCCAAGGTGCTGGGACTACAGGTGTGAGCCAGGAGCCTTACTTTTTCTGTAAAATGAGATTAACAAAAAGACACCCATAAAGCTATTATACTATGATAATTCAAATAACATATTTAAAGAATAAATATTAATTCCCTTTCTTTCTCTCATATTATCTCACTTGGACCATTCTCTAAGGACAAGAAAATATCTTAATTTTCTTTGAATTCACAAAACTCTGCAAGTATCAGGCACTCAACAAATGAATTAACATCTTTAAAGTAGCATTTGAAAAGTTACTACAAAAAAGGAGTTTCTGTGGACATAAATAATTCTTCATTATTGAACCAGAAGGTCATTGATGGGTATTAGACCAACACAATAAAATGGTGTTTTCCAACCTTTTTAAATATACTTGTAATACTTTTTGTCAGAAATATCACAGGGAAAGAGCATCATTTTGCCTATCTCTACAGATCTGGGCTTCAGTGGCTCAGAAGAAGAGCCAGAAGAGGCACAACCAGAAGAGAACCACATATATACACTATACTCTGCTTTGGCACAACAAGGCAAGATGTTAAGTCATTTCCTCTGATAAGTGGGAGAAACTGAATAGACTGTATGGAGTTCCTCCCTCATAATGTGACTTACTTTCAACTATCTCACACCCTGGCATAGTCAACATTCCAGCCATCATCTCCACCCTCTTCATCAAGTTCACTGCCACTTCCAATCCCAGATAAAATATATTCAGGGACAAGATCAGACCTGTGCTGAGTGTAAGCTCCGTGGAGTTCTGAGGCTCATAAATAAAAATACCTACTTGAAGATATACCTAAGATAATCTGGTCCAGCCTCTCCTGAAACCCAGAAAGAGCAGCAGAGCAGGGACCAGAGCACTGACTCACAGTGCAAAGCTCCTGCTGCTGACTCCATCCCTGGAGCAGCTTCCCACACCTGCCCCACAGGCCTGCCACTGACCTGGCCTCCCAGGCTACTCTCTCTCAAGGAGTGAAAGGAGGGGAGACCTTTGCCTCAACCACAGATCACCCATTAACTCATTAAACAAATACTTTTGAGCACTTACATTATGTCAGATTCTGTGTAGGTGCTGGAGATAAAGAGTGAACCCATGAACACTGAGATTTCATTCTATCCAGGACGACAGATATTGAAAAACAAATACAAGCAAGTGTTACCAGAAATACAAGGTGCCATGGGAGCATTTCATAGGAGAAACAATACAATTGAGATTGAAGGTGCAAGGATCCAGAGAAAAGGGCTAGGGATAGGTGTTGGAAAAGACAAGGGGCCACTCCTCCCCTGTAACACAGGAAGTCATGAAGGATGGCTGCAGATGTAAGTGAGCTTGAAGACTTAGGAGAAGGAAGCGGAAGTGCTTTATGTTTGACAGGAACTCTTTGCTCCATATGGTAGAGGCAGTACCATCTATCTAGAGGCAGTAGTGAAGGTTTGGAAGATTCAAGGGAGGAGAAAAGCCATGAGGTATGTGCATGGTGAATACAGGGAGGTATACGGGGATCACCAAGCCATGTTTTGGACCAGCCAAGGTGGATGATGGTGATTTTATGATGGTGTCATCCTGCCAAAATGTCTATTTTTGTTTTCATTTTTATAGCAACTAGGCACAACAGGGAGAATTCAGCCAGGGATAAGGCTTTGCCAGTCAAATGCAGTGACAAGCCAAATGGGTAACAAAAGAAAGTTTATTATATTGGCAAAAGAGTAGTTGAAACAATGAACTAAGAAAAGTGAACTGGGTGGGGAGTGGCATGAAAAAAGGAGGGAGCTTGTGGGCAGGGGAGAGACTAGATCCTAGTGGATGTACCCAAGCAAATCCAAAAGAAGGGGCTGCTGTGAAATGGGGGCCTGAATTGATGATCTCAGAGAGTTAGAAGATATGGTTTCTAGTTCAGACTCTGCACAACTTTGAGGTCTCCATTGCCCCCTCTGGCCATATGTTCCTGACCTACGTAGAGTGGAAGTATCCTAAATCCGCTTGCAGCTGGGACTTTCTATGATGCCACATGGTTGATCAATATTTTAGGCACTTTGGTATCTGAATCAAATACACTGAGCCCTCAGTATTGGCCCATGTGTGCTTAGATTATTGGTTCCCATCTTATTGATAATGCCTGCAGAAACCCCGATCAGTGCCTGTGTTGATCTAACATCTGTGACTTTAGATGCCCAGTCATGTTTTGGATTCCTCCAGAAACCCTAATTTCAATTCCCAAGCTATGTCATTATAAATACCCTTCTAAGTCATGATCTTCTAATCTTTATGGAAATCCTGTGAGAGTTTATGAAGGGGAAGGATGCTCTGGGGGATCTGTTAGTGACACAGGGTGACAAAGTGACAGAATGACAGAGCCACTGGAATGTGGGAAGTTGACATCACAACCACCTGGTTGGGAAACAGTTTTCACATCATCTGTGGCTCATTCTCTCTAGTTGAATGCAGTGTGTGTATAAAAGGCTCCCGCTCACAGTGTATCTATCCGTAGTCCCATCGTTTGCCCAGGGTTAAGAGGACAAGGTGAGTGTTTTTACTGATCTGATGGCAGTTTGGGGATGACTAGGGCTGCTACACCTCCTTTTGGAAAAGCCATTCAAAGTTGGAGAGAATGGAAATTGATAATTCCAGGAAGACCAGGCTCATGGCAATCATCGAGGTGGTTCAGAAGCAGCAAACCCAGAAGGAGTGAAGTTAACCAGAGACTGGGGCAGTGCAAGTGTTTGTAGGGCAAGAGACAGCCACGCAGGGCTGAAGAGTAGGGCTAAAGGTACAGCTCATGATGCAAGAAAGAAAAAAAGGGAGATGATGATGAGAGGTGACGTAACCATAGACTCAGGTTAAAAATGTGGTTTTTAGAATGCATAAATTAGAAGATAGGATAATAAGTAAGTGAAGATTTGGGGGACTACATAGTGCCCTAAGCAACTGCCTTTGAAGTCAGGAGTCTTGAGAGAATCAGGCCAGGCACAAGAGAAGATGTCACCAGACTCTAACTTACTCACTGCTGAATCTCTCCTATGTCAGGAAAGCAGGGCTGCTCTGCTATTATGATGTGGCTTCTGGAGCCACATATTCAACTGTAGAATTTCGGGCTCTGTAGAAAAATGTTGATACAAACAAGGTTTACATTAATTAGACTTTTGAAATGTTTGCATTGTTTTTTAGAGTAACTGGACTTTCTCCAAGATGTCCTATCAGAAACACCAGCAGAAATGGCAGCTCCCTGCCAAGTGCCTCCCCAAATATCCATCCAAGTGGACCCCTCAGGCTCCTGCTTCATGTCCAGCTCCATGCCCCCCTCCAGCTCCCTCCTGCTGTGTTTCCAGTTGCTGTATTTCTGGCTTTGGAGGCCACTGCTCTCTAGTTTCACTCCGGTTTCCACGATTCTACCTGCGTCAGCCCCAGCATTCTGACTGCTGTGAGCACGAGTCTTCTAGATGTTCCACTTGCTATAGCTCTGGAGACTGCAGCTGACCTGTGACCTTTGAGGAACCAAAGAACCACAGCCAAGGACCCGCCCTGAGTTGATGTCTTCCCTCACTCTTACCCTCCTCCTTCCTTCTCCTCCTGAACTCAGCTGCCTAGCTCCATAGGTGATGGGCTCCCCCTTTTGCTGAGAACCTCAGGCCTCTTGGCCTTGGCTGTGTTCCTAGATCAAGGAGACCTGCATGCAAAAGAAAAACCTGCTTTTTGAAGCCTGATCTGTGTGCTAAAATAAAGCTTATCTTTCCTGGTGCCCTATATGTTTGTCGATACTCCATCCTCAGCTCTGAAAAGCTCACATTAATCTGAATTATTTAAGCAGACTCCCACAAGGTGCCAGCCAGGTGGAAATTCCTACCAAGGTAGATCTAGAGTCTGAGCTATTTGAGAAGGCTGTGAAGAGCAGCGAGTCAGAAGGGTAGAGTAGAGGGAGTTTCCAAAATGTAAGTGACCCTGTTCCACGGCTGCTGCCGCAGGTGACACCATCACAGAGTTTTCTTTCTGTTTATTGAGGACATTTTGCTGCCTAGATCCTCCTTATTTGGGAGAATCTCATGCTCAGGAAGGAGATGGTACAGCAGTGCTTGTACCTCTCAGATCTCAGTTTCAGAAGCCATGAGAAATACTCTGCTTGAGCATATTCACTCAACTGAGTCTTTTGCTCCATGTCTTCACACAGAAGCCAGGATGAGGGAGGAACTTGTACGTGGTCCAATCAGCACAATACCCAGGAGACTTCTGGCCTTGGTGTTGCTATCTACCCTTTTCAGATTTTTCCCTCATCTATTCAACCAGCCAAATGGCATAGGTGTAGGGCCTGCTCTTAAAGCAATGTCCTTCCTGACCCAACAGTGGCCATGGGTCATAAGCCACAGCAATGCTTCTGTACATCCTCCAGGGCTATGGCTCTTAGCCACAATCTTGAGACACACGGTGCCTATCAGGTCAGTGGGAGACAAAGAAATAGGGTTATGGTCAGTACCCCAGAAACTGCACATATCCACAGCTTAGAATAACTAAACCATGGCTATGCTGTCAAAACATCTGGTTTCAGGCAGAGGAGTGTCACACACTTGAATGCCACCCACTAAGTATGTCCTAGCAGAAGAGAGACTGTTCCAGGCTGTCCCTTGGCCCAAAATCATTTACTAAAGGTCATGGCTGTCCCAGGGCATCCAGGGCACTGGGAGTTCTGAGGGTAAGAATGAAGGCAGATTTCATCACCGTCCTTGACATCCCTATGCTCAGTCCAAGGAGGAGGACTTCTAGTGTTTTCCAGCCTCTGACAAAAGGAACAGTAGGGTTCCAGAGAGGTTCTTCAGGGGTTCTTGAGATTTCTATTTGTATGTATATGTGTGTGTTTATGTGTGTTGACACATTGGAGAATATTCAGAATGCCTGTTCAAAATGTTAAATAACAGGTGACAATGATAACACCTGGGAGAGCACCCAGCTCTCCATGTTCATCTGGGCTGTTAGTCTAACTAGTTTACTATTAGCTGATCTAAATAGTAGATTGCAGAGTAAAAATTGTGTAACGTCTTTGTGTGTATTTTTAACTTTTTAATCATAGTTATTGATTTAAGGGGAAATGTTATTTTTATCCATATTGTAGCCTCATCTTTAAAATAATATCTTCCATCTCACATTCACTCCTTTCCAATGGAGAGCAAGTGAGTTGTCTGAGAGGTGAAATGGCAAGAGTTCTGCCTTCCTTTGTCTCTGCTTTTCTACTGTGCTCACTCTGGTTGCTGGAAGGATGTCTCTCTGTGGACCAAGTTCTATCCCAATGCAGGCTCCAAGGTTTAGACTTTGAAATAAATATTATGAAGTTCATCTTGGCAGTGGTACAAGTTACATTTGCCAAAGCTCTGATTTATAAACTCTCTGTCTTAAACCATTCTCTTTCTCAATTGTTTAAGAGTTTGGGAAGGAAAGACATATGATTAATTAACCCTCTCAAAAATCCCAATATTACAAAGAGTGTGACTGTGTACAGAATCCACCATTTATACATCTAGTTATGTAAAATTTTATTCACACGAAATTGTATTACAGCTCATTGCATTAAATACAATACCAGATAAGTCCAGGTGCACCAATGTCTCATGATAAATTATTTTAACAGCTATCCCCTAGTGACATGGTAATATCATAGTGCAAGGCATTACTCATGTGTTTGTGGTGATGCTGGTGCAAAAAAACCTACCTGGCTCTCAGTTGCATAAAGGTATAGCACATATAATTATGTATAGTACATAATTCTTGATAATGATAATAAATGGCTATGTTGTTGGTTTTTATGTATTCACTGGATTTTTATCATTATTTTAGAGTATACTCCCCTACTTACATAAAAAGTTAACTGTAAGACAGCCTTAGGCAGGTCCTTCAGGAGATATCCAGAAGAAGGAAGGCACTGTTGTCATAGATGGCAGCTCCATGCATGTTATTGTCCCTGAAGACCTTCCAGTGGGACAAGATGTGGAAGTGAAATACAGTGATACTGATTATCCTGACCTGTGTAGGACTAGGCTAGTGTGTGTGCTTGGGTCTTAGTTGTTAACAAAAAAGTTTAATTTTTTAATTAGGAAGAAAACTTTACAGAATAAGGATATAAGAAAGACAATATTTTTGTACAGTTGTACAATATGTGTTTTAAGCTGCTATTACAAAAAAGTAAAAAAGTTAAAAAAAAGTTTATAAAGTTAAAAAGTTATAGTAAACAAAGATTAATTTATCATTGAAGAAATAGATTTTGTATAAATTTAGTGTCCCCTAACTGTATAGTGTCTTTAAAGTCTGCAGTAGTGTAATTTCCTCGGCTGTCACATTCACCCTCCACTCACTCACTAACTCACGTAGAGCAACCTCTAGTCCTGCAAGCTCCATTCATGGTAAGTGCCCTATACAAGTGTACCATTTGTATCTTTTATACTATATTTTCCTGTAAATACACTGGTGTATATACAAACTATATATATATACTGTATATATATAATTTTTATATATACTATATATATATTCCCTGTATATATAATTTATATATAGTGTATATATATACTATATGTACTGTAGATATATTTACTATACCTTTTCTATGTTTAGATACAAAAATACTTACCATTGTGTTACTACTGCCTAAAGTATTCAGTATAGTAACATGCTGTACAGGTTTATAGCCCATGAACAACAAGCCAGACCATACAGCCTAGGTGTGTAGTAGACTACACCATCTAGGTTTGTGGAACTATGCTTTATGATGTTCACACAATGACGAAATCACCTAAAGATGCATTTCTCAAAATGTATCCCTGTCCTTAAGTAACACATGACACTACTACTAGAAAAAAAGCCTGTTAAAAATGACATGGTATTGGTACTGCAAGAAGGATGTTCGATGACCAGCTGATTTAGAAGTACAGTTAGGAGCATTTGCTGATAAAGAACTTCAGAAAGACTGCAGCATGACAACAACCTCACTTCATGAATTATTCTAAGGTTGAGATCATGAAATATTTATAATAAAACTGAACAGGAGTATGCCTATTGAGAATATTTCCATTTTGCTTATTTTTGTACAATATGGTTAAGCAAGTCAATGGAAAGATGACTGACACATGTGCAACAGAAGAAAACTTTAAATATTGAGATCAGCTTTTTAGCATATTATTGAATAAATCAGCACAATGGGATGTTTATACTGACATTGCAAAAGCAATGACAAGAAAAATTGTAGAAACTATGTTTTATATAGACATTATTGCTAAAGTGTGCTTAAGTAATTGTGTGTTGCATGAAAAACAAATGAATTTAAGAAGCTGCAGATATATTGCAAAATGATGTCTGACAAAGCCCTTCATAAAAATTGGCTTTAAATTTTCAGCTTTTCAGTGTTATTTGTATGAAATGCGAAGACATGGGATAAGTCCTGGTCACTGGCAATAAGGGACAATGTCCTGGCAAAGATATTTCAAATGAGATAAGAAATAACCATTTTTTGTTGATAAACATCATTATGTTGATAAATATCTCATAAACATATCATAGTTACAACAGCTGGAAATTTTTGCTGATTTGTTTAATAAACTGAAAAAGCTTGTCATGTGCAATATTGCAAGGTCAATATACTTAAAGCAGCAGATAAAGTGTAAACAATCAAATGAAAACTGACTCAACACCGAAAATAAATTCAGCTTTCTGAAACACTTAATCACTATTAATTCATTAAATAATTGTTTATCAAGCGCTTTTTATGGCCTAGGCATTGATCTGAGAGCTGAGGATATGGCTATAAACAAAAACAGTTCCTACTGTCATGGAGTTTAGTTTCATGGAGGCAGCAGACAATAACTACACAATGGCTAAATATATAACATATTACATGGTACTAAATAGTATGGAAAAGAAATAAAGAAAGGCTGGGGGAACAGACAGTATGGGTGCAGGCCTGCTTGTTTATACAGGGTGGTTAGGGAAGGCTTATGAGATCAAGTATTCTTTCGTAGGAAGTGAAGAAGCAAATCACATGGATATCTGGAGAAAGAGCACTGTTAGGCAGAGAGCACCAGGAACACAAAACTCAGTCAGGATTGTGCAAGATGCTTCGGAGGCACAGCAAAGAGGTCAGTGTGCCTGGAAGGAGGGAGTGGCTGCCTGGATTACAAGGATAAGTTGGATTCAATCTATGAGGACCTTATGGGATTTGGGCTTTTACTATGGATGACATGGGTATGCATTGGAGGGTTTGGAGCAGGGGTATGCCACTACCTAAGCTATGGGTTTTTCACTTTTATTATTTTTAATTGACACATAATAATTTCACCTATGTATGAGGTACAGTGTAATAATTTAATACATGTATACAATGTGTAATGATCAAATCAGGGTAATTAGCATATCCATCACCTCAAACATTTATCATTTCCTTGTGTTGGAAACATTCAAAATCCTCTTCTAGCTATTTAAAATATACAGGGAATTATGAATTATAGTCACCCTATAGTGCTAGAACACTGGAATTTACTCCTCTTATCGAGGTCTGCTTTGCATCTGTTAACCCACCTTTGGCTACCTCCCCTTCTGCTTTGTTGAGGAAAGACTAGAAGTTAAGTGCAGACCAGGGTAACCACATAGGAGGCCACCACAATAGTCAAGGCAAGAGCTAATGGTGGCTGGGACCAGGGAATTTGTGGTGGAAGAAAATTTCAGATTCTAGATATATTTTGAAGACTGAAGCAACAGGATGTATGGGTCTATAAGAAAAAGAGGACTCAAGGATTGCTTTCATCTGGGCAATGGGAAGGATACAGTTGCATTTTAAGAGATGAAGACTTTAGGAGTAATGAGTGTTTTTTGAGGCAGGAGGGAAGTTTTGTTTTATATGTGAGATACCTATTTCCTGTCCAAGTAGGAACTTTAAGAGACAAACTTGGATACTTAAGTCTGGAGAGAGAAGTTTGAGAATTATCAGCATATGTTTGAGACAGGATGATATCACCTAGAGAGGAAATACAGATAGAGAAGACAGGATATACAATGACTCAACCCTGGGACACTCCAATATTTGGAAATCAAAGATATGAGAAGTAACCATAAAAGAAAGTTGGGTGGGGGGTAGTGATCAGTGAGGAAGGAGGCCATCTATCTACAAGGGAATAGGGGCCGAGCAGTCAGGTGAAGAAAGTACTGCAAGAAAGAGGTAGTGATTATGCCAGTCACGTGCTGCTGGTGGTGTCAATCACATCCATTATATCTCGCAAAAAGCAGATCAACAGTGACCTTGACAAGAGCATTTTAGGCAAACTGGTGGGACAAAAGCTTGACTGATGAGGTTTAAAGCAGGATTGGAGACAAGGAGTACCAATAATTTAAAAAAAACTTTTGAGGAATATAATGCTTTAAAAAAATAGATAATTGAGTGTTGACTTGAAGTGGTTGTGAGACCTAGGGAGAGAGAAAAGGAGAGAGAGACAGACACCGATTTTTTTTAAGATGAGCATTATAAGTATTTTTTAGATGGAAAATACGATGTTTTGTGTGCTGATGAAACAATCCAGTATAGAGAGGAAAAACAATTATGAAGGATGGAGAGGGGAAAATTGCTGGTATGATACTCTTGGGTAGATGAGAGGGATGGAATCCAGGTCACCAATGGAGGGTTGTCCCCAGATAGGAGCATGGACAGGTTACACATGGTAGCAAGAGGGACCACAGTAGAAAGGTAGGTGAGTAGACAAGACTATATGGATGTTCTCTTATAACTGCTTCTGTTTTCTCAGTAACATAATAAGTATGCTCGTCATTGAAAGGGAGAAGAGTGATGGAAATGTTGGAAATTCGGGGAGAGAGACAGAGGGGCAAGAGAGACATGGATTATGCAAGCACATGATTTTAATGATAGTTTGTGGAGCTTATACTGGGTAAGAAGAGAAATGAAGACATGAAGGAGATATTGGCCAGATAAAACATTGTGGTATCAATGAATTGTAGTTTCCAGCGTATTGAAAAACTTCTCAGAGTGGGATACCAGAGCAAGTAAGTTGGAAATACAGGAGGTTAGGTTTGGGAAATGGACTATTTGAAACTCATTTTACAGAAGGGTTGTAGTTGTTAATAATAATGACTGGTCTAGGCTGGTATGACATGGGAGTAGATGAACGTTAGGATGAAAGACAAACCAGTGAGAGGTGCAGAGGTCAAAGAATTGTGAAGTAAATTATTAAATGAATCATTTTTGTGAATATTAAAATCACCAAAGACCATGACAGAAAGTCTTGGATTGAGCAACAGTGAACAGGGTGCCAGATACTTACCTGGGGATTTGCAATGAAGAGAAGCAGTGGTTGGTGTAATGGATGCCTAGCCCATTCCTTGGCCCAATGAGTACAAAGGCATGGGCAAGAAGAAAATGGCCAGACCATGAGAGGACTACGCGGAACTCAGGTTTCACTTAGGACAAGAAGGTGGAGGTGGCTTTGTGAGAAGAGTTGGTTGATACAGCACATTTTTTCGATGTGCAGCCTTGAGTCTTGAGGGCTTGTGGGGAGTTTAGGGTGCTGGAGAAGGATGGAAGATGGAGTCCCATTGGGGATTGTGCAGACCTATGGGGAAGGGAGGAATCCTGGTGATGGCAGGCAATTTGGGAGTCCTGAGCTTCTGCTGGTGACTGAGACAAACAGGCAGAGGGCATGACCAGTTAGTGCTGAGTGTCATCAAGGCAGAATGAGAGAGCAGGCTGTGAGTGCTGAGGAGGACCCAGGAGGATGAACAGAGTCCTGTCCACTCCCACCCCCACTCCCATTCCTCACCACCTCCATTCCTACTGGCTGTGGCTGGATTGCTTTTAAAAGGTTCCAGTCAAGGACTGAGGAATCTTAAAATGTTAAGAATAGCATCAAGGATTGTCTCACATTATAGATGTGCCAGTAATACATTACATTGCTTTATATAATGTCATATATCTTGTCAAGTCATAGCATATCAAATAGTTCTCTATTCAACACTTACATTATCTGACATAGTTGTTTTTTAAAAATTATTTTGTCATTAAACACTTTTCAGTCAAGGAATGTGAACAGTTCTTAGACATTTCTGCTGATTGTCTCCAAATCCTTTATAACTATTTTTTCAAATATTGAGGTTAATCTAATAGAAAAATATGCCAAAATTGTAAAGTAAGCTGTTGAAAACCAAAACAAAGCAAGAAACAAATCCTGACAACTGTCTAACAGCTGGTGCTGTGACTGGTGCTCCCTGAGTTGTGGACTGCACAATCCGGACAGCTCCAAGCAAAGGCCCCAAGGACCATGTGCAAAGTAACTATTATTTTACCAGTACTGCCCAACCAGAAAGAAAAAATACAGAAAAACAGTGGATGCAGAGACTAATTAATAATACTACAACTATCATCTGCATTTCATGAATTGAGTTTTGTATGTTCATCAAAATAACCCAATTTTTCTTAATTAACTAATTGATATAAATTTTAATGTAAAAGATAAATTTAAATAAATAAATAAGCTCTTATCTGTTTTATGTATAGTGGTCTCAATGTAAGTTGCTATTAGACAAATGGTTGCAGTTGTTAAAGTATTTGAAGGCTCTCAGAGACTATTAGAGATTCCATGCTTTGTTAATAGGTGTTCTGTGAAAATAATAATTACAAGTGATAATTATCTTCACAAATGTTGTAAACAATATAAGCATCATTGTGATAAAAATAACACATACTAATTTTATTCTTAGCATACAATCTGCATTTAAGAAAACAACATGCCTAATCAGAGAAGGCCAGAAAGTCACTGACAAATTATCTGACCTGGGAATACATCACCTGTAACTTGGGCATGAATTCGCATGCAGAGTTTCTGGTTCATCCTTGCCTTGATGTATAGTGTCTAATGGAAGGGAAAAACTCATCAATGCAATTTATCTTATTTTTCAATATCAGCATATACTTGAGATACTATTCAACGTTAGTAAATATGATTAACTTTACTACACACATGTATTCTGCTTTGATGTGTTACTGAGAAAATAAATTTGTGAGACCTTTGCATTTTTTTCTCAACCATAATACAAAGGGGCCGTTATCTGTATTTCTCGAACAAAGTTAAATGTATTATTTCATTATTAAATTTAAAATATGACATATATTGTGTTCAAATAACTTTGGGAAATGTAGTTCTAGAGCAATGTTATTCAAGCCTCTATTAGTAAGCAATGTGTATACTTTTATTTATTAATGAATTATCTGCACATATTACTATATAAATTTTAAGTACAATATAACAGAAAACAAAAAAAGAAAATTTTAAAAGTTGGGACGATAATTAGAAATACTACTTTGAGTCATGGTGGACACCTTCCCGTGTCATGCAGAGTCTTCTTTGGGGACCAAAGTTGGCTTAAATGAAAACAGAGCAACAATTACTAGAGCTAAACCCTCTGCAGGGCTTGGGGCCAACAACATGGTTTGCATAGTATGAGGTGTTGTTACACACCAGACCACAAGAGGGCAATCGCGGGAAGACCACAGGATCCACGGGGAGATGAGGCCCTCCAATCTACAAGCCAGCAGTGTGGCTTGGAACACCTCTACGAGCCTCATCTTAGACATTTGAAAATGGAAACAACATCAACAAAGACAAGAGACACTAAGTTGATCTATTTTGAAGGTTAAATAAGGTAATATATTTGAATTTTTTCCTAAGTTGTAAAGTACTGTATAAAATGTTTATTTTCAATAAATTAGAAGACCGATGAATCTCTTGCCTAATAATCTTATTAATCTTATTGCCTATCGATTTCTTGGATTTTGCTTCATGTGTCTATGTTCACATTTCTTGCTACCTTTTGTTCTCTCTGGCATTTTCTTGGCTTATTTTTCTTTTCTGACCGTTTATCTTTCCTCCCTTTCTTTCTGTCTCTGTCCCGAATTGGTCCTATGTAACTGCTGGCAAACTCTGTACCAGCACTCTTCGAGGAGCTTAATGTGTTCTATCTCATTTAATCCTCACACCGACTGCGTAGAAAAGTACTGTGTCCATCCTCTTTTTATAGACCAAGAATCTGAAGTTAAGAAATGTGTTCAAAGACGCAGAGCTGGTAAATTATAGAACTAAGCTTTGAGTCTAAGTTATTCCACTGTAGCAGCAAGTCAAATCAGGAGACAGAAGTGATGGAGTAAGTTAGACAGAGGGAATTTAATATAAGAATTAGTAACAATTAATAAAAGAAAGACTAAACTATAAGACATAAGAAAAAAGCTCAGGGAGGGTACCCAAAGAAGGACAAAAGTAGAAGGGGCTCTTACCTATTGGGAAAAGTGCGGTTTAGCTACCAGTCAGCAGAGAAGTGCTCTGGCTTAGCTAGATGGGGTGGGTCTGGAGTTAAACCCTCCAATAGGGGGCAAACAATAGGTCACCTTCCCAATGCAGGGCAAGGCCGACATTGGGAACCATGTGGCTTGGATATGCAGTGGGAGTCCAGGCTTACCTTCAGAGTACATGGGCAGCAAGCAGGCTTGCAAAGGGGGCCGCAGCTCTGTGTGGACTGCCCCTCCCCCACCTCCATACAGCTGATATGGGCAGCTGAGGCCATGGAGGGGCTTTGGTTTCAGGATGAGAAGGCTGTGAAAAGGTCATCCTCACACCAAGGCTGCAAGGAGGCAGAGGGATCTCGTTCTGGGCCCTTGTGGCGGGCACCACCGGACTGCCACACACTCCCCACTACCTGCCTCTTCCAACTGCAGTGTCCCTCCAGCGCCCCCTATGGAGAAAGTTTAGCATTGTTCTCACTTTAATGGAGAAAGGATTCGAGGGATTACATTGTTTGTCCCAGAGCACAAATCGAAGGGTGTGTTTGGAGCTGAGAGATAATAAATTGGTAACTGACACGCTGATTATCTCGCGCGCGCGCACACACACACACACACACTCACTCGCACATACACAGTACCATGGAGACTTTTGGAATTCATATGTAAGATAAATCAACTAAAGAGGAGTCATTGCTCATGCTTCAGGACTGTTACGGATGGCTGTGTTTTCCACCAGGAGGCAGCAAAGCCAAGCCTTCACCCAGACTGCAGCAGCGATGTGCAGTCAGGAATTACCTGAAGATTCTTATACTTATCACCTTGATGGGTATTCTTATATTGATCACCTTGATCATGCCTGAGGAGAAAAAAGAGGACCACAGTTACCTCCAGGAATAGTTATTTCTAATTGAAGTTGGGATCCAAGATGTAGAGTGTAGTTAGGAAAAGGCTGTGATACTTCAACCTCTTGAAAGCAGAAGCATGGCAGGGAGGACCTACTCCCAGATCCCAAAGGAGGACAGTTTAGGGCTTAGTTGAAGCCCGCAGCTTTAATTTTGGTTCCAGTTCACCTGGTGGGACACAGGAAGTACTGCTGGTCACCTAGCTACTCTATTTCAGGCTTTTTACAGACCACAAGAAGCTAATGCAAATTCAGAAATTATTTACAGATTGTTCAGAATATTGAGGACCCGAGATGGCCCTGTGCTTGTTCGGATCTTGGTGGCGACTAGCCCCAGAGGTAAATAACTCACTAGATGGGCCCAGGGATGGCTCGAGAATATATGCACGACTTAGGGACAGCAATCAGAGCAGGCAAGGAGAGCAGCCAGGAGGCTTGCCTGAAAGCAAGCACCTTTGTTTTTCCTTAGATTATTCAGTGACAGTTCTGTAAAACAGCAAAGTTTGTTAGTCAGGTCAGTCTTCTTACAATATTGAGAATGTTGCAATTGCCCATAATGAACACAAAGGTGCCTCAGCAGAGACACAATCTCTGATTTTAAATCCTTACCCTGAAGAGACAGCACCCGGGAAAACAAGTGTTCCTCAGGTCTAAGGCCCATGGGAAGGGACCGCGACAGATGTGGGAAGCAAGGTAGCACTTCTGGAAGCATTGGAGATGAATCATATTCACTTCAGTGGGCAAAAGCCAAGCAGATGCAGGGACAACCAGACCATAAATGGAAGGAGGGTCTGAGTCTGACAAAGAGACAACGTGCACCCCTTTGTAGAAGTTCACTAAAACCTGACCAAGAGAAAGCTCAACTTCAGAGCCTTTCTGCTTTTATTGCCAGAGATAGCTCTAACTTTGCCAGTGCTACCCTTGCTAATTCAGTTCCTAGAACTCTGTGGTGGAGAAGTTGTGCAGAGGGTTGTCATTCTATTTCCTGGCTTAGGTGGTAGTCACACAGATGTTTTACTTTGTTTAAATGCATTGGCTGAAATGCATTGGGCTGTATTCTCGATGCATGTATGTTACAGTTCAACAAAACCACATTAAAATAATACACACAAATGAATAAATATAAAAATATCCAGGACAATTCTTAAAAATAAAATTCATGTGTAGGAGCTAGTTCGACTAGATGTATAACATATTATAAAGCTATTATAGTTAGACAGTTTGTACTGGACCATGAATATACAGACAGATCAATAGAGCATGATAAGTTCAGAGCTGGGAAAAAATATACAGAAGAAGCTAGTACATGATAAGCACACCCTCAAATCTGTGAAAAAAGATCAGTTAATAAATGATGTTGCTACAACTGGGAAGCCATTAAGAAAATAAAAACTCTCATCTTATACTAGGATGAGTTATTTAAGGGTTAAAACATTAAAAGTTAACTCTTAAGAAAATCTGGGGGTATTCTTCTACACTTTCAAAATGGGGATCACTTTTATAATTATAATACAACAAACAAGAACTAGAAAATAAAAAAATTTTAAAACGTGTTTACATAATTATCATTTTCTATATGGCTGAAATATAACAAAGTCAAAGGTCAAAAAACACAGAGGAAGAAATTTAGTTTCTCATAGCACAAAAATAACTTAATTTCTCCAATATTATATAAGTGCTACAAATCAATAATAAAGTCATCAAGAATACAATTAAGTATTAGGTAAGTTATGTCATCAGGCAGTTCCCAGAAAATGAATGTTGTGGTTCACTAAATGTAATAAAATATAGTTGAGCTTAGTTACTAAGAGCAACTCAAAACTACTTTGAGATCCCATTTTTAACCTACCAGATGGGCCAAGAACAATTAGTTTAAAAATACATCATTTTGATGAGTTTGTGGGGAAAAAAATGCAGTCTTATACATTGTAGGGAGTGAAATAAATCAGTGAAACTCATATGGAAGAAACTGGAAATACTGATCAAATTACAAAAGTATTTAGCCTCTGAGTCAGCAATTGCACTTAAATAAATATATTCTATCTCCTGAGGAATGATGTATAAATAATGTGTTCACTGCAGCATTGTTTGCAAGAGCCAAAATTGGGAACTGCTATATATACATAGGTTATTATCCAGACTGGGAAACAAAGAGAGAAAGTCTTAATGCACTGAAGTGGAATGCTCTCCAACAGATGCTGTTGTGAAAAAAGCAATGAGCAAAATGATGTGGAGTTACTCTTATTTCATTAAAAGAAGAAAAAATATACATGTTTGTGTGGGGTTTTTTGTGCATAAAATAACCCTGAAAGGATATTTCAGAAATTGATCTCTGTGAACTGAAGTAATTGGAGTTTCAAGTTGGGGATTTCACTGTGTATCCTTTGTAACTTCTGATTTTAGGCCCAAGTGAATGTGTGATAATGATCACTATTAATAATATTAAAGGAGATGGGCCATGCTCCGTGGTGCATGCCTATAATCCCAGCAGTTTGGGAAGCTGAGGCAGGAGGATCTCTTGAGCTCAGAAGTTCAAGACCAGCCTGGGCAATGTGGCAAAATCCCATCTCTACAAAAGATACAAAAATTAGCCAGGTGTAGTGGCACGCACCTGTAGTCCCAGCTACTTGGGAGACTGAGGTGGAAGGATCACTTGAGCCCAGGAGGTCAAGGCTGCAGTGAGGCAAGATCACACCACTGCACTACAACCTGGGCAACAGGGTGAGACCCTGTCTCAAAAAAAAAAAAAAGGACAAAAAAAATTGCATTAAAGGAGACCTGCAGGAAGCAGAGCCTCAAATGCTGGAACCCAGGAAGACAGCACCATAAGGACTCGCTCCGCTCCGTTACTGGATGTAATCACATCATTACATTAGCAAATTCCTGCAAACTGGCCTCAACTTTTCTCACCATCAATTAACATAGCCCATGCAGCAAAGAAAGATGGTAATAGTCTTCCCCACTTTTGATAACAGAGGCAGAAAAACATAAGGAGGTAGGAGTGTGGCTGCCGCGGGACACATTCTGCTAGTTTGGATGATGCATTGAAAACAGCCTTAAAAAATGAGTTCCCCAATTTGGACAAGCAAGTTGGGAGTTATTGGCAGAAAAAGTTTGATTTAAGAAAAAAAGACCAACAATCACCATTCATGCATTTAACTAATATTTTTGAGTATTTACTATGTATTAGGAACTATTCTGACTGAGAGCCTGAGATATATCAGTAAACAACATTTGCCTTTTTGGCAATGACATTCTAATGAGAGAAGACAATACATAAAACTATAATAAATAAAAATTAGCTCATTTTAGTGCTATGAGATACTGGTCTTTATATTATACTTATATTATATTGTATGTGAAAAGTACTACCAAAGGAAAACAAAATAGGACTGTGTAAAGGTGACTGGAGTGAGGGCAAGTGTGGAAGATTGTCATTTTAATTAGGAAAATCAGTGTGTACCTCACCGAGAAATTGATATTTAAGCAAAGACTTGAAATACAAACAAAAGGCCCTTAGTGGCATGCTTGTGCATTCGTATGCATGTACACATGTGCACACACCTGGCCTGCTGCAGGAACAGCAAGGAGGTGAGTGTGGCTGCAGCAGAGCAAGTGACAGGAAGAACAGTAGGAGATGAGGTCCAAGGTGTGTGTGGAGTTGGGGGTCAATAATGCAGGGCCTTGTGGGCTATTGTGAGGACTTCAATTTACCCAGCAAGGCATGGAAAGCCACTTCAGGTTTTTGAGCAGGAGAATTACATGATATGACTTATGTTTTAAAGTCCACCCCAACTGCTCTGCTGAAAACAGACAATAGAGGACCAAGAATAGAGCAGAGATACCAGTTAAAAGCTGATTAGAAAAGTCAGCAAGAAATCATGGTGTCTCAGAGTAGGTTGGCCACAGTTACAGATGGATTCATTTTGAAGTTAACAGAATTTACTGATATTAACTGAGTGTGAGTTATACAAGACAGAAGCCAAGGAGGACTCAAAAGTCTTTAGCTTGAGCAAATGGAAGAATAGAGTTAGCATCTTCTGGGCTGAGATGTCTAGGGGTAGAGGATGTTTTCAGGAAAATATCAATAGCTCAGTTGTGAGCACATTAAATATGAGATGTCTATTAGATATCCATGTGAGAATACTAAATAAATAAGCAGTTGAATATGAAAGTCTGAAGTTCCGGAGAGATTTCTCAGCTGTTATTAACAAAGTAGACACCATCATCAATGACATATAGATGGCCTTCATGGTCAGGAGACTGAATGTTCTAACCAAGAAAATGAGTATTGATGGAGAAGAAAAGAGAACCAAGGACTCCAGCAGGAAGTAGCCAGGCAGAAGAACAGGAACACAAAGAGTTCCAAGTTAATGTACTGGCTAAATTATTCTTCCATGTATTTATTTACTAAATGTGGATTTAGTACCTAGGATGTTCCATACATTGTGTTGGAAATAGAATTTAAATGGTGAGCAGAAAGTATATCTATCCTCACCTTCTAGATAGCCTTCATTAGCTTAATTTTAACAAACTAATATGCATCATGGTTAAAAATTCAAATAGTTTGTGTGTATTTGATTCTTCTAGGAAAATATTTATGTATACTAACATATATGTTTATCTTATTTTGTATATATCTCCGTATATACATTCTTTTTATAAGAAAAGGAATATACTAACATATTGTTTACTGGATTGCTTTCTTTGATTACATAGTTGGGAGAATTTTTCATAGCATCATCTACAACTGGACTCTGTTTTTATTAGCTATATACTATCCTATTACATGATTGTAAAATGAAATCTCATTAACAGAATATGAAAATACCTGTTTCTCAACATATTCATTAACAACTAATGTGATCAAAATTTCATATTTGTTGCCAGACTGTCATAGAAAAGCCAGTGTCTCATTGATCTTCTGGTTTGCATTCCTTTAGTTATGAATAAGCATTTCTTCATAGATTTGTTGGCCATTTCCACCTCTCTCTCTCACTCTACCTCTCTCTCCCTCTCCGTACTCTTCCTAGAAAGAACTTAATTCTTATAGATTAAGGCTTTGGTCCCAACTACAATGTTAGAGACTTTGGGAGATGTGAATAAGAGTAGACATTTTACTGAGAATAAATTTTAGAGATAACTATAAGCATGAAGACCTGAAGAAGACAAGTAAAAGAGAAATACTTGAATAGGCTATTATAGAATGAAAAGCACAATTCACATACTTCCCAAGAGTGCTACCCTTTGGCCGAGGTGGTTCTGTCCTGGACTTCAGACTTTAAAGAGTCCTTCTCTGGCTCTCCTCCAGCCATGACCCACCCCCATAGGATGATTCAATAGGTCCAGGGTACAGGCCCAGAGCTGCTGTCTCTCTCACTCCAGCTATCCAGGACCCCAGAAATCTCTGTCAACTGGCCCTGAGATCACCTTTATGTGTCTATCCTCTTGAAGACTCAAACAGCCAATACTGTGCTCACTTCTAGGTCTCAATGACCAAGAGAGGGGCAGTTTGAGAGATCCATGTATGAAAAGAACATGGACGGTATGGACTAGGATATTTACACTCATGCACGCCCGAGGTCCCTCGTGACACAAGATGAAGCCAGGGAGTAGGAAGAGAACCAGGGGTGAACCACAGGGGTCAGAAGCCTCTGTTTGTGCTCTTGCCTGGTGTCCTACAAATGTTTATGGCAGGCATGCTTCCCAGAAGAACAGAATTTCCTAGTCACTGTCCTCAAAGAGGCCATGCTACAGGAAGAAAAGGAAAGAGTAAACATAATGAAATGCTTCTCTCTTATCATTATTTTAGTCAATTCACTATTCAATTGATTCAGTTTCAGAATCTTTTATGTGCCAATTGCTCAGCCAGACACTGGGAATATCAAAGTGAATAAAATAGGGTCCTGGCCCCTAAGGCATCCCAGTTTCTCCCCTGTTTAAAACCTTTCAGTGGTTCCCATTGTCCTCAGGATAAAGTCCAAACTCTTTTTCTTATGGCATAAAGGTCCTCACCAACACAGCCTTACCTACCTAGGTAGGTGAATCTCCCCCTTCTCCTTACTCCCCACTCTGCTCCAGCCACACTGAGCTTTTCCACCAAATAGCCTATACTTTCACATTTCTGGATCTGAAAATGTCCTCCCAGACACACCCCTATGTCCAACTTCCTATTTCCAATTTCCAAGTCTCAGCTTAAATATCACTCCCTCCAGGAAGCATATCTGACCCCCAAACCTGACCCCTGTGCTTATCCTACCATCATTATTATCACATGGTATTGTTGGCTATTGACTTGCCTCCATATTGAATTAGATCTTTGAGAATGGGAACTACATCCCATTGAGCTACACTTCACTTTTTAGGACAGAGCCTGGTAGATAGGAGACAATCAATACAGATTTGTGTTTTAGGTTATTGCATGCTTATGGGTTAGCTAGGGAGCTTTCTTTTTATCTTTCAGGAAAGAAACCAAAGAGACAGACTCTCCAGCAGGCAGGGGGCGCCAGTGAGTGAGCTAGGCATAGAGTCTTGTGGAGAGAATTATGGTGTCATAGAGGCTTAGAATCTTGGCATTAGCAGGGAAGGGAACCCATCTGGTTCAGAAGGCTTTGGCTTCTGATAGTCATGGACTCACTAGGCTGCTGAGGAAGATCAATAATACCTACTGGAATCAGTCATGAGAAGTCAAGCATGGAAATTGTGAATTGTGTGTGTGGCCAGACCAGGTAACACAGAGAAACATTGTCTTTTGGGTCCTCTCTCCATGGCTTTTTCATGTGTTCATTAGTTCATTACGTATTTACCTACTGAGACCCATGCAATGCCATTCAGTGTGTTGGATGAGAGGATTCCAGGATTCATCCTATCTTTCAGGAAAAAGCTCCTGCTTCTATTTAAGAGGAAGACATGGGAGCCACTGGGGGTGGGGATAGTGAGAATGCCTGTGTTTATGGAACTAACAGACCACAAAAGTGAGACAATTGGGAAAATAATAACCACTATAAAAATGTAATGGGAAGTACAGGGGATCCAAGAAAGCCTTTCAGGGAGATGGAGGTTTTGGGTTAAGGAAGTTTTCCTCGAGGAGTGATGTGTAAGCAGAGACTTCAGGTTTGAACGATATTCAGTGAGCATGTGGGGACAGAGACCCAGGAAGGGTGGTTTAAGCTGGGAAAGAGCACATTCAAAGACCTGGAAAGAGGTGAGAAAATTCAGCAGGTGTCTGCTCTGAGCCAGTCTGGTGCCTGAGGGAACAGTGTTTGGACATGAGGCTGGGCCTGTGGGCAGAGGGAGAAGGTGCCTTGCCAGAGCCCTCCTGGTGGTTTGGGCTCTGTATCAATCCTCTCTGAATAGAGCAATAAGAGCTAGGAAGATGGCCCTGGCCTTGCACCACAAGTGTTTGACATGATTAGGCAGATTTCCTGAGGCAGGCTGTGCACAGCATGGTTGGGAAGGAAGGGAAATGGAGCTTGGAGAGAATATTTATTTATTTGTTTGTTTCTTTTTATTTATTTATTGAGATGGAGTCTCACTCTGTCACCCAGGCTGGAGTGCAGTGGTGAGGTCTCGGCTCACTGTAACTTCTACCTCCCGGATTCAAGTGATTCTCCTGCCTCAGCTTCCCAAGTAGCTGGTATTACAGGTGCACGCCACCACACCCAGCTAATTTTTGTATTTTCAGTAGAGATGGAGTTTTGCCATGTTGGCCAGGCTGGTCTCAAACTCCTGACCTCAAGTGATTCACCCGTCCCAGCCTCCCAAAGCGCTGGGACAACAGGTGTGAGCCATTG
This sequence comes from Homo sapiens, assembly GCF_000001405.40. NCBI lineage: Eukaryota > Metazoa > Chordata > Mammalia > Primates > Hominidae > Homo > Homo sapiens. The sequence continues at coordinate 152,879,512 of NC_000001.11, forward strand.
TGCCCGGCCAAGGAGAGAATCTTAAGAAGAAACTCTTGCAGGAGGCAGAGGGGTCCAGGAGGCAGGTTTGTTGGACAGGAGCCAGGGTTCTGAAAGTGGAGGATATAGATACTATTCACCAGGCAGAAGGAAGACAGTGGAGACAGCACTGGCTCAGAGGGGCAGGACCTGCATCCATGGGGGTGAGGTTGCAGAAGGACTTGATGTTGCCCTCCCTATGCTACAGTCAACAAGACTGGTTTCCAACCTGCTGTCCTTCTCTGATATTGCACAACCTCCACATTCAGGACCTATTCCCAGGATCTCACTATGGGGGACATGCTTGGAGTGGGGACATTGGTGGGACTGGTGAGGCAAGCCCCTGGACCTGGGCTCCAGGTGCCTCTGATGCCTCTGCACCTCTGATCACTGGAATGAGAATTGCTTCTGTAGAAACAGCTCAGTCTGGACTTGTAAAGATGGACACTAACAAACTGGACTTCCAAGTGGTGATGAGACTCTGCACTTTGGTCAATTCAGGGCACTGACCTTCAGAGTAGAGAAAGGTAAACCAGAGACAAAAGACAGAAAGGTAGAGACAGAATGAAGACCAGAGAATGATAGAGAGGCAGAGAGGAAAAAAAAATAGCAAAAGGCAAAAATAAACACAGAGAGGAACAACAGAAAATAAAAACAGAAGGGGCTCACTCCTCCCTCGTCCCTCTCAAAACCTAGTCTTAGGTCTGACCTCTAAGGGAGCAGATTCAAACAACAAGGAGATACGGACAGATACTGGGCTCCCTGCATACCCCGGCACACCCAAATTCACCACTGTACAGCTGCAGGGGCACCCAAGTGTGTGCTTGTGTGTGCGTGTGGACACACACACACACTTCCTGTCAAACAGCTTTGAACACTGCAAAGGTGGTAGAGAACATGGCCCTGTACTCTCTCACCTCTTCCCTATTTTTATACTGGTCTGTCTCCGTCTTATTTCCATTTTTGGTGTGCCTCTCCATTGCTCACCTCTCTCCTTCCTGTTCTCTCTCGGGCAAGTCAAGGCATCGCAGGGCCTGTATCTGCCACCTCAGCCTCTTTGCAGCTTCCTCTGACCTAGAAGGAGCAATAGGGTGACTTGTCCCCACCCCCATCCTTTAGGAGTCTTTGCTCTAGTGTCTTCCTCTTAAATGGAAGCAGGGGCCTTTTCCTGAAAGATAGGATGAATCCAGGAATAACTGGCAGAGATAGAGTCATGACTGAATTAAAGCCAACATCCTAACCCAAGTCACTCTCCCCTTTTTAGGTGGGAACTGCCCTTGACCCAGTTCAGGCTGCAGCCATATAGCCAGGGACTTAGGATCATGAAAGGTTTATACCAGGTGGCAGGGCCTTAAGAGATAACTCTTCCCTCCCAATCTTCTCTCACCCTAATGCTGTAGTTCAGGAGATTCAAACATAGGGGTCCTTATAAGAGGTAGCACTGTGCTCCCCTCCTTCCCACAGAGAAACCCTGAGATGAGGCTCCAATGGTTCAGAAAGTGAAAGTGAAGAGAGTCTGCGCTGGGGCTGGGTCCAACGTGTGAGTCTGAAAGTTACTGTTTCTAGTGGGTGGCGCTGTCGGCCACACCTGGCTCAATGGGACCCAGTTTGTACACTATGAACTGGATTTAGGTGAATCCCCAGATAAAAAAGGGTTGAGTCTAAGAGCATGTCACCCATCATTCAGGATAGCCACAGCCCTGGGTCTTCTATAAAGTCACAAGGGTGATTCAGATAGCAAAGTAGGTCATCTAACAGGCGTCCTTTAGCAACCACCTGACTGGAGAATCCTGCACACCTTCAGGAGAGGATGATACAGATTTTTGTCCTACTGGGGTGGATTAGTCCATTTCCACACTGCTATAAAGATACTACCCGGCCGGGCGCGGTGGCTCACGCCTGTAATCCCAGCACTTTGGGAGGCCGAGGCGGGTGGATCATGAGGTCAGGAGATCGAGACCATCCTGGCTAACAAGGTGAAACCCCGTCTCTACTAAAAATACAAAAAATTAGCCGGGCGTGGTGGCGGGCGCCTGTAGTCCCAGCTACTCGGGAGGCTGAGGCAGGAGAATGGCGTGAACCCGGGAAGCGGAGCTTGCAGTGAGCCGAGATTGCGCCACTGCAGTCCGCAGTCCGGCCTGGGCGACAGAGCGAGACTCCGTCTCAAAAAAAAAAAAAAAAAAAGATACTACCCAAGACTGGATAATTTATAAAGGAAAGAAGTTTAATCGATTCACAGTTCCACATGTCTGAGAAGGCCTCAGGAAACACAATCATGGCAGAAGGCAAAGGGGAAGGACCTTCTTCACATAGTGGTGGGAGAGAGAAGTAAGAACAGGGGAAATGTCAGATGCTTATAAAACCATCAGATTTTGTGAGGTACATACACAGAGCCAAACCATATCATGGGGTAACCCCCAGAAATTATTTTATTTTATTTTATTTTACTTTATTTTATTTTTTGAGATGGAGTTTTGCTCTTCTTGCCAAGGCTGGAGTGCAATGGCACGATCTCAGCTCACTGTAACCTCCACCTCCTGGGTTCAAGCGATTCTCCTGCCTCAGTCTCCCAAGTATCTGGGATTACAGGCACCTGCCACCATGCCCATTTTTCTATTTTTTGTAGAGACAGGGTTTCACCATGTTGGCCAGGCTGGTTCTGAACCCCCGACCTCAGGTGATCCACCTGCCTCGACCTCCCAAAGTGCTGGGATTACAGACGTGAGCCACTGTGTCCGGCCCTCCCCCAGAAAGACTTTAATGTGAGGAGAGATTTGTAGCTACTGTCCCCAGGAGTCCCTTTATCTACAGGACACAAAAGAAGAGGACAAGACAAGAGATGTGGCTTTCTAAACATCAGGGAGAGTGTTTGGAGCAGGGCTGTGGGGAAGCAGCCTGACAGCAGGTCAGGATAGGATAGAGGGCAAGTAGGGAGCACCCAGCAGGAGAGAGAAGGCCAGGACAGAGGCTGGCCCCTACTAGGAGCTATTCACACTGGCTCTAACTGTAAAGACTCATGAGAAAGTTCAAGCAATCTCAATTTGTTAAACAGCCATCATCACAAACCTCAAGTTCTTCTCTCCATGTACCTATAATTATGCATGGACACATGCCTACATGCACTTAGGTGCACACACACACACACACACACACTCTCACAGAGATATGGGCATGTGTGTGCTTAGTGGAAAGCCCACAGCAGTAACTGGCTCAGTTTAAAAAACAAGTTTGGGGGCTGGGACATTGGCTCACGCCTGTAATCCCAGCACTTTGAGAGGCTGAGGTGGTCAGATCACCAGAGGTCAGGAGTTCGAGACCAGCCTGGCTAACATGGCAAAACCCCATCTCTACTAAAAATACAAAAATTTGCTGGGCGTGGTGGTAGGCATCTGTAATCTCAGGTACTCCGGAGGCCGAGGCAGGAGAATCGCTTGAACCTGGGAGGCAGAGGTTGCAGTGAGCTGAGATCGCACCATTGCACTCCAGCCTGGGTGACAAGAGCGAAGCTCCATCTCAAAAAAACAAAAACAAAAACAAAGAACCACTAATTTGGGCCAGAGGCTTTTCTCACAATCCCAAGGATGCCAGAGGCTGGAAGGTGGTTGCCACCTCACCTCAGCAGTTGTCACTCCAAATCCCACACCCATCCTACCCTACCAGTGACAGGGCTCTGACAGGCCTGGCACCTCCCTGACATGGGTTTGTGGCTTTGTGAGCTGAGTCCACAGAGGGGGTACAGGCTCATTTCCCGTGCTTCTACATTTCCTTGAGGAGGCTAGATAACAACCTGCTCACTGTCTGCTGTTTCCTGGCCACTTCTAGACCCTCTATTCTGCTCTGGGACCACAACAGTGGCGTTCATCCTCTCATCATGTGCCATAGGAGGGACCAGGGCGGAAACCATTAGGGGCTTCTCCAGGGGCTGCATACCTGGGCTGAGGCCCAGGGACGTTCCCAGAAGAGCTTGGACTTCCTGGGAGGAGGAAGATGGGTAGATAGAAGTAAAGCAAGAGTTGTTTGGATTTTCTCTATACCTGGAAGAATCAGGAAATGATAAAACTGCTGAGTGGTTGAGTTTGAGGACACCTACCAGGTCCAGTTCCCCCTTCCTCACCCCCACCACTGCCCCTTTATAGAGGAAGAGGTACAAGCCCAGAGAGATGAAGAGAACTGCACAATCCCTTAGGCTTGGGAGTTGCAGAACCAGGCCTGGAACTCAAGTCCTGCCATGCCAAGAGCACTGTACTTTTCATTTCATCTTGCTGTAACCACCACAGTGCTCCGTGCATGGGACAAAATGATGCATTCAGGAAGCGTGTGACAGTTGGTCACTCTAAGTGCAAGAGTTTCATTGCACCTGGGTCCATGGGTGCCACATTAGAGACAAGAACAAGCACATGCTCTGGAGTGGGATAGAGCTTGGCTTGAATCACTTACAAGCAACTGAGGTGGATTTTTGAACTTCAGTGGTCCTCATATGAAGTGAAGTGGACTAAAAATGTCTACCTCAGGCTGGTAGCCGTTATAACATTAGCTGATGTTTGTGAAGTGCCTGACACTTGACTCAGGATCTGGAGACTGAGGGTCAAACTGTTTGCTCATTAGCTAAGGGACCTTATTCACATTGCTTACATATTCTGGTCTTTTGATTCTTTATCTGACAAATGACTACCTAGTAAGGAACAAACACACTGGCATATGCAAAGGTAGAATTATGGGGCTGGCTGGCCTCTCTGAGGGATCCAGCTCTGCTTTCTCAACCCTGGTCTGAGTCATTATCCTGAAGATGGATGTATTTGGGTGTCAAGAAAGGAGGAAATGAAAGCAGGCACCCAGATTTCCTTCTGATGAGAATATTATTTTCTTTTTCTAGTACCTCCAAGTGTTCAGAAGATGTGTGACCAGACAAAACACAGTAAATGCTGCCCAGCAAAAGGCAATCAATGCTGCCCACCACAGCAGAACCAGTGCTGCCAGTCAAAAGGCAATCAATGCTGCCCACCAAAACAGAACCAGTGCTGCCAGCCAAAAGGCAGTCAATGCTGCCCACCAAAACACAATCACTGCTGCCAGCCAAAACCCCCATGCTGCATTCAGGCCAGGTGCTGTGGTTTGGAGACCAAGCCTGAAGTCTCACCCCTTAACATGGAGTCTGAGCCCAACTCACCGCAAACTCAGGACAAGGGCTGTCAAACCCAGCAGCAGCCCCATAGCCCACAAAATGAGTCCAGGCCAAGCAAATGAGAGCAGAAGAAGTCAAACAAAGAAGAAGTCCCTGGGGCCATGCCTTTCACTTTGTAGGGTGGGGGATTACTGAGAGTCAGGCTAGACCTGTGTTTAGAGAAGCAGTTTTCACAGTGACTACCATTTCCACCCAATGAGAGGCTCCTATTTCCCATCATAGCTCCCTACCCTAGGGAGGCCTCCATCTGGAAATGGGAGGATGAAGAGGCTAGAATCATCTTTCCTAGTGATCCTGACATTTAGACAGCACAGAAATAAAGAGCAATAAAAAGAACATTGCCTCCGTTTGTTCCTTTACTTACTTGTGAAACCATCTCACCAGCCTGGCCTAGAGCCCAAGAAAATATTATGGGCATGTCCTGGAGGTCCAAGGAGCAAGAACTAGCATCCTGAAGAACAAAACCTCTGCTGAGCTGGAGTGTAGTTGACTGACTCATCTTGGTTTTAAAATGAAAGTCCTGCATTCCAGGAACCCCTTCAGTCCTTATTAAAAAAAAAAAAAGATTATTGGTCACTCAAAGTGCAAGAATCCTAATTCCTCTGGGTCCCTGGGTACCACATTGCACTCCAGACCAAGCAAAAATATGTAAGTCCCTTGGAGTGATTCCACCCCCGCATCCAGAAATTTTAGATGGAGGTAGAGTCCCCAGGACTCAGCAAAGCACAGTGGCTAGCGGCAAAGAGTGAAATCTTCCAGGATCAGCACTGGCTCCTCAGTCACAGAGTAGCAATCTTAAAGCAAGTGGTTCAGTGTTTCTGACACTCTATTTCCTCGTGTGTAAAATGAAGACAATGGTACTTCCCTCAAAGATTTTTTTATGAGAATTAAAAGGGATAATTCATTTAAAGTGCCCGACATAGGGTCTGACACCGAGTGGCTATTCAGTGTGCATAGTTTTCAAACTCCTCTCAGCCACAAGGCCCTATTTCCCTCTAAAGAAGACATCATTCTCCAATAATTTGTCCCCAAGCACACCCCCACTAGTCCAGGTAGACAGGTAGAAATAGAGAAATCAGCCTCATTAAGCACACTTGTAAACTTCCATTTTTACTGCTTTTTGATGTGTAATTAACATATCACTTTTAAAATTTTTCGAGTGCACTTCTGTACTCTCTCTCTCATACTTCTCCCTGTCCACCAATCCCCAGAAAACTACTGGTCTACTTTTGTCCCTTCAAATTAGTGTTTTCAAGAATTTTATGTAATCACACAGTAGGTTTGTTTTTTTATGCTGAGAGTTTATTATTTCAAAGCAGGTCTTCCCCTACCCACTAAACACTGCATATAAGAAGAAGCTCAAAACTGCAGTTTCTATTTTGGTACCATCTAGGGTCTATGAAAGTCATTTTCAATTACTTGGAATTTCAAAATAGAGATTCCCTAGCAACAATGCAGCGGTGGCACACAAAATATTCCTGCACTTTGTTTAGTTTGTGGGAGAAATTGGAAGAATTTCATAGTCTTACAAAAGTTATGTTGGAAGTAGTTTATTTTTCCCTCTAGGTGGGCAGGCAGCCATCTCTCCAAAGTTTTTGTGAATGCTAAGGTTCAGATTTCAAAATGTAAACAGATTTTCACGAAGCATCTAAAATGGGCCACTCTATTTCTATTCTGGGTCATGGCAACTCTGAGTTATTTTGTATTCCCACACTGCAAAGGGCAAAACCCCATTCCTTGCATGTAAACTTTCAGGAGAAGTGATGCAGCACGATTTTAGGAGTTTCTTGAAGTAGCTAGCGACCTGCAAGTTCAGGTCATTCCAAGAATCTGGCCAGATGGGAGAAATCTTGAGATCTTGGGCTCCTGAAGGCTTCCTCGTGCCCCATCCAGCTGGTCCTGGGGGATTCGTGGTTGCTGCAGTAGTTGGAGGGTTGCTACTCTTCACAGCCTGGGTGGTGGGTGCCCTGCTCTCCACCCTGGGAGCCTCCACTGGCTGTCATGCTCCAGGGACTACTGCGGTTCCAAGGCGAGACCTCCACCCTCCCATGGCACCAGCCTCCAATTTGGCATCGCCCCCCAACTCATCGGTGGAAGCCAGTGAGAGTCCTGCTACACTGGGCCTCACCACCATCCCCAGGCCCAATGCGGCTGAGCAAGATCTTGGTAGAGCTGGGCTTTGGGATCTGCACCCTGTGCAAGGACAGCCGAGATGAGCTGACTCACCCGCCTTTCCCTTGCTGGGGTCTGGGGAAGCCAGTGGTAATTACCCAACCCTCTGTGAAAGGCAAGGCTATGGGTCTGCAGGAATGGTGGGAAGACCCTGCCCAGCCTGGAGACTCCAACCTTCATCCCTGCCCCTTGCCCCACCCCAGTCCCACTCCCTGTCCTCTTCCTGAGTCTCCACGCAGCTCTCTGGGTTGGCCACCCTCCGTGGGGAGCCCTGGCATCAAGTCAAGTCCCTCCTCTGCCACTTCCCAGCCCAAACCACTGTGCATTCTTTTATGCCTGGCCCCTTTTACTCAGCTAAATTAGATTGAGATTCAAACATGTTTTTGCATGTATCCACTGTTCATTCTTTTTCATTGCTGAGTAGCAAATACCCTCATTATTGTGAATATGTCGCTTTTGTTTATCAACTAATCCTTTGATGGGCATTTGGGTTGTTTCCAATTTGAGGCTATTACAAATAAAACTGCTATGAACATTCATGCACAAATCTTTCTATGAACATATGCTTTCATTTCACTTCAGTAAAGACTTAAGAGGAAAATGACTGTGTTATATAATAGGTGTATGTTTTACTTCTTAAGAACCTGCCCACCTGTTTCCCAAAATGGTTCTACCATTTTACATTCCCGTGAGAAGTGTATGGCAGCTCCAGTTGTTGCATAGCCCTGCTGATTATTTGTATGCTCACTTTTTTTAGTTCTAGAGTTGCAGATATTTTAATAAATATGCAGTGCTGCATCATTGTGGCTTTAATGTGCATTTTCTTAATGGCTAATGATACGGAACATCTCTCCTTGAGCTCTTCTGCCTTCATATATCTTCTTTGGTGAATTTTCTGTCCAAATATTTCCTCCATTTTTTTACTATTTAGAGCTATTTGGAATTTTATTACAGGATTTTAAGGGGATGTGTATATACATATGTATATGTGTGTATGTATATGTGTATATATATATACACATAGTATGTGTATGTACACATGTATGTATGTATATATCTGTGTGTATGTATGCATATACGTATATATGTATATTCTTGATACAAGCGTCTTGTCAAATAAATGATTTAACATATTTTCTCCAGACTGTGGCTTATCATTTTATTCTCTTAAAAAAAATTTTTTTAATAGCAGAAATTCTTAATTTTGATAAAGTCCAGTTAGTTGTTTTTTTATTATTTTGTTTTATTTGTCATACCCAAGACATCTTTGCCTGATTCTAGAACACAAAGATTTTCTCCTATATTTTCTTCTGGAAGTTAATTTTTGTTCAGGCATACCTTGGAAATATTGCCGGTTCAGTTCCAGACTGCCACAGTAAAGTGAGTCACACATTTTTTTACTTCCCAGTGCATATAAAAGTTATGTTTACACTATACTATAGCTTATTAAATGCACAATAACATTATGTCTAAAAAACAATGTACATACCTGAGTTAAAAATACTTTATTGCTGAAACATGATAATCATCAGAGCCTTCAGCAATTGGTAATCTTTTTGATGGTAGAGGATCTTGCCTTGATGTTGATAGCTGCTGACTGGAGTGGCTGGTACAGTTCCTACTTTTTTTTTTTTTTTTTTTGAGACAGAGTCCTGCTCTGTTGACCAGACTAGAGTGCAGTGGTGTGATCTGGGCTCACTGCAACCTCTGCCTCCTAGGTTCAAGAGATTCTCAAGGTACACTTTTTTGCGATAAGACAACAATCAAGCTTGCTGCATCAATTGACTCTTCCTTTCACAGAAAATTTCTCTTTAGCATGTGATGCTGTTTGATAGCATTTTACCCACAGTAGAACTTCTTTCAAAATTCGAGTCAATCATCTAAAAACCTGTCACTCCTCTATCAACCAAGCTTACGGTATATTCTAAATTCTATGTTGTCATTGCAACGATGTTCACAGCATCTTCACCAGGAGTAGATTCCATCTCAAGAAACCAATTTCTTTGCTCATCCATAAGAAGCAACAACTCATCTGTTCAAGTTTTATCATGTGATTGCAGCAATTCAATCACATCTTCAAACTCCACTTATAATTCTAGTGCTCTTGCTATTTCTAACACACCTGTGGTTACTTCTGCCACTGAAGTCTTGAATCCATCCAAAGTCATCCATGAGGGTTGGAGTCAACTTCTTCCAAACTTCCCTTTAGTGTGGATATTTTTACCTCCTCCTATGAATCACAAATATTCTTAATGGCATCTAGAATGGTGAATTCTTTCCAGAGAGTTTCAGTTTACTTTGTCCATCAGAGGAATCACTATTTAAAGCATCTATGGCAGCTATAGCCTTACAAAATGTATTTCTTAAATAATAAGACTTGAAGGTGGAAATTACTTCTTGATCTGTGGGCTGCAGAATCAACATTGTGTTAGCAGGTATGAAAACATCAATGTCCTTTATATCTCTATCACAGCTCTTGGGTGACTAGGTACATTTGTCAATAAGCGGTAATTTTTCAAAAGCAATCTTTTGTTCTGAGCAGTAGGTTTCAACTGTGGGCTTAAAATATTCAGTAAACCATGCTATAAACAGATTTTCTGTCAACCAGGCTTTGTTGCTCTATTTATAAAGCACAGGAATAATAGATTTAGCATAATTCTTAAGGGCTTTAGGATTTTGGGAATGATAAAGGAGCATTGACCTCAAAGTCATCAGCAGTATTAACCCCTAACCAGAGGGTCAGTCTATTCTTTGAAGCTTTGAAGCCAGGCATTGACTTCTCCTCCCTAGCTATGAAGTCCTAGATAGTATCTTCTTCCAATAGAAGGTTGTTTCATCTACACTGAAAATTAGTTGTTTAGAGTAACCACCTTCATGGACTATCTTAGCTAGTCCTTCTGGATAACTTGCTGCAGCTTCTACATCAGCACTTGCTGCTTCCCCTTGCATTTTTTATGTTATGGAGCAGACTTCTTTCCTAAACATCATGAACTAACCTCTGCCAGCTTCAAACTTTTCTTCTGCAGCTTCCTCACCTCTTTCAGCATTCATAGAATTAAAGAGAGAGTTAATTCTATGGATTGCTGTGGATTAGGCTTCAGCTTAAAGGAATTATGTGGCTGCTTAGATCTATCCAGACCACTAAAACTTTCTTCATATCAGCAATAAGGCTGCTTTGCTTTCTTATCATTCATGTGTTCACTAGAGTGGCAGTTTCAATTTCCCTCAAGAACTTTTATTTTGCATTCACAACTTGGTTGTTCAGCATGAGTCCTATCATTTGGCCTATCTCAACTTTTGACATGTCTTCCTTACTAAGCTTAACGATTTTTAGCTTTGGGTTTAAAATAAGAGATATGTGACTCTTCCTTTTACTTGAACACTTAGAGGCCATTGTGGGGTTATTAATTGGCCTAATTTTAATAGTGTTGTGTCTCAGAGACTAGAAAGGCCCAATGAGAGGAAGATAAATGGGGGAATGGCTGATTGGTCTAGTAGTAAGAACACACACAATATTTATCAATTAAATTTGTCATCCATCGTCTATGGGCACAGTTCATGGTGCCCCAAAACAAATGCAATAGTAACATCAAAGATCAACAGTCACAGATCACCATAACAAATATAATAATAATTTTAAAAGTTTGAAATATTGCAAGAATTACCAAAATTTGACAGAGAGACATGAAATGAACACTTGCTGTTGGAAAAATGCTACCAATAGAATTACTGGACATAGGGTTGCCATATAACTTCAAACTGTAAAAAATTACAATATCTGAAAAGTGCAATAAAATGGCGTATGCTTATTTACGGTGGAAGGTATGAACAAAGGTTCATTGTTTGTTTGTTTGTTTGTTTGTTTTGCTGGGGGAGAGGCAGAGGGAAGCATAGGGATATCCCATTGTTTTATCACTATTTATTAAAGACTGTCCTTTCTCCAGCCTTTGCATTTTGTCAAAAATCACTGCCATGTCATATTTGTTTAACTCTTTTACATTGATCTATTTGTCTGTCTTGACACTAATGTCTTATTTACTGTAGCCTTATGCTAAGTGTTGAAGTCAGGTAATATGTCCTCTAATTTAGTTGTTTATCAAAGTTGTTTTAGCTACTCTAAGTTCTTTGCACTTTCATATTAAGTTTAGACTAAACCTGTCAATTTCTAAAACTAAATGCTGGGATTTTTTAAATCTATGGATTATATTTTGGGGATGGAAATGAACATCTTAACCATATTGAGTATTTTGATTGGTGAACATGGATTATCTCTCCATTTATTTACGTCTTCTTTAATTTTTTAAAGTTTTATGGTTTTTGGTGAATAATTTGCATGCATTTTGTCATATTTCCCCTAAAATTTGCAAGCATTTTGTCATATTTCCTCTGTGTTTGATATACTTTGATCATATTATAAATGACATTTTTATTTTGGTTTCTAATTATTCAGTTAATATACAGAAATGCAATTTTTTTTGTATATCAAACTTGTGTATGGCTTTTCCTTCTTTCTTTTTTTTTTTTTTTCTGAAATGGATTCTCAGTCTGTCACCCAGGATGGAGTACAGTGGCACAATCTGGGCCCACCACAACCTCCACCTCCCAGGCTCAAGCAATTCTCCCACCTCAGCCTCCCGGGTAGCTGGGATTACAGGCGCATACCACCATGCCAGCTAATTTTTGTATTTTTAGTAGAGACAGGAGGTCACCATGTTGGCCAAGCTGGTCTTGAACCCTTGACCTCAGGTGATCCGCCCGTCTCAGCCTCCCAAAGTGCTGGGATTACAGGCATGAGCCACCGTGCCCGGCCTGTGTACTGCTTTTTAGTTTTTACAGCTTTCATGTAAATGCCATAAGATTTTCTACACAAATGATCATGCCATCTAAGCAAAGATTTGACTTTTTTCTTTCCAATGTATTTTATTGCTCTGTTTTGCCACTTGAAGATGTTCCTTCTTTTTCTACTTTGTTGAGAGTTTGTAACAGAAATGAATGTTGGATTTTGAAAAATGTTAGTTCTACATCTATTGAGATGAACATATGGTTTTTTATTTTTAGTCTGCTAATGCAGTGAATTACATTGATTTTTGAATGTTAAAAGAACCTTGCATACTGGAGATAAGCCCTCTTTGATCAAGTTGTATTATCCTTTTTATATTCTTGGATTTGATTTGCTAAAATTTTGCTAAGAAGCTTTGGCTTTATGTTAATAAGGGATATTGCACTTGTTGGTAGTTTTCTTTTTTGTAATATCTTTGTCTGATATTGGTACCAAAGTAATGCTGTCCTTATGAAATGAGAGGTGTTCACTTCAATTTTCTGGAGCAGTTTGTGGAGAATTGGTGTGATTTCTTCCTTAGACATTTGATGGAACCCAGGTGTAGTTATCTGTTCCTGGAGGTTTCTTTGTGGGAAGATGTTTAACTGAAAATACAATTTCTTTAATTGATTTTAGTTTTTCAAATTATCTGTTTACTTTTGAATGAATTTTACCACTTTTTGTCTTTCAAGAAAATCATCTATTTCATCTAGGTTTTAAAATTTATTGGTACAAATTTATTCATGAGATGCCCTTATTATTTTTAACATATATGGAATCTGTAGTAAGCTTACCTCTTTCATTCCTGTATTGGTAATTTACATCTCCTCTCTGTATTTCCTACTTAGTTTAGAGAGTATTTTCATCAATTTAATCAGTCTTCTCAAAGCCCTGGCGTTTTGTTTCATTAGTTTTTTATGTTGTTTTTGGTTTTCTATTTCATTTATTTTTACTCTGATCTTTATCATTTCCATTCTTCTGCTTATTTGGGGTGTAATTTGTTCTTTTTTCTAATTTCTTAAGGTGGAAGTCGAGGTTATTATTTTGAAATATTTTCTATTTGATATAGGTATTTAATGTTAGAAATTTTTCTTTAGGCATTGTTTTAGCCACAACCAAAAAAATTTTGGAATGTTGTGTTTCTGTTTCTAGTTCAAAGGAGTTCTTATTTTCCCTTTTGATTTACTTTGATCTGTGGGTTAATTAGAAGTGTTTTTATTTATTTTCAAAATGCTGTGAGATTTTCCAAGAGATATTTCTGTTTTTGATTTCTAATTTTATTCCTCTGCAGTCAAATAACATACTTTATATGACTTGAATTTTTTAAAATTCACTGAGATTTCTTTATGACTCAGAATATGCTCTATCTTAGTAAATGCTTCATGTGCCCTTGAAAAGAAAGTGTATCCTACTATTGTAGGATGGAGTGTTCTGTAAATGTCAATTAGACTAATTTGTTTGACCATGTGATTTGAGTCTTCTACATCTTTACTTATTTTCTGGTTACTTGTTTATCAAGTATTAAATGTATAGCATTGAAAAGTCTGACCATAATTGTGAATTATTCTATAGTTTCTTTCAATTTTAGCAGTTTTTGCTTCGTGTATTTTGAGGCTCTCTTATTAGAAGCATAAAGATTTAAGATTTATTGTATCCTTTTCGTGAATTGCCTCTTTATTATCACAAAATTACCTTCTTTATCCCTGGTAATATCTTAGTTTGAAATCTACTTTGAAGTCAATATATCCACATTTTCTTTCTTTTGATTAGTGTTAACAAGACATTTTCCCCATTATTTTGCTTTTAACCTATTTATGTCTTTATGTTTAAAGCAGGTTCCTTCCAAGCAATATATAGGTGGGTCTTTTTTATTTGACCTGATAATTTATGCCTTTTAATTGGAGTACTAAGATCAATAGTGTTAATGTGATTAGTAAATATGGTCGTGTTTAAATCTGCCATCTTGCTGTTTGTTTTCTGTCTCATCTATTTTTTGTTTTCTTTTGTCTTATTCCTTTTTTTGAATTGAGCCTTTTATACAACCCCATCTCATCTCCTTCATTGACTTAATCTCTGTAACTTTTTTGTGTTATTTAGGTAGTTGCATTAGGATTCTATTGTTTAGATTTTTAACTTTGTATAGTCCACCTTTATGTTATACTACTTTGCTTACAGTATCAGAACCTGTAAACTATATACTTCCATTTTTCTCCTTCTGATCTTTGTGCTATTATTATAATACATTTTTATTTTACATATCTTAAAAATATTCATAATATGTTGCTCTCAATTTTGCTTTAAATAGTTATTTATTCTTCCAGTAGGTTTGAATTGTAAGAAAAAAAGGTTTTGTTTTATCCAGGTATTTACCATTTATGGTGCTCTTCTGTTGTGTAGATTCATAGTCCCATTTGATATTATTTTCCTTCATCCTGAGGACTTCCTTTAAAATTTTGTATAATTCATAGTCTGCCGGTGTGAAATTATTTCAGCTTTTAAATGTCTGAAAAAATCTTTATCTCATTTTAAAAATGTATTTTGCTGGATATAGAAATCTAGTTTTCCAGTTTTTTGTTGTTGTTTTTTCTGTTTGTATTTTTTCTTTCAATATATTAAGGATGTTGCTTTGCTGTTTTCTGGCTTGCATTGTTTCTAGTAAGAAATTTGCTCTCATTTCTTTCTTTTTCCTGTCATCATGTGACTTTCCTCATGTGACATGTCTATTTATCTCTGGCTATTTTTATGACTATTTTATCATATGTTCGAAGCAATTGTATTGTCCTTGTGCCCTGGTATAATTTTCTTCATGTTTCTTGTTTCTTGAATTTGTGGATTTAGAGCACCCTGCCAATTTTGAAAAATTTTGGTAATTCCCCATCTACCCCATTATTCAAGGATTTCACCTGTTCTTATATTAGGCTGCTCAAAATTTTCCCACACCTCACTGATGTTCTCTATTTGAGTTCTTTTGTTTGGTTGGTTTTCGTCTTTTTTCCTCCTCTCTGTGTTTTGTGTTAGGTAATTTCTATTGTGACATCTTCAAGTTCACTATATTTTCTTCTGTACTATCTGATATACTATTAACCTCATCCAAGGTATTTTTTTATTTCAGACATGGTAGTTTTCATCTCCACAAATTTAATTTTAAAATATATATATTTCATATATTTTCTGAATGTGTGCAATATTTTATCTAGCTTATTAAACATATAGAATGAATTTATAATCATTGTTTCAATGCTCTTGTCTACAAATCCTGTGTCTTTTCTGCGTTGCTTTTATTTTTCTATCATTATTGATGACATTTTACTATTTCTTTGCATGCCTGGCAATTTTTAATTGGAAGTCAGACATTGTGAATTTTGTCTTTCTGGGTGCTAAATATATTTATGTCCCTATAAATATACTTAAGCTCTGTATTGAGATACAGTTAAGTTACTTGGCAGCAGTTTGATTCCTTCAGATCTTTTTTAAGACCAGAAAAACATTTAATCTAAAACTAAATTGTACCCACTACTGAAGCATAACCCTTCTGAGTATCCTATCTGAAGCCATGTGAATTACACATTTTTCCAGTCTGGCTAGTAGAAACAGAAAGTATTTCTGGCCCTGTGGGCTCCAGTGATTTTCCTTCTTAATTCTTTGAAGTAATTCTTTCTCCTGTCTCATATGATTTCTTCACATGAATGTGCCTGTTAGTACTCAGTTGAAGACTCAAGAAGAATCTTCTGCAGATCTACAGAGTTCTCTCTGTGCACAGTTCTCTTCTCTCTGGTTTTCTGCAAACTCTAGCTGCCTTGGCATCCCCGCTTCCCAGTTCTGTCTTCACTCAGGGAAATAACCAGGCCCTGTCTGGATTCCCCTTCTGCACAGCAGCCTGCAAACTCTCTGAGAGTAAGCTGGAGCAATCAGGGCTCACCTCATCTGTCTGTCAAGGTCCACTGTCCTTCGTTGCCTGGTGTGTCTAGTATCTTGAAAACCACTGTCTCAGGTATTTTTTTCTTTTTTGGTGGAAGGGTAATCTGGCCCCTTTTACTTTATCTTTACCAGGAGTGGTAGTTCACTTTGTTTTACCAACTATTTGTTTGAGCATCAAATAACTGCAAGGTCCTATGTGATACACTTCAGACATGGAAATAAATAAATCAAGTCTGTTTTGTGATGCTTACAGCACAGACAGCAAGACAGGAAAGCAGATACAAAGGTGTAAGTGTTGTGATGGTAGGAAGCATGTTTTTTTCTAACTCCAACAACCTGATCTTTCCTGCCCATGTATCCTTTCTCCAGGAGTCTCCTTGGACTCCTCCCTGACTGCATCCTCATGGAGTGAAAACCAAAGACAGGTACACTTTGCTGAGGCTCCAGTGGATATGAATCTGGTTGTGGGTTGGGTGCAAAGACTGAAATGGCTCAGGAGGCTATGAATAGGGCTGGAGGTTTTAAAATACATGGTAAGAAAGCTCTTTGGCCCTTCACTAAATACTAGTGAGAAGCCATGCTGTGGTGGAAATAAATATTGAAATTCGGGATGGAGAATCCCTGAGATACAGAGCTTCAAAGCTGCCAAACTGCTGCTGAAACAGAAGACAGCAGCTCTAATATTAAGACAGTGATGCACTCTACTCTAAGAGGCTGTATGCAGCGGGAAGTGAGGGAAGGAAAGCCAAAGAAGCACTTCGTATAAAGGGGAATAATTTCAATGACAGAAAACTCAAGTTACAAAGGTGTCTCTGGAAGTCCAATACAACTAGTTCCTCCTGCACTCAGCACTGGATCAATTGATCTTTGCTTGGTTAAGCACTGGATGAAGTGGTTGTGCTTCATTTAGAACAAAAAATATAAATTCTGTTTTAAAATATCGGTATAATGATTCACAGAGCAGAGATGTTTGTGTTGTGCAAGGCCGAGAGGGCTGCAATACCAGGTCAAACACAGAAGATTGGGTCCTTGAGCCTTGGCCTGACAAAATGTTCCTCCTTCCTCATGTAAAATCACACTGCAAACCCCCTGGGTGCAGCTCCCCTCCCCCTCCACCTTTGTCTACCTCCTGGAGGTGGGCACAGGGCAGACTCCTCAGGAGAGCTGGTCTGTCTTAGCTGTATCAGCCAACCAGGGCCTGTGGAAATGCCAGGTCTCCCTTTCCTTGCCTCATCCCTACATGCAGACTTCCCATTCTGTTTGGCCTCATGGCCAGTTAGCCAGTTGCTCGGAGCTGCTTAGAAACAGGAGTAAGGAATTGTTGTAATTTCTTATGTCACGGAACTGGAGGAGAGGAATAAAGGGGTGAAACTTTAAGCACAGGAAACCCACCAACCAAGTGCCAGGGCAGATGAAGGAGGAAAGAATTGGGTCTTGTCTTTGTTCTTGGGAGCTTGGGGCTATTAGTGAGGAGGAAAGGGATGTTTACAAAATCATATGATCACCATTGCCAAAAAATGGAGAGAGTACTTAGGAGGATGAAATTCTGGAATACTGCAAGGCCATCTTTTCTCTCACACGAAGCTTCCTCAGAGGCCATCCCATCGAGTCAGCAGAACATACTATTCAGGGGAGGGTCTAGAGCTGGATCCTCCGGACAAAGACTTTTAAGTTTCTAAGTAGGCTTTGGGGATTTATTGCAGAGATCTAAAAGTATATGCTCTCCATAAAGCAGTCTTAAATAAATCTCCAGTAAGGGGAGAAGGAGCGGGAGAGGAGATTCTACATTGCATGAGGTAAAGCCAGAGCTGACTGTGTTTACTAGGAGTTGAGTACATTGTTTTCTGCAATCAGGGATAGTGACTGGATATTAGAAGTTAAGTTTATTTATGGGAAAATGCATTTATATCTTTTTGACAGGAGTATTCATTTCTTCAACAAACATTTAGAAAGGTGTCATAATGGATGTATTGGAGAGACTATGCATCAAGCACAGTTCTAGGTGTTGGGGAAGTCAAGAAGCCAAATACAGTCAAGGGCCCCGCTCTCATGAACTTAACATTCTAGGGAGGCAAGAACACAACAAATAACACAAGCTCCAATAGTGGTGAGCGCTATAATGAGATGAAGAAGGGCACGGGGTAGAGAATCAAATGTAATTGTGATTTTGGACTGTGAATTTCAAGTTATTATAACTAGGCTCAAACACATCTTTATTAATCAAAATAGGAACCATTGACAATCAACACATTTTTGCCAATGAGAAATAAGTTTACTTTTTCCTGTAGCATTAAAATCCATGATTCAGGGTTCAACAAACTCTTGGAAAGCATTTTCTTCACCCTGCTGGTTGTGGAAGCATTTTCCCTGCAAAATGTTGTCAAGATGCTTGAAGAAGTGGTAGTCGGTTGGCAAGAGGTCAGGTGAATATGGCAGATGAGGCAAAACTTTGTAGCCCAATTCATTCAACTTTTGAAGTGTTGGTTGTGTGACAAGCAGCTGGGCATTGTCATGGAGAAAAATTGGGCCCTTTTTGTTGACGAATGCTGGCTGCAGGCATTGCAGTTTTTGGTGCATCTCATGAATTTGCTGAGCATACTTCTCAGATGTAACGGTTTCACTGAGATTCAGAAAGCTGTAGTGTATCAGACTGGCAGCAGACCACCAAACAGTGACCATGACATTTTTTTTGGTGCAAGTTTGGCTTTGGGAAGTGCTTTGGAGCTTCTCCTAGGCCCAACCACTGAGCTGATTGTCACCAGTTGTCATATAAAATCCACTTTTCTTTGCACGCCACAATCCGATCAAGAAATGGTTTGTTGTTGCATAGAATAAGAGAAGATGACGCTTCAAAAACAACTATTCTTTTTTCTGCTCAGCTCATGAGGGATGCACTTATCGAGCTTTTTCACCTTTCTAATTTGCTTCAAATGCTGAACGACATAGAATGGTCAACGTTGAGTTCTTCAGCAACTTCTTGTGTAGTTGAAAAATAATCAGCTTGGATGATTCCTCTCAATTGGTCATTGTCAACTTCTGACGGCCAGCCACTACACTCCTCATCTTCAAGGCTCTTGTCTCCTTTGCAAAACTTCTTGAACCACTACTGTACTGTATGTCCGTTAGCAGTTTCTGGGCCAAACTTGCTATTGATGTTGTAAGTTGTCTGCACTGCTTTATGACCCATTTTGAACTTGAGTAAGAAAATCGCTTGAATTTGCCCTTGTCTAACATCACTTCCATGGTCTAAAATAAATATAAAATAAACAGCAAGTAATAAGTTATTAGCAAAAAACATCAAGTGAGAAGTGTGCATTAAAATGATGTATAACATAACCACATTTACTTAAGAATGTATTCCGATATCAAATGGCAAATTTCAACAACGCAAAAGCCCCACTTACTTTCACATCAACCTAATATTTTAGAGAGGTTAAAGGAGCCATCTCAGAAAAGTGACATTGGAGTAGAGATCTGAATGACATGAAGAAGTAATTCACTGGGATATTTGCAGCAGAGCTCTCCGGAAACAGAGAACAAGTGGAAAACCTGCAAGGCTGGATCCAAACCCTCCGCAAGTAGGAGCTGAGGAGTGGGGAGGTGAGGTGGAAATGAACAGGGACTGTGGAACAGTCAGGGCGTCATGGGCTTTGGTGTGTCAGTAACAGCTTTATTGGGGAGGAAGGGTGGGGTAATGAGCAGAGTTTACAAGGAGCTGGAGAAAGAGAGTCAGCACTGGCTATTGCCCCATTTATCTGCTTCTCTTAACAATATTTTTAAAAATGCTCTCTATCCTCGCTGTTCCCAAGCCCTCTCTTCTCATTCTTTCTTGAATCCACCCCAATCTGGCTTTTGTCCTTACCACTGCCTTAGACTGCCAGTGTCAAGGTCACTAATGGCCTCTGTGTTGCCTGATCCAATGGGCATTCTTAGTCCTTATCTTTTAAAACATATTTAATTGACAAAGATTGTATATACTTAAGGTATACAATGTGATGCTTTGCCATATGTGCATGTTGTGAAATAATTGCCACAATCAAATGAATTAACACATCCATCAGGACCCAGGCTGTACCTTAGATCCCCAGAACTAAGTTCATCTTATAGCTGAAAGTTTGTACCCTTTGACCAACATCTCCCCATTTCCCCAGCTCCCCTCACCAGTTCCTGAAAACCCCTGCTCTACTCTCGGCTGCTATAAGTTTGACTTTATTAGATTCCACATATCTGTATAGCATTTGTCTCACTGTTTATCCCTCCTCCTTGGCAATGTGTCCACTTGTCTTTTAGAACACCACATTATCCTACCATGTTTCTTAACTCTGTCTGCTCTTTCCCTTCTCAATTTTCCTGAACTTTTTCTTCATATCTCCCTGATCATTCAACACTGGAGTGATTCAGGGGATCATGCTTGAGCCTCTTCTCTTTCCTCTCCATATTCATTCCCTTGGTGATTTCATCCTGGCTCATGTCTTCAAATGCCATTTATATGCTGATGATTTCCAAATGTATTTCCACAGCATAAACCTCTTTCTGAATTCAGAACTAGTATCTCTAACTGCCTACTTGACAACTCTGCTTGGATGTCTCAAGCTTAACATGTCTCAACGTTCACTGCTGACATTTTCCATAAAACCAGCCCCTCGGCCAGACACAGTGGCTCACGCCTGTAATCCCAGCACTTTGGGAGGCCAAGGCAGGTGGATCACCTGAGGTCAGGAGTTTGAGACCAGCCTAGCCAACATGGTGAAACCCTGTCTCTACTAAAAATACAAAAATTAGCCAGGCGTGGTGGTGTATGCCTGTAATCTCAGCTACTCAGGAGACTGAGGCAGGAGAATCGCTTGAACCCCAGAGGCAGAGGTTGAAGTGAGCCGAGATCATGCCATTACACCCCAGCCTGGGCAACAAGAGTGAAACTCCATCTCAAAAAAAAAAAAAAAAAAAAAAAAACCCACCTGTGGTCTTCCCCATCTCTGTTAATGAATCTTTATGGTCATTCAGGTTGTTCCCCCACTGATGCCCTACATCTTATTTTATTTGTAAAATGTAAGTCTTATTGGTTCTAGGATCCAAACATATCTATATTCTGCTCACTTCTCTCTGCCTCTACTGCTACCACCCTACTTCCAAGCCATCGCTAAATTCCCACAGTTTCTCTAACAGTTCAACTTGCTTCCACTCTTGCCAGAGAGAGCCTTTAAAAACTAAGTCAGATAATGTCACTGATCTGCAGCTTCTCATCTCATTGACTATAAAGCTAAAGTTTTACATGATTTCTCCCCACCGCCTACCTCTACCCAGACCTCCAACCTTGTCTCTCAAAAATCTTTCCCTCATTCACTCAGCCCCAGCCACACCAGCCTCCTTATTGGCTCCAGAGCACTCCTGCCTCCGGGATGCTGCCCCTGTTGGGCCCTGTGCCTGCACTCATCCTCATGCTGACCTCCTGGTTTTCTCCAGGTTGCTGTGTGAGGCCTTCCCTGGCTACCCCATTTAAAATAAATGACAACCCCCTCCTCCAGCACTCCATAAATCTCTTCCTTGCCACATTTTTCTACACAGAATTTCTGAACATTTAACTTGATTTAAATTTCAGATATGTGTTTATTTTGCATACCTTGATTTATATTTCAGGTGTGTGTTTATTTTGCATAACTCCTCCACCCCCCCACTGGAATGAAAGCTCTAGCAGGGCAGAGATTTTTGCCTGTTTTGGTCGATGCTATACCCTAGGTCCTAGAACACAGGCACACAAAGAAGCAGTCCAGAAACAGCAGGTGAATAAAAAATCAACCAATAGGAAAGAAGGTAGGAAAGGCATTTCTAGCAGACAGGAAGGATGGAAAGCACCAGGTCCACAGACCTGGGACCTGGAGATCTGCCCTGCCTTCCTGTGTTCTCCTCTTGAGATTATGTTGTCTTCTGTAAAGCGAAGGTTGAACTCCATGCCCTGAAGGCCCCTCCAGCATTAGAATCCCCAGACTTGGACCCTAAGCGGGGTAGAGAGGTGGCCCTGGGGTTACTGGGCCTAGGGCTCCTGGCAGAGGTAGGGGATGTACGGGGAGAAGGAAAGGTAGCTGGAGCTGAGCATGCAAGTACTAGCCTATGAGAGGAAATGGGCTCACCCTTCTTTCCCATAGCACTCTGACAGCTCTCTCCCCTTCCTGCCCACTCCACCCCAAGCAGGCTTTCTAGTAAAACCTGAGTGGCAAGAAAATAACTTTGCAGCTACTCCAGCAATTTCCAGCGCACCTGTCTTCTGACTTGCAACTCCCCTGTCATCCCCTATGGAAGCCCTGGGCTCTCTCTTACTGGGGCGTACCAGGATTCAGTGTCTATTGCACATGGTGGACATCTCTGCCCCAGTGGAGAGGGTGGCTTCGGAGCACAGGGACTCGAGCTTGATCAACCTGCTGACTTTGAGAGCACTGGCCAGCTGCTACACTACTCTGAGCTTCAGCTTCTCCCCTGTAAAGCATAAAGGATTATTACATGAGAGTGAATGAGGGGTTGATGCACAGTGTCTACCAAACAGCAGGTTTGGAAGGCCTGTTCCCTTTGCACTTTCCTCTGCATTCTTTCCAGGGAGACTTTCCAAGCCCTGTTTCTGTTTATACCTGCATCCATGCAGGGTCCAGTTAGCTGAGTGCTCACTTGGCATGGCACTGAATTGCACCCACCTCTCAGTTTCTGCACCTGTCTGTCTATCAGGTTAGGAGTTCCCTGACGGCAGAATCAGGATCCTCTACTACATCTAGAGCATCCTGAGATCAGGGGTTGTATCTCTCTGTCAGACAGGGAGGATAGGCCAGGGCCCTTCCCAGCACACTGGCTCAGCTGAGATCTCAGAGGCCTGCACATGCCCTGACTTTCAGCATTGTGACCTAGTTTAATGTGAGACAGTAAGCAGGGGACATGTGTCTTAGGGAGGGAGGGATAGGCACTATTTTCTACTTTGGACCAGACCAATTCATCTAGTAGCCTGGAGCAGTCAGACTGCTTTGTAACAAACTGTCCATAAATACAGACTAGTTCATGGGGGGCTCACCAGGGCCCATGCCAGGCAGGAAAATGTGGGCAGCTCACTTGTGTTGGTAAAGTCGTGAGCCACACACACACACACACGCACATGCACAAACACATGCATCTGAGTGGCCTCTGCAACTGCTTTTAGGAGTATTTGTAAGAGCAATTACGCCTCTCAGGAGGCAGCTGATGCAGGATCAGGTGTCCCCCACCAGTCTCTAATTAGCAGGGGCGAAAGAAGGAGTGGGGAGTGATAAATCAGGAAGCTGGGCAAAGTCCTGGAAAATCCCTGATCCCTTACAAGTGTCTGACAACTGAGGACACTTTGGAGGGAGGCTTCATGGCTGGACTTGGTCCCTGCACTCCCCTTTTGTTCTGTGACTGTCTCTTTCTCCCCTCTGAAGTGTCCCTCCCCCATTCCCTGCACCCAAGGGCCCTGCCACTGCTGGCTGCCTTCAACCAAACTGTGCTCCTCACAGCCCTGCCTTCTTTTTCACACAGCCCTGTGAAGTCTTACCCCTTATGGTATTTTGCCTATCACCTCCATTCCATGTGCTTGGCTGAAATCGTACCTTATACCTTTGACTTGATGGGCTGTGACTGTATGTATACTCCTCACTCTATTGCTAGATTCCTTTTTCCAGATAAAATTTTGTTCCAAACCACTGTCTGTCCTCTGCCCATGCAGATCCCAGGCCCCACCATGTACCATCAAGCTCTAGAAATGGAAAGCCACCTTAATGTCCCCATGATTCCCACTCAGGGGAGCATACTCAGTGCACACAGGCCATTATCAAAGCACAAGACAGAGTCTCATGTCTTGGGCTGAATCGTCACCTGAGGCCCAGCAGCAGCAGACTGGAAGGAGCAGCAAATGGGAAGGCGACCTGGCTCCCCTCACCACGCTACTCCCATGGACTGTGTGACTGTGGGGCTTCATGTTTTTCATGGGCAAAATGAGTTAGTTAAAGCTGATGAACTTTAAAGAACTTACACCTTCAAAACTATCTTTAGGTAGGTAACACACTGTAATCCATCAGCAAAACTTTGCAATGGCCCCCAGCGATAAAATAGCCAACTTCCTGACTACAACCTATGTGCTAAGCACATATATTCCCTCACCAAATTCTCACAGAATTCTAAGGAATTGTTAGTATCCCCATTTTACAGACAAGGAAACTGAAATTCATAGAGGTGAAATGTCTTGTCCAGATAAAAAGACGTGCAGGTGCAATTCAAACCCAGGCCTGTCTGACAGCAAAGCCAGTGCCCACCATTGAACAGTAACATTCTTTCAGATTGGATTAGGCTGAAATAAACTTAAACACCAGACCCAGCCAGGAAGTGGAGCTCCCTATTCCCAGGACCAAAGAGGGTCATCCCAAGGGCATTTTGGCTGAATGAGAGCCAGAGAAAACTGACACTCCCTCCAGAAAACCCAGAACTGGCCATGTTGAGGTAAGTGACTGACTCACAGAGCTAGAATGTGTCTTTGAAGTCACCTAGTGGAACCTGTCACAGCCATCAGATGCTCAAGCACCTAGCAAAGCAGCCTGATGGGGAGGAGAGCCCCTGACTGGAGGTCAGGACACATGGGTTCCAGCCCAGCTCTATCACAGCCTCGCTGTAGGCTCTTGGGCAACTCATGTTCTCTCCAGACTTCAATTCCTGTCAGAAGACAGATGAGCCCCAATGGTGAGAAGTAGGCATAGGTGTGTTAAGAAGCACCTGCATTCTAAGCTACTTGAAGGCAGGGATTGTGTGTTTTCTATTCATAACCCTATCTCCAGTGCCTTGCACATAGTAGAGGCTCAGTAAGTGTTGGTTGAATGAATACATCAATTATATTAACAACTTTACCTTGTGACCTGGTATTAGGCAAAGGCATTACTTCTTTTTTTGTTGAGGTACAATTCATATAACATAAAGTTACCATTTTAAAGTGAACAGTTCAGTGGTGTTTAGTACATTCATATATTATGCAACCACCAACTCTATGTCGTTCTATAACATTTTCATCATCCCCATTAGCAGCTACATCCCATTCTCTCCTCCTCTCACTTCCTGGCAACCATCAGTTTGCTTTCTGTTTCTATGAATTTACATATTGTGAATTTAAGTTATTATTATTAGTTATTATTAGATAGATAAATAGAGAAGCTCCTATGCACCAGGCGCAGTGTAAGGCATTTCCCATGCATTCTCTGAGGACTCCTCCATCTCAGACATTCTGCTGCTGGACAGAGAATCAACTGTACAAAATGTGATTTCCCCAACAATGAGCCCAAAGGGGAGGGAATTTCCTTTAGTTGGAGAAGGGGGAACTGAGTGTCTCTTTCCTCTACTACTGGCAGCCTTTATGCCTCTGCTCCTCTTGCTGCCACCAAGAGCAGAGCTGTGGCTGCCCTTCCACAGCTCTCAGATCCAAGAACAAAGGCCAGAACTGGTGACTGAGATCCAGTGATCCAACAAGCCCAGGAGAGAAAGCTATAAGAAGATGTAAGAGAGGAAAGCAGGTCAGGACAGACAGATCCACCCAGAAGCCCAAAAAGGATGAGTCAGCCCTCTTGGCCCTTTCTTGGTCTCATCTCCCTTCCTTGAATAGCAGACGGGCACAAAAGGTGAGAGAAGAGCCAAGGTCAGGTCCAGGAAGCAATGGAAAAAGATGAGGAGGATTCAAAGTTTGTGGGGAAGGTCGGGCACCGTGGCTCACGCCTGTAATCTCAGCACTTTGGGAGGCTGAGGCGGGCAGACCATGAGGTTAGGATTTCGAAACCAGCCTGGCCAACATAGTGAAACCCCATCACTACTAAAAATACAAAAATTATCCAGGCATGTTGGCACATGCCTGTAGTCCCAGCTACTCAGGAGGCTGAGGCAGGAGAATCGCTTGAATTGGGGAGGCAGAGGTTGCAGTGAGCCAAGATTGCACCACTGCACTCAAGCCTGAGAGACAGAGTGGACTCTGTCTCAAAAAAAAAAAAAAAAAAAGAAGTGTGTGGGGAGACAACTAGTGCAGGTTGGCAGGTTGAGGACTGAGAGCCGCTGATGTAGGAGACAGTGCCCTGGGGAGAGGAGGAGGCTTGTGAGAGGGAGAGGAGGCTAGCAGCCTCAGAGCATGGGGCAGTGCCATACCAGGAAGCAGATGAGGCATGGCTATTCAAGATGAGAATGCATGATTTTCTGGCCCAAGTCACCTTCCAGGACCATCTGCTATGACCCCTCTGGCAATCTGTTAAGAGCTGTCCTCAGCATCCCTCCCCACAGGACATTGAATCACCATAACCAATTTCTTCTGCCCCCTACCACTAAGCAACAGCTCAAATAGGTTGCCTCACTCAGGAGAGAGACAAACTAGCCAGCTTCTGCCTCCAAATTTGAAATAGCCAGTGCATCCTTAGGCTGGGGCAGAGTTGGGGCCAAAGCTTCTCCATGTGTCATGGGATATGAGCTCATCCTTATTATGTTGGGTGGGGGTTGGACAGTTACCCAGACTTGTCATGTGGACCTGGAGCTTATGAGGTCATTCACATAGGCAGTGAAAGAACCTCTCCCATATACGTGAATGCCTGTCTCCCAAATGGGGCAACCTGTGGGCAGAATAAGGGACTTCTCAGCCCTAGAATGTTGAGGTTTCCCCAACCCCTCCCTTGCATACACACACACACAAACACTCCCTCAGCTGTATCCACTGCCCTCTTTCCCACACCCTAGCTTTGCCCAGCAGTCAAAGGCTCACACATACCATCTTCTCCTTAAGGCTCTTATTATGCCGTGAGTCAGAGGGCGGGAGGCAGATCTGGCAGATACTGAGCCCCTGCTAACCCATAAGACCGGTGTGACTTCCTTGATCTGAGTCTGCTGCCCCAGACTGACTGTCACGGGCTGGGAAGAGGCAGATTCCCCCCAGATGAAGTCAGCAGCAGAGCACAAGGGCATCAGCGCCAAAGTAAGGATGCTTGATTAGTTCTTCAGGGCAGAGTGGGCTGTGCTTCCTCTGCCCCAGAAAATGGCACAGTCCCTGTTCTATGGGAAAAAGAATGTGAGGTCCCTGGGTGGGCTCAGGGAACAGAGAGGTCATGAGGAGGGGATAGCACTGCAGAAACCAAGGGTGCCTTGTGAGTCCTCCCTCTGTCTTTTTAGGCATGATCCAGGAACATGACAAAATTAGTGCTTTAAATAGATTTACTTGGGGCTAAGAGAAATGTGCCTGTCAGGAAAACTAT
The DNA here is from genome assembly GCF_000001405.40 of Homo sapiens. Classification (NCBI taxonomy): domain Eukaryota; kingdom Metazoa; phylum Chordata; class Mammalia; order Primates; family Hominidae; genus Homo; species Homo sapiens. The sequence goes on from NC_000001.11 coordinate 152,906,876, forward strand.
GGGGAATCAGGACACTTCTCAAAATTAGCCCCACTGAGTATTGTCTTTATAATTCCTTCTTTTTGGATTAGATTGTAAAAAAGAGAGTGTAAATGAATGATGTCCATATAATAAGTTATTAGCCAACCATTAAAAAGAAAGGGAAGAAATAAATCAGTTTGGTTTTTACACACACATACAGACACACACATATAAACATTGATCAACACTGAAATGTTTAATAGTCATTATTTTCGGGTCGTAAAATTCACTGTTCTTCAATGAATACTTGTAGAGCACATATTATATGCAGTAGTTTTGATAGGTTCTAGGGGTATAGTGGAAAACATACCAGGTATACGCTGCTCTTAGCTTATTTTCCAGTGGGAAAGATAGACAATAAGCAAGTGAACAAATGCAAATAAATTACTCTAGATTGTTATAAGTGAAATTAAGTACCAATCCTTTAGATATGGTACACAGAGAAGGATCTCTGACAGACCCCAACATTGACACTGAAGCTGAAAGGCATAAAAGAACCAGAGACCTGGGGAGGGGCCGGTGGGCAGAAGGAGAGCAGGTGCCAAGCCCCCAGGTGGAGAGCTCTGGGCTCATCTCAGGAACCGAAGGCCCTCAGTGAGGTAAGAATATACCTCTCAGGGAGAGATTGACATGAATTGGGGCCCCAGAAGAAGGCAGAAGCCAGGTACCCAGGGTCTTTTAAACCACGGCAGTGAGTTTGAATGTTATTTCAAGTGTGCTGGTGCACTGTTGGCACGGGGGAGAGATGTGCTCAAATCCCCACTCTGAAAGATTTCTTAAGCTATTTCTAGAGTATGATTTACAACAGGAAATGGATGATTTGATTCTGATCTTTATACCTTCATGCATTTAAAAAAGTACTTAAGAAAGTAGTTTGGTTTGTCATTATAAAAAGCAATACTTATTTTTATATTGTGTAGATTCAATCTTGTTTCCTTGCCTAGAGTGGGCCGTGCTTTGGAGTTCTTATGAGCATGGCATTCCTGAGAACTTCTCTAACTGCAGCCTCGGGCATAGAGGCTGGGCAGCAAGTGGCAGCAGCAGAGGACTCCTAGAAGCCTTCTACTTGACTCTACTTGGCCTAAAGTCAAACTCCCTCCACCAAAGACAGAGTTTATTTCCACATAGGATGGAGTTAAAAAATATATTCTGAGAGAGGAAGGGCTTGTGGCCCAAGAGAACACCCCAGAAATACCACCCCTTCATGGGAAGTGACTCTATCTTCAAACATATAACCCAGCCTGGACATCCCCGAAAGACACATAACTTTCCATTTCATGCCCTTGAAAGTGAATCTTTTGGCCTAATAATGAGAACAAACTCATTTTGAAAGTGGAAAAATTGAGATTCAGAGCAGAAGTTTGACTAAGGTCACAAAACAGTAGGATGCCTCACTCAGCTCCCTGTGCCTAGGTCAGAAAAGCATCACAGGAATAGTTGAGCTACCAGAATCCTCTGGCCAGGCAGGAGCTGTGTGTCCCTGGGAAATGGGGCCCTAAAGGGTTTGCTGCTTAAGATGCCTGTGGTGAGTCAGGAAGGGGTTAGAGGAAGTTGACCAACTAGAGTGGTGAAACCTGTCCATCACCTTCAACCTGGAGGGAGGCCAGGCTGCAGAATGATATAAAGAGTGCCCTGACTCCTGCTCAGCTCAGCACTCCACCAAAGCCTCTGCCTCAGCCTTACTGTGAGTCTGGTAAGTGTCGGATGGTAGAACCAGGGTTGGGACTCGGGACCTCCAACAGCATACGATGTGGTGGGGGTGGGCAGCCTGGGTGGGGGTGGGCATTACTCTGGGGCTGGATTCAGCTGGACTTTCATTCTAGGGGGACTCGAGTCAGAGTACTGAGAGAAAAGTGCCTTGGCACAGAAGTGCAGAACAGAGAGTAATCATCCTATGTCCCATCTTTTCTTGTGACCATATTTTTGGATTTGTGTGTGAGAGAGAATTATGGAAGGGAGGAGGGGAATAGCATTCAACTTCTTTCCTAAACCTCTTGGGTTTTGACAGACCATCATTTTGCCTTCTTTATGGAGGGAGAGGTTCAGGGAAGAGCTTCTACCTTTTGGCTATGCTGCACAGAGGGATGGCAGAATGGGGAAACCTTTCTATTTGGAGAAACCTAGGCAGAGCTGGGACAGGAAAACTCAACTTAGAAGTATAAGACTTGGAAGAACAACCTCCAACTCTCAGCAACCTTCCAGCTCCCGCAGCCCCACCCCAGACACAAGGACTGCAGCTAAACCTCAGAAGGTCAGGAGAGAAAGCAGCCCTGGGGTTGAATAGGCCAACCTGCTGGCTTTACAGGGGGGAAAACCAAATCCCAGGAGACTAAGTGACATGCCCAGAAACACACAGCATTCCAATGGGAGATTCAGGCCTAGAGCATGTCCTGTGGCTCCAGTCTGGAGGTCACACCATGACCTCTTAGGTCCTCTCTGGCACGGCCTATTGGTTTTCTAGGACTTGGTGTTCTCCAAGAGACATTTCATTCCCTAAGGCCTTACTCCTCACTGTGACATAATCCCAGAACGCATCTCTGCTCCTTGGTCAGTGAAGCGATGAGGGTGGACACAAGGACTAGACAAGAGCAGACAGTGAGCTGGCACCTGACCCACCCTTGCAGAACAGCCCTGCAGACAGATCTCCTTGTTGGCTCTCACCTGGGAACAAGGAGGCTCCTAGGAGGACCTTTCTCTGCCCCTCCACATTTCCACCCTTCTCTCTCTGCTGCTTTTGGGAAATGATAGTCCAGAGGTGGTAGAACAGTACCCTGCCCAAGGGAAGAGGGGATGCTAAAAAACCAGATACTTCTGCAGATTCCCAAGGTTTCATCTATTTCCTTTGCCTTCAGCCTGTGCATCAGACCTCTTCTGTCTTTCAGGTTGACAGTAGCTTCTAAGATGTCCCAGCAACACACACTGCCAGTGACCCTCTCCCCTGCCCTCAGTCAGGAGCTCCTCAAGACTGTTCCTCCTCCAGTCAATACCCATCAGGAGCAAATGAAACAGCCAACTCCACTGCCTCCCCCATGCCAGAAGGTGCCTGTCGAGCTCCCAGTGGAGGTCCCATCAAAGCAAGAGGAAAAGCACATGACTGCTGTAAAGGGACTGCCTGAGCAAGAATGTGAGCAACAGCAGAAGGAGCCACAGGAGCAGGAGCTGCAGCAACAGCACTGGGAACAGCATGAGGAATATCAGAAAGCAGAAAACCCAGAGCAGCAGCTTAAGCAGGAGAAAACACAAAGGGATCAGCAGCTAAACAAACAGCTGGAAGAAGAGAAGAAGCTCTTAGACCAGCAACTGGATCAAGAGCTAGTCAAGAGAGATGAGCAACTGGGAATGAAGAAAGAGCAACTGTTGGAGCTCCCAGAGCAGCAGGAGGGGCACCTGAAGCACCTAGAGCAGCAGGAGGGACAGCTGAAGCACCCGGAGCAGCAGGAGGGGCAGCTGGAGCTCCCAGAGCAGCAGGAGGGGCAGCTGGAGCTCCCAGAGCAGCAGGAGGGGCAGCTGGAGCTCCCAGAGCAGCAGGAGGGGCAGCTGGAGCTCCCAGAGCAGCAGGAGGGGCAGCTGGAGCTCCCAGAGCAGCAGGAGGGGCAGCTGGAGCTCCCACAGCAGCAGGAGGGGCAGCTGGAGCTCTCTGAGCAGCAGGAGGGGCAGCTGGAGCTCTCTGAGCAGCAGGAGGGACAGCTGAAGCACCTGGAGCACCAGGAGGGGCAGCTGGAGGTCCCAGAGGAGCAGATGGGGCAGCTGAAGTACCTGGAACAGCAGGAGGGGCAGCTGAAGCACCTGGATCAGCAGGAGAAGCAGCCAGAGCTCCCAGAGCAGCAGATGGGGCAGCTGAAGCACCTGGAGCAGCAGGAGGGGCAGCCTAAGCATCTGGAGCAGCAGGAGGGGCAACTGGAGCAGCTGGAGGAGCAGGAGGGGCAGCTGAAGCACCTGGAGCAGCAGGAGGGGCAGCTGGAGCACCTGGAGCACCAGGAAGGGCAGCTGGGGCTCCCAGAGCAGCAGGTGCTGCAGCTGAAGCAGCTAGAGAAGCAGCAGGGGCAGCCAAAGCACCTGGAGGAGGAGGAGGGGCAGCTGAAGCACCTGGTGCAGCAGGAGGGGCAGCTGAAGCATCTGGTGCAGCAGGAGGGGCAGCTGGAGCAGCAGGAGAGGCAGGTGGAGCACCTGGAGCAGCAGGTGGGGCAGCTGAAGCACCTAGAGGAGCAGGAGGGACAACTGAAGCATCTGGAGCAGCAGCAGGGGCAGTTGGAGGTCCCAGAGCAGCAGGTGGGGCAGCCAAAGAACCTGGAGCAGGAGGAGAAGCAACTGGAGCTCCCAGAGCAGCAAGAGGGCCAGGTGAAGCACCTGGAGAAGCAGGAGGCACAGCTGGAGCTCCCAGAGCAGCAGGTAGGACAGCCAAAGCACCTGGAACAGCAGGAAAAGCACCTAGAGCACCCAGAGCAGCAGGACGGACAACTAAAACATCTGGAGCAGCAGGAGGGGCAGCTGAAGGACCTGGAGCAGCAGAAGGGGCAGCTGGAGCAGCCTGTGTTTGCCCCAGCTCCAGGCCAGGTCCAAGACATTCAACCAGCCCTGCCCACAAAGGGAGAAGTATTGCTTCCTGTAGAGCACCAGCAGCAGAAGCAGGAGGTGCAGTGGCCACCCAAACATAAATAACCACCCGCAGTGTCCAGAGGCCCTCAGATCGTCTCATACAAGGGAAGAGAGAGCCACTGGCTCCACTTATTTCGGGTCCGCTAGGTGGCCCGTCTCATCTGTGAACTTGACTCTGTCCCTCTACATGTCTCTTTAATGGGGTGAGGGTGGGGGAGAGAGGGAATTATTGTCCAGTGCCAACCCCAATGACCCCAATCCCAACCTCAGGTGAGCAGAGCCTCTACTTGAGGGACTATTGTTACTATAGGAATCCTTACTTCCCCAGTATTGAAGCTGAATCAGTGAGTGTGTACAATGATACATAATAAATCCTGGAAGTCTTGGGATCCTATATTCTCTTTAGCATTTTCTTCTATCACACCACATAAAAACCTGTGTATGGGTCAATGGCTGCAAGAGACTCCCACGGCCCATTCTCAAAGGAGGACAGACTCTTTTTAAATTTTGGTCCTCAAACCACTCAATAGATCTAACAGTTCCTGAAAAAGAAACAAACCCCCCCCCAAAAAAAATCAGCTTCACTTGATGTACTTGAAAACAACACTTGCCAGCCATGAAAAGGGGATACGTTGTTCTGGTTGCATCTCAGTCCAACACTACCTTCCACCACAACACCACACTCAACCCCTGGCAGAGCCCACCCTACACTTCTGCTCCAGACTCAGCTCCTCTCAGGAGGGGGACTGGGAAGATGCTAGGAAAGCTTGGGGGCTCCATCTGGGTTCTAGTCCCTTCCCTGGAAACATTTCCTGGCTCTTCTTCTTGGGTTTTCTCTCTTAGAAAATCTCATGATTTCAAAAAGTCTTATGGTCTGCCTACTTGGCTGAGGAAGACTTTAGCAAAGCAATAGAAGTAGAATTGGGCAAGGTGGGAAGAGGAGGTGTTCCAGATTGTCTCTGAGGGAAAGTGACAGCGTTATTAAAGTAAGTAAAGGTTGGACCAGCAGCAGTCATGGAAGCCAAAACTACTGACTAAGCTGGAGAAATACAGACCCAGTCACTGCAGGTGTCACCCTCCTGCTACCTGGCTCCCTGACATTTCCATAGCCTTTACTGCCATCAATCATATCAGGACCTGGGGCTCTCCTTTCCTGGGAAAAGCGCTGCTTTTAATTCTTCAAATTGCTCACTTTTAACTATTTGACCACAGCATTTTAGGCAGGCTGTCTCAAGCTATTTGAAGCTATTTTACTGCAGGCAGTTAAGGATTTATCAGGGACTTCCCTACTGAAGTGTCCAGAGACACTCAAGTTTAATAGATCTGCACATCATGGCACTTAGCATTCCTTCCTCCCCACCCAACCCCAGCAACACTCACTGTGTTTCCTCCTTAGGTGTTTTCTCTTTGAGTTAAGAAAACCGCCATTGCCATCTGTGTATTCACAATCATTCCTCATTCTTCCTCCTCTTCCCTACCCCCATCAAGGATCAAGTCCTTGCTATCTCCACCAATACCTTCTGAGCTCGGCCTGAAGTCGTTTCTCACCTGAACTGTTGCAACACCCTTCCAGCTGGTCTCTCTTGCTCTCTATCTCCACATACCCTGCGATCCACTCATCACCCAGAGCACAGGGTGTTCTACTTAAAATTCGAATCTAACCACATCCCTCCTTAGGTTAGCACTTGTCAGTGGTTCTCATGACTGAGACCATGAGAAGGCAGGCTCAAGCTCTGGGCAGGGAGATTGGGGACAGAAGGTACAGTAATCAGAAGCACCCAGTGTGTGTGCACATTTTCCAGTTGATTTTTTAAAAATAGACATTTTAGGACAGTATCAAATTTGTAGAAAAGTTAAGAAAATATTAGAGTTATCATATATTTCACACAGTTTCCCCTATTATTAATATTTTACATGAGTAGGGTACATTTGCTACAAATTATCGCAGCTCAATACGGTGTTATTGGCTGAAGTTCCTGGTTTATTCAGATTTTCTTAGTTTCACCTAATTTCTTTTTGCTGTTTCAGTATCCCATCCAGCATATCACGTTGCATGTACTTGTCTCCTTAGGCTTCTCCCTTGACAGAGTCAGTTCCTCAGACATTTTTGTTGTTGTTGTTTTGATGATCTTGAAAGCTGCGAGGGGTGCTGGTCAGATATTTTGTAGGATATCCCTCAATTTGTATTATATTTGTCTGATGTTTTTCTCATGATTAGACTGGGGTATGGGTTTTTAGGAGGAAGACCACAGAGGTAAAGTGTCATTCATTCTTACCACATCATATAAAGTATACGTATATCAGACACAACTCATCACAGTTGCTATTAAACTTGATCACTTAGCTGAGACAATGTGTGTCAGGTTTCTCCACTGTAAAGTTATTCTCCTCACCCTCCCCCAATTTCCCCTTCTATACTGTACTCTGGAAAGGAGTCACTATGCAAAGGTCACCATTAAAAAGTGGAATGTAAAGTTTCCATCATTGAGGATGGAGAATCTACATAAGTTCATAAGTTATTTGGAATTTTCAGTACAGATTTGTCCCCACCCTATTTATTTATATTAGTATGGAGTCATGACTAGTTATTTTGTACTATGGGCTATAACCCAATAGTACTTTATTTATTTGTTTGTTCAAATTTTTCCAGCTTTGGCCATTGTGAGCTCTTTCATTGGCTCCTGTGTTCTTTAAAATATACTTCCATCAATATGTGTTTTTTAATTTTATTTTATGTATGTATGTATTTATGTTCAATTTGTTTTCTGTTTTTGTTTTTTTTTTTTTTTTTTTTTTGGCATACTGCCCTGCTTTCTGACACTACAAGATACTCCAGGCTTACCTTGTATATTTCCTGCCCCAGTCCTAGAATTAATTTCTTCAAGGAGTCCCATTTCATTTTATCGGAGAATGGTATTAGAAACCAAGAACTTGGAACTGGGTATAACCATTACTCCTGGGGTAGCATTTCCTTTAGGCCCTCTTAACTGGCAAAGGAAGTATATATGTGTATACTAACCTGTGTGTGTGGGCATTTATGTATGTTTTCTAGTAGTGATCTGTATCTATATTAAGCTAAACAGAGCTCATACTAATGTCTCCAACTATAATTTATTACTACTTGGATCTTTCTAGCCTCCTCCCATTTCTTATCTGAAAATTATCACTCCAGCTGTGAGAAACCTGGCCCCCAATTGCCACCTGTTTTCTTAATTATTCATTTTCAGTATTCAGAAGTGACTGTACTGTTTTACATTCCCACCAGCAATGAGTTCTTCCTGTTGTCTGTTATTTTCACCAGGATTTGGTGTTAGCTTTTTGAATTTTAGCCAAATTTATAGGTGCATAGTTATATTTCATTGTTTCAATTTGCAATTTTCTTATACATGATGTTAAGCATACACTCATATGTTTTTTGCCATCTTCATATCTTCTTTTATGAGGTGTTCAGATCTTCTGCCCACTTTTTTAATTGAGTTGTTCATTTTCTTTCTGTTGAGTTTCTAAAATTATCTTATATATTGGGATTATCAGATATGTGTTCGGCAAATATTTTCTCCTGGTCTGTGGCTTGTCTTTTCATTCTGTTAACAATGTCTTCTGCAAAGCAGTTGTTTATAATTTTAATAAAGTCCAACTTATCAATTTTTTTTCAAGAATCACACTTTGGTATTGTATCTAAAAACTCATCAACAAACCCAAGATCACTTAAATTTTCTCCCGTGTTATCCTATAGAAGTTTTAATTTTACATCCTTCATTTAGGACTATGATACTATGAATTGATAGGTCTCAAATCATTATTTTGTATCTGGGTATCCAACTGTTTCAACACACTACACCTCTCTTTGCCCCCCCCACTCAATCTGCCTGGTACTAAGTGTAAAAAAAAAATTTCTCCCAACTCATGGTTTTTACAACGGAAAAAGATCAAGATGAACAATCAGCTTCCCCACAATCTTGGGTTCCATGGCAGGAGAACAGTCCCTACTTCAACCCATGGGAAACATCATAAATGCCTGAAGGGAGACATATCCCTGAGGACAGCCAGAACCAAAGTCGGGGGCGGGACTACCATCCCCAGCCCTGGAAATTCTGAACTGTAGCTCTGCCAAAGGAGATGCCAAATCAGACTGGCTGTTCGGCAGCATTGCACTATGAGAGGTACATTTCACAGGTTCCTAGGTCACAGGTTCCCATGTGTTGAAAAAATTGTTTCCATGGTGCGTTTATGTTTAAAGTGGGTTTCTTCCAGGCAACATATAGTCAGATATTGGTTTTTATCTATGCTAGTAATCCTTGTCATTTTATTGATGTATTTAGACCATTCACATTTGAAGTAATTTGTGATATAATTGTATTATTATCTACCATGTTTGGAGCTGTTTTTTCTTCACAGCACTTTTGTTCTTTCCCTCTTTCTCTGCTTTCTCTAGTTTTGAGACTTTATTATTTTCATTTTATATTCTCTGTTAGCATATAATTATATAAATAATTATGTTTACTTTTAAAAATTAGTGGTTTCCCTGGAGTTTAAAACATACATTTACAACACATCTAAGTCCTTTGAAGTAACACTATAGTGCTTTATAAGTAGTGCAGATAACTCATAACAGTATTCTCAACTCTTCTTGCTGTCATTCATATCATGTATTCATTTGCTATAATTATCCAATACATTATTACTTTGAATAGCTATTAGATCAATTAAGAATAAGAAAAATAAGCATGTTATTTTACCTTTTTTGATACTCCCTCTTATTTTATATAGGCCCACATTTCTGACTTATATCATTTTTCTTCTTATAACATTTTAAAAAATATTCCTTCCTCTTTTAACATTTATTGCAGCTATTAGGGCTTCTGACAATGAATTCTCAGAATATCATTTGTCTGAAAAAATATTTATTTTATCTTCAATTATTAAGGATGATATCACTGATATAGAAGTATAGAGTTTTCCTTTCAACAATTTACATATTTTATTCAGTCTCTTTTTGCTTGTATGGTGTCTGACAGGAAGTCTGGTGTAAGTAATACTTGCCCTTGCTCCTCTATATGTAAGGTTTTTTATTCTGCAGAATTTTCAGAATTTTCTCTTTGCCTTTTGTTTTGTTCAGTTTGAATAGAATAAGCCTAGGGGTAGATTTCTTGGTGTTCTCTGAGCATCCTGGATCTGTTATTTAATGTATCGCTCTTTTGGAAAACTCCAATTAGTACTTCAAATATTTTGTCTGCTCCATTTGCTATTTCATTTCCTCTGGTATTGCTGTTATGTATATGTTACATCTTTCAAAATTGTCCCACATTCTTGGATAACTCTGTTGTTGATGTTGTTGTTTTTAATTCTCTTTTTCTTTTTCTGCTTCAGTTTGTGAAGTTTCTACTGACATGTCTTCAAGATCACTGATTCTTATCTCAGCTGTGTCCAGCCTACTGATGAACCCACCAAGGAATCTTCATTTCTGTCAGTTTTCTTTTTTCTAGTGCTTGACTCTTTCCTAGAGTTTCCATTTATCTACTTGCATTACCCGGATATTCTTGTATGTACTGCACTTTTTCCATTACAGACATTATAATACTAATAATATTTATTTTAAATTATCAAATTTTTCTAGTGTCCTAAGTTTTGTCTCTTCTATTATTTTTGGGTGTCCCTAAGAACTCCTTAAATAGAATTTGCACAAACACAACTGATAAACTCCCTATTAGAGTGATCAAGGGAATAAAAGAGAGAACACACAAATGACCAAATCATGAATAAAAGAGGTAAGATCATTGCAGATTATTTAGATATTAAAATGATAATAAAGAATATATTCACTGAGTAGAATACAAATATCTTACCAGGACATCCTGATTACTTGATAATTTCTACTTATGATATTATAATACATGATGCCATTAATATAGCAGATTAGCATGATGTTTTCTGGAATGTTCAGATGATCAATGTCCTTTCATACTTAATGTGTCGAGAGCAAGAGAGTTAATACAGTTCTAAGGCAAGATCATAAATGTGTATTGCTCCCCATCCTAGGTGAATATACCACTTCTTATTCTCCTGACTCCTAGGTGTTGAACAGACTACACTCATCAGAGATATAGCTGCATATTACACACTAGAAGTTATATTGATCTGTTCTATTAAAAATTTTATATATTATAAAGGAGTTGCAATTGAGTCTACCACTTGGTTAAGTTTGTGGAAGTCTACCATTATTGTGTTAGTCAGCATTCTCCAGAGAAACAGAACCAATACATTGTGTGTATGGGTATGTGTGTATGTATGTATGTTTGTAAGTATATGTATATATACATATTATACACACACAACTAGATATATATATATGTATGCATACATATATAAATATATTTATTATAAGGAATTGGCTCACACTCATGCAATTATGGAGGTTGGCAAGTCTAAATCTGTGATGTGGGCTGGTAGGCTCAAGACCCAGGAGAGCCAATGTTGCAGTTACATTCTGAAAGCCAGTAGGTGGAGACCCAGGAGAACTGATGGTGCAAATGAAGTTCCAAGGCAATCTGCTGGAGAATTTCCTTTTGCTCGGAGAGGCTGGCCTTTTCATTGTATTCGTGCCTTCAGCTCACTGAATGAGGCCCATACATATTATGGAGGGCAATCTGCTTACTTATAGTTCATTTATTTACATATTAATCTCGCCAAACTGATGGCATAGAAGAAAGCTGGCTTCACTCTCTACAAAAATACTAAAAAGGAAAAAAGAAAGAAAGAAGAGAGAGAAAAAAGAAAAGAAAGAGAGAGAGAAAGAAAGAAAGAAAGAGAAAGAAAGAAAGAAAGAAAGAAAGAAAGAAAGAAAGAAAGAAAGAAAGAAAGAAAGAAAGAAAGAAAAGAAAGAGAGAGAGAGAGGGAGGGTAGAAGGGAGGGAGGGAGGGAAGGAGGAAGGAAGGAAGGAAGGAAGAATGAAGTCAGGCATGGTGGCTCATGCCTGTAATTCCAGCACTTCGGGAGGCCACAGAGGGCAGATCACCTGAGGTGAAGAGTTAAAGACCAGCCTGGCCAACATGGTGAAACCTTGTCTCTACTAAAAGTACAAAAATTAGCTGGGTGTGGCGGCTGAGGCAGGAGAATAGCTTGAACCCAGGAGATGGAGGTTACAGTGAGCTGAGATTGTGCCACTACACTCCAGCCTGGGCAATACAGTGAGACTCTGTCAAAAGAAGAAAAAGCAAGAAGAAGAAGAAGAAGAAGAAGAAGGAGGAGGAGGAGGGAGGAGGAGGGAGGAGGAGGAGGAGGGAGGAGGGAGAAAGGAGAGACAAAGATAAACAGCACAGAGATTATCACCAGCAATATCCCAGAACTCAAATAGGAGAATGCAACAGTTGCTGTGGCAAAAGAGAAGTAAAAAATCTCTGAGCAGATGTTAAGAGAATTGGACTTCTATATTCATGATGCCCCCTGCTTCCCCCATGCTTAGTTTTCCTGGTACCAAGTGTAAAAATTTTTCCCCCAACTCATGGTTTTTACAACGGAAAAAGTGAGATCAAGGTGGACAATCAGCTTCCCCACAATCTCGGGTTCTCTGGCAGGAGGCCTGTCCCTGTCTCAACCCATGGGAAATATCATAAATGCCTGAAGGGAGGCATATCCCTGAGGACAACCAGAAACAAAGGGGTGAGGGAGGGTGAGACTACCATCCCCAGTCCTGGAAATTCTGCACTGTAACTCTTCCAAAGGAGATGCCAAATCAGATGGCTGTCCAGCAGCATCACACTGTGAGTGGTACATTCCACAGGCCCCCTGGGAACAATCCTTAGCCAGCCTTTCCACACTGCTGGGACATTCCTTTGAGGACCTCCTCCATTTAAGATAAGTAGTGCTCTGATCCTTGACTAGAGCTGAGGCAAACCTGGGATTAAGTACCATCTAGTACCAAAAAGGAGGCAGCAACATAGCAGGGGGAAAAAAGGAAAAAAATCAACAGGTAAATTACAAAGAATCTCTAAGCAAACATATCCAATAAAAACCAAGGCAAGCTGGACAGAGAAAATTGGAATAAATAACTAATCTTTCAATTCAAAGACATACACATAAATTCAGAAGAAACATTAGCAAACAAGGAACCATGGCCTTCCCAAGAGGATAAAGCAAGAAACCAGTGACTGACCCTAGTAAGATGGCAGTATGTGAACTCTCTGACCAAAAATTCAAAATAACAGTTTTATGGAAACTCAGTGATCTCCAGTATAACACAGAAAAACAATTTGGAAATTTATCAAAGAAATTTAACAAAAAGATTGAAATAATTTTTAAAAAAATTAAACAGAACGCTTGGAACAGAGAAATACATTTGCTGAACTGAAAATTTTGTTAGAAGCTCTCAACAGCGGAATGGATCAAGCAGAGGAAAGAATCAGTAAGCTCAAAGACAGTCTGTTTGAAAATACAGTGTCAGAGGAGAAAAGAAAATATTAATCTTAGCCATGATCATGCTCTAAGTTGACACACAAAATTAGCCATTACAATAATTCACCAAGATCCCTGGCTTTTTTTTTTTTCAAGAGCTGTAGCGGTCAATTAAATAGGAATGTATAATGGGGACTACTAAAAGAGTGGCACTGATCTCTGCCATTCTGCCCATGATATATTGTTTTCTATTTACTATCTTGGCTATTTGGGAAGGGGGTGCAGTTTTAAGGGTTTCAATTTGATCTTTCTAGTATGATAGCTCTTACTCCGTGGATCAAGGAACAAGTATGAGAAAACTTCCAGGCACTAAATATGTTTGTCCTACAAGTATGTACCCAGAAACTGGGAAAATGGCCACTGGATGTGGCCATTGACTTTTTTATTTTATTTTTTTTTTGAGATGGAGTCTCACTCTGTTGCCCAGGCTAGAGTGCAGTGGTGCGATCTTGGCTCACTGCAAGCTTTGCCTCCCAGGTTCACGCCATTCTCCTGCCTCAGCCTCCCGAGTAGCTAGGATTACAGGCACCCGCCACCACGCCTGGCTAATTTTTTGTATTTTTAGTAGAGGTGGGGTTTCACCGTGTTAGCCAGGATGGTCTCCATCTCCTGACCTCATGATCCACCCGCCTCGACCTCCCGAAGTGCTGGGATTACAAGCGTGAGCCACCTGACCTTTGACTTCTTAAACCCATAGTGAAAAGGACTACCTTGGTCAGAACTCTTTATCACTAACCCCAATACACTCTTATTCTAATGGGGAGGTCAAGGTAATCCCTGGAGTCCCCTGATGTTAGTGTCAGTTCAAATTATATATCCAACAGCCCTCAAAGAACCTGGGTACTTCCCTTTCTCCAAAGTACAGTTGCTAAGGAAATAAAAGTTTGAATCACTACTGTATACACTTAATGTGGTGTTGTACAGTCCTTTCTCAATAGGACTTGAATCTCTTTCAAACAATGGGTTCTGGATCTGAGAACTGGCTCAGGACTAGATATTGGGTAAGAAATTGTGACTGATTTTTGAGGCAGCTGACATCAGCCACATAGGGATACACACACACATACAGATGGTCCTCAACTTTGGATGGTTCAGCTTACAATGATTTTCTGATGGTATGAAAGCAATATGCATTTGGTAAAAAACCATACAAGTGCTTCAAGTATTCATCTAACCATTTTTTTCAGTTTAAGCATAGCATTCAATTAATTACATGAGATATTTAACACTTTATTATAAAATAGGCTTGCGTTAGATGATTTTGCCCAACTGTAAGCTGATGTGAGTGTTCTGAGCACATTTAAGGGTGGCTAGACTAAGTTATAATGTTTTGTGGGTTAGATAGATTCAATGCATTTTCAAGTTGTGATATTTTCAACTTACAATGGGTTTATTGGGAACATGACCCCATCATAAATTGAGGAGCATCTGTATGTGGCACATGTGTGTAATGTCCCTAATGACTTCCCACCTATTTTGTCCCTAATAAGACCATATTCTACTATCCATTGCTCTAGACCCCTGTGGGTCAGGACATCTTAGTGATTATTCTGACATTCCAATTTTGTTGGCCATGATGGTAGTCACATCTACTTTGCCTCTGATGGTTAACTAACACAATCTACCCTCTGTTATTCCCTTATTGTCCTTTCATTCTCATTGACACTATGGAATCTAGTTCAATCAGCATTTCCTACCTCAGACCAAGGCAATAAAGGACAGCCACAATTGGGCCTCTCAATAATGATAGTACGGCCCACCCAATCACCAGCACATTTCTTGTAACTTTAATGAAATAAGTGTCTTCTGCGACCTCTTGAAAAACATACACAGTTTCTGAGTTTCAGGATTATGTAATAGATCTGTTCTTACACACCTGCCTCTCAACCTTTTTATCTTTATCTCAATATTCTGCCAAGATGGTTCTGGAATCTCCGTCTCATTTAATATGGGCCATAAGTTTTTCTGAGTTCCAAAAGGCATCCTGGAAGCATATAAAGACTTTATTTAGGAAACTGAGTCATATGTATTGCCCCCATATCAGGAATTATTCCCCTAATCATTCTCATACTCCACATCATATGATTTAACACACTCAAGATCCTCTCCTAGGGAATCCCAACCTGTGCTGGTCCATATTATCCAGGCCCTGCAGATCCTTCAGTGAATAATTCTCTCCCTTAGCAGGACAAGTACTAACCCAATTGGCTCTGCTAAGACTTGAACCAATACCCAAGAAAGGAGGTGGGGCCAGATCTTGAGTTAGATAAGTATTGTCTTACAAGGCACCTGTTTCAGTTCAGCCAATGGGATGTAGGGATTGATATCTTCTATCCAAGAAGGACCACTTCTATAGGCTGAGAAAAATCAGGTATATCAAGCACATCCATGAATATATTCCCATCCCAAGTCTTGAGGTCCCATTCCTTCCTTATCAGGACCCTATGCCTTTGGCATAAGGATGCTGTAAAGTCAGCTTCCTATAAAGCTTAGTGTTAGTTCCTGTGCCTGGTGTTTAACACCATCTTCCCTCTGCAGGAGGTGAAGTTCTCTTTAAACACTGCTATGGAGCCCTTCTGACTTTCATATCACGTCTTAAGATAGTAAATGAACGACTTGAGTTTGTCCTCTTTTTCTCTTTAAAACATCAAGAGCATCCAGAAACATTAGCCAAGCCCTTTGTCCATTTCTTCCATATCTCTCAAACGTCAAAGTTATTTATCAAGTCAGTGCACTGCCTTTTGCTGCATCTTGCCCTAAATCACCACAGGAGATCATAATTACAACACTACAACATGCCAAGGGCTATCGCTGTTTCACTTACCACCAGCAAAGGGGTTCTTGTTCTCTTCTGTGGGGAGCCAACTCCAGAATCCCACAACTAGAATCTTCCTAGAACTGCAGCTACCAACTGTCATTGTTTGGGTTCCCTGGAAGCACATCCTGAGATGAGGATTTATTTGCAGTATAACTTATTAAAGCAGTACTTCCAGGAGAAACTAGTTAGGGCATAGGAGTAGCAGGACAGAGAAGGAGAGGAAACCAGATTGTCATTTTGGGCAAACATGTGTGCAGGTAGCTTCATCCTGATTCTGCAAGAAAACTCTGGAATGTAAAAGAAAAGCTGTATTGATATGAGACAAGAAAGCTAGGCTGTGATACTCTCGTACCTGTAAGTCATTGGCTAAGGGCCACTCCAGGGAGACATAAAATATCTGGTACTTCAGGCTTTGTGCATGTGAGGACATAGCAAATTCAGTTGCCAAACACATTCATCTGAAGAAGCATCAGATAGAAACAAATGAAAGCAAAAGGATACCCAAACCTAAGTGGTGTTGAACAACACCATGAGAATGAAGTCAGCAAAATCCAGACTGAAAAACTCCATATGACAAATAGTATGGTTTCTTTAATAAAAAATTGCAAAGGGACAAAAGAAATAAACTGGGAACCTTTAGATCAAAATAAACTTAAGAGATATATAGATGTATTAATTAATAAAAATGTATCTACATTATTTTGATGTCATTTCAAATAAGTCATTAGTAAATTAATGATTTGTAGCATAATTGGAAATGTGAACACTGAGTGGATATTTCCTAGTATAAAGATGTTAGCTAGTATTTTCAAGGTGTGATAATATTTAACATAACTACTGAAAAAAGTATTTATAGATATAAAGAGATGAAATGACATGAGTCTGTGATTTGCTAAAAGTAACACTGTAGGAGGCAAGTGGTAAGAGAGATAAAATGAACAACGTTGTCCATAATTTGAAAGTTATTAAACCTAGTTGATGTACACGTGATTTATTCTACTATTCTGTTCATTTATATGTTTTAAATTACCATTAAAATGTCTTTAAAATAATATAATAATTTTATTGAAGTGAACTAACATATACAGTATAAAAACTGCATCCTTTGTAACTACACATATAATTAAAAAAAAATTAAGACTTCAACTTAAAAGTGTAACGAGCAGTGCAGAACTTTTAAAACATTTCAGAGAGCTGTCTTAGGTTGGTTCCCTGAAGAAGCACAGTCTGCGACAAGTGAATAGGTACAAGTAGTTTATTTTGAGATGTGACCCCAAATAGCAGAAGTCAGGGCCACTAGGAAGAATAAAACAATAGAGAGAGAAAGTCAGTCCAATGGTGTGCTGTTGAGCTGTGTATTCCTGTGGATAACAGGCTAAACCGCACCCTGAAGTTTCCAAGGGCCATCTAGAACATATATTAGAACTGTTTGCTGGAGATACTGAAAAGAATGCTTGCTCTCTGTGTACTCCTATGTCTAGTAACCAGTGGTTGTCTGGAGGATGTTAACCTCCTCACGTTTCCACCCTGTGCTTCCACCAGCATGACTGAGTAGTCGGCTGTGAGTGTTCCACAGCCTGGCTGTCAAGAGCCCTGGGGCAGATGTGAGAGACACCTAGTGCAGCTGAAGTGAGGTGCTGTGGGATACTCCTCAGCATAGGTGGTTGCCATAGCTACAGCCTGGGTAAAATGGTGAGCTGAGAAAACAGGAGGAAGGGCATAAAAAATGTTAGACTGTAGACATCTAGAAAGTTTGACAGGAGATATTTATGGACCTTATAATCAGAGTGTCTTCCTATTGCAATGGTCCATTTCCCTCCTTGCAATAATCCTTTTGAATAAAGTCTCTCTACAGTAAGAAAGTTCAACAGCAACTGATTAATCTTCCTAATGTTTTCTCTTTCTCATTTAAGTCTGAGATTTATTACAAATTCGGTTCTTTTTGTAATTTCTGTTTTAATTATAGTTACAACCCTTTTTTAACTTTCCATATTAACTTTTTTCTCTTTTTTATCTTGGTCAACATTTTTAATTTTGACTATTTTTTTCACCTTTTCAAAGAATCGGTTTGGCTTAGTCGATTCATATAATATATCTTTGTCTTTTATTTTATTAATTTTTCATTTTATATTTAGTATTTTCTTACATATACTTTCTTTTTTTTTTTTTTTTTTTTTTGAGACGGAGTCTCGCTCTGTCGCCCAGGCTGGAGTGCAGTGGCGGGATCTCGGCTCACTGCAAGCTCCACCTCCCGGGTTCACGCCATTCTCCTGCCTCAGCCTCCCAAGTAGCTGGGACTACAGGCGCCCGCCACTACGCCCGGCTAATTTTTTGTATTTTTAGTAGAGACGGGGTTTCACCGTTTTAGCCGGGATGGTCTCGATCTCCTGACCTCGTGATCCGCCCGCCTCTGCCTCCCAAAGTGCTGGGATTACAGGCGTGAGCCACCGCGCCCGGCCTACATATACTTTCTTTAGCATTTATTTTTTAATTCCACTTTCCTGTATTAGATCATTAATTTTCAGCCTTTCATATTTTATATAAACTTTTAAAGTCTTAATTCTCCTTACTTTTATTGCTTTTTCTGTATATCTAGTGAGTTCTGATATGCAATATTTATGCTACTGTTTAGTTCCAAGCATTTAAAAATCTCCTCCAGACTGTCCTGTCCAGGAGTAAAAGTTACGGTAATGCCACAATATCACACATAGGAAGGACAACATTGGCTCTTATGCCTCAGAAATCAACATTTGGACCATTCTGCTAGGTAACGGAAATAATAAAAATAATAAATAATTTATAAGCAAACAAAACAAGCTGACCAGGTGAGGCACTGCTGTGGAGGTTAAAAGGATGTCTGCTGGAGTCACACACTTGAGATTGAACCCAGCTCTTCTGCTTACATTCTATGTGATCCTGGGCAGGCTACATCATATCTCTGATCTGTTTCTTCATTATTAAAATGCAGACAAAAATATTGACCTTTCAGCATTGGTTTCGTTATTAAATAACACTTGCAAAGTACTTAGGTTAGTGTCTAGCACACGAAAGGGGCTCAGCAAATGAAAGCAGTGGTTCACACAGCATATTTGGGATTTCAGAAGTTCCTTTTGTTTTCCTCTGTGCCTTTTACTCATGTCTAATTAGACCATGAAAACAGACTTTGCTTCTTTCTTATGTGTTAGGAATTTTTCAAAGCATTTTGCATTCTTGAACCCATTTAATCCCTTAAAATGAAACCCAGTAAAGGGCACATATTCTGTACTAGGAAATCCTAACTGATTTTGATTAACTTACCAGCTAAAGCAAACTGTGTCTGTGGGGAAATGAGGAGGTTGCCCCAAAGGACTACAATGATAGGCTTTGGCTTGTTGCTTTTGGGATGTTCCTAGCACAAAGGAATAAAAATACAGTTTGAGCAAGAAGCTATAATGGGTGGCTCACCACTGGTAAAAGCTAGCCAAGAGGAAGAGCACTCAGGATGCCTGCTAGCCTTCCAAAGTATCTGTGATCTCTTGCTACCCTCTAGGGCTGTGATGTAGAATTGCAGGACCGAGAGAAAAGGGCTTCACCTGAGGGAGGCTCCTAAATGCAAAGCTTGGGCATCCAGGGTCTGCGTGAGACACCTCCAAGAAAACGGTGATGAATAAGGAAATTTGTGCCCTGAAGGATTCAGACAGAGCAAGGATATGAAACAAATGCATAAAGTACTTTTACTAACAATAACTGTGCCCCATTTATTGAGTGTTGCCACACGTCAGTCAGTGTCAAAGGCTTTACATGCATGATCTCAACTTTCTGGTGCAACAATGCCATGATTTGGTATGATTATCCTCCTCATCTGAGAGACAAGGACACTGAGGTTCAGAAGGACAAGTTGCTTGGTCAAGGTCACCCAGCTAGCCACTGAAATTCAAACCCAGTTGTCCAAATCCAGAGCTCATGCCTATACAATGCTTTGGGCACTGAGGTGGGAAATCCCACAGAGGCTTAGGGTACGCTCATGCACCTTTCTGAAGGAGATGGTATATGAACTGGGCTTTGAAGAATAGGTACTGGGGGATGAATACCAAAAGAAGATGGAGCAGAGCCCCAGAGGGAACTGAGTTAGGCCTAGATGGGGTTGGAGGGACACTGTGGGTGTGACTGGAATTAATGGTTTAGTTTGTTGGAGCTCAGGAAGCCAAGGGAGATAAAATAGAGATGCAGGCTGACCTTGATAATATTTTGTATCCACTACGTCCTTCCATAATTCTTTTGCAATAGGCATAAGGGAGCTGAAAATCAAGTAAGTGGATGATTTCCAGCCCATGTGGAAAGACAGATCCTGCCAGCCTCATGCTTACTCTTACTGGACAGCAGGGCAGCACCAGATTGTTCAAGAACTCTGAGGGGCAGCAGTGGGATAACAGGATGAAGTTCATGTTAAAATGCAGTAGGACTGGTCTGAGGCAGAAGCACTGCTAGGGAGACAGGCATCAGGAGAAAGTCCTCTGGCAAGAGGCCATGTGGCTACAGTGACCCTCTCCTCTGGATCTCACATGGGCATCTATGGTCTAACAGAGTTGAATGTGCTTAGATGGACAAAAACATACTTTTTAAATTGATGCACTTTTCCAGAAAAACCATGATGTACAATACATGGCAAAGAGATCTGCATTTGTCATGAGTAAGTAGATCATAGCTACCTTACTAAACACTAGTTTCTTCTTGACTAAGTTTAGAATATACATTTATAATATACATGTGTATCCTGCTCCCCTCGCTGGGTTCTGATAAGGATCCCAGGTAAGGGAGAAGACAGGAGCCTCAAAAATTGCCTTGGTTCTACAAAATGGGAGAAAATTTTTGCAACCTACTCATCTGAAAAAGGGCTAATATCCAGAATCTACAATGAACTCAAACAAATTTACAAGAAAAAAACAAACAACCCCATCAAAAAGTGGGCAAAGGACATGAACAGACACTTCTCAAAAGAAGACATTTATGCAGCCAAAAAACACATGAAAAAATGCTCATCATCACTGGCCATCAGAGAAATGCAAATCAAAACCACAATGAGATACCATCTCACACCAGTTAGAATGGCAATCATTAAAAAGTCAGGAAACAACAGATGCTGGAGAGGATGTGGAGAAATAGGAACACTTTTACACTGTTGGTGGGACTGTAAACTAGTTCAACCATTGTGGAAGTCAGTATGGCGATTCCTCAGGGATCTAGAACTAGAAATACCATTTGACCCAGACGTCCCGTTACTGGGTATATACCCAAAGGACTATAAATCATGCTGCTATAAAGACACATGCACACGTATGTTTATTGCGGCACTATTCACAATAGCAAAGACTTGGAACCAAGACAAATGTCCAACAATGATAAACTGGATTAAGAAAATGTGGCACATATACACCATGGAATACTATGCAGCCATAAAAAATGATGAGTTCATGTCCTTTGTAGGGACATGGATGAAATTGGAAATCATCATTCTCAGTAAACTATCGCAAGAACAAAAAACCAAACACCACATATTCTCACTCATATGTGGGAATTGAACAATGAGATCACATGGACACAGGAAGGGGAACATCACACTCTGGGGACTGTTGTGGGGTTGGGGGAGGGGGGAGGGATAGCATTGGGAAATATACCTAATGCAAGATGACGAGTTAGTGGGTGCAGCGCACCAGCGTGGCACGTGTATACATATGTAACTAACCTGCACAATGTGCACATGTACCCTAAAACTTAAAGTATAATAATAAAAGAAAAAAAGGAAAAAAAAATTGCCTTGGTTCAGCCTAACTTCCAGGAGCAATCAGAGCAACATTTCTCAAACAAAACTCAGATCAAGTCACTACAAGCTCAGATCTCTCCACAGCCCCCATACCCTGGGGGAGTGGTCCCTGCTTGGCTTTGGGAAGTCCCTGCTCTTCATCCACCCTGCTGTAGTCATACAGTCCTTGCTGAACACACCAAGACCTGCCTGTCTTAGGGCCTTTGCACTTGCTCTTCCTCTGCCTTTGTCCTCAGACCTTTGTGTGACCATATCCCATCATTCAGGCCCTGCTTCTGTGTCTTTGTTTCACAGAGTCCTTGTTGACCATCCTAGTTAAACATTACCACATCGTAGTTTCTTCATAGCCCTCATTACTCATCTGAAATTACGTTATTTAGTTTTTTGTTACTTGATCGTGTATGTGCTTATCATCTGTTTTTCCCCCACCAGGATGTAAGCTCTGGGAGAAAAAAGACCATGTGGGTTTTATAACATGTACCTTGTGTTCTCTGTGCCTAGAAAGTGCTCAATATGACGTAGTTCCATTTGTCTATTTTCACTTTTGTTGCTTGTGTTTTTGGTGTCATATCCAAAAAATAATTTCAAAGACCAATGTCATGAAGCTTTCCCCTTTGTTTTCTTTCAGGAGTTTTACTCTTTCAGATCTTACATATAAATCCTTAATCTATTTTGAGTTTATATTTGTGTATGGTATAAGATAAGGGCCCAGTTTCATTCTTCTCCATGTGGATATCCAACTCTCCCAATAACATTTATTGAAGAGACTATTCTTTCCCCATCATATATTCTTGACAACCTTGTTGAAGATTGGTTGACCATAGATGTGTGGGTTTATTTCTCGACCCTCCATTCTGTTTCATTGATATATATGTCTGTTTTTATGCCAGTAACACACTTTTAATTACAATAGCTTTGTCATGTATTTTGAAGCCAGGAAGTGTGATGCCTCCAGCTTTGTTCTTTTTTCCAAGGAATGTGTTGGCTAGTTGGGGTGTTTTGTGATTCCATATAAATTTTAGGACTATTTTTCCTATATCTGTAAAAAATGCCATTGGGATCTTGATAGGTATTGCAATGAATCTGTAGATTGCTTTGTGCAGTATGAACATTTTAACAATATTGTCTTACAATCCGTGAACACAGATGTCTTTCCATTTATTTTTTGTGTGCTTTATTATTTCATCAAATTAAAAAGCTTACGCACAGCAAAGGAAACAATCAACAGAGAAAAGGCAACTTACAGAATGAGAAAAAAAATTTGCAAACAATATATCTGATAAGGGGTTAATATCAAAAATATATCAGGAACTCTTACAACTCAATAGCAAAAATAATAATAACTTTATTTAAAAATTGGTAAAGAACCTGAGTAGACATGCAAATGGCCAATAGGTATACAAAAAGATGCTCAACATTAATAATCATCAGAAAAATGCAAATCAAAACCACAACAAAATATCACCTAGCACCCGTTATTTTCTTTTTTTTAAATCAATCTTGCCAATAAACAACTTTATTTTGGTTTTTACATTCATTTATAATACATTTACAATTTACTTACATTTACATTCAGGTCACATCCATAAATGTAAAAATGTAATTTTCATAAGCCATCATCTTACTTTTGACACTTTTATGGTTTTTTCCATATAGACTGTTTAGCTGTATATTCTTTTTTTATCTTTTGTATTTTTTGAAAGCAAAAACACGTTAAATTTTACAAAAATTATTTAATCTATATTACTCTATTGAGTGAATTATAAATTTACTTTTAAATAGTTTTTGGTAATTATACATACGATTTTTGTATTTTGTTTGACATTTACATTAAAAGAACAAATGGATGCTAAATGCTCAAGCTAAAAATCTCTACCTTAAAATATCAACCTTGTACTGCATTATCAATTTGTTTTTCTCTGTGTGACAGAAATATTAGCTGCCTTACAAGAATCTTTCTTCCTTTCTCTTTTATTAATAGAATATTGGTTTTGTTTAGGAAGTAAATGTATCCACTTAAAAATACTCATCAAGCCAGATTCCATTCTATCTAGTGGTAGTCATGTGAGGCAGTTCCAGTGGTAGAAGCCTATCAAGTAAGACATTTGCAGGAGCTATTATTTCCTAATATAAGATGAACAGACTTCACTGGCATGTGATTTTTGTTCTCACCAATCCCTTTCTTCTGCCCTAAGCACATGCTTGGATATGAAGAAGTTCATTGCCTATGAGAGGTAGGGGGACTGTCCACTTGCTAAAGGTGGCAGAGCAGGAAGCTAGAATAAACTTGGTCCTTCATGATTTCCTTGAGCAACTACAAGGAAGGACTTCCTATATCCTAACTTTCTGTAACATGATGAAAATAAAATCCTTGTTTAGTTGGATTTCTATTACATGTAAACAAAATGCAATACTGGCTGATAGCACTGGTTTCTTGCCCAGATCACTCTGATCTTTAAAAAGTTACATACATAAAACAATCAAAATATAAATATATATCTTTCCATGATATGATTTTAGATAACTAAGCACTTCAAATTTGTAAAGTTACTTTGATTTCATATAGCAAAGAAGAACCCATGCTTCCTCCGTTTTTTCTGACTCAAAAAATAAAGGTTAGAAATCATTTTATGTCACAATTAAGGATAAAATCCTTCTGAATATTTTTATTGTGTTATAAGGCACAAGCTTTAATTACACTACTAGATTTGTCTCTTTTCAAATGAGCATATGCTTCTTTAATTTCTGCATTCAAGCTCTCCTTGAATATAGAATACCAATTACATAAAATAATTGTGTGAACTCTTACAAGGCTCATTATTTTTCTGTTTTCATAATATTCTTATACTCATTAATAAGTGCAATGAAATGTTCTAAATCATATATTTCAAACATTACTAAATAATTATCTCCATAGGTTCACATTTATTTCTTCTCAAGAGTTATTTTTGTTGCTGTAAATTAAATAAAATATAAAACATTTCAATGATCAAAGAATAATCAAAAGAACCTTGCTTAGTGGAAGTAATGAACACAAATTTATAGGTAGCCTCAAAAATTGTTATTCAAACAGATTTCTTTAAATCTTCACAACTCACAAAAATCATGTCAGCATTTGGTAGGCTTATATCTCTTTAAGTCTTACTCCATTTGTGTTGCCATCCATTCATACCTCTTCACAATGATTTTCTCCAATTATCTCCTCATTTATGACATTTTCAGTCTCTTTCTCTTTCTAATCAATTATTTTCTAAAAAAAAAAAAAAGATAAGCGTTGACAAGAATGCAGAAAAATTGAAACCCTTGTACACCATTGGTAAAAATGTAAAACGGTGCAGCCACTGTATAAAACAATATGAAGATTCCTCAAAAAATTAAACATAGAACCACCATATGATCTAGCAATCCCCCTTCTGGGCTTATAGCAAGAATTTAAGCCAAGATCTCAAAGAGATGTCTGCACTCCCATGTTCATTGTGGCATTACTCACAATAGCCAAATGTGGGAACAACCTAAAATCTCCATCAATAGATGAATGGATAAAGAAAATGTGGCATAAACATACAATAGAATATTATTTACTCTCTAAAAAAGAAGGAAATCCTGTAATATGTTATAACATAGAGGAAACTTGAAGACATTATAAGTGAAATAAGCCAATCACAGAAGGGCAAATACTGCATGACTCCACTTATATAAAGTATCTAAAATAGTCAAGCTCATAGAAGCAATAGAAACAAACAGCAGAATGGTGGTTGCTAGGAGCTGGGGTGGGGGAAATAAGGAGTCGCTGCTTAACAGGTATAAAGTTTCGATTATGCAAGATGAACAAGTGCTAGAAATCTACTGTACAGCATAATGTCTGTGGTTAACAATAGTACATTGGGTACTTGAAAAATTGTTAAAAGGGTAGATCTCGTGTTAAGTAATCTTACCTCAATGAAAGAAAAAAGAAGGTGGCCAGTGCATGGTAGGCACTCAGTCAGTATTTGTTTCTGACTAATACCCAACTCTCTGTGAACTGAGTTTTCCACATGTCGTGTGTGCTTGTAGCTCTCACTTCTCCCCACCTGACTGGCCTCACAAAGACCTTTGAGATGTAGCAAGAGGACCAGGCCCCATCCTGCAGTTTATGAGCCTAGAAATCAGTCAGTGCCTTAGGCCAATTTCTGGGCACTCCCCACAGATGCCAAATTCTCAGCCTCTTTTGGATGATGATGAAATAATAGAATGGTTTGCTAGAGCATTAGGTATGGGTGGAGAGGAACATGTGGAAAGAAAAGACTTTCCTGAGGCAGAGGGATGGGTAAAGTCATCCCCCAAATCAAGGAACACTTAGGGAAAAAGGGAGGGTGTCCTTGACTTCAACTCACCATGTCACCATTGAGGAGACAAGACTTAGCAGGAGTTACCCCCTCCAGGAAGCCTTTGGCAATGTCACCTAGCTGGTTTATATCCCTTACCTGCTATAACAACCTCTAAATTACTCTATCATAGCATTTACTATATATGATTGAAATCATTTGCTTAGTCTGTTATCTACTTTAGATTCTGACTTATAGAGCAAAAACTTAAGTCTTATGTATCTCTGAATTTTCAGTGCATAGTTCAGTGCCTGAAACATAGCAGGTCTCACTACTCATTGAGTGAATCGATTTTTTGAAGTACATCTAGCTGAGCCCTCTGTTTCCATATCACTCTTTTCCCACAGTCCTGAAGTGGACTTACCATGCAAATAGCCATTCTATGTTGTTGGCATTCAAGACCACACCCCTGCATAGACCCATGGGCCAGCTGTGAGAACAAGTTCTTGAGTAGCCACACAACAAAAGGAGGAGCCCAGAGAGGCAAATCCGGGACTTGAGTCATGAAGGTGGCATTCTTTTTATAGCCTTCCTTGAAGAGAAACAGACTTAGCTGTAAACACAGAAAAGTCTTCACACACCCAAGCCTGTAAGTATGCATGTGAGGGGGCTGGTGTGTGTGTGTGTGTGCATGTGTGTGTGTGTGTGTGTTTTGCATATGTGTTTGTCACATGTGTGTGTGATGTATGTGTGCATAGTATGAGGTAGGGGTGTGTGTGTGTGTGCATAGGTGCACCTCTTCTGGGATAGAGAGTAAAGAAGCTGTTGCCTATATGACTATCTCCTTCACCCCAGCCTCCCATAACCTTCTATATGGACCATTCATTCAACAAATATTGATCATGTTTAGCCCCATATTAGTTTGAGCTTGCTACTATTGAAACTACTGTTTCACCTTCCCCAAAACAAAATTCCCCTCAGCTGCTGGTCTCATTCATTGAGATCAGCATGACTTGACTTCTGGAACATTTCTGGGACCTTATTTGGGCCTGGCTCTGTGTTAGTCTTGGGGAGGACATTTGTGGTCTGTCCTCAAGGGTTTAACACTATTGGGGTTAACAAATCATATACCCAAATGTCTCAAGAACCAAGAATATTCTACATATCCTAGTAGATCTGGGAAAGGCTATGGAAGTGAGAGAGTCTCTATTTAGGCAGATACATTCCTTGCAGATGAGAAAAGCTTCATGGAGAAGATGCTGTCTGATTTTGTGTTTCAATATCATTTTTTTTTCTTTTTGGATCTGTGAGAAACTCAGAATATCAGACGCTGTTCATTTAAAATGGAGGTAGCTGACATCTCATTATGTTCCCAGCCCTTCTTCTGGCATCCACGCTTCATTTCCAAGAGCACTAACATGTTTCTTAACTTATCTTTGACCTCCTGGCCAGACAGTACTCCTGTTTGCTCTTTGTCTATCGCTCTAGGCTCTGCTGCCTCTGGGAAACTCCAACCACAGCCCTGTTCCAGCCTGTGAGGTTTCCTCCACTCACATCCTTCCCACCCTAGACCATATCCAAATGACCTCCCCAGCTGCTCCCATCGCTAGTAGGGCTTTCTTATCGACCTCCTTAAGGTCCTCAGCCTGAGGTCCTCAGCCAGAGGTCAGCTCTACTCTCTTCTTCCTGGACCTACCGTGATGATGGAAGAAAACAGAACAATTTGTGAGTGCACCCCTGGCTATCCCCAGTTCATTCACTCCAACTTTCCAGAATTCCATTCTTTTGTGAGCAGATTTTTGAGGTCTCTTCCTCTTCTCAGAGAGTATTATTCCTCTGTCTATAGCCTGATTCTCAATAGAAACCTAGAATTCTATATTTCCATAAAAAATGAGCTCCCCCATTGGCTTGCTTTCATTTTATTCAGCTAGATTCCAGCAGCTTGAGGACAGGATCTTTTTACATGGCTTCCATTTGCATGGCACCTGATTCTGTGCTTAGATACATGGTAGGTGCTCAACAAATACCCAGGAGGTGCATTTTGTTTATTCCCCCAGTGCCTAGCAAAGGACACGGCGCACGAAGAAAGCCCCCTACATAGAAGATAGTAGTGGGGACGAACTGAGTGTGTGTGTGTGTGTGTGTGTGTGTGTGTGTAGGTGTGTAGCTGACTATAGAGAGACCCACCCTCACAGAACCTTGCTATGACCCAGAATTCCAGACACAGAGCCTAATCTCTCTTCCTGGAAGCAAGCATGATACCTGCTTGTCTGGGTTCCACACACCCACTTGCCTGTATTGTCCTGGCTGAAGGGTGTGCATGGAAAAGGAGGAGGAAAAAGGGAGGGAGCCACCACTGCCTCCTTCTACTCAGCCCCAGTTTCACTGCTAAGAGCAGAGAGAAGTTAGCCAGAAGCCAGGAGCCATGGGTAGTGGGACCAAAGGCTCCTGGGACCCACACCTGGGATCCTCTCTCCCATGCTTTGTAGCATTGTCTTGTTTCATGCCTATGAGAGACCAAACCCCAGCTCTTATGTCTGATTATTTACTGCCCAAAATGGAATTATATTTCAAATTGCTTATTTCATGTGTTTCTCCTAATTTTCTCAGGAACCAGGAAGCAAGACTGTATTTTAACATTGTAAGGTTGCATTTTAGGTCATCAGACCTAAATCTAGCAGGAGGTATGTGGTCCTCCCGAATGCTCCTGAGGAAACAGAGACCTGAGCTCAACTGGTCTCTCCCAGGTCAGAGAATATACAAGAAGATGCCCTATAGGACATCTATAGGACATCCTATAGATCTATATGTGCTATCATTTGGGACTTATCTATGACTGTGACTCTTTTCAGGCCATTGAATATCCTTCCTCCTCTGTCACTGGAGCTTAGCAGAATGTCATCTTGATTGGAGGAGGAGCTGTCTCATAAATGCTTTTTAAGATAAGTAACTAGTAGGCAACCCCAGAGCTGGGGTGAAAAGTGGAGTCCTAGAGGAAGAAGGCAGGTGCAGCTCATCTGACTTACTCCTGCTCCCCACCCTGGACACTCACAAGTACAAGCGCTCAAATGCCTTTGGCCTCCAGCTTAAACTAACCTGATGCACTGAAGTCTAAGGGCTTATTGCTCCCTCTTCAAAGGAGACTCACTGGAGGTTAAGTTATCTCTTTTAAGGAAATCAGGAGGGGAGCAGGGCCAGATTAGATGACGACTATCCTGTCCTTTGAGTGACGGGAGATAAAACCAAAGCTCCAGTGGTCTTATTGGGAGATCTAATGTCACCAAGACACTCCTTATGTTCTCTGCACCTGTCTTTTTCCATTTAGAATCACAGGCTTCTCCTCAGAAACCCTTGTGTCTGTATTCCAGGGATAGGGGAGCCACCCATAACAAAAAGGGAAACAACAATAACCATCTAGAAGGAAAAGGTTTTGGAGAAACTGGAAGCTCATCTACCTCCTTCGAACATTCTAAGTTTGCATCCTCTGGCTTCTCATCCAGTGGCCAGCAAGGCCCAGGTGGGCTTTCAGGGATGTCCAGCAGCAAGATTATGTGAGCAAAGAATTCAGGCTACCTTCTGGGAATGACAAGCAGGTCCTTATTGATGGGGCGTAAAGCCTGAACCAGGGAGTGCTAAGATCAGGCAGGAGAGGTAGGCAAGCCATATCCTAACAGAATCCAGACTTTATTCTGTAGGTAGAGGAAATGAGGGGCCTTTGAGAGATTCTGTGTTGGAGAATGACGTGGTCTCATTTACATTTGAAAATTTTTACTTTGACATTTCAGACTTAGAGAAACGTTTCAAGACTAATATAAAGATTCTTTAACACCTTTCACACAGATTCAGCCAGACTCCTAAGTGTTGATCTTTCTCTCTCTCTCCCTCTGTATATGAATTTACATGTACAGATACATGTATATATCATGTGTATATCAAACACATGTAATATAGATTTTATATATATATATATGTTTTCTTTTCTTTTTTGTTTTTTTTATTTTTTATTTTATTATTATTATACTTTAAGTTTTAGGGTACATGTGCACAATGTGCAGGTTAGTTACATATGTATACATGTGCCATGCTGGTGTGCTGCACACATTAACTCGTCATTTAGCATTGGGTATATCTCCTAATGCTATCCCTTCCCCCTCCCCCCACCCCACAACAGTCCCCAGAGTGTGATGTTCCCCTTCCTGTGTCCATGTGTTCTCATTGTTCAATTCCCACGTGTTCTCATTGTTCAATTCCCACCTATGAGTGAGAATATGCAGTGTTTGGTTTTTTGTTCTTGCAATAGTTTACAGAGAATGATGATTTCCAACTTCATCCATGTCCCTACAAAGGACATGAACTCATCATTTTTTATGGCTGCATAGTATTCCATGGTGTATATGTGCCACATTTTCTTAATCCAGTCTATCATTGTTGGACATTTGGGTTGGTTCCAAGTCTTTGCTATTGTGAATAGTGCTGCAATAAACATACGTGTGCATATGTCTTTATAGCAGCATGATTTATAGTCCTTTGGGTATATACCCAGCAATGGGATGGCTGGGTCAAATGGTATTTCTAGTTCTAAATCCCTGAGGAATCGCCACACTGACTTCCACAATGGTTGAACTAGTTTACAGTCCCTCCAACAGTGTAAAAGTGTTCCTATTTCTCCACATCCTCTCCAGCACCTGTTGTTTCCTGACTTTTTAATGATTGCCATTCTAACTGGTGTGAGATGGTATCTCATTGTGGTTTTGATTTGCATTTCTCTGATGGCCAGTGATGGTGAGCATTTTTTCATGTGTTTTTTGGCTGCATAAATGTCTTCTTTTGAAAAGTGTCTGTTCATGTCCTTCACCCACTTTTTGATGGGGTTGTTTGGTTTTTTCTTGTAAATTTGTTTGAGTTCATTGTAGATTCTGGATATTAGCCCTTTGTCAGATGAGTAGGTTGCGAAAATTTTCTCCCATTTTGTAGGTTTCCTGTTCACTCTGATGGTAGTTTCTTTTGCTGTGCAGAAGCTCTTTAGTTTAATTAGATCCCATTTGTCAATTTTGGCTTTTGTTGCCATTGCTTTTGGTGTTTTAGACATGAAGTCCTTGCCCATGCCTATGTCCTGAATGGTAATGCCTAGGTTTTCCTCTAGGGTTTTTATGGTTTTAGGTCTAACGTTTAAGTCTTTAATACATCTTGAATTAATTTTTGTATAAGGTGTAAGGAAGGGATCCAGTTTCAGCTTTCTACTTATGGCTAGCCAGTTTTCCCAGCACCATTTATTAAATAGGGAATCCTTTCCCCATTGCTTGTTTTTGTCAGGTTTGTCAAAGATCAGATAGTTGTAGATATGCGGCATTATTTCTGAGGGCTCTGTTCTGTTCCATTGATCTATATCTCTGTTTTGGTACCAGTACCATGCTGTTTTGGTTACTGTAGCCTTGTAGTATAGTTTGAAGTCAGGTAGCATGATGTCTCCAGCTTTGTTCTTTTGGCTTAGGATTGACTTGGCAATGTGGGCTCTTTTTTGGTTCCATATGAACTTTAAAGTAGTCTTTTCCAATTCTGTGAAGAAAGTCATTGGTAGCTTGATGGGGATGGCATTGAATCTATAAATTACGTTGGGCAGCATGGCCATTTTCACGATATTCATTCTTCCTACCCATGAGCATGGAATGTTCTTCCATTTGTTTGTATCCTCTTTTATTTCGTTGAGCAGCAGTTTGTAGTTCTCCTTGAAGAGGTCCTTCACATCCCTTGTAAGTTGGATTCCTAGGTATTTTATTCTCTTTGAAGCAATTGTGAATGGGAGTTCACTCATGATTTGGCTCTCTGTTTGTCTGTTATTGGTGTATAAGAATGCTTGTGATTTTTGTACATTGATTTTGTATCCTGAGACTTTGCAGAAGTTGCTTATCAGCTTAAGGAAATTTTGGGCTGAGACAATGGGGTTTTCTAGATATACAATCATGTCGTCTGCAAACAGGGACAATTTGACTTCCTCTTTTCCTAATTGAATACACTTTACTTCCTTCTCCTGCCTAATTGCCCTGGCCAGAACTTCCAACACTATGTTGAGTAGGAGTGGTGAGAGAGGGCATCACTGTCTTGTACCTACAAAGAGACTTAGACTCCCACACTATAATAATGGGAGACTTTAACACCGCACTGTCGACATTAGAAAGATCAATGAGACAGAAAGTTAACAAGGATACCCAGGAATTGAACTCAGCTGTGCACCAAGCGGACCTGATATACATTTTTTTCAGCACCACACCACACCTATTCCAAAATTGACCACATAGTTGGAAGTAAAGCTCTCCTCAGCAAATGTTATAATTTCAGAACAGAAATTATAACAAACTGTCTCTCAGACCACAGTGCAATCAAACTAGAACTCCGGATTAAGAAACTCACTCAAAACCACTCAACTACATGGAAACTGAACAACCTGCTCCTGAATGACTACTGGGTAGATAACGAAATGAAGGCAGAAATAAAGATGTTCTTTGAAACCAACGAGAACAAAAACACAACATACCAGAATCTCTGGGACACATTCAAAACAGTGTGTAGAGGGAAATTTATAGCACTAAATGCCCACAAGAGAAAGCAGGAAAGATCTAAAATTGAAACCCTAACATCCCAATTAAAAGAACTAGAAAAGCAAGAGCAAACACATTCAAAAGCTAGCAGAAGGCAAGAAATAACTAAAATCAGAGCAGAACTGAAGGAAATAGAGACACAAAAAACCCTTCAAAAAATTAATGACTCCAGGAGCTGGTTTTTTGAAAGGATCAACAAAACTGATAGACGGCTAGCAAGACTAATAAAGAAGAAAAGAGAGAAGAATCAAATAGACGCAATAAAAAATGATAAAGGGGATATCACCACCGATCCCACAGAAATACAAATTACCATCAGAGAATACTACAAACACCTCTACGCAAATAAACTAGAAAATCTAGAAGAAATGGATAAATTCCTGGACACATACACCCTCCCAAGACTAAACCAGGAAGAAGTTGAATCTCTGAATAGACCAATAACAGGCTCTGAAATTGTGGCAATAATCAATAGCTTACCAACAAAAAGAGTCCAGGACCAGATGGATTCACAGCCGAATTCTACCAGAGGTACAAGGAGGAACTGGTACCATTCCTTCTGAAACTATTCCAATCAGTAGAAAAAGAGAGAATCCTCCCTAACTCATTTTATGAGGCCAGCATCATCCTGATACCAAAGCTGGGTGGAGACACAACCAAAAAAGAGAATTTTAGACCAATATCCTTGATGAACATTGATGCAAAAATCCTCAATAAAATACTGGCAAACTGAATCCAGCAGCACATCAAAAAGCTTATCCACCATGATCAAGTGGGCTTCATCCCTGGGATGCAAGGCTGTTTCAATATACGCAAATCAATAAATGTAATCCAGCATATAAACAGAATCAAAGACAAAAACCACATGATTATCTCAATAGATGCAGAAAAGGCCTTTGACAAAATTCAACAACGCTTCATGCTAAAAACTCTCAATAAATTAGGTATTGATGGGACATATCTCAAAATAATAAGAGCTATCTATGACAAACCCACAGCCAATATCATAGTGAATGGGCGAAAACTGGAAGCATTCCCTTTGAATACTGGTATATGTTTTCTTTTCTTTTCCTGAACATTTTGAGAGTAAACTGAAGATATGATGCCCCTTTGCCCCTAAATATTTCAGTGTATATTTCCTAAAAACAAGAAATTATCTTATGTTTGCCTTTTAAAACAATCATTTTGGCTTCTATGTAGAAGAGAGTTTGCAGAGAGAGAGACTGTAGACAAGGGGATGGGCAAGGGACCTCTTCAGCAGTGAAGGCAAGAGCTGGTAAAGCCAGGACAGCCTAGGGCAGTGACCTAGAGATGGGTCAATGGGACTTGGCAAGTGGATGTAGTTAGAGGTAGTTCCCAGCTGCTGCCAGGGCTGCCAGGAGGATGGTAGGTGTGGCGAGAGCAGGGGGAAGGGATGAGAAGTTCAGTCCTGGACATGCTGAAATCAATGAGCCTTTGAAACACTAGATAAAGGTTTTTAAAATAAATGTATTTATTTTTAAATTGACAAATAATTACATACACATATTTATTAATTTATGGGGTGTAATATATGTTTGCATAGATCAAAACATCATTGTGCCCTAAACGGAGATATTGAGGCAGCAACTGGATATATGGTGGATCTGAAGGACAAGGTAGAGGCCCAGCCTGGGGATCTAGGGATAAAAAGTTGCTGGTCCTTCGAGGAAAGGTGGCATTTCACACCATGGGCATGAAAGAGATCACCACAGAAAGCAGGAGCCTCCTGGAGGCAGAACTGCAGAATTTCAGTCCTTCAGGGACTTCATTCCATAGCATGAGGCCATACAGGATGAGGGTATGTCTTGGTCTGCTGGGGCATCAAAGTACCCCGGTACTCCTCTCTCACGATGGTCAAGTCACTGGGTCTGGGCATGGTAAAGCCAGGTGGCTGTGGGGGCCATGGAGATGAACTGCTCCTGACCCACGACTAAAGGCTCCCTAGGAGTCGGTAAGAGAGTGGGTGATATGAAAGAGTTAATCCTCCAGGATCTGAGAGACTGGGCAAAGGCAGAGGAGGCATGAGCCGGACTGGGTTCTGTCTCAGTGAAGTCACCATGCAGGCCACAGCATGTCTCCCAGGCTGAGAGGGATGGACCAGAGCTTCACACTGTGTCCTGGAGAGTCTGGGAGGAGTCGGGAGGGATGGGGTGTGGCTGCTATGATAAGCCTGGTCCTGCCACCTCTGCAAAGGCCTGGCTTTTAGGAACAGGGATGCCAGGAGGGGAGAATTTCCAGCTGAGATTCTGACATCACCCAAAGTCCTCATTTGTTTGGTTGGTTGGTTGGCTTTGGGTTTCGGTCAAGCCCTCTCTATGGCATCTTATAAAATGTGACCTCAAGTAAGTCATTTCTCTTTTTTCATTCACCTATTCCATATTTGTTAGTGATTAGGCTTGAGAGACCACATTAGTGGTTCTTAGGTGTTTGGGTTTCACTAAACCTAAATTTTAAAAAAAATAGTCAATAAGGAACAACTCTTTATTTTGCCAAGTAAGGGCAAAGGCCCTTTGTAACAACCATCACTTTACAAAATAAAGATAATTTTAGTACTAGTAACTGTGAAAAGAATATAGCATCAAAAAATAAACAAAAGACCTTCCAAAGAAATAAAAGCCACTAATCTTATACCAACTGCTATAAAATAACCTTATACCAACTGCTCAGAGGAGAAGTCAGCCTCTGAGATGGGGCTGGTGTTGGCAGCAAGGCACTGGGGAAGACAGGAAAGGCCCCCAGACTGTGGACCCCTGTGGGCAGAAACATTTCTCATTTCTCTGTGGCTTGTTGAGAATGTCATCCGGTGTTGGCACAGTGCTTGGGTTGAGAGTTGGGAATGTTTTTTTCCTGATTACTGGGCTCCTTCCAGCTCTGGCACCTGTTAGTCCAGGGCACTCTGTGGTCCTTGACCGACAGACCAGTCCTCTGCCTCTGCTACCAGGGCAGAGGACTGGACCTTCTGGGGCCTAAAGCTTCTTTGCTTATGCTTCTGTCATTTATTTTCTAGTGCTTGGCACAAATCTGGTGCCCAGCAGGTGACATCCCTGACATCACTCCCTCCTCTCCAGCTGCCCTGCTGCTTCTCCTGGGTATTCTGCTCTGTCAGACACAATGTGTGTAAGCAAATGTCTTTTTTTTCCCTCCTCTCAGGCCTAATATCTGTATGCCCCATTTTTGTCACTTAGAATCATGAGGTCCCCTTGCCTCCTCCTTCCCTTTCCTTCCTTCCTCTCAGTCCTCCAGTCCTGGGTTTTCTCATTTCAAGTCATTCTTAAGCCTGTCTTCCCTCCCCACTTCTATTGCTGCCATCCTAGGTGAGGGCCCTATCATTTCTTCCCTCCCAACTGGTCTCCCTGCCTCCATCTCGTGCATCCTCACTCCTACCCCACCTCACCCTGAGTTCCACTGTCAAATCCATCCCCAGAATACTTTCAGTCTTGTCCCTCCTTTGGGAAAATTATACTGTGCTCAAACCTGGCACAGACCTTGGGGATGATTCTCTTTACAGAATAGAAAACCTGAGCCCCGGAGAGTGGAAACCAACCATCCAAAAGCACACAATTACCGGCCAAGCTAGAAGCTAGAACACCCAGGCCTTCTAAATATACACTAGTGCCTGTCCACCTCCTTATTATAATCAATAGAATTTTGAAAACTATACATTATACTATACATTATAACATTGGTAGAAGATTCCACCCTAAAGGTAACCTCTGCACTGTTTAGAAACAGGACCCAGCCTCCCACCCTGCAATTTCAGCTCTCCTGGCTAGTCTAGAGTGCAAGGCCTTCGCTGGGGTCTGGTCTCATGTCCACTGCCCAGTGCTCATCACCACTGCTCAGCCACTACACTCATGTTGACTTCTTCTTTTTCCAGACACACAAAGCATCTTTCTACCCTCAAACAGTTTCTCAGACCATTCTTTCATTAATTTCACAGAAAACAATTTAGCTTCAATTCTGAACCATAGTTTTGCTAGGTGCTAGGATACAAAGAT
This sequence comes from Homo sapiens, assembly GCF_000001405.40. NCBI lineage: Eukaryota > Metazoa > Chordata > Mammalia > Primates > Hominidae > Homo > Homo sapiens. Next base: position 152,943,481 of record NC_000001.11, read on the forward strand.
GAAGTCAGTGTTTCTTCCCACAAAGGGCCCACAGTTAAGGGTCATTTTCTGTCTTCCCCAGTGCCTTTCTGCCAACATCAGGCCCATCTCAGAGGCTGACCTCTCCTCTGAGCTCCTTCACCACCCTTGTTCCATATCACCCCTCAGGTCCTGGCTCACAATGCTGGCTGCCAGCACCAGCTCCTCTGTCATAGCTGGTCTGGCCTTATTTCCCCAAGAAGATCATGAGCTCTGAGAGGGTTGGCTCTATGTGTCACACAGCTCCCCATCCCCCACAGGACTTGGCGTGGGGTTTGCCTCCTGCACATGTGCTGAGTGACTGGAACACTGCTAAGCTCTTGCCCTTACCCTCTGCCCAGATAGGTCCTGGTCTTTCTCAGGTTGGATGTTCTGCAAGTGCCCAGAACTAGAAGCCAAGCGAGTGGGTGTCTATTCACAAGTCAGAGGCATCCTGGGGGGCAGGGCCACCCACCCCTGCCCCTAGTATACACCTCCATCCCTGCCACCTCACCATCAAGTTCATGTTTATGAAAGTGAAATAAGGAGGAGATGAACTCCTAAGAAAATCTGAAGAGGAAAATGATGTCCTCAAGAGCCATGTTGTGCCTTAGCCATATGGGAGCAACGCAGATGTGGGAAGTCATTTCCCGGCAGATAGGAACCTATGGTAGGTGGTATGTTCACATGTTTTGAGAATTGACAGAAGAGGCCGGGCATGGTGGCTTATGCCTATAATCTCAGCACTTTGTGAGGCCGAGGCAGGCATATCATTGGAGGTCAGGAGTTTGAGACCAACCTGGCCAACTTGGCGAATCCTCATCTCTACTGAAAATGCAAAAATTAGCCGGGTGTGCCAGGCATGATGGCACATGCCTGTAATCCCAGCTACTTGGGAGGCTGAGGCAGGAGAATTGCTTGAACCCGGGAGGCAGAGGTTGCAATGAGCCGAGATCGTGCCACTGCACTCCAGCCTGGGCAACGGAGTGAGACTCTGTCAAAAAAAAAAAAAATTGGCAGAAGATACCACCTTCCATCTCATCAACTTTACTGCATGCTGGCCTTATGCCCCCATAAATACTTGGGGCCAGAGTATAGGAAAGACCCCTGTGTTTATGTGTAAATGTGCATGCATGTGTGTGTGTGTGTGTGTGTGTGTGTGTGTGCGTGTGTGTGTGTGTGTGTGTGTGTGTGTGTGTGTGTGAGTCAGGATTGAAGAAAGAGAAAGACAGAGAGCAATGCTAATGAAGGTCAGTGGTTAATACCATTCCAAAACCTGGGATAAGTAATTGGGTTTCTTAGTGGCTTCTAGATTACCCATTCATTTTCTGTCCTCTGGTGTCAGAAGCAGTTCTGTGTTATACATTCTTGAGGTAGCTGACTCCACCACACTCACACACAAACACAAAAAAACCTGTCCTAGGTGGTTGGGGCACATACAAAAAATAATTAACAGGATTTAACACCCCAAGCCCCACAAATTAGCTGATGTTCACACTTTCTTCAGCCATGTAGGCATCATTCCAGTGACATGTGGGTTTGATTTCTTTGGTTAATACAAACCTAACAATTGAAAAGTATCTGTAAGAGTTGGAAGTAAGAAGGTAAGAGGACGTGACACAGTTTTAGTGCCCCTTCCCATCTACAAAGGCCTGATTCACAAGGACAGACTTGCCAAGCCAGGCTTCCCTCTGTCCTGTTGCCTTGGAAACAGCAAGGGCCTGGCCATCCTTGCTTCCCCCTGCATCCCCAGCATGGACATAGTGCCTGGCACATGGAACAATTGCATCTTAATGAATAAATGGTTAGCCCAGGATAACAACTCCACATAGTCTTTCTTCTCTGCTATTAGGGACCTGAGCTGAAATCCCTCTCTCAGGCTTTCTGGGGCTGCTTCTGTCTGAGTGATACCAGCTTGAAGGGATTCTCCTCCTGGGAAGGGCTGGACTCCTCTGGCCCTCCTTAGTTACTAGCCCGTGCACATCTTGTGATCCCAGAGAGTCAGGACCATGGTTTAAGAGAGAGAACATCGGTTTCCACACCTGTGTCTTCTAGTGATGCAGCATGACTCCCCAAGGTCTTGGGATGTTCTAAGGCTTTTATTAAATAGTGGAACCATGGCTAAATTTCATGGCTGAGATTTAAAATGTGCCATCTTCAGGACTAGCTTGCCTATTTCCATTTCTCTCACTCAAAAGTCTTTTTTAATGTATTTTTAGGGGAAAAGTAAAAATTATATATATGTACAGTGTACAATGTGATGTTTTGATATATGAATATATTGTGGGATGACTAAATCAAGCTATTTAATACATGTATTACCTCACATATGTATCATTTTTGTGTGGCGAAAACACTTAAAATCTACTCATTTAGCAATTTTCATGTCACATATTGTTATTAACTATAGTCAACATGACTTCCAGTGGATTCCTTGAACTTATTCCTCCTGTCTCTTTCAACCAAGAGCTTATGACACTGGGTGGCAAGTGCCACTACTTGCCTCCAACTTTTTTCAACTTCCTATTCCATATTTCTAAGAGTGTGTCTTGCCCTAGTATTCAAAGCCCATCTCCATGGAGCACCCAACGACTGTTGACCATGCATTTTGTGCCAAACACTTGCACATACTTTAAATAAGTTGTCCATTTTAATCCTTACAACTGACATGCAGAATGGTGCTGTTACCCTCTTTAGCAGGTGAGAAAATTGAAGTGCAAAAACATCTGGTTCCTAAGGTCACCCAACTGGTAAAAGGCAGAGCCTCAGTCTGAGCACCACTTGGGAATTTTTTAAAGATGAGCTCCATCCTTTGCCAGGTATGGGAAGCATCCAAGTCTGTATCCCGTGCCACCCTTCTTTGTCCTGGAACTTCTAACAGAAGTTAGGAGGAAGAGCCAGGACTGGGGCCCCAGGAGCTCAGAACCCAGAATCCAGTCACTGTGACTCCTCCATGAGCTCACTCTAATGCAATGCTTCTTAGCTTCCCCCACCCCCTCCACCTTATGATAATCATTTCCCTGGGAACCCTGGAGTCATATGGATATGTGATATATGTAGGGAGATTTAGAGATAAGCACTATCTACTGTAACCAACCAGTTTCCCCGAATGGGGCCTAACGATTTTCCCAATAGCAGAACAGACAGAGAGTGGCAGCTGCCATTTCTTGTATAAATAACAATAGGTAAAAAATGAAAGCCTCTTGTCTTGTCTTCCCACCAGTTCAAGCTGAATGTGACTCTGAGCCTAGGTCAAGTCAAAGTCACAACTTTGCTGAGGGTGGTGGGTTTCCAAGAGAGCCATCTGCCCCCTCAGCTGTTTTCTTATGTTACCTGCATAAGCTGCCTGTCCCATCCCCTCCTCTCTGCCAACCAGAACATCCCAGAACACTGCCCTCACACCCCCACACCCAGCATGGTCGGAATGCTTGCTTGGGACCATCCTAGATGCCAGGGATCTAAGTCAAAAGTCATGAGTGGGTTTGGAAATCCAAGGAAGCCAGTCCTCGTAAAATGATGGGGAGATGAGGCAAGGGGAGGGTGAAGGCACTGTCATCTCCAAATCCCGCCATACCAGCCCTGGGGGTGAGTAAAACTTAAAATTTGAGGAAGGACAGGTGGATCCTATTGTGACTAGGGACTAATTAGGACACCCCAATCCTGGGCCACCTCATGGCCTCAGGCAGGGATGAGAGGTATATAAAAGGTAGATAGGCTCAGAGCATCCCAAACCCCTCCACACCTATCTGCTCCAGTCGCTGGTGAACCTTGGTAAGTCTGGAAAGGTAGTACCTCTTATAGCAGCCTTGCCTTGCCTGCATCCCTAACCAACTATGGACTGGGCTGATTCTCTGGGTGGTGGTCAGAAAGGATGGGTCTTTTGGGGTACCTCTTTTTTCCATATCATTTGTGACAAACCTATCTTGGGTCCAGCAAGTTATCCAGCAGAGTAGTGTGGGAGGCTGGGCTGAGCAGGGAGAAGGAGGGGGGTATCTACAAGAGGGTCAGTATCTCAGCGATGCTGCTGGCATGGTGTGGGTGTTGCATCTTGTCAGGTGCTAAGAGGGAATTAGTAGGAGAGGAGAGACCAGTTCTGGGCAGAGCAACTGGAAGGACTGTCCTTTCAAAGAAAAGAGAAGGCAGGAAGGAAAGAGAACAGACTCCCTTGGGACAGCAGAGTTGTGGATGTCCATGGAGCAAAGGGCTGCAGGGACAAGACGATGTGGCACCATGGAAGGCTCTGCTCTGGGAATCAGGAGACCTCTTTTCCCACCATCTATGCCGAGTGGCTTTGAAGCCATTCCTTCCCTCTGAGGTTTGCTTTCCTCAACTGTAATTGAGAGAGGCAAGCTAGATAGTCCATTTCATCTATCTCTAGAGTTTTCTCTTTATAAACTCCTTTAGAGAGTGGTTAAGATGCGCCTTTTAAATTGTTTATGAATTTACTTAACAAATTACAACTCTTATATAGTGTTCATTTTGTGCTACTACTCTGCATGTGTGTGTCGGTACATACATACCTACGTATGCATGCATATTTTAAGTATGTATTTTATATACTCATTTAATTTTTGCACCAACTCTAAGAGAGGTAAGTATGGAAAACCTTAGTTGCTCAAAATCATATAGTTAATAAATGATTTAGCCAGAACTCAGATCCCAGGCAATTTATTCCAGATGCCACAGGTTTTGCTATAATAGGATACAACAGTCTGCTCTTTCATTCTTCCTCTTTTTTTTCCTCTCTCTCCCTTTTCTTTTTTTATGTTTTTCTTTCTTTTCAACCCCTCCTAACATTTCTGTTTTCCCTCCCTTCCTCCTTTCCTATCTTTCCTTCCTTCCATGTTTCTTTGTCTTGAAAAGAGTTGAAATAACTTGTAAACACTTAAAGTTTACACATGCGCGCGCGCACACACACACACACACTCCTCTTAAATCTGTGAAGGGATCAGGGCAAGGTAAAAGCAGAGCAGGACAGGAATGTGGCAGGGGGTTCACCTGGGCTTAGGGTCTCTCTATGGCTCAAGTGTTCCTCATTTCTGTGTCTTTCTGTTTCCAGTTGCAAGTCCAGCCCAGAATGTCTCAGCAGAAGCAGAAGCAGTGTGCTCCCCCGCAGCAGTGCTGCCCCCCACCCCAGCAGCGCTGCCCCCCACCCCAGCAGTGCTGCCCCCCGCCTCAACAGTGCTGCCCCCCACCCCAGCAGTGCTGCCCGCCGCCTCAACAATGCTGCCCCCCTCCCCAGCAGTGCTGTCCCCCACCCCAGCAGTGCTGCCCTCCACCTCAGCAGTACTGCCCCCCACCCCAACAGACCAAGCAGCCTTGCCAGCCCCCACCCAAGTGCCAGGAGCCCTGTGCCCCCAAGTGCCCACCCCCTCAGCAGTGCCAGACGTCCAAGCAGAAGTAAGCCCTGGGCATGTGATCAGAGGCGAACCCCCAGGAAAAACAGAGCATGAAGTTCCTTCTGGGCCAGCATCTTACACTCCACAGGCCAAGCAAAGCCCTGCTCACCAGTGCTTCTGGATGCAGCCACACTTCACACTTGCAGGAGAGGCAGCACCAGGCTGGCAGCTGGCGGCTTCCTCGAGCTCTACTCTTCTTAATTAGCAGCTGCAGTTTCCATCTCAGACAAGGATCTGGTTCTAAACTATCTAATCATCTTTCCTGACATGCATCTACATTGCCCTGCTGGAAACATGAGCGGCATGCACAGGCATCTTCTCCTACCACGCTTCCCCTCAGCTCCTGTTTTCAAACAATTAAAACAGAATTCCTCTGGCATGAATGTCTTGGTCTGATGATTTTGTTGTTTGAAAATGTAGCATTTCTGCAGTTTTTTTTTTTTTTTTTTTTTTTTGACGGAGTCTCGCTCTGTTGCCCAGGCTGGAGTGCAGTGGCGCGATCTCGGCTCACTGCTATCTCCGCCTCCCGGGTTCACGCCATTCTCCTGCCTCAGCCTCCCAAGTAGCTGGGACTACAGGCGCCCACCACCACGCCCAGCTAATTTTTTTGTATTTTTAGTAGAGACGGGGTTGCACTGTGTTAGCCGGGATGGTCTCGATCTCCTGACCTCGTGATCCGCCTGCCTCGGCCTCCCAAAGTGCTGGGATTACAGGCGTGAATCACCGCGCCCCACCGCATTTCTGCAGATTTTTTTATCCTGCCCCCAACCCAAAACTTAAGCAGAGCCAAGTGTGGGATGCAGGTGCAGGAGAAGGCACGGGGAGGAGCCTTCTGAGATGCCCAGACATTTACAAGGCTCGTACCAGGAAAAGAGGTGGGGACTTCTGCAACACAGACGCACACCACATTCACAGAAAATGAAGATGCAGGAAAGAACCACGGGGAGACAGTGCTCACCCAGAGAACATGTGCAAGGAAAAGCATTCTCCTAGGCCCAGACAGAGCAACAGAGCCTGCCAAAAAGACCTGCGCAGTAGAGGAAAAGGATTGAGGGAGGTAAGTTCTAACTCAGAGAGCACACTCTAAGGGCTGAAAAGAGTTGAGATAAGGCCTTAAAAATTCTCCCATAGGTAAAAGAAAAAGCCAAAGTTTCTTCAAGCTAATCAAGTATGTAATTAGGAGACAGTCTATGCAAACACTGCATACCCAACACACACACCCGACAGTAAATATTTGATCAAAATATCAGCTCCCATTATTTCTGTTTGGGGATTCTCTTGAACAATTTCCCCCCACTGCCATCCTGCTTTCAATTCTCTAAATTACTGGGGGATTGAAGTGACCAAATAATGCAGACCCACAGGGAATCCAAACTTCTGGTTTCTGCTATTTCAAATACCCTCTCCCAAGTTTCTCCACTAGACCCCTCTCTTACAAAATAGTCCACAGATTGATATATTAGAATCTCCTCCTATACCTGCCTCCCCTTTCATGCCTCTGGGCACCAGGGAAGCCACTGAGAACCAGCAGAAGTACGCAAACAAAGCCAGAGAAGACAATAATATAAACTAAAAATCTAGATTATCCCAACATATGTTACAGACACTGGAGAATGCAAAGTTAAAAACCAAAACTTTTACCATTGCTTCCCAGACGGGTGTGCTCTTCTTCCTCCATCATACCTCTTTCTGCGCCTTTCAGGTCTCATCTATTCATCCATCCATCCATCCATTTATCCATCATCCACCATGCATCAATGGACCCCTATTAAGCACCCTCTCTTGTTTGCTCATAATGTGGTGGACACTATGAAGATACACAGGGTTCTGGGTCTCACCCAAGATTATAAAGAACAATTAGACAAGGAAGCATCTAATGAAGGGATGATGGATGGTACAATACCTCACTTATGCCCTCAGAATTCAGAGGAGACAGACAGAATGAGAACAGTAAGAGCTGTTGAGGGTAGGAAGGAGAACTTGGTCCTCTCTGTAGTCATAGCACCTACCACAGGGCTCCCAGGGACTTGCCTGTTCAGTGATGAATACCTAGAGAAGGTGCAGTTTCTAGTGGAAGGACAGTAGGATTTGGCTAGGACAGAGAGCATCCCAGAACTGGATACAGCAGGAGCCAATGCTGTGGGATCCAGGTGTGCCCAGGAGGGCCAGCCCTCCGGTATATATCGAAGCCCCAGGACCAAGTGGTTGGAAAGTACGGCTGCTCACATCTGCTGTATACCACAGAAATTTGGGGGATGGCTCCACTTTTGTGACCTACTTCTCCTAACTCTTTTCCCAAGATATTGCATTCATCAGAAACTCAAGTCTTAGATACAGAAAACCAGCGAAAAGTTAAGTAAATCTTAACTGAACTCCCAGGAAGTGATGTAAAGTTTTAAACATTTTCCCGTATTCAGATATATCATTGAGCAGTCTCCAAATGTCTCTTTGCTCTAGTTCCATATGTTATCTTTCCCAGATTTCTCTCATATAGGCTCTTACCCTACTTGATTCAGCAACTTAACACGAGGTTCCGTTTTTCCTCTCTAGGCTTCATTTAATTTTCTCCTCTACTAATTATCATAATCTCCAGGTGTGCACATGTGCATGGATACATCCGTGTGTGCACACATGCTACGAGAGTGAGCAAGCCATAATCTAGAAATGTCCTTAGACGAGAAAAAGACTGCAAGTATGTGACCTTGCTGATTCTTCTTTGAATCCTGTCACACTAAGTTTGGATTCCAGAGCCACCCTTCTTTTGCATGTGACCTGGAACGAATCACATAACTTTTCTATGTCTCACTTTTCTCATCTGTATAGTGGGAAAACAACTGCCTCTTTGGGTTGATGGGGGTGGGGAGTGTTCAATGAGACAATGGAAATGAAGAAGAAAACATAGCATGACCCTAGGAGGTGTTGGATAGATTTCAGCTATCGTTTTGATGACCGTTCTCCAGGTCCTGATCAAGCAGCAAGCCTGCAGACGGCACGCTCCCCTTATCCCACCAGCCTCAGGACATGGGCTCCAGATCTTCAGTGACACAAAGTGTGAGGGAGCAGAGCACATATTGAGGGAAGGGACAAGGATCTGTTAAGTGGAGCAAAGGGTCTGAGCAGGTATTCATGGGGAAACAAGATTTAGTCTACAGTATAAGTACCCCATTTGGTGGTTGCCCTTCTCTTCCAGAATCTTCACCTTTGTGACACGTGCCCACAATGAATCATGTCCTCAAGGCAGTCCTGGGTGGTTATGGCTCATGGTGACTTTTACCTGTTGTTTTGTAAAGTGAGCTGTGTCTTTTTGAGGCAGGCTATGTTCCCTGGAGGCTTCTGAGATAACCAGACATTTACAAGGCTCCTACCAGGGTAAGATGTGGGGGACTTCTGCAGCACAGATGCACACAACATTCAAAGGAAAATAAGGATGCAACACATCACCAGGAGGAGATGATGCCCACCAGGAGAACACATGAAAGGAAGGGCATGCTGAGGCTGACAAGCCAAGGAAGCACCTACAGGAGCAGGGATTTGACCGACAGGGAAGTTGCCCAGCATTTATGCACATTAGCCTATTGCATGGTGGTTCCACCCTATTGAGGCAGGTGTCATTATTGCCATGACAGATGGAAGACTGAGGATCAGCAAAATCACTTATTTGCTCATAGTGGTAATGGCCTGTAGGTGGTAGGACTGAGGTTCAAACTCAGTGTGTTCTGGCTCTCTGGTCTTATTCTTTGAAACACAGCAAGTGGTCTTACATTGCTAGTGGCTAGGAGAAGCATAATGCCCGGACCCTGTCCTTTGAGAGTTTACCATCCACTGTTTCACTAGAAAGGCAGAGCTAGGCACGTTCGCAGTCACACACTTACACTTGTATGTACACAAATATACTCATGCATGTTTTTACATCATTTGATGTAGACATCAAAATAATATCTACGCCTCTCAGACTGACATTGAGCGTTGAGAGTGGAAGCTGGGGTCAAGTCCTAGAGGCCCCCTGCTGTGGATGCATCAGCCTCCTTATATCCTTATGGTGTGGGGGGCTGCGTAAGCAACCAGGGTGGTGCCAGGGCATGACAGGAAGGGAAGTTGGTGTGGCAGCCATTGGCCACCTATTACAAAATATTTTTAATATTTTTAAAACCATGGATTCAGTAACATCTGTGCAGACCGGCATGTAACTTCTGAATATCAGCCCTGTGCACACTCACTCTTGCACATTCACACGTTTGTCCACATACACTCATATTCCCACAAATATACAGCTCATTAACCCTCACATGAGAGCTCACCACACACCAACACACACTCACATGCGGTCAATCACACTCAAGTATGATTACACCCACTGACACACACTCACAGACACCCAGATGCACACACACACTCACACTGTAATTCCCACTGTTGAGCATGGCCCCAGAACATCAAATCCAGCTCTACTCCTGTGACCTAGTGACTTGTCCTCTCCCCTTTCTCCAGGCCTCTGCCACATTCCAGCAAGGATGTCTCACCATCTGGCTTGAGTGAAATTTCCACAGAACAGAGGTCTCAGGATGAAGAGTGTGATGCTGAGGGCTTCGAAGGGGGTATGCCTTCATCAGAGAAGTGCTTGTATACATATTCTCTTTATTCTGCTCCAAACAAAGAAATTCCATGGAAGATGGCATGGTAGGGTGCAGGAAAGAGAGTACCTACACATCTTGGAGTGTGACAGACCTGGGCTCAAATCTCCTCTTCCTTACTTTTGTATTAATCTTGGCCAACTTAACCTTTCTAAGCTAAAAAATGAGAATAACTTGAACTTCAAGTCCTAAATTTGAAGCTCAGAGTTTCTGACAGCAGTGGTGTTCTATCTTTCCCTCATGCCCTCCTCCACAAGCCCCAGGGAAAGGGAACCCCACTGCTAGATGCACATCCTGCTGTGTATGCCCAGGTTGTGGGGAGCAGGGGGACCCTAGCTGGTAATGGATTTCTGCAATGAAGCTTCAGCACTCGGCAGTCAGTCATCCTTTGAAGGAAGCCCTGCCTGTGGGTGCGGCCAGCTTCAGTGTGCTCCACCATCTCCTGCAGGTTTGTACGTGTGCCCTGGCAATCTGACATTCCTGGGAGAATCACAGATGCCTGGCACTGAAGACGCCCTGGGCGTGGCTTATACCCACCTATGCTGAAACTCCTCCCAGTCACTTTGGGGCTATCAGTTCGGCATGCCATGTTTAAGTGTGTTATTGTTGTCTGGGGGTCTTGTTCATACGCAGAGAACAGTCATTGTTTTACCCCAGACTCCTGACCCTTGATATTTGGTCCTCTGTCTTCTGGAATTTTTATGTCAACTCTCAGGAATTAGACTATGCAGCTTCCATCTCACTCTTAAATAAAATAAAAAGGGAACCATTTTCCCTGTCCTGGGCTCTCCAGGCAGCCCTTTGGCTCAAGTCTCCTCTGCCACCAAGGGCCGATGATGTGTGTGACATGAATGCTCATCTTCGGTGGACTTAGGAGACACTGGAGCTCTGAATTAGGAGCACTGGACAGAGTATATGAGAGCTGAGTATTGTCTTAGTTATTCTGCTGTTCTTCTGCGGGACCCAGGACAAGTCATTCCCTTTTCCCAGTGTCCTCACCTGTACATGACAATGTTGGACTTCCTGAACTATTTCTAAGCTTCTTTCAGTTCTGACTCTGTATGAGGTGACTCACGCTAATCTTTGTGTTTAATCTCTTCGCCTAATGATTCATCATCATGGAAAACCCTAAAAGAGGTAAGTCTGGGGTTGAAGGCCACCAGATGCTTCTGCATGGAGGCGTAGAGAAAGCTTAGCTAAAACATGCATCTGTATTTGAAGAGCACTCGGGCTTAGGACTAACTTTCCTCCCTCCAGGGAACCAACACATCCACCTTCCGGGGCCAGGTGTGTGTGTGTGTGTGTATGTGTGTTTAAGCAGCAATTTACTACTATAAGCAAGACACTATACTGGGATCTTAATACTTATCTTATATAATATACATTACTACCATATAAGTAAAAAATTTAATTTTGCAAATGAGGAAAGCAAGAACCAAAGAGGTTATAAACTTTGCCAGCTGAAAGAGCTGAGAGTCAAATATAGATCATTCTTGGCACAGAAAGACAAATACCACATGATCTACTTATGTGTGGGATCTAGAAAGTCAAACTCATGGAAGCAGAAAGTAGAAGGGTGGTTACCAGAGGCTGGGCATTGGGGAAGGACTGGGGAGATATTGGTCAAAGCAATATAAAATTTCAGTTTGATAGGAGGAATAAGTTCAAGAGATCTATCCTACAAGTGATGACTACAGTTAATAATGTATTATACACTTGAAAATCACTAAGAGTAGATTGTGTGTTCTCCCCACAAAAAAAAAAATCGTATGTGAAGGTACACATATATTAATTAGCTCAATTTAGCCATTCCACAATTTATGCATATTTCAAAACATTCTGTTGTACACAATAAAGATATACCACATTTGTCAATTAAAAATAAATTAAATAAAATTCCTTTAAAAATTTAAAAAGAAGAAAAAAGTCAACATTAGAGAAACTGGAAGGATATATAAAACCGCTTTGTACTATTTTGCAATTTTTCTGTAAACCTAAAATTATTCCAAAATAAAAATTTGTTAAAAATAACAAACAAATATAGATCTGTCTTTCATATAGGCCCACCCTTTTTTTTTATTATACTTTAAGTTTTAGGGTACATGTGCACATTGTGCAGGCTAGTTACATATGTATACATGTGCCGTGCTGGTGCGCTGCACCCACTAACTCGTCATCTAGCATTAGGTATATCTCCCAATGCTATCCCTCCCCCCTCCCCCCACCCCACCACAGTCCCCAGAGTGTGATATTCCCCTTCCTGTGTCCATGTGATCTCATTGTTCAATTCCCACCTATGAGTGAGAATATGCGGTGTTTGGTTTTTTGTTCTTGCGATAGTTTACTGAGAATGATGATTTCCAATTTCATCCATGTCCCTACAAAGGACATGAACTCATCATTTTTTATGGCTGCATAGTATTCCATGTTGTATATGTGCCACATTTTCTTAATCCAGTCTATCATTGTTGGACATTTGGGTTGGTTTCAAGTCTTTGCTATTGTGAATAATGCCGCAATAAACATACGTGTGCATGTGTCTTTATAGCAGCATGATTTATAGTCATTTGGGTATATACCCAGTAACGGGATGGCTGGGTCAAATGGTATTTCTAGTTCTAGATCCCTGAGGAATCGCCACACTGACTTCCACAATGGTTGAACTAGTTTACAGTCCCACCAACAGTGTAAAAGTGTTCCTATTTCTCCACATCCTCTCCAGCACCTGTTGTTTCCTGACTTTTTAATGATTGCCATTCTAACTGGTGTGAGATGATATCTCATAGTGGTTTTGATTTGCATTTCTCTGATGGCCAGTGATGATGAGCATTTTTTCATGTGTTTTTTGGCTGCATAAATGTCTTCTTTTGAGAAGTGTCTGTTCATGTCCTTCACCCACTTTTTGATGGGGTTGTTTGGTTTTTTCTTGTAAATTTGTTTGAGTTCATTGTAGATTCTGGATATTAGCCCTTTGTCAGATGAGTAGGTTGTGAAAATTTTCTCCCATTTTGTAGGTTGCCTGTTCACTCTGATAGTAATTTCTTTTGCTGTGCAGAAGCTCTTTAGTTTAATTAGATCCCATTTGTCAATTTTGGCTTTTGTTGCCATTGCTTTTGGTGTTTTGGACATGAAGTCCTTGCCCACGCCTATGTCCTGAATGGTAATGCCTAGGTTTTCTTCTAGGGTTTTTATGGTTTAAATCTAACGTTTAAATCTTTAATCCATCTTGAATTGATTTTTGTATAAGGTGTAAGGAAGGGATCCAGTTTCAGCTTTCTACATATGGCTAGCCAGTTTTCCCAGCACCATTTATTAAATAGGGAATCCTTTCCCCATTGCTTGTTTTTCTCAGGTTTGTCAAAGATCAGACAGGGATGCCCTCTCTCACCGCTCCTATTCAACATAGTGTTGGAAGTTCTGGCCAGGGCAATCAGGCAGGAGAAGGAAATAAAGGGTATTCAATTAGGAAAAGAGGAAGTCAAATTGTCCCTGTTTGCAGATGACATGATTGTTTATCTAGAAAACCCCATCATCTCAGCCCAAAATCTCCTTAAGCGATAAGCAACTTCGGCAAAGTCTCAGGATACAAAATCAATGTACAAAAATCACAAGCATTCTTATACACCAACAACAGACAAACAGAGAGCCAAATCATGAGTGAACTCCCATTCACAATTGCTTCAAAGAGAATAAAATACCTAGGAATCCAACTTACAAGGGATGTGAAGGACCTCTTCAAGGAGAACTACAAACCACTGCTCAAGGAAATAAAAGAGGATACAAACAAATGAAAGAACATTCCATGCTCATGGGTAGGAAGAATCAATATCGTGAAAATGGCCATACTGCCCAAGGTAATTTACAGATTCAATGCCATCCCCATCAAGCTACCAATGACTTTCTTCACAGAATTGGAAAAAACTACTTTAAAGTTCATATGGAACCAAAAAAGAGCCTGCATCGCCAACTCAATCCTAAGCCAAAAGAACAAAGCTGGAGGCATCACACTACCTGACTTCAAACTATACTACAAGGCTACAGTAACCAAAATAGCATGGTACAAAACAGAGATATAGATCAATGGAACAGAACAGAGCCCTCAGAAATAACGCCGCATACCTACAACTATCTGATCTTTGACAGGCCCACCCTTTTGACTATGGTTCCCATGGCTAAGCTGAATATTTTCCAAGGCAGGCAGGGCTGAGGTTTTTCTCATCTACATTTCATTGCACTAGTTGAAAGGGAACTCTGGGTATGTCTAATGCAATGCCTAGATGCAGGTTATGGCCTCCGTGGAGCTGGCCATATCTTGCTCCTCATATGGCCTTTATCTTGCTCCTCATAGCCTGGAGGAAATAAAATATAAATGGTGAAACAAGTGTGCATGCTAGGGCTTCTCTGATGGGAAAGGGTGAGAGGTCAGTGATTTTTAAGAGTGACAGGAAGCAGTAAGCCATATTCCTTTTGTCTTCATTGAATTCCCTATTCCATTCTTAGCATAAGACTAGATTTAGGTGGTGTCCTCTGCCTTGGCACCCTGAGAGCAAAGTGTGTGTGTATGCATATGTGTGTGTGCACGCATGTCTTCATGCCTGTACATGTGTTCATCTGCGTGTACATATGCATATGTGCATGCTATTGTCTTTGTGAACAATCAGGAAAGTGTCACCAGCAACCATAATCTTAATAGTTTCCCAATGGTCTTCCATCGTGCCCTGTTATCACTGCGGCCCCCTGTGAGGAGAGTTGTTAAATTAGAATCTTGGGGGTTTTTTGTTTGTTTTTTAAGGTGCTCATTTTGATTCTCCTTAGTACAGACTGGGAGCAGTCAATAGAATAGTGCTGGCTTTGCCATCCCAGGGGGCAGGTGCCCCTTGGTTGTAAGGCAGGTAGCAGAGAACAGTGGGTAAAGTAGGAGAGACCAAATAAAACAGCAGGCACCAGTGTCAGATGCATATGAACCAGAGCAACTCCATCTTGAATAGGAGCTGGGTAAAATGAGGCTGAAACCTACTGGGCTACATTCCCAGACAGTTAAGGCATTCTAAGCCACAGGATGAGCTAGGAGGTGACCACAAGATACAGGTCATTAAGACCTTGCTGATAAAATACCTTGCAGTAAACATGCCGGCTAAAACCCACCAAAACCAAGATGGCCACAAGAGTGACCTCTGGTCGTCCTCACTGCTACACTCTCACCAGTGCCATGACAGTTATAAACGAATGGCAATGTTAAGAAGTTACCCTACATGGTCTAAAAGGGGGCAGCATGAATAATCCACACCTTGTTTAGCATATAATCAAGAAATAACCATAAAAATTGGCAACCAGGAGCCCTCGGGGCTGCTCTGTCTATGCAGTAGCCATTCTTTTATTCCACTACTTTCTTAATAAACTTGCTTTCACTTTACTCACCCTGAATTCTTTCTTGCACAGGATCAAAGAACCCTTTCTTGGGGTCTGGATCGGGGCCCCTTTCCTGTAACACCAGCACCTTGTAAAAAGATGTACCAAGGCCAGGTAGAGCCTCATGACTCACCTGCAGATGCCGATAGAAGGACACCTGCAGCTCACAAGGGCTGATAACAAGCTCCTTCTATCTCCAGATTGGGCCAAGAAGGGCTCTCTGGCCCAGGGCTAGAAGCCAAAGGAGTCTTTGCAAGAAGACGACTAGGGTCTGAGTGGTAATTACAGCAGTCTGTGTGAGAACTCTCCACTACCTTAAATAATTTAAAGATAATCCTCTGAGGTTGGCAATGGAAATCACCCCTGAGACAGGATCTGTGGGAGTTCAGCACAATTCATGCTTCTCAAGAAATCTCCACTTGGAGATTTCTTGCTAACTGTGGCTTCTTTTTTTAAAAGTCCTTGCTTCAGAACTAAAATGAAGCCAGAGTAGCCTTCAAACAAAAAACATACCAAAGGCTCAGTCACAACCAAAGGTCAATGGGCATAGAGGTGATATGTGGCCAGATTATCTGGTCAATAAGCATGGTTTACTCATTTTCAGCACAGGCTTCACTGCAAGGGTGTCTTCCTGGCAAACCCCTGTCCTGCCTTGACGAGGCCAAAGCCACCATATCCTCACAACCCAGGAGCACACGCAAGCATCTCCCGGCCTTCCAAAGCTAGAACAGCACTTCATACTTCTCCCTGCTCCTTCAACAACAGTGGTTAGTGATGGTGGTTGTTCTTAAAGGGAAAAGATGGCAGAGATCTTTGCTCAGGTATCACCTTGTCCAGAAGCCCAGGGGAGATTTAAGTGTCCTACAGCCTTCCCTGGGTGATGTCTAGTGGTAAGTTGCACTTAGCTGGCCAGGAATTGTCACACTCTGTCTAAATCACTTGGTCACTTGTCTCCTTGTCCCAGTCTCACCACCTGCTTGTTCCCCAAACACAGGGAGTGACACTTAGAGGTCCTTACAGGTGTACTGATGGAGAACCTGCATGTTCAAACTACTGCTGGGTTTCGGAGGAAGTGGCCTCACCCTAGCTTGGGGGTGGCCGCTTTCCCCAACACAGCCTCCGGCCAAGGCCTGCTCTCTGTACACACCATTTGTCTGTGCAGCAACCCCCTCCTTCTGCACTCTACCATCTCTGCGGCTCACTCACTCCCCGAAAGAACCGCATGGCATCGGGCGGCCTATGCCTCCTGAGCCCTGCCTGTTCACAAGCCCTGTGCTGGAAGGTGCAGTCAACAGGCATGGAGAGCTTATGGTTCCCGAGAGAAACAGTGTGACTCAGTCTAAGTTATTTGAGCCAAACTAACTCAGGCTTGATTCATTTACCAGCTACACAACTTGGGGCAAGTTACCCTCTCTGGGCTTCAGTTTTCTTATTTACTAAACAGAGGTGGTGCTTCTCCTCCTATAGAGACCGGGGCTACAATGTAGCTGCTGTTTAGTAAATGGAATCCATTGCAGGGAGAGCTCCTGCTCTCTTCCCAGGTTGACTTGCCTGAACTCCACGGAACCCTTCCTAATTTCCCACCCCTTGCAATGACTGAAGCCAGCCCGTCTGCATCAAGCCCCAATGATGCCTGTACCTGGCAAAGGGACCAAGGCACTGGTTCCAATGGGGAGGTTACTGGCACCTCCTCCGACAGGAGTGTAGTCCAGCTTGAATGGCTGTGGGAATAGGAGGAGTGCCAGCTGAGGGCTCTATGGCCCTGTTTCTCTGCCTGTACAGTGAGGTACAGAGATCACTAAGGTCTCAGCTGGGTCCAAGGGTCCCAGGTCCTGTGGGTCCTGTGGGTCCTGTGGGTCAGCCAACAGCCTCCTGCGGCAAGAACTCCGCTGAAATTAGAAGCAGGTGCACCGGCTTAGCCCTGCCCAGCAGGTAGCGCTCTGCCCTAACCGCCTGGAGGGCTGACTTACGTGGTTTGACGCAAGGTTTCCTGGGTCAGAGTGAGGAAGGAGATGGTTTATTTAGCTTCCCAACCACAGACAAAAAGTTATTAGTAGAAAAATGTCAGCTGCCCACAAATAGTTTTTGTCATGTACTGTGTATGCCCAGGCTGGCTTCTCCATATTCCCTTCCCCTCTCTCTCCTCTTGTATCCCCCACCTGTACACACGCAGTCACATAGACGTATGTGCACACACACAAACACACACACACACACACGTGGGCCCATACACACACCTAAGTCGCTGTCTTAACTGCCGGTAGCATACACTGGAATTAAGCACTTACCTTCCCTTTGGCCAGTGTCAAGCAAAACTAGGAGGGAAATCTCCCTGGGAGAAAAAAGTCAGTGCTTGTATGTGCCAGTACATCAGTCAGGATAGGCTAAGTTACGCCTCGGTAACCAATGAACCACAAATCCCAGGGGCTTAAAACATAGGCTTATTTATAACCTTTGTTTTTATCCTGCATGTCCACTGAGGATCAGCTGCAGCCCTGCTGCACATTAATTGGATTTCAGGATCCAGACTGACAGAGCAGCCTGGGTCTGGAACATGGTCAGTCCTCTGAGGAGAGAGGAAAGAGGGCATAGTGAACCATGGCTCTTAAGGTTTACATCTTATGGACAAAGCAAGTCACATGGCCAGGGCTGCCATCAGCAATGCGGCAGGGAAATGTGCTCCCTGGGGAAGAGGGGAACAGGCAGCAAACTGTTTATGAACAATACGACAGTTTACCTCACCCACCGCAGAGATTGCTGTATTATCTGCCCCTTGGAATTACCGATCCCAGCATTGCCTTTTTTTGAACTGTAGACGTCATCTTAGGCAACCCAAGCAAGCTTTGTCAACTTCTCCTGTGTGCCAGCAGCTCTAAGGCACTGAGTGGAGGGAGGGAACCAAGAGTGAGAAAGATAGGCCCCTGCCTTTAACAGGCTCATAACTGAGCAAGGAAGAAAAGCTCAGAAACATATTAGAGGCATGAAATGAAACATATTAGAGGTAAGTTTGCCATGAGCCACAGAGACGGAAGGGCCTCAGGAGTGTCTAGCAAACTGCACTGTTCCACATCAGGCAAGCAGGTGTAAGTTCTCCTTTACAACCACATTGTGGGAGAGTCTACACTTATATGTACTCTCTGGACTTACCACATATTTGATTTTTCAAACACATATTCATTGTGTATCTCCTATAGGTCAGGTACTTATACTACACATAGGAGTCAATGGAAACTAGGGAATGTTCCTGCCTTCAAGGAGCTCACAGTTAACAGAGGGACAGACCAGGGGATATCCTATTCTAAAACAGTACAATCAGTGCTAGGACAGGAGCTTCCTGAACAGAGATGGGCACCTGGGTAACACAGAGTGGGAAATGTTCAGGGAAGAAATGATTCCATTTCTGAAGTGCTAAGAGTATCAGTCAGGCACAGATTAGGGACACAGTCCAGGTAGAGGGAATGGCTTGTTGGAGAACTATAGTTTTCTTTCTTTCTTCTTCTTCTACTTTTTTTTTTTTTTTTTTTTTGAGACAGTGTCTCATTCTGTCACCCAGAGCGGAATGCAGTGGTGTGATTTCGGCTCACTGCAACCTCCGCCTCCTGGGTTCAAGCAATTCTCCTGCCTCAGCCTCCCAAATAGCTGGGACTACAGGCACCTGCGACCACACCCAGCTAATTTTTTGTATTTTTAGTAGAGACAGGGTTTCACTGTGTTAGCCAGGGTGGTCTCGATCTCCTGATCTCATGATCTGCCTGCCTCGGCCTACCAAAGTCCTGGGATTACAGGCGTGAACCACCATACCTGGCCCTATTCTTCTTTATTTTAATTTAAATTGTGAGTCTTCTCAGAGTGGGGCCATGTGTGAAGGGCCTTTTATACCATGTAAAAAACTGTGGACTTTTTTCTGAGGCCTGAAGGAGTCACTGACGGGTTTAGGCTTGGAGTGGCTTGTTTACCATGGATACAAGGTATAGTCCTGCCTCTTCCCTTCTCATCCAGCTCAGGAGGGATGAATATGCCACATGGTCTATTTGTATTTCAGCCTACTGACTACATACAAGGCCAGTCTCAATGCCCAGTAGCAGCTGCGCAGATCTCTGGGTCCTGGTCGTGAACTCAGTGTCTCAGTGCTCACATGGCACTGTCTGAAACTGATTCTGGCAGACTTTGCTTGATGCAGCTGATTCCCCAGAAGGTTTCCTGGCCAGAGGTCAGGGCACTGACTTGACAGACTGGCCCAGCTTGTGGTATCAACTAATTTGTCTGTTTGATTTGGTTTCTTATCTCAGCCACCATCACTGACCTGAGGGACAATCAGAGCCCCAGCTCTTCATTCCCAGGGCCCAAAGCCTGGGGAATAATCAGGCTCCCCACTGGTTAGTGTCATCAGCAGAAATGTCCTGTTGCCCAACCATCTTCTTCCAGGAAGAGAGCTACTCTCCCTCCATGGCTACTGTGGCTGGTCTTTAGTTGACATTACATCCACTGAGCTTGGTTGACCAGTGACAAAGATTCTTTGCTTGACCAAACTTTAGTCAGGCTCCTGAAACTTCTTCTAGGCTTACCTGTGTACTTGCTTGTAAATTCAGTTTTAGCCAAGAACCAACCTTACTAAGTTTACCAAGAACCACCCACCCTCAATGTCTGATTACCCTTGATATATAATCAGGTTCCTTGACCTCCTCCATCCCCCATGTGAAGTCTGATCACCCTGGCTTATCTTCAGCAAGAATCCTGTTGGGTTTTTTTAGCCACAATTCTTCTTAGCTCTGCTGTTTCCTCTTAGTCACTTTTCATCCACTGACTCCCACCCTGCTCCTTGGCTATAGATTCTCATTTGCCCATGCTGTATTTGGAGTTGAGCTCAACCTCCCCTCTGCTGAAAATCCCATTGCAATGGTTCCTATATCTATCACAATGGTCCTGAATAGAGTCTTTCCTCAACACATGCAACAAGTGTCATTGAAATGTTTTTTCTTTGACACTAGAAATGAAAATCACAGGGAACTCCTAAGAGAAAGCAAGAAAGCAAGAAAGAAAACAAGAAAGCGAGAAAGCGAGAAAGCGAGAAAGAAAGAAAGAAAGAAAGAAACGAAAGAAAGAAAGAAAGAAAGAAACGAAAGAAAGAAAGAAAGAAAGAAAGAAAGAAAGAAAGAAAGAAAGAAAGAAAAGAAAGAAAGAAAGAAAGAAGGAAAAAATTAAGAAATAATTGTCCAGGCCAGGTGCAGTGGCTCATGCCTGTAATCCCAGCATTTGGGGAGGCTGAGGTGGGTGGATCACTTGAGGTCAGGAGTTTGAGACCAGCCTGGGCAACATGGTGAAACCCCATTCTACTAAAACTACAAAAATTAACTGGATGTGGGGGTGCATACCTGTGGTCCCAGCTACTCAGGAAGCTGAGGCAGGAGAATCGCTTGAATCTGGGAGGTAGAGGTTGCAGTGAGCCAAGATCATGACACTATACTCCAACCTGGGCTACAGCTTGAGACTCCACCTCAAAAAAAAAAAAAAAAGAAAAGAAATAACTGTTCAGCTTACATGATACAGTTCTTAGGGCATCCTTTGCAAAGCATTTTTTTGTTTTGTTTTCTACCCTTAGCCCCTCACCCTCTACAGGGCTTTCTTTCTTCTACTATACCAGGACTTGCTTTTCTAAATTAGTTGCCAGCCAGCCAGCCAAACAGTCGATGTATCAGTTGATCAAACACTCAACCAGCCAGCTAGTCAGTTGTTCAGTGAACTGGCCAGTTAGGCAGCTAGTCTATCAGCTCATTTCTTATTTATGCACCCACCTCCTCCCTCCCTCCATCTTTCACTTGCTCACTCACAGACTGACTCACTCAGCAGCATCCTTTAGTCATTGGACACCTGCTCACCAACTAGCTAGTCTATTATCTGGCCAAGCACCCATTTTTACTAGGGTGTAAGTTCTGTCTTGAGCATCCTTCCTACCCTTAAGGAGCTTGCACTCTGGGTGGATATAAAGAGCCACTCCACAGACACCACACATACATCAGTGTATTAACATCCAGGCACGAGGCCTCTTACAGGTGACAGTTGATTGCAGCATAGATCTTCAAGGTAGAAGAAGAGAAGGGAAGGGCTATGTATATGGTTCGGATAAACAGGGATTGCTACTTAAGCATTGGCCTGAACCTGAAAAGATAAATTAGTCCAAAACACATGCTAGGACTTCATGGGTTCTGCCTGTAAGGCCAAACTCTCAGCTGATTCATTTATATATCATCTACCCATTTATTCATGTGTCCATTTGCTGGTTCACATGTATGAAGTGGATATAATATGCGCTTGGTTAGTGTGAGGGATAGATGAGAAACACTCAAATAGCATAAATTAAAAGCTGTGGATATTGAGCAAAGGAGGGAAGCACATCTTTTGGGAAAGATTGGGGAAAGGGGCCATGGGGAAAGTGGTGTTTAAGATGGTTCCTGAAGACTGAATTTCACTGGGAAATCTGGGAGTAGGGCACCATGACAGATTGAATAGTTCGAGGCAGGAAAGTATGGGCAAGTTCTGGAAATGAATAGTTTTGTCTGGAACTGTCTTAAGGAAGCTAAAACAGGAATTATAGGTGGTGGTAGCTTATGCAAGATCTTTAAACGGTTTATATTCCCTCCCCTTCTTCAAGTGCCTGAAGGACTGTTATGTATACGCTCTAGCACACTGCTCCCTGCTTTAGGCTGAATCGGGAATGGTGGCTACCTGCATGCATGTGACCACTCACCTCTCTCATAGCGGACACCATTTACCAAGGAAGGCACTCTTACCCACTGATCCTGAAATCAACCTCAACACCCTCAATTCACTGTCAATTCCACCAGGATGAAACAAGGCTGCCTTCCCTGACCTAATCATACATTTACAGACTCTTAGCCCTCAATGGAACCTTAGCAATAATGTTGGCCAATCTTTTCATATTGGAAACCAGGAAAATTGAGGCCCAGGAAAGTTAGGGGATGTACCCAAGATTTCACAGCCAGTGAGGGGCGAGTATTCCTAGAGCTATCTCCCTCCTCCCTCAGCTCCCTCCCTGTGTCTCTAACTGCAACCATGTCACATCACAGGAAAGGGGGACTAGTGCTTCAGCTCCATTTGTCTTCCATGAGGCAGATCCTAGCATGCTTCCCAGATGGGCGACTTGGCTACTCACCCCCACCCTTCCACTACCAGTGCTCAGCTTCCACAGTGCATGGTCTATGGATGTTCCATGGAGACCAGTGTATCACACAAGGTCCAGGGCTCGTTTCCCCCTAAACTCCTAGTACTGCCTAGGGTCTTCTAGAAATGTATCATAGTGGGATGAGGGGTGGAGCGAGGAGATAAATTAACCACACATTTCTGGAGATTCATCTTCTCACTGTTCTCCCTCCAAGGAAGTCCTTCTGTGAAAGGAACTTCCTTTAGTATTATCATACAGAATATCTAACATTGGTATCAAAACATCTTCTATGCAGACAGCCTAAATTAGAGGGTGAAATGACTTATATTGCAAATGGACTTCCTACATTTAAAAAAAAAAGTTGCAAGGTCTCCTTAAGTAGCATCTTCCAAAGTGTCTATTGACAGATTGTTAAGTAATTAGTGAAGGGAGAAACACGAAACTAAAATTTTCTAAGCCATGACTGCTGGTTAACTATCAACCCAAAATTAAGATAAATCAAATATTACATTATTCTGATTTTATTTTATTTTATTTTATTTTTTGAGACAGGGTCTCATTTGGTCACCCAGGCTGGAGTGCAGTGGCTCGATCATGGTTCACTGCAGCCTCAACCTCCTGGGCTTAAGTGATCCTCCTGCATCACCCTTTCGAGTAGTTGGGATGACAGACATGTGCCACCATGCCTGACTAACTTTTAAATTTATTTTGTAGGGACAAGATCTCTCCATGTTGCCCAGCCTGGTCTCAAACTCCTAGCCACAAGCCATCTGTCCGCCTGGATCTCCCAAAGTGCCAGAATTACAGGCATGAGCCACCATGCCCAGCTAAATCTAATTTTTAAAATAAGATGCTACTTGCTCGGTTTTGAATTTTCACCTTACAAGGACAAGCAGCTAAAATTCAGGAACCCTGGCCCCAAACCTCCACTGTCTTCTCTACTAAGCTTGGTCCTCCTCCCCTAAAACTCTCTGATGATTCACCCAGGATGCTCCTTTTTGCCTTTTCTTCTTTCATTCCTGGAAATGGCATAATAAATATGTTCCATTTGTCTCCAGATGAAGTCATTAACAACCTTTCTTTTCTCCAAAATCCAGAGACAAATAGGAAGATGTGTCTGGATTAAGAGTTAAATTATTAACACTGTCTCTGATAGGTCCCCTCCCAGTGCTCAGGCCTCTGCCAGTTACCCCATTGTTTGCCTGCAGGGTGGAGCTGGGTTTCTCAAGCTTTGACTCAGCTTCAGAAATGAGTCTTAACTGCGCCCTCCCTTCCCTGATGGAGTCACAGGCACGCACCTGCTCTCAGGTGCCTGCTCCCCTGAGCGGGAAGATGCAGAGCCCGGCTTTCTGGTTTTTAATACAGCGTGGTCCTTTGAAGATAAGAAAGCAGATGCAGAACTCCAGATTGGCCAGGACACAGTCCCGTGGCTCGGCTGGGGCAGTGGGGCTGGGAGGGGTGACTGCAGAGTCACCATTCCACACAGCTTCCCAGGGCCCACCTTATCTGGAGGGGTTGATTTGAGGGGTGGCAGGAAGTCTCCCCTCTCCTTTGAAAGCATAATCCACTGCCCTAGCCAGCCAGGGTGTTTGGAAATCAGCTATTACCCATTTAAGAGACTTGGGTGAACCCTCCCTCCTGGATTCTGGATCCAGCGACCATCAGAGCTAGTTTTCTCGCCTATAAAATGTATAATACAATTAGCTTTCTTCATAGTGTGTTGTGAAAACCGCATATGGAAGTGTTTGATAAGGTTTAGTAACTAATAAAAAAGCAGCTGTGTCTGGCAGTGTGAGACAGGGATCAGTGAAGATCTCTTAGAAGGGGTAGGGAGGACACGCTAGCGCTAGCGGGGAAAAGAGTACCTGGCTTCCACCGCATGTTCTCACTCATAGGTGGGAATTGAACAATGAGAATACATGGACACAGGAAGGGGAACATCACACACAGGGGACTGTTGTGGTGGGGGGGAGGGGGGAGGGATAGCATTAGGAGACACCTAATGCTAAATGATGAGTTAATGGGTGCAGCACACCATCATGGCACATGTATACATATGTAACAAACCTGCACGTTGTGCACATGTACCCTAAAACTTAAAGTATAATTAAAAAAAAAAAGAGTACCTGGCTTCCAAGGAGGGAATCGGGAGGAAGACTGGGGCAAGAAGAGGTGGAGACCACCTCAAGCAGCTTCGTAATTTGTCATCAGTGCAGCCTCTGCTAAGAAGCTGCCCAGTATTTCACTCCTATCAGCTGACTGAGAGGGACTGTGGTGTCAGGAGACCTGCAATTCAACCCTGGCTTTGACATTAGCCCTCATGTGACCTTGGGGTAGATATGGCCTCATTCAAAGTTTCAGTTTCCCTCTCTGTAGACTGGCAATAATGTAGCTGACAGGGAAGTCGAGTGTGGAGGTTTTGAAAGGTGTAACATGTTGAATGCACATGAGGTTGACTGGGTCTTGAATGTTTATGATCTATGACACATGGTCCCTTTAAGGCCAGCCATATTTAGGTCTCTATCTGGGTCACCCCTGGGGTATCCTCTGAGATGATAGCTGTTTTATAAGCCGAGTTTTATCACATGACAGAATGCTTCAAAACTAAGCAGGAGTCCTTTATTAATAAAATAAAAGGGCAATGATGAAATTGGGAAAAATAGGAGTAAAATTCATTGCAGTAAACCCACATGGGTGACTGGGACATGAGGGATGGAGCTGCCCATCTGTTCACAGGCAATACACACATACCAGTGCCTTCAAGGCACCAGGTATATGAAAAGCCTTGGTCTATGTCCATGCAAATCTGTCTTGCTGCGTAGTTTCCTTGTGGAGAGTTCATATCAGCAAGAGCACAGAGGACTGGGGGTATGTGGAAGTGAGGGCTGCAGGTGGAGATGGTGTTCTTCTTGGAGGTGGAATGCAGAACCAGAATCTGGAACCCAGAATATTACATTCTTAGTGTTGCTAGGCTTGGGAAGAGGAAGTGGGGGAGGTCTGGCCTGGAGGGGAAAATTAAGGGGCTGATTAAAGTGAGGCTGACCCTGAAAAATGAACAGTATTCCATCCACATAAGACAGAAAGCTCAGGAGACGTTATTAGTCATGGTCCCCACCCAATGACAGTGACTTGTCCACCATGGAGATGCTGACTGCGGTGATGGAGTGGAAATGAGCCCCAGGCCAGGCACCCACCCAGCTCCACCCTGAGCAGCTGCATGTGGTTGAGCAGGTCCTTTAACTTCTTTGGGCCAGCCTCTTTAAATTGTCAGTAAAATTGTCATGAGGATTAAATGAGGTGAGGGATTTGAAAAATGCTTTGGAAAGTACATTAAGGTATTCCTATCATTTCTCAGGCCATCCTACCCCTTCCTCTGGTGATGGCAGTGGTGAGCCCTTGCATGGCCTCTTGTTGGGCAGCATCCTGAGGTCGATCTTTGGGGTAGAGGGCTAGAGGTGGACCAGCTTCCCAGAGGCCCTGCCTTTCTCCATCCCAGGGCCTAGGAGGCTAAATGGAGGACCAGGGCTCCTTCCTGCCACCTAGATAAGGCCCTGAGTAGGATTGCTGTATTTAGCAAATAAAAATAGAGCCTGCCCAGTGAAATTTGAATTTCATATGAACTACAAGTAATTTTTGAGTATGTTTCCTGCAATATTTGGAATATACTTATACTTTTAAAATATTCTGTTATCTGAGATTCAAATTTAACTGAATGTCCTGTATTTTATGTGGCAAGTCTACCACAGGGGCCAATTCTATCCCATGTTCTGTAACCACCACGAATACTCCTCAGCACCCCAACTCCCAATGGGCAGATGGGGACAGCACCGCCGTGTGCTGGGGCACCATTCACATCATCTTCTACCTGTGCCCCAGAGAAGCCTCACAGAACACTTCGTGAACTGTCCCCCTGGAATAGGAAGGACACTTGCACTGTGTATTGAGGAAGGGGGATGAGTGGTACCTGGGGCTAGGCATTGAATCATCCAGATCTGAATTCAAATCCCATCTCTGCTGTTTAATCTTTCTCAGCCTCACTTTTTTCATCTGCAAAATGGTAACAACGACACTTTCCCTAGAGGGGCCATGAAGATGAAATGAAATAATAAGCATGACGGATGGTCCTGGTGCTAGCCTCACAGTGAGTGCTCAAGAAATGGCAGCAATTTGCAGAAAAAGGGATGTTCACATTTTTGTCAGAATTGCCCCAAACCCCATCCTCTCCCTCTTCCTCTTTTTTCTTCAATATTTCTTATAACTGTCTGTCTGCAAACAGCTCCTTCAATTTGTACTATATTTAAAAGATCTTGAATCCCTGAGTTTGAGCAAACACCTTTGGTGGGTTAAATCAGCTCAGGTGCAGAGACTTGGAATGCTGAAAATATATGGTGGGTGGCTTTCATCAAAACAGGTCAGCAAAGCAAGTCCCTGAAGGAAGTGCAGGTGGGAGAAGTGGGTGAGGAATTCCCTGGGAGGTGGTAATCAGGACCACACCAAGTGCCCAGGGCAGGTTGGGGGCCCTATAAAGGCTCCTGGAGTGGCTCTGCCTGTGGACAAGGGCTCAGCCTCCTCTCCTGGGGTCCAGCTTGTCGCCTCTGGTAAGTGAGAACTCATCTGTTCTCCTGGGATTTGTGGGGCGCTTTCCTTCTCCTTTAACTCCTTTGAGCCGCTAGGCCAAGATCCTCTTCCATCCTTGGGTAATCAGGGAAGTGACACAAGTCTTCTGACAATTGCGGAAATGGCACACTAATCGGTACTTAGAAAGTTTAATCTCCATTCCGCACCATTGCTCAGTATGACTTATTTTCTGATCATGGGTTTGACTCCCCAGAAAGAAGATTTTTATTGTTGAAGAAGGAGATATTTAGAGCTACAGGATTTTGTAGCAATTCCGAGCCCTGTTTAAAGGTTTCTCACACCCTATTCTGCATTTTGCTTACCAGTAAGCTTTAAACTTTTCTTCCAGGTGTATGCAAACAGGTATATTGAACATTTTATTCAATCCTATGCAGCTCTCATGCTTCCCTATTCTGATTGCCACCTCTTTACTTCCTGAGGCCTGCACTTCCCATCTATAATCATTAACTTAGACCATAAGGAACACTGCCTACAAAGATAGCCAGAGACCCTCATCAGAGCTGGGAAGGCTTCAGGGAACTTCCTGACCAGCATCCTTCTAATAAGGGTGCTGAGACCCACAGAAGGAAGGTTGCCCATGAAGTTAATGGCAGGATGGACCTAGAACCAATGTCTGAGCCTTCTTGGCTAGCGCTCTTTCCTTTGAACATCCTCCTGTCATCCTTTGGCTCCAGTGATCTATTTGGCTGGCCCTCAAGCTTCCCAGTTCTTTGTAGAGGGCTGGAACCACTATCCTGTAGCCACATAGGACTTGCCTTAGTCTCCCATGGTGAGTCAGGGGTGGAGCAGGGATTAGAGATCAGGCCTCTGCATTCTTATACACCCCTTCTCCAGCCCGATCTCTCACACACACACACACACACACACACACACACACACTCACACACACACCATGATGCTTACCTGTAAGACAGAGACTGTTTTTGTCCTCTCCTCATGCCCCTACATCCTTGCCCATTCTCATTGTCTGCATTATCAAAGGGAGCCAGTTGACATTGTCCAGATCTGTCAGCTAAGATGGCATGCTTTGACCTTGTAAAATGTCTGGGCTACTTTTTAACCATCTTTTTAAAAAGGGTGTTAAAAGGCTACTTTTTAACACCCTTCTCATGGTGTCCCTGCCCGGTTTCCTTTAGGCTCACCTGTTCCTAGAGCAATGTCTTCCCAGCAGCAGCAGCGGCAGCAGCAGCAGTGCCCACCCCAGAGGGCCCAGCAGCAGCAAGTGAAGCAGCCTTGTCAGCCACCCCCTGTTAAATGTCAAGAGACATGTGCACCCAAAACCAAGGATCCATGTGCTCCCCAGGTCAAGAAGCAATGCCCACCGAAAGGCACCATCATTCCAGCCCAGCAGAAGTGTCCCTCAGCCCAGCAAGCCTCCAAGAGCAAACAGAAGTAAGGATGGACTGGATATTACCATCATCCACCATCCTGGCTACCAGATGGAACCTTCTCTTCTTCCTTCTCCTCTTCCCTCCAGCTCTTGAGCCTACCCTCCTCTCACATCTCCTCCTGCCCAAGATGTAAGGAAGCATTGTAAGGATTTCTTCCCATCGTACCCTTCCCCACACATACCACCTTGGCTTCTTCTATATCCCACCCCGATGCTCTCCCAGGTGGGTGTGAGAGAGACCTCATTCTCTGCAGGCTCCAGCGTGGCCACAGCTAAGGCCCATCCATTTCCCAAAGTGAGGAAAGTGTCTGGGCTTCTTCTGGGGTTCCACCCTGACAAGTAGGGTCACAGAGGCTGGTGCACAGTTTCTGCCTCATTCCTCTCCATGATGCCCCCTGCTCTGGGCTTCTCTCCTGTTTTCCCCAATAAATATGTGCCTCATGTAATAAATGTGTCTGCTTCCTGGGCTAATTGTCCACTCCCAGTCCCATTCTGTGATTCATTCATTCATTCAGAGGGAACATTTTAGGGAAGTGAAGGTGCAAGTACACACATGCCCGGGAGTTCAGGAAGTCACTCTTATGGACACAGTTACTCTCTGGTAACCAACAATGGGGAAACATATCCAGATGTATCTCAGGTAAAGGAGGACAGAAAACAAGCCCAGCAACTAATTGGCAAAAGTCTAATAGAGTCTTGCATAACTAATACCATCTAGGGAAGATCAAAAGGGAGGAAAATTTAGCTCCTACCATTAGAAGCCCAGCCCACCTGATGAATGCAGTTTTTTCCTCTTGGAAGTTGTCATTCTGAAAAAGCACACAAAGCATACATAAATGACCTGAGTCCTGCAAAACATTTCTACAAACATGTGCAACTGACTTTTTCATGTATTTGCTTATGTTTTTGTTCATTCATTAACTCACACTCATTCACTTACATATTCATACTCAACTCATCTGATATTTGGCAAGTTCTAGAATGACCTTAGTTTTCCACTCTGCCATGCTGGATTTCCAGAGCTATCCAGAGTCAATTTATCCTGTGTCTCAGTGTACTGTTTGGAAGGCAGTCATTTTCTTACACAGGGAAATATTGTTCCGGGGATGGCCACATACAGAGAGTTTGTACAAAGTATACAGGGCCTGGTTTTGTCAGTTAGTCTGACTTTACACAGCTTATAAAAGAAACCTGTTTTTACAACTGGCTTCCTGACCCTCCTAACCCACGTGTGAGACCAGCTGCCTATATTGGAAAGAAGCGGCAAACCTCTCAGATATAAAGAAAGATAAGTATTCGAAGAAGAGACCCTGAGTAGGAAGAAGCAGCTGAATGGAGTTCGATTTTCTCCCCTTGAGCTTTATTCTTTTCCTGGGATTTAGTCACTCAATTTCAGTTGCCACCATCAAGCATAAATTGCTTTCTCACTTAACACACTAGCCTAAAAGGGAACAAATAACCACCTTCTCTACTTCCCCTTAAAGTAGCGATCCATGGCTGATATTTCCAAGTCATAGTTACTTAAAACTTAGTGGGTACCGACATTAACCAGGAAAGCCAAAGTATTGCAAACACAATTAAGATTCATTCTAGCCCTAAGAATTCATTGACAGCCTTTCTGTGCCCCAATCCCTGCATCCTAAAATAACTCCCCTCTGTCAAGTAGAAAAGCCAGTCTGTCTTATTCCCCTTCCTGGCTTCCTTCCATCTAAGCCCTATCCAGTTTCTTGGACACACTGTTTTTCAGAGTTTTCATGTCATTTTCATGTCTCCCAAGAAGGCCTTGGCAAGTCTTCCCACAGACTTTTGAGTACCAGGCTGATAGATTTGCATAGTCTTCAGCTAATTGGACAGATAGGGGTGATTGAAACAATGAATGCTTCTGCTGTGATATGTGTCTCAGGTTATTAACTCAGTGAGGAAGGGGAGACACCCATGTTTTCCACACCAGTGGCCAAGGACAAAGTCCCATCTCTGCATGAGTAGGTGGGCATCCATTCCCCCTTATGAAGAAATTCTTTTATGTAATTCTACCCTTCAGAAGTTCACAAAGCAACATTGGCTTATGTCAAAATCCCAGCCATAATTAAACTCATAAAAGTTAAAATATGAGCCCTTAAAGAACAGGAGTCTTGTTTACCTCACTATCCCCAAATGTGCAATGACTAGCTTTTCAAAAGTACAGAAGAAAGAACTGCTTCTGAGTGGAAAAGGACAGCCTGTGGCAAGCCAGCAGCCTAGTGTACATCTAGAGCAAATTACAAACTAGCTGCACCCACCTGGGGACCCTAAAACTCCAGAGATAGGAGAGCCTCAGAGAGGTGAGCCAACAAATGTTTACCTGGGATAATCTGTGGATTCTGGGCAAGAGCAGAAGAATAAAAACCAAAGCTTTCTACTGTGGAGGATCATTGCTAGGGACAGAGAGACCAGAGAATTTATGGGTGCTCTAGGGGGCGGTCTTTAAGCAAGTGGTTGATATTCCACTTGGAACATGTAATGAATTCTAGGAATGGTCAGGTCAGGATATTAAATACCTAAGCAGAAAGTCTTTGAAATGTAAAGTGGAGTTTTTAGTAGGTTTATGAAACAATGAATGGAGTTTGCAACCTGCCAGGTGGAGGGCCTCTGGCAAACACACCAGATAGAGAGTTAAAAACTGAAAGGCCAGGGATAATTCTACTCTGTTGGATAGAAGTCAAAATCATGGCCATCGCTGGGGAGAGTACCAACTGGAAGGGGATATGATGAAGCTGTCTGAGATTCTGGAAAAGTTCTCAGCCTAGTGGGTGCCAGTTACCTGGGTTCATATATATATCAAAACATACACTCAACTGATTTGTGCATTTTTTTTGTTAGTTTAACCTCAATAAAATAGAAATATCATTAAAATAGTATCAATTATCCTAAATAAGTTTAATGAAAGATATGATGTTTATACTAAAAATATAAAACATTATTGAGAGAAACTAAGAGAGAACTCACAAATTTGGAGATGTTTCATGTTCATGTATTAGAAGATTATTTTGTAGAGATGTCAATTATCCTTAATTTCATCTAAGATATGCAAATTAGAATGAAAGTGTGATACTCCTACACAAAGCAACATATTGGCTAAAACTAAAAAGACAATACCAGGTGTTGGTAAGAATATGGATAAACAGGAGCTCTTATAAACTGCTGATGGTAGTGTAAATTGGACAACCATTTCAGAGAACTATTGGGCAGTATTTCTAAAGTTGATCATATGTATCCCCATCCCAGCAATTTCACTCTTTATTGTATACACAACAGAAATGTGTACATAGAATTGCTAAAACACATATATGAAAACAGTTATAGTAGCAGTATTTGTAATAACCCCAATTAAAAATATTCCAAATATCCATTAAAAGTAGGATGGATAAATTAATTGTGAATTTTCATACAATGGCATACCAAAACACAATGAGATTAGTTAGACAAGCTCTACCCCATAACACGAATGAATCTTTCAAACACAGTCTTGAGAGAAAGAAAGCAGATATTAAAAGCACATATTGTATAATTCCATTTATTTTTATAAAGTCAGAATGACTGGACGGTAAGCTTTACAGGGATCTGGCAAAGTTTTGTGTCTTTATCTGGGAACTGATTAGACAGATGTGGTCACGCAAATTCATTGAGCTGTGTACATTTTCCTGTATAATAATATCATATTTCCTTTTCTTAAAAAAGCATTATATAAAGTTATATAGAGAGTTATAAAAAAGTTATATAAATTTAAAAAGTACTTAGGCAATATTTAAGCCTGATTGGCTTAAACAATTATTTTTCTCACTATTTGTGTGCATACTTTAACCTTTTTCTACCCCATTGTATCTTCAAAGCCCATCTGCAACATATCAACAAAATTAAAACATATCTGTTCTTCTGAGGAAAGGAGAATATATTTACAAAACCTCCAAACACTGCCAGGGGAGAAAGGATCTCTCAATACACCATCCTCCCAGTATTCCTCCTTCTCACCATTTTATTACCTAGAAAATTCTCTCTACCCCAGAAACAGAACAATGCCCCACCAAATCTATCTGTCACAAACACCCAGCAGGCTCAAATTCCCTGCCACCTCCTGTTCTGGCCAGGAGGCCCTCAGAGACAAAGTGAGCAGGCCTGGGCATCTGCATTGGAGCTGTTCTGACATTCCATTTCCTTTTGCAAAAGGGGCAAGGGCTCTCAGACTGAACAGAGTTGAATCCCAGCTTCTCCATTTCCTGGTTGTGTGATTGCATTCTGTCACTTAGATCCAAAGTCTGTTTTCTCATATGCAAAAAGCTGTCAGGTTCTAACAATTATTTGCAGCATTTTGGGGAGGATTGGTGATAATATCTGGAAAGTGGCTGCATATAGCATATGTTCATTAAGTAATTGATTTTATTTTCATCTACAACTGGGGAAGATGGCTATCAAAGCATGAGCTAACGATACTCCTCTGCCTAGAAGTAGAAGGTGGCCATATGGAAGTCTTTTTACTCTAGCTCAGGAGTCTATGCTAATAAGTAAGTGTTATCTGTTTCCCAGCCTGGGAAGGCTCCAGGCTAGAAAAGAGGAGACTTAGATTCTAGTTTTGGATCTGCTATTGAATAAATCTGTGACCTAGAACAAGTTCCTTAACCTCAGTCCTTTATCCATAAAATGAGAGGTTGGGTTGGATGCCTTAAAATTAGGTCGATCTGTGAATTCTTTCAAGTTTTTGCATATGTATGGGTCCTGTTCCCTACCCCACCCTCTCTAACCCCATCAGGGTGAATCTTGTGGTTTCCTAATAAGCAGAGTACATACATGTGTTTGGGGCATCAGCAGAGCTCAAAAAACAAGAGAGTAAGTAAATGAATGAATGCAGATCAGATTCCATGAACCATTTCAGGCTATGGTAACTAGAACATTTAAAAACAAATGACAACTAATGAGTTTAAGGTAATTTTGAAAAATAAAGATTTATCTTATATAGATTGGCAGAGGAGGATGGAAGGGCAGTGACGGGGATCAGGATATGCCACCCTAAAATGTCCCACTTGGCACAAGGATTATTTTGAGCTGAAGGCAGTTGAGGGTCAACAGGGACATCAAGAGTTTTCTGCCTTCAGCTTATCTGCCTAAAGGCAGAGCACAAATTTATCCCCTGTCTTGTGCAGGATGAGAGGACCAATTCTTATTACTAGAGATGGAGAACCATCATTGAGATGAGTCTGCATGAACCAACCTTACTAAAGTAGCCCTTATATTCCAGAAGTTCCCCCATATAATCCCTAGTCATCTTCCACAATTTATTCTCTCTTGAAGCCCAAACCCTTTTTCTTTCATAGGAAGAATATACAGGCTCTCAAGCCTAACCACTTCTTTGGGTTTTCATTTCTTTTCTGTGAAGCACCTATGCATGTAAAAATATTGACATCAACATAAATCATATGCCTTTTCTCCTATTAATCTGTCTTCTGTCAGTCAAATTTGCAGGCCCCCATTACTGAACCTAAGAGGATAGACAAAAAGTTTTTTTCTCCTCATCAGCAGTATACTTTCTTGGTACTCTGTGCCTCCAAAGGTCATAATTTGGCCCTGCCAGGAGGTTCTGGAAGTAGGAAGCATGAGCCTTTAACCCACCAAAAGGTCTCCATACCATGTGCATGATGATGTCCAGGAAGGTGACAGGGGATCATCTCCTGGCCCCAGGACCAGCCTACCATGCCAGCTTGAGTTAGTGCTTTGATGATTCCCTGCTTGGAAGGGTGACATTCAAGGGTGTGTGTACTTTGCCTTCCTCAGATGGGACTTAATTATTTCCCAAGGCTCCCAATATCCTCAGGCCAAACACCCACATTCATCAGCATCTAGTTGCATCAACATCAATATCTGCCCAGGTATCTTAGCACCCACCTGCACCTCCTTCCACCTATTCATAGGACTGGGACTCTCCAGTTGGATTCAGGTCCTACAAGTTGAGATATTCTGGCAGAGTAGTGATTTTTCAATCCTGGTTTTATCTGATAATTAAAAAACAATCAACTGATTAAATGAAACTTTGGAATGGTGCCTAGACATGAATATTTTTTTAAAGATACCAGATGATGTCAATCGCAATCAATGTAGAAAAGCCCTTGTGTTTAGAGTCTACTGTTGGCCAACTTGTTTGATTTTAAAAACCACTTGATGCACTTTAGAAATACAGATCCCCACGTCCTTCCCTTAGCTATTTCTATTTCACTGGAAGGAGCATCCTAAGTGATTCTTATGCTTAGGTCAGTTGGGGAAACCCTCCTCACTGATGGGGTTTGGATCCCAGAAACTCAAAGAATATTGTCTACTTCCCTACTAGACTTCATAAAGCTGGGACTTCATGCTTGACATTTGAGGGTCATTCAGCAAATATGTGTTAAACGAATGACTGACTGGCTACTTCAAAAATGAAGGAAATGATTAGGTTTTTCTAAGTCATGGAAGATTAATTTCTAATAACAGGTGTAGTTCAGACCCTAAGGAGAAGAAATGCACTTGACATCTATGATCCATCTACTATGTTCTAGCCACTACAGTAGTTGTTTTGCATAAGTAATCTCATTTAATAATAGGTCTAAAAACAAATTTTACAGGTAAGATACGCTGAGATTCATAAAGCCTTCAGAGTTACTGGATTTGCATCTTGGCTCTGCCACATTATTTGCCATGTAAACTTGAACAAGTGATTTATTCTTTGTGCTACAGCTTCCACATCTATAGACTACGTTTAATGACCTGGTCCTTGCACTGCTATTGTAAGAACTAGTGTCAAGTACCTAGAACATGGTCTGACACTCTGCAGAAGCTAATAAAATGGTAGCTATTTTTATTATTAGAAAACGTTCCTGATATCACACACATAGCTAGTAAGTAGTAGAGTCAGGATTTGAATCCAGGACTTCATGTTTCCAAACCTGTAATCTGTGGAGATCACTCTGCACTCTGGAGAAGGTGCTTTCAGAGGTGGACCAGGGACAAAGCAGGCATAGCTGAGCAAACAGAAGGGACCGGCAACTACACAGGGTTTAGATTCTCTGCAGAAAATTTTTAGCCATGAACTTGTTCCTTTGCCCCCCTCTACAGCCCAGGAGGCAATGATTGATAGGAGGGATAGCACATCCGTCTGAATCATCCCAGATTCCAATACTTTTCATTTTAAAATACGTCTGTGTCTTTTGATCATCCATACCCAGAGAAGCTCTACTTCTGGTGGAAGATAGGCAGTCGATCAGCTCAGATGTGTGAGACTATAGGGATCCAGTCAGTGTCTCTTCTAAGAGTCACCCTCTGATTTATAGAGTGTTCCACTAGTCTTGAGAAGCAATACAACAAAGTTCTCAAGGGACTGTACCCTGGCACATCAGACCTTCATGACATGTTGGGAGAGTCACTCAAAGTTTTTCTGCCTCAATTTCCTTATCTAAGGTGTGTCCAGGTTTTTGTATAATCACCAATAATTTTAGCCTCCTCCCATGCCCCAACTCCTATAAAACATGAACTGTGCAGTCATTGTCACTGTTCAATAGCTCAAGATATAATTTGGTAAATATGTAAACCTGAAATCGAGTGTAAAAAAATGAGGGGAGATAAAGCAATCACAAAGGCCAAGAATGTTGCTCCATTGAAGAAGTATGCCCTGTCCTTGGGCGCTCTCTCCCTGTTCTCTCTCTCTTTCTCTCTCTCTCTCTCTCTCTCTCTCTCACACACACACACACACACACACACACACACACAGAGTGAGAAGGAAAAAAGGAAACTCACAGTCAAAAGGAAAAAGTTTCAACTGATTTCAAGTGGAAGGAGAGGAAAGAATGAGACAAGCTAGCAAGAATTATTACGCTAGACGTATTTAGCTCATTCATCTTAAAGTGTTAGAAGCATCATTGCGTTTAATCTTTATAGCAACTTTGTGAAGTAGAATTTAAAGTTCTCCTTTTAAAGATAAGGACAGTAGCATGCAGAAAGGTTAGGC
The DNA here is from genome assembly GCF_000001405.40 of Homo sapiens. Classification (NCBI taxonomy): domain Eukaryota; kingdom Metazoa; phylum Chordata; class Mammalia; order Primates; family Hominidae; genus Homo; species Homo sapiens. The sequence continues at coordinate 152,980,130 of NC_000001.11, forward strand.
AACTTGCTCAAGGTCATCCAACTAATAAGGGCATAGCAAGGCTTTGAAACAACTGGGCAAGACATTAAGCCTGGGTGCTTTTATTTCTATATACCTCAAGCAAGAGAAGCCAGGTTTAATTTTTTATCCATCCCTTCAAGGACCAGAAATAAAAAGAGTGAGGGTGAGGGGCATGCTCTGTTCTTAAAGAGATGGTAGAAAGGAAAGGGAATTGAGCATCCCAGGTTTGGGTCTGATTCTGTCACTAAAGAGGCTGTGAAGCCTGGAGCGAGTTCCTTCCCCCACCACAGCAGTTCATTCCCTCTCTATTGGATGAGGGGCTGAGTAGAGTTTCTCTGGTGCTATGATTTCATGTCCTCCCTCCACCTCTGCACCCACATTTGCAAACTTAACTTTTCCTCCCTGCTGGGCCAAAGTGTTCAGGAGGCTCCTAACACCTGGGATCTGGTGTTTCTCCTTTTCCTGCCCTTTCTCAGATGAAGAGCTTGTGTGTTATAGAGACTTTTTAAAAATTATCATGGCCTGAATTGAGCAGCTGACACTCTGGGGGTCTCCCTAGCTTCTCAAGGTGATCAGAGAAAGGGAGGGGGTAAACCTGTTAATACTGCATGTTTCTAAATGTTACCATGCTTTAAATATGCAATCCCCACAGGAAAAGGCCTGGAGTTCAAATTCTGCATGACCTTCTTTGCAGGGTCTGGGCTTTAGGGAAGTGTGGGGGAGAGAGTAATCTATGCTGGGAAAAGCCTGATCACTGATTAGACTTAGGGCCATCAATCTTCCTTGCTCTGGAAATGACTGATGAACCTGAGGCACTGCTCAGAGTCAATGGAAGTTCCAGGGACAAATGAGAGCCAGTTTTCGATGTCAGAAGAGCAGCAGCTCCTGTGTCCTAGGTGGGGCTTTTCTGCAAGGCTGAGAAATCTGGGGTGCTGTTCTTACTGTCGGAAGCCACCCAGTTTCCCCTTGTCTTTATGTGGGAGTTTGTGGGGCCTGATTCAATAGCTAACCCAACCCCAGTGGCAGAGAAACAAAGTTTCTTCTGAGGGAAGATTAACGATTAACACAAGTCACTGTGGAAGCTTCAAATACACAGAGAGAAGAATGTCAGAGACCAAGAGAAAGTTCCAGAGTCTGGAGCCCAAGCAGGCTTGGGTGGGGTGAAGGAAGCACATGTTGAGGCACGCAGGACTGTCCAGTAAGGAGCTGATAACCAGGGAGAAGGAAATTCCTTTGCATCCAGGGCTAAGGTCCAGGGAGGGCATGAGAACACACCAGCTTCAGAGGTGGCTTCAGATCATCCAGGGCCTGAGACAAGCTGGGTGACACCAGAGGACAGACAACTAGGCAGCAGGTTCCTGCAGGGCTGAGAATCCTACCAGACATAGCAACAGGTTCCAGCAGCCCCTGCTGTCAGGGCTCCTGGGTGGGGACTTGGTGAAGAAGGGGACCTGGGCACAAACCTAGAGGAGAGCTAAGTGAGGCAAGAGTCTTGGAGCTCAGGTGTCCTGGTGGGGCTGGCACCAGCCCGGAGCAAGGTGGGGCATTAAACTGTTTGACAGTGAGGCAGGTGGGTGGGGAGGGCAGCAGGTACACTGTGTACCGGAGCTTCTAGGCAGGTTTCAAAGTAGACTCTCAGCCTGTCTTTACAAATAACGCCATTCAGTCATTCATTCATTCAGTCAGCCAGCCAGCCAGCCAGCCAGGCAGTCGGTCTATAAATGCCAGTCACCAAGCAGCTTCTGCACGCCAGGCACTGTGTGAGGATGGAGATGGATAGGGACCAATGGCTGCATGGACACAGTGGGAGGCTGACCTTGGCCTCAGGTTCACTGGCTGTGGAGCCAGCAGGTGCTCCACAAACATTTAGGTGTGTGTTTGGGTAAAGGAGGGGTTAGATGAGGAGGAGGAACCATCTGAACACCTGAGTTTTAAGGATGATTTGGATTTTCCAAAGGCCACACCTAGTAACAGTTTGTGTTTTGAGTGCAGCTCTGAATCAGAGACCTCAGTTTTATGGCAATTGCCTATGGAAAGATTGAGGGAACCCCTGTTCTTGTGTCCCCAGGAAAGAGAAGTTCCTTGGCAGGGCAGAATCTGACCATCGTGGAGTGAAGGCAAGCATGTGCAGGTGCTCAGGGGCTTATCACCTACTGCCTCCCCCAGTGCCTTCACCTCAGCTGTGTCACGATGTCACTCTGAGAGCTCCCCTAGAGCGAAAGCAACTCAGGATAGAAGCAGACATTTTAGTTTTGGCTTTTCCCTTCCTTTCTCCGACCCTGGTGCCCTGAGTAATGATAAACTGAACCTTATTTCCACCTATTCTAATTCATGCCCTTCTTACTTTAGCAGAGCTAGAAACACCCACTGTTTAGAGCCACTCAAATATTAAGCATCTTTATTTCTACTTAAAGGGATTTATCTTAGCACCGATTAAGGCTTACCCACAAGGCAAGGCTCTTTCTGTGTCCTCACGCTGTCACTCCTAAAACTTTCCAGAACTACAAGTGACCCAGCTCTCAGTCAGGAAGGGCTCCCCTTTCCACCTCTAATCAATTTTCTGCCTGGGCTTAATTTCCTCCATAGACATTAGGGAGTCACAAGGAATTAAAACAAAGGAGAACACAGGATTTCTGTGTAAAATTCTTTTCTTCCTAGGGTTTGTTTTTTTGACCTTGGTGAGTTATTTCACCTCTGGTGGCCTCAGATTCCCCAATCATCCCTTGAGGAGTGTGAACTAAAGGCTCTCTGAGATCCATAATCTCAGTGGCTCTCAACTGTGCTCTGTCTCTTACCCTGGGGAGTTCATGATCTGTAGAGGAAAAGTGGGCTTCCTCATCAGAGAGCTCCTAGAATGACAGGCATGATGGGCATATGTTAGGCTCCCCACTGAGATTTGTTGAATAAATGAGGAAATAAACACTGTGGTGGGGACACCGTTGCTTTAAGCAGGAACAGCTCTGACCCTCGGAAAGCCCCCAGGAGATACAGACCCAGAAGGAGGAGGAAAACCTTGCAGCCAGCAGGATCTCTAGGTATTGGGGCTGGAGCTGGCAGTGGGCAAAAGTGGAGAAGGATTCAGCATTGAGGACCCCATGGATGGGCTGCAGGGAGGCAGGTAGAAAAGGCTTTTGGGTTTTCAGGTGGGGGGCAGTCTAGCCTGATCAGAAAGGAGGAAAAGGCCAGGGCCAGATGTCTGGGTGGAGTGAAGGGAAAAAGTGATCCCAGAAGAAGGATTAGCCCCTGAAAGTCCCTGAAGTAGGAGAAGGGTAAAGGTGTGGTTGGTGAAGGAAAGCAGGTTTTCCCAGATTAGCAACCAGTCAGGGGGAGGAAGGTGAGAGTGGGAGAGTCATAAGTAAATTATTCTGAATGTGTGTAGTTTAATGGAATTGGGAAAAAGATGGGGGAAATGGATGGAAGGGTCTTGGACTCTGAGACAAGGGGTCTATAATCAGTCCATTTCATTATTTCTAGCTTCCACCTTCACCAAGGCAGACAAGGAGGGCCCACCTCAGCTCCTCTGCTCCCCCTCCCTTTCCCACCTATTCATGTGTGCAAGAGTGCCCTGTCCCACAGAACACGGGGAACAACCATCTCAATGACAAGGACAGCAGGTGGCAAGGCCTCAACAGGACTCAGATGTCCCCCCAGGGTTAACTCATGAAACCCTCCATGAAGCCTGCTGCTCACCCCTCCCTCAAGGCAAGCCCTGCACCTGGGTCTGAGGATGAGGGTGGCAGTGAAAATTAGGCCAGTGACATCATTTTCAGCCAGCCAGTGCCAAAAAATATCAGGTGGTGTTCATCAAAAAAGCTGAGCCAACCGGTGATGAGGATGGTAGTGTGAGTCATGTGTGACAGGTGAGGAATGAAAACAGAGTGCCCGAGAGCTTCTATTTCCTTGAGGCAGGGCTCATTCATCTTATAAAAGCCAGCTGGCCATTGCCTTCACACCAAACCCAAGGGACCACACAGCCCATTCTGCTCCGTATACCAGGTAAGTCTCTGATTGCAACAAACTGGCAATTCTAGTGTACTTTTTCATTATTAGAAATTAGCTAAAGGCAAATATGTGTAAGCAGGTTAATCCAGGGTTTCAATGGGAGATAGAGAATAGTGGAATATCTTTATTTTAAGTTAAATTACAGTCTGGATTTGAAAGGACCTTAGAGATGGTTAGGGCTCCCACCTCAGTAGATAGTCATTGAACTGGGAGTCCTGGAGAAGATTGTTCAAATGCCCATGGGAAGTTCATAGCAGAACTAGAACTCAGGCCCAGAGCACTCTCAGTAACACTGCAATTTCCCCCTGACAAGATATTTATAGAAATTTTAATTTATTAGATGGATCTCTACTGAGCATTTATTCCATTTAAGGCAGTATGCTAGGCACTTTGGACAAATCAATGCCTAACGTACTTACTTAACAAACATAAAACCTAGCAGGAAGGTAATACATATATATAAATAAATGAAATGCAAAGTAGATAGTAATTGGCATGACGGAGATGGGCAGAGAAGGGCTGTGCACTTTTGGGAGACCTTGCTCAAGGAGACCCTCCTAGGGGTGTCAAGTGATGTGAGCTATGATGGAGGGGTATTTGGACAAGCAGAGATGGGAAGAAAAGCATTTGGAAGGGACTGTGTAAGCACAGACCAGAAGCAAAACCATAGAGGCTTAGATGAATATAAAGCCATCCTATAAGTCACAGGCTTTCTACATGGTACTAGGAGAGGAAAGTGGTCTGATGCCATTTTCCAAAAGACCTAATATGCGGACCTCATGTCCCTCAGAAGCCAGCTTTAGTAGGGCATTTTTCCAGAACAGATATAAGTTGCCTTGGGTAGGAAGGGAGCCAAGAAGAGAACTCCAATAAAATGGAGCAGAAGAAATTGCCTTTTAGCTCCTCCTCTTCAAAGGGCCTGAAAATTATCCAAGCTTATTTCATTTTTAAATGTAATGGGGGAGTTAAGGGAGATGAAAGGCTTTCTCTTCTAAAGGGTCCTGAAATAAAATCTGTTTGGCATTGAATTTGTATCCATCTTTCTTTAATTGAATCACTGTGTCAGCTTTCTGTCTCTAGAAAAAAACACATTTGAAGCATGAATTCTCAGCAGCAGAAGCAGCCTTGCACCCCACCCCCTCAGCCTCAGCAGCAGCAGGTGAAACAACCTTGCCAGCCTCCACCCCAGGAACCATGCATCCCCAAAACCAAGGAGCCCTGCCACCCCAAGGTGCCTGAGCCCTGCCACCCCAAAGTGCCTGAGCCCTGCCAGCCCAAGGTTCCAGAGCCCTGCCAGCCCAAGGTGCCTGAGCCCTGCCCTTCAACGGTCACTCCAGCACCAGCCCAGCAGAAGACCAAGCAGAAGTAATGTGGTCCACAGCCATGCCCTTGAGGAGCTGGCCACTGGATACTGAACACCCTACTCCATTCTGCTTATGAATCCCATTTGCCTATTGACCCTGCAGTTAGCATGCTGTCACCCTGAATCATAATCGCTCCTTTGCACCTCTAAAAAGATGTCCCTTACCCTCATTCTGGAGGGCTCCTGAGCCTCTGCGTAAGGCTGAACGTCTCACTGACTGAGCTAGTCTTCTTGTTGCTCGGGTGCATTTGAGGATGGATTTGGGGAAGGATCAAGTGAACCATCCCTAGTCTTCCTTCAATAAATAACTTTTAACTCCACATCTGGCTGTGCGTCACTGGTTGATTCAACCTCTGTTGCCTTCTCAGCGTGAAGTAGGAACTAACACTGTGAAGGCTGGTTGTGAGGTCTGTAGTCAGAAGGTGGCCGATCCTGACACTGAGAATGTGTGTGAATGTGTATGGCTGCTGTACACACAGGACACTCCTGGGCTGGAAGTGGGAGTATGTTCAGGGCCACCAACCCAATCTGTTACTTTGGGTAGGCAGAGCTAGAGCAAGGCTTTTTTCTTTTACCTTAATGTTTATATCTTAATGACTTGCAGTGAGTCACATGTGAGTGTAGATGGTGCCCGCTTCAAGCCATCATCATCTTTGTTTAGTTGATTCCTTTTTAAAAATTATTCCAAAGAAACAGTGCTTGTGCATAGTCCAGCCTAGTGATCTGTTCTGCACTCATCTTCCTTTTCTGATGCCCCCAATACATGGAGCCAAGGACTTGAACACTCACACCATACCCACAAACACATATTCACTCCCACACTCCCACACAGGGATATACTCGCATGCACAGACATTCAAACACACACACACATACGTAGATCTCCAAAATCCCAACACTCACACACACACACTCCTTCACACACTTGGATCTCCCAAACCACCCAACACTGACATACACACACACATGCACTTTCTCTCTCTCTCTCTCTCTGTCTCTCTCTCCCTCTCTCTAACTTAATCACCTTAGTCCTATGTTTTTTCATCGAGTGCCTGCTGTGAAGATACCTGATGCTGCAGCAGGAAGAAGGAGAGTTGAATCCATACCACCTGCCCTAGAAGAACCCTAAGAGAGGTGATCTTCAGTCTCCTTCCCATACAAACATAAGCTCTCAAAAAAGTACACACATGCTCCTCTCTCCACACACACATGCATGAGCACGCACACACTGTACTTTTGTAAGACATAAAAGTTGAATATTTTATCCAATAACTGCCGAATAGACACATTTGTCTCATCAGCACATAAAATATTACAGACCACATGTTATACCACAAACAAATCTCAACAAATTTTAAAAATCAAAACCATATCAAGGATATTTTCTTACAACAATAAAATAAAACTAGAAATCAATAAATAATAAGAAAAACTTTAGAATTTTTGCAAATATATGGAAATTAAACAATATGCTCCTGAATGATCAATGGGTCAATGAAGAAATGAAAAAAAAATTTAAATTTAAAAATTAAAAATTTTTTGAAACAAATAAAAATAGAAATACAAGATACCAAAACCTGTAAAACATAGCAAAAGCAATAGTAAGAGGAAAGGGGTTTTTTTTTTAGCAATAAATGCCTACATCAAAAAAAGAAAAAAAAAAGCTTTAAATGAAGAACTTAATATGCATACCAAAGAACTAGTAAGCAAGAACAAACCAAACCCCCAAAAAAATAAAGATAGAGCAGAAATAAATAAAATAAAAACTAAAAAGCTTTACAAAAGATTAATGAAACAAAAAGTGGATTTTTTTGAGAGAAGACTCAAATAAATAAAATCACAATTGATAAAAGAGACATTACAACTGATATCACAGAAATGCAAAACATCCTAAGAGACTATTATAAATAGCAATACACAAACAAATGGAAAACCTAGAGGAAATGAATAAATTCCTGGGCACATACAACATACCAAGATTGAACCAAGATCAAACAGAAACCTTGAATAGACCAATAATGAGTAATGAGATTGAAGTAGCTCTAAAAAGTTTCCCAACTAAGAAAAGCCCAGTGCTAAATGGAATTACTGATGAATTCTACCAAATACTTAAAGAAGAACTAATACTAATTCTTCTCAAACTATTTCAGAAAATTGGAGAGAGAATTCTTCTAAAATCATTCTGTAAGGCTAGCATTATACTAATATGAAAATAAGACTAGAACATGAAAAAAACAGAAAACTGCAGGCCAAAATCCCTAATGAACATAGATGCAAGTCCTTAAAAATGCTAGCAAACCAAATTCAACAGCACACTAAAAAGATCATCTACTATGATCAAGTGAGATTCATTCCAGGGATGCAAGGATGGTTCAACATATGCAAAACAATAAATGTAATACATCATATTAACAGAAAGAAAGACAAAAAACTTATGATCATTTCAATAGACACAGAAAAAAAAATTTCACAAAATTCAACATATTTTAATAGTGAAAATTCTCTACAAATTAGGTATAGAAGGTACATACCTCAGTGCAATAAAGTCCATATGTGACAAACCCACAGCTAACATCATACAGAATGGGGAAAAGCTGAAAGCTTTTTCTCTAAGATCTGGAACAAGACAAGGATGCCCACCCTCACCACTTCTATTAAACATAATACTGGAAGTCCTAGCTAGAGCACTGAGGTAAGAGAAAGAAATAAAAGCCATCCAAAATGGAAAGAAGGAAGTCAGGTTATCCCTGTTTGCAGATGACATGATCATATATAGTGAAAAACCTAAAGATTCCACCAAAACACTCTATGAACTGATAAATGAACAGTAAAGTCACAGGATACAAAATAAACATGCAAAAATCAGTAGCATTTCTATACATCAATACTGAGCTACCTGGAAAAGAAATCAAGAAAACAATCCCATTTAAAATAGCCATAACAGTGCCTAGGAATAAATTTAACAAAGGAAGTGAAAGGTCTATAAAATGAAAATTGTATTGCTCTGATGAAAGAAATGAGAGGAGGATACAGTAAAATGGAAAGATATCTTATGTTCATGGACTAGAAGAATTAATATTGTTAAAATGACCATACCACCCAGAGCAATCGATAGATTCAATACAATCCTTCTCGAAAGTCCATGATATTTTCAAAGAAATAGAAAAAACAATCCTTAAATTCACATGGAATCACAGAAGACCCAAAATTGTCAAAGCAATATTGAACAAAAAGAACAAACCTTGAAGCATCACACTACCTTACTTCAAAATATGCTACAAAGCTATAGTAACAAAAAAAGGCATGGTATTGGCAGAAAAAAACAAACACTAAAACCAATGTAACAGATAAAGCACTCATAAATAAATCCACGTATTCACATCCAACTGGCTCTCAAAAATGGCCCCAAGAACATAAACTGGGGAAAAGACAATCTCTTCAATAAATTATCTGGGAAAACATGGCATCCATACGCAGAGGAATGAAAATAGATTCCTGTCTTTCACCACATACAAAAATCAACTCGAGATGGATTAAAAACTTAAATATAATATGAAACTACAAGAAGAAAACATTGGGGAAATGCTGCAGGACATTGGTGTGGACAAAGATTTTTGGAGAAGAACTCAAAAGCATAGGCAACAAAAGCAAAAATAGACAAATGGAATTATATCAAGCTAAAAAGCTTTTGAGCAGCAAAGAAAGCAATTAACAAAATGAAGAGTCAGCCTACAGAATGGGAGGAAATATTTGCAGACTATCCATCCAACAAGAGATTAATAACCAGAATACATAAGAAGCTCAAACTATTTGCTAGCAAAAAAAATTGATTTGAGCAAAAGACATGAGCAGACATTTCACAAAGGAAGACATACAAATGGCCCAAAAGATATATTTAAAAATGCTCAGTGTCACTAATCATCAGGAAAATGCAAATCAAAACCACAATGATATATTATTTCAAACCAGTTAGAATGGCTATTATCAAAAAGACAAAAAAAATGCTTCCGACGATGAAAATAAAGACAAGCACTAGTACACTATTAGTGGAATGTAAATTAGTACAGCCACTACGGAAAACAGTATGGCAGGTCCTCAAAACACTAAAAATAAAACTACCAGACCCACTTCTTGGTATATATCCAAAAGAAAGGAAATCAGTATATTGAAGAGGTCTCTGCACTCCCTTGTTTATAGCAACACTACCCACAATAGCCAAGATATGGAATCAACCTGTGTCCATCAACAGATGAATATATAAGGAAAATATTGCATATATACACAATGGAACATTATTCAACCACAAAATAATACTTAAATCCTATCATTTGAAACAAAATAGTTGAGCCTGGAGGACATTACCTTTAGTGAATAAGCCAGGCACAGAAAGATGTATTTCACATGTTCTCACTCATAGGTGAAAGCTAAATAAGTTTATCTCATAGAAGTAGAGACTAGAATAGTGGTAACTAGAGGCTGGGAAGGGTGGGGGAGAGGGAGGATAGGGAGATGTTGGCTAATAGATTCAAAAATATAGCTAAATTGATGGAATAAATTCGATTGTTCTATAGCACTGTAGGGTAACCATAGTTAACAATTATTTATTCTATATTTTCAAATAGCTGGAAGAGAGGATTTTGAATGTTCACACAAAGAAATGATGTTTGAGGTGATACATGTACTAATTATTCTGATTTTATCATTATATATTGCATACATGTATCACAATATCACACTGTATCTAATAAATATGTACATTTATATCAATTAAAAATAATTTTTTAAAAGGCAAACTATCTCTACCCCTATCTCCAATGCAACATGCCATAGTGAAACAGGGCTGAAAAGCTTCAATAAAAACTTCCATGTGAAGGATGAAGAATGGGAATCACGATCTGCAGTGAATGTGAAATCCTACCTAACAAGGATATCAAGCCCCTCCTCCCCTTGAGTTTGCTGTCTGGAAGGCACTCCCTGGTCTACTGTTCTCTGTGCCATATCAGTATCTTCTGTGCTCATTAACATCGATGGCCATGCTTGCAAATGCTTAGATATCTTAAGAGAACCCTTGGACAGAATTTACTTTACAGAATTTGAAAAAATTTGAAAGTTTTTACTGAGTTTTTCCTGACCTTCTCTATTCTTGCATGTTGGGTAGGGGCTGTGGGTGAAGATAACTGGTCTTTTAATATCATAATTTTCTGGAACAGGAAGAGTTACATAGGACCTGATTGAGAAGATTGTATATCTTGAACGGGTGAAAATGAAGCTCTTTTGTGGGTGCTATAAAGCATATTAGCAGAGTACTGTTTCCCAAACTTTAACATCTGTAGTTGTGCATTGTCGCAATGCACATGTCTCATAATTAGTTTGTATTTTGCTTTATCAAAACTGATAAGAACTGATGAAAAAATTAGACTGGCCTTAGGTTAAAAATGACCATGAAATAAGAGCATCGATATGCAAGTTATAAATTATTTTAATATAGATTAAAATACGTATCATAACAGCAATTAAACATGTTATTATTTATCAACTAAGAATAGTCTTAGTTGTTTATAGCAACACTACCAACAGTAGCCAAGATATGGAATCAAATAAAGACTCAGACTACTCTTAGTTGATAAATAATAACATGTTAATTGCTATAGTCTACATAAGAACTGATGCCTGCTAATGGACAATATTCTGGACAAATACTATTCCTATTCTCGAAAGACATTTATACACGACTTTAACCGTTATGTGGTAACTCTTCCTCTGTAGGGCAGAAGCTCTCAAAAATAGAAATATCTGAAGATTGTAGGAACATTTGGGCACTTGAAGAGACATTCTGTAGTGTACTTTACTTTGAGCTAATTGCTTCTGCAGACTACGGAGCTCAAAGTAGAATCCATAGGAGAGATATCATTGAATATTCCCTGTGCTAGGCAGATACCGCAGAACCCTCAGCCTCTAGACAAAAACCCCATAATTCTTCCCTATCCCTTTTACTCCTTCACTCATTCCTGCCTCTCCACTCTGGCCTCTGTACACGCTGGGCATGCTTCTGACTTCAGGTTGTTTTATTAGAAATTCTCTTTACCTAAATATTTATTTTTCCAGACATCCATATGTCTCAACTCCCTCACCTCTTTCTTTCTCTGCCAAAATGTCAGCTTCTCAATGAGGCCTAACTTGGCAGTACATTCAAGTCATAACAACCCAGTCCACCCATTCTCATTCTTGCAATTACTCACACTACTTTATTTTCCATAGCAGTAATATATATTTTTTGCTTTATAATTCTATGTATTATTTATTGCCGTTCAACCTCCAATCATTGCCACTAACATGTAAGCTCCAGGAGGAAAGGGAATGTCATTTTTCTTCACTCATGTGTTCCAATTAGTGGGACACTGTGGGTATACAGAAAATTTTATGAATCAACACATTAAAGAGAGAGCTTCATTGACCTAAAATTAAAGAATTCTCTAATTGTCCAGTTGCTACAATCATTCAAACTGCCAGGTGAAGTGGGACCTCCAATCCTGAGCCTTTGCCCCAGTGTAGCAACATGACCACCTGATCCTTTTAGGAATTCCAGAGGGTTTTTTTGTCAGGTGGGAAATCACCACCCAGCCTAGTATAGGCTATTCCACTTCTTTATAACTGGGGCTGCCTGACCGTATAACTGGATATTCTTCATAGCTACCACTCTTAAAATCAGATTCCAGATCCGCATTAGAGAAGCAAGTAAGTCAGAACTCTTGGTATTCATGTCTTTTTACATTTTATTTTTATTATTTTTGTTTGTTTGTTTGTTTGCTTTTTGAGACCAAGTTTTGCTCTGTCACTCAGACTGGAGTGCAGTGGCACAATCTCTGCTCACTGCAACCTCCAACTCCAGGGCTCCCACCTCAGCCTGCCATGTAGCTGAGATTACAAGCATGTGCCACCACACAAAATACAAAAATTAAAAAAAAAAATTATATTTTTAGTAAAGATGCAGTTTCACCATGTTGCCCAGGCTGGTCTCGAACTCCCGGCCTCAAATGATTCACCCGCCTTGGCCACTGAAGTGCTGGGATTATAGGTGTGAGCCACCACACCCAGCCCATGTCTTTCTTTTTTCTCAAGAAAATATACAAAAAATGTCAGAATATGAGATAAGAAAGTTCTCCTATGGCAGCATCTGGATCATTTTCCAGACCACTTTAGTTTCATGGTACGTAATGATGATAATTCTTCTGAACACAATTCAGAATTTGAACCAACATTTATTGTTTCAGGAAAGCAGAATTTCCTTTGAATGATGGATAAGAATGGTGAAAAAAATGAAAATGGTGAAAAAAAAACGCCAAATAAGAAGTCAGAAGCCATTTATTGTCATAATTATAGATTTAGATGATTAGAGACTATCCTCTTAGATTAGAGAATTTCCCAGCATTATACGAGCATTGATTTATCTTACTTCTACTAACGCCTTCACCTATTTCCTTTAGACTCACCTGAGTTTGAGTAAAAGCAAGGGCAGCGCAGCCTTTTCCACTGCCACCTGTAATTCTACCTGCAAGGTCCCCTCCAATGCTTAGAGACATGGACCCGAAGTGCCCAGTACCTTACACACCTCCACGGAGCTCACCTTGCCAGTGTCAGGACTTGTTCATTCAGCATCCACCTATGGAGTGCCCGACTCTGAAAAGCCCACCTCCCCAAACTGTCTGCCGCACAGTATTCACCCAGCAGTACCCACCACCCACCGCCACAGTGCCAGCCAGTGGGAAGGCGGTTCTGTCTGCCTAGCAGCCCTCCAAAACGCAAGAAAATCCTCAAAACTTGCAGGACCAAAACACAACACACAGAAATGGTGCTTTCCTTTGGGCGAGTTCCAAATGAACACATTTTCTTCAAAGCCTGTTATGGCTTGAGGTGACATCATCCTTAGGTTACGATAGTTGGATTTTTATATCTTCCTCTGCATCCAATCTGTTGCATTATGTTATTTTGGCTGAAGTATACAAAGAAAATCTGGTCTCATAAAGATGTAGTTTGCAAAATGGATTAATAACTTTTTACATAATTATGGATATTCTTTGACACCATGCCAAATTCAGCAAGTAGTACATACTTTCTTAAAGATTAGTTGCAACATGGAATCTCAAACCACATTAACTAATTGTTCATATTCTGTTACATTAAAATCCATTTGTCAGAAAATAAAAAATAAAATAATCTCTACAGAAAATGTGATTTTCTATGTAGACAATGCCAAGAGATTGTCTAACATCTTAGAAATAAGAAGTAAGTTCAGCATGTCACAGTATACAAGATTAACACACAAAAAAAATTGCATTTCTACATGCATACGATGAAGTAAAAACTGAAAAAAATGCTTATTTAAAATTTCTCTATAGAAAGTTAAACACTATACATTTTAAAATACGTACAAGAGTTATATGGTGAATATAAACTCAATGGGTAAAAGAAAGTGAAGAACACCTAATTGGAGAGACCACTGTGCTTATCTGTTAGATGATTCAACATGGTAAAGATGTCAATGCTTTTAAAATTGATCTATAGCTTTAATACAATTCTTATGAAAAATTAAAATGGCCTAGAATAGCCAAAACATTAAAAGCAAGAATAGAATAGATTCATTCTTTCCAATATTAAGGATTACTCTATACCTCCATTAATCAAGGTGGCACAGCACTAGGGAAAGGACAGACACACAGATCAATGGAGCAGAAAACATACACTCTGAAATCCACACAAATGTTCCAATTATTTTTTTAATACAAGGTTAAAGCAATACAATGAAGGAGAGGCCACTTTTTCAATAAATAAATGGTGTTAGAACAATTGTACTGCCATAGGTAAAATATTTAACTTCAATCTAAACATTACTCCTTACACAAAAATTAACTCAAAATGGACAATGGGCTTAATTAAAAACATGAAACTATATTTTTTACAAACAGGAAAAATCTTTGAGACTTAGGACTAAGTAAAGACTTTTTAGACTTGGCACCAAAAGCACAATTCCAAAAAGAAAACAAAAATGATAAGTTGGAATCCATCAAAATTAAATAATTTCTGCTTTGTAAAAGACCCTGTTAAGACAATAGAAAGACAAATTATAGACAGGTAGAAAATATTTCCAGATCACTTATTCAACAAAGGACTTATATACAGAATACATAAAATGCCCTCAAAACTTAACAATAAAAAATCCCATTAGAAAATGTACGAATGTCATGAGCAGACATTTCATGGAAGACATACAGATGGCATATAAACACACAGAAAGACATTCAACATCCTCAGCCATTAAAAATCATACATTACAACCACAACGATGCATCATTATGGTGAGGACATGAAAAACTGAATCTTTCAGACATTGCTTGTGGGATGTAAAATAGTACAACCTCTCTGGAAAATAATTTTGTAGTTTCTTTTAAAATTATGGTGGACTTAGTATGGGACCCATTAATTATACTCTTGGGCATATATCTCAAAGAAATAAAATTTATTTATTTCCAGATACAAGATTGCACATGAATGTCTAAAGCAGCTTTATTAGAAATAACCCAAAACCAGGCCAGGCATAATGGTTCATGCCTATAAATCCAGCACTTTAGGAGGCGTAGGTGGGAGGATCATTTGAGCCCAGGAGTTTGAGACCAGCCTGGGCAACATAATGAGATCTCATCTCTATGAAAAATAAAAAAATTAGCCGGGCTTAGTGGTACACACATGTGGTCCCAGCTACTCAGGAGTCTGTGACAAGAAGCTCATTTGAGCCCAGAAGGTCTGCAGTAAGCTATGATCACACCATGGCACCTCCAGCCTGGGTGACAGAGTGAGACCCTGCCAAAAAGAAAAGAAAAAGAAAGAAATAATTGGAAACTGGAATCTTGCCAAATGTTCTTCAAAGGAGAAATGGTTAAACAAACTGTGGTACATCCATACCATGGAATACTATTTAACAACAAAAAAGAACAAACTATTGATAGAAATGATTGCCTGAATAAACCTTAAGAAAATTATACTGAGTGGAGAAAAACACCAATTTCAAAAAGATACAAACTGCAAGATTCCATGTATGTAATATTCATGAAATAACATAATTGTAGAAATGACAAACATTATTAGTTACTAGTGGTTCGAGATACAGGGGGAGAAGGGAGAGTGTGGCTGTAAAAGGGTAAATGAGGGAGTCTAGAGGTGATGATAAGGTCTTGTCTCTTGATGAAGGTGGTGGTTACACAAAGCTACATATGTGATAAAATTTCACAGAGCCATACACACACACACACAAATGAGTGCATATATAACTGGTGAAATCTGAGTTAGCTCAATGGATTGTACCAGTATTAATTTTCTGGGTTTGATGTTGTTCTACACTTATGCAAGATGTTAACACTGGAGTAGGCTGGGTGAAGGTGTACGTTTCTTTTATGCTGTTGTGAATCTACAATTACTTCAAAATTAAAAGTAAATACTTATAGCAACAGATTGAATGCAGAAACTAACATGAGAATCTAGCAAAATATTGATGAGATATGCAAAAATGGAAAACAATTGAATAAATTGATTACAAAGTATTAGAGGAAGTATTACATGTGGAAATGATATAAAACTTCAAAATAAAATTTTTACATTTTAAATTAATTGCTCATATTGCACTCTTACCTAACATCTGTACCTAATTTGGTAGCATCACAAATTGGTCATTTTGAAAATATTGGTTCACTGAGTTATATAGATCTTACAAATGTTGACACAGTTCTTTATACAATAGGAAAAGATCGCATTCATTAATCCACCACCAATCTCATGAGAAAATTAATTCCATATTGGGAAGCTGTGAAACTGGTAATGAACTAATTGATACATTGCAATGAACTAATTGAGTTTTTCAATATTATAACTTTTGTGTAAAAGTTCACATTACCTCACTGGCAATAAATACTGTACCAGTTTTCTACTGTTGTATAATGAATTACCACAAATTTAGCATCTTAACACATATTTCATAGTTTCCATGGTCAGGGGCTCAGGTTTCACAACAAGGCTGCAATAAAGGTGTCAGCCTGGCTGCATTCTCATCTGGAGCCTTCACTGGGAAAGAATCCACTTCCAAGCTCATTCAAGCTGTTGGCTGAATTCATTCTCTTGCAGCTCAATGACCAGGGGCTCCAACTTTTTGCAGGCTTCCGACTAAAGTCCTCCCTCAGGTTTCAGAATGCACCTGTGGTGCCTAGAGGCAGCCCACAATGAAGCAAACATCCCCCCTCTATGGGCCCTTATATCATCAAGCCTGCAAGGAGAGTCCCTTCCTCCAGCCTGCCTGCTGTCAGTCTTGCCTAGATCACATAATCATGGAGTGATACCCTGTCACGTTTGTTACAGCCTGTTGATTAGAAGGAGGCCAACCTCAGCGGCTCATGCCTATAATCCTAGTGCTTTGGGAGCCTGAGGCTAGAGAACAATCTGAGCCCAGAAGTTTGAGACTGCAGTGAGCTGTGGTTGTGCCACGGCACTCCAGCCTGGGTAACAGAGCAAGACCCTGTCTGAAAAAACAAACAAACAAACAAACAATCAAACAAACAAAAAAACAGCAGGTCACACACAGGATTATATAAGGGCATAAATGCCAGGAAGGAGGCCACTGGGGCTCCCTTAGGGTCTTACTGACACAAATACTGTCTGTTGTTTTCCTTGAAATGAAAGGCTCATTCAGTTCGTTTTCAAGGAAATGTCTGCCAAATACCCAAGTCTGAGTAAACACAGTTTGCCTGGCAGTTGTTCTTTCAAGTAAAATTTTGTTTGATAAAAAACAGCTAGTTCAGATCAAAATTCAGTCTCACAAATGCTTTTTCTAGAGACAGCCATTGTACTTTGAAATGCAGCAAAATAACTTTATGTGTGTTTCCCATTTGATAACAAATAATTTCTAAAGGGTGAAGATTTTTTTAATGACTTTTATTCAAACAGGAAGATTGAACAGGGCAAGTGATCTGCACAGTGAGGGTCTCTATGGTTCTCAGATTCAATATTTTTTTGAAGCTGCCATGCCTATTTGAGGATATGAGCTTTTTTGTAAATATCAGATTTCTGCATTCAAAAATGACAGACAAATAACCGGTTCTTAATATCTGTGAGGACAGGGCATGCAAGTAGATAATAAGATGAACTTTTTTCTCTTTGTAATTTGGTCTTATTTCTCAAATCCTCAGTAGTCATTTTAGCCCTCCTTCCAACTAATCCTTCTCTAGAGTAATACAGCCTGGCAGGATACTTTATTGAGACAGTAATTGTATAGTTTCTAGGTGTTCCCCATCTCAAGATTTTGTATGTTACCTTGCCTCAGGGTCCAGTGTGGCTGGGCCAACAATGGGAATTGGCTTCATTCTACAAATCTAGACACACTGATACTGTTATGCTAGATCAGTGTTTCTCAAAGTGTGGTCTGCAGGCTTTCAGGGATGCTTGAGATCCTATCAAGGAGGCTGTGATGTCAAGACTGATAACAAGATAACAATAAGACCGTCTGTCTTTTTACTTCGCTCATATAGCACAGATGGCTCCATAAAAACGTGGGAAAGGAGTCAAATATCTGGCACTTTAGCAAGAACCAAGACAGTAACATGAAACTGTACTAGTAAACAATGCAGGGCGTTATTTTATCTACATCTGATTTACAAGTCCTACGGAGCAAGCAGTGCAGGAAGCATTCAAGTTATTGGTACAGGCCGGGCGCAGTGGCTCACACCTGTAATCCCAGCAGTTTGGGAGCCTGAGGCAGGTAGATCAGTTGAGGTCAGGAGTTCAAGACCAGCCTGGCAAACATGGCAAAACCCCATCTCTACTAAAAATACAAAAATTAGCTGGACATGGTGGCAGACACATGTAATCCCAGCTACTCGAGAGGCTGAGGCATGAGAATCACTAGAACCCAGGAGGCAGAGGCTGCAGTGAGCAAAGATCATGCCACTGTACTCCAGTGAGACTCTGCCTCAAAAAAAAAAGTTATTTGTATAATCCACTTTGTTATCAGATGTTGTTCAATTTCCACTGACATCTGAAACATGGAATCCTGGTGGACACATCACCTTGTGACAGCTGTGCATCCATCATTGCGGGGCAGCCATGCGCTGGTGATCAGAATCCTGCTGGGTGGTGGGAGCCGTTTTCACTAAGAACAGTAGGAAGATTCTGATGGTAACAGAGATAGTGATATTAGACCGCAGAGCATGCTTCAGAGACAGAGAACCAAGGCCTAGCTCCCTGAGCCAGCCTCATGCCTGGGGCATCTGCACATAACCCAGACCTAAAGTTGCCAGTGCACTTATCTCCTTTAAATCATGATGTTAACTTGCACTACTTTTACCAGGCCGGTTCCAGGGTTTTAAACTCCACAAAAATAAATCAGGATCAGAAAATCCTGTTCAGAGGAATATACATAAATGTCTGATAACAGGATCTACACCAGAGTTCCAGTTGCTCAGAGTGGCCACACTGTTCTTCCACAATCCAGATTCCAAATATCTATTAATACATTTACACTTAAATATTTACATATGACTAGTGCCTACTTTATTGGACGGCTCAGTTCCACAGTCTCCAAAGACAGGCCTTACATCAGTTCCAAATTTCTTATATTAACCCACCAGATGATTCCTCTGACCTTGGCCTAGGCACTGATTTCCATCACTGGGCAATGTTTTTCTCTTTCTGTATCTTAAATGGAGCATGTATTTCATTATATACCCTAGCTTGTGTTCCCCCAAAACTGAGCCTAAGACAATATCTTATGTGAAGCTAGTTTCTTTGAGAATGTAATCATAGAAAAGAGGAATGTGAAATAAACAGGGGTGAAGCTAGGCAAAAGGAAAAATCAATATATACAAAGAATATGTTACTAAGTAGGCAACCAGGAAGGGTGACTGGAACTTGATCCCCAGGATCTCAGCTGACAGAGAACTATGTCACAGAAGGGTTTCCCCTAGAAATGAAAGAGGAAAGCATTATCTACCAGTTCATGTCCTCCATTGGTGGAGTGTGGCCACTAGATGCTAACACTGAACTTCAAGCTTGCATATCCACAAGTGCATTACAGATTCCTACAGACAGCTCACGCTGGGGCATCAGAGGCCCTCAGGTGAGGAAAGAAGAGGCAGAACTCTAGGCAATGTGTGTGAGTGGTCCACATAGCCATGGTAGAAAACAAGAGCAAGATCCAGAAGATTTGGAGAGTGCCTAAGAGGCACCCAGTACCATCCACACACAAGTCCCAAGAAAGTCCCAGGACAGTGCAGTTGGATGACTCACAGCCTCCTGCCACCAGAGAAGGGAGCCAGTGGGAAAGACTAAGGTACCTGGGGAAGTGGGACTCGCCTTCAGAAGCCACTCAATGTATCCTCTCTAAAACTGAGGCCAGACTTACCAGCACACCCAACACTGCTCATGAGAAAACAAAGCTTCTCTGAAAGAGGCTTAACGTTCAGGCGCTGAGTGTGTTTGACTAAACAGGAATAACAGGGTTGGGGTAAAACGAGAATTTCAATAAGCTGATGGCAGAGAAGCTTTTGTTGGGGTGAATGAGGCAAGAGTTAGAGAAGGGCAGGAGAGAGCCCGCCCAGGGAAGGGACACAGGAAATCAGAAAGGAATTTCCTCTAGAACCAAGGTGCAGAATCGAGGAAGAAAATGAGGGAGACCAGGATTCATAGAGGAGCTTCCTTCCTCTGGGGAGGAAAATCCCAGGTGGAGCAGCAGGGTCTAGCCGAAGCCCCCAGGGTCTGTGGCTCCTGAGAGGTGGATTTGCTGAGGAGAGAAACCTGGACCCAACACTGAAAAAGAGCTAATGTGATGACAGAGCCCAGAGTTTAGGCATGGCAGTGGCCCTGGCCCATCCCAGAGGGAAGTGGCCGGTCAAACAAATGCTAGCAGAGAGGGAAGGACATGGGTGTGGAAGGGAGGGTAAGCCTCTTCTCCTTCATGAATTATCAGCTCACACCTCTTCTCAGCTCACACCAGGAGGCCTGGCACAGGACAGTGAATCATGCCCAAGAAACTGCCTTGTGGCTTCCTGCCTTCCTCCCTCCCTCCCTATCTTTCCTCTTTTCTTTTCTCTTTTCTTTTCTTTTCCTTTCCTTCCCCTCCCCTT
Source organism: Homo sapiens (assembly GCF_000001405.40). Taxonomy (NCBI): domain Eukaryota; kingdom Metazoa; phylum Chordata; class Mammalia; order Primates; family Hominidae; genus Homo; species Homo sapiens. The sequence continues at coordinate 153,000,653 of NC_000001.11, forward strand.
CCTTTCTTCCTTCCTTTCTTTCTTTCTTTCCTTCTCTCTCTCTCTCTTTCTTTCTTTCTTTCCTTTCTTCTTTATCTATCTCTGTTTCTTTCTCACTTCCTTTCTCCCTTCCATGAACCTACAGCTCTATTCAGGAGAACAATGACTGTCCATTGACTTAACACCCATGATAACCAGGCACTGTGTGACGCTGAAGTAGAACAAGGGGCTTTCAGAACCTGGTGGAAGGAGCTGGGCATCAGGTTCAAGGGAGTAACACAGTCGTGGAACATTGGGAAAGGAGGAGCTATTCACATGCCTGAGATGTAAGGATGTCTGGATTTTCCAAGGGCCGCGTCTAGTAAGAGAGTGTGTATTGAGGGCAACTCTGAGTTAGTGACTTGAGGTTCATCCTGTAGTGATCAGAGGAAATGGCTGGTGTATGAACCTAGGGAATCAGCACGCTCCTCTTCCTATGTCACTCCTGGAGAAGAAAGATACCACAAGAGGCAGGGTCTTCAGGGCTGAGCCACAATGTCACACAGATCCAGTCAATCCTGCCTGTCCATCTCAATGACATCTACTATCCCTGATCAACACGGCACCTTAAGGCGCCCTTCACAGTGAAAGCAACTTATTTCCAAAGCAGGCATTTTGCCTTCCATTGCTCCTCCCAGGTCCAAATCCAGTAAGAGACTGAAAATCAGATGATTCACTTATTCTGCACCATCCCCATGGCCTCGCAGAACCAGAAATGCCTATTGTTATTTCCATGTCCACTTCAACCATGAGGAAGCCCAATAGGACTAATCTGGCTAAAGATTAGGGCCCAGGCCAAGAGGCCTGGCTCGTTCTAGTCCTAGGAGCATGGTACTTCCTCCTAATTTAATCCATTGCCATTCAAGAAGACCTTTGCCCACAGCAACCACACCACAAAGGGTGGACAGTGAGTCAGGCCCAGGTGACATCACTGTCAGAGCTTAAGTGACAAAAAATGTTAAGCCAGAGATACTTATCACAAAAGCTGGAATGAAGTTAGAGCAGTCTTTTAAAAAATCCAATTTTCTTAAGGCAGGGCTCATTTTCTATATAAATACCAGCTAACAAGAGACTCTTCACCAGATCCCAGAGGCTGAACACCTCGACCTTCTCTGCACAGCAGGTGAGTCTCCGCATTAGGAACACCTTAATATTCTCCAATAGTTTCTTTATTTTGATTGAGATCTCTTTGCTATGCAATGAATATATTTATTTTAAATGCAATAACGACTTTTGTTTAAGGTGACCTTATACATATTTTGACTTTCCACTCAGATTACAGGTGTGGAACTTAGGATCAGAAAAGGGGAGTGATTTCTGTAAAGGCTTGCTAAGTTAGCAAGACAATATACCCACTTCAAGAGCACTCTCCTGTCAACATGTATTGAAAATTTTTAATATAGAAGGCACTACATTGGCAATTTTGATGATCAAAAGATAAGTTTTTCTTTATTGCATGAATGTATAATCCATTAGAAAACATATACTTGACTAAAATTTGCAAACATACAGCATGGGGAGTGATTAGCAGAGAGGGAAAGCAAGTATCATGCTGTGGCAAAACGAGGAAGGTGAGAGCATCAGGAAGGACAGCCATGAGAGGTGGGCATGTGTGGGGAGGCAGCGATGATGTGGAGAGCCTGCCAGAGAGCATGTGCAGCAGGCACAGTGTGAACAGAGGCTCCCAGGTGGATTGTGGGAGCCTTAGGGGGAAGTTTAGATAAGAGTTCTCCTGGGAGAACTATCGCACTCTATAAGGAGGACATGAGTGAGTAGATTCTAGACTGCTGACCTTAAAATCTTTCCAACTTATGGAAAAACTGAGGTGTCACATCAATCTTCAGCCAATGACACACAGCCAAGAGTGGTATTAAAAGTGATTTAATCAGGGAAGAGCAAGAAACATGCATTTCTTTTCACTCAATTCCTCAGATGATCCCTGAGCAGCTGAAGACCAGAAAAGCCACTAAGACTTTCTGCTTAATTCAGGAGCTTAGAGGATTCTTCAAAGAGTGTGTAAGCGAAAGCTTCAGAGTATATATTTGCATATTTGTATGTGTTTTCATGTTGTACGTAGGTTTTTAGATGTACCAGGAAGAAAAGAAGCATAAAGAAAGGCTCCATTTACACGATGTGGAAGAAATCAACTTTACCTTATTCTCTGGAAGATAAGTGGGGATCACCAAAGCATCCCATGATCTCAAATTCAGGGAAAAAGAAAGAAAAGAGAGGCTCTCAGTTCTGAAGGAGAATGAAATGACAGATATTTGTCATTAAACTGGGCTTCATTCCTACTTAATCAAAGCACTGAATTAGCTGTTTTGTCTCTAGGTCCAGCATCCTTTGAAGCATGAGTTCTTACCAGCAGAAGCAGACCTTTACCCCACCACCTCAGCTTCAACAGCAGCAGGTGAAACAACCCAGCCAGCCTCCACCTCAGGAAATATTTGTTCCCACAACCAAGGAGCCATGCCACTCAAAGGTTCCACAACCTGGAAACACAAAGATTCCAGAGCCAGGCTGTACCAAGGTCCCTGAGCCAGGCTGTACCAAGGTCCCTGAGCCAGGCTGTACCAAGGTCCCTGAGCCAGGTTGTACCAAGGTCCCTGAGCCAGGCTGTACCAAGGTCCCTGAGCCAGGTTGTACCAAGGTCCCTGAGCCAGGCTACACCAAGGTCCCTGAACCAGGCAGCATCAAGGTCCCTGACCAAGGCTTCATCAAGTTTCCTGAGCCAGGTGCCATCAAAGTTCCTGAGCAAGGATACACCAAAGTTCCTGTGCCAGGCTACACAAAGCTACCAGAGCCATGTCCTTCAACGGTCACTCCAGGCCCAGCTCAGCAGAAGACCAAGCAGAAGTAATTTGGTGCACAGACAAGCCCTTGAGAAGCCAACCACCAGATGCTGGACACCCTCTTCCCATCTGTTTCTGTGTCTTAATTGTCTGTAGACCTTGTAATCAGCACATTGTCACCCCAAGCCATAGTCTCTCTCTTATTTGTATCCTAAAAATACGTACTATAAAGCTTTTGTTCACACACACTCTGAAGAATCCTGTAAGCCCCTGAATTAAGCAGAAAGTCTTCATGGCTTTTCTGGTCTTCGGCTGCTCAGGGTTCATCTGAAGATTCGAATGAAAAGAAATGCATGTTTCCTGCTCTTCCCTCATTAAATTGCTTTTAATTCCAGTCTTGGCTGTGTGTGTCATTGGCAGAATCTTCCTCCTTCCTTGTTTCCCCATTGTGAGTCAGGACCTATAGACAGAGAGGAGTTGATGTAGAAGTCATCTATTTAACCCCAGTACTGTTTGTTTCTATGGGTGTATGGGGTTACAGTTGAGGTGTTCCTGGAATGGCAATGGGCCTGGTGTGATGTTGAATAGAAGTTGTCACTTTGGGCAGCCACAGGCTCTCCTCTTGCACTGGACTGAGTCATGCCTGACTCCAAGCCACCTGTTCCAAGACACCTCTGATCCTCAGTATCCTGACAACAAATCTCCTGTTTGTTCCAAGAAAACTTTACTCCTACATATTTTGACTGGACAGTCTATTTTTCTTCATTTGTTTTACCTTCTAGATACCCCACCACACACATACACACACACACACACGCACACACACACACAGAGTCATTCACAAAGAGAAACATTCATTTTAAATAGCCACACAGTCACATAATCATTCACACAAGCTCTACCCTCTCTAGCTCAATGTTATTTTTTCTAAGTAACTCTTATGTGCAGAGATCCCTAAAGATGGACCAGCAAGAGAGAGAGAGGAGGATACGCAGCACCTCCCTTGTAGAATTTGCAGTCTTGTTTACGAGTTAGGATATTCATGCCCTTCTAATACAAATGAGTACACAACCATACACACAAACACACACACACACACTCCCAGTGGTGTTCCAAAATAACCCTCAGAAATCTATTAAGTGATTTTTATTTTATTATTATTATTATTATTATTATACTTTAAGTTTTAGGGTACATGTGCACAATGTGCAGGTTAGTTACATATGTATACATGTGCCATGCTGGTGCGCTGCACCCACTAACTCATCATCTAGCATTAGGTATATCTCCCAATGCTGTCCCTCCCCCCTCCCCCCACCCCACAACAGTCCCCAGAGTGTGATGTTCCCCTTCCTGTGTCCATGTGTTCTCATTGTTCAATTCCCACCTATGAGTGAGAATATGCGGTGTTTGGTTTTTTGTTCTTGCGATAGTTTACTGAGAATGATGATTTCCAATTTCATCCATGTCCCTACAAAGGACATGAACTCATCATTTTTTATGGCTGCATAGGATTCCATGGTGTATATGTGCCACATTTTCTTAATCCAGTCTATCATTGTTGGACATTTGGGCTGGTTCCAAGTCTTTGCTATTGTGAATAATGCCGCAATAAATATACGTGTGCATGTGTCTTTGTAGCAGCATGATTTATAGTCCTTTGGGTATATACCCAGTAATGGGATGGCTGGGTCAAATGGTATTTCTAGTTCTAGATCCCTGAGGAATCGCCACACCGACTTCCACAATGGTTGAACTAGTTTACAGTCCCACCAACAGTGTAAAAGTGTTCCTATTTCTCCACATCCTCTCCAGCACCTGTTGTTTCCTGACTTTTTAATGATTGCCATTCTAACTGGTGTGAAATGGTATCTCATTGTGGTTTTGATTTGCATTTCTCTGATGGCCAGTGATGGTGAACATTTTTTCATGTGTTTTTTGGCTACATAAATGTCTTCTTTTGAGAAGTGTCTGTTCATGTCCTTTGCCCACTTTTTGATGGGGTTATTTGTTTTTTTCTTGTAAATTTGTTTGAGTTCATTGTAGATTCTGGATATTAGCCCTTTGTCAGATGAGTAGGTTGCGAAAATTTTCTCCCATTTTGTAGGTCGCCTGTTCACTCTGATGGTAGTTTCTTTTGCTGTGCAGAAGCTCTTTAGTTTAATCAGATCCCATTTGTCAATTTTGTCTTTTGTTGCCGTTGCTTTTGGTGTTTTAGACATGAAGTCCTTGACCATGCCTATGTCCTGAATGGTAATGCCTAGGTTTTCTTCTAGGGTTTTTATGGCTTTAGGTCTAACGTTTAAGTCTTTAATCCATCTTGAATTGATTTTTGTATAAGGTGTAAGGAGGGGATCCAGTTTCAGCTGTCTACATATGGCTAGCCAGTTTTCCCAGCACCATTTATTAAATAAGGAATCCTTTCCCCATTGCTTGTTTTTCGCAGGTTTGTCAAAGATTGGATAGTTGTAGATATGTGGCATTATTTCTGAGGGCTCTGTTCTGTTCCATTGATCTATATCTCTGTTTTGGTACCAGTACCATGCTGTTTTGGTTACTGTAGCCTTGTAGTGTAGTTTGAAGTCAGGTAGTGTGATGCCTCCAGCTTTGTTCTTTTGGCTCAGGATTGACTTGGTGATGCAGGCTCTTTTTTGGTTCCATATGAACTTTAAATTAATTTTTTCCAATTCTGTGAAGAAAGTCTTTGGTAGCTTTATGGGGATGACATTGAATCGGTAAATTACATTGGGCAGTATGGCCATTTTCACGATATTGATTCTTCCTACCCATGAGCATGGAATGTTCTTCCATTTGTTTGTATCTGTATCCTCTTTTATTTCCTTGAGCAGTGGTTTGTAGTTCTCCTTGAAGAGGTCCTTCACATCCCTTGTAACTTGGATTCCTAGGTATTTTATTCTCTTTGAAGCAATTGTGAATGGGAGTTCACTCATGATTTGGCTCTCTGTTTGTCTGTTGCTGGTGTATAAGAATGCTTGTGATTTTTGTACATTGATTTTGTATCCTGAGACTTTGCTGAAGTTGCTTATCAGCTTAAGGAAATTTTGGGCTGAAACAATGGGGTTTTCTGGATATACAATCATGTCGTCTGCAAACAGGGACAATTTGACTTCCTCTTTTCCTAATTGAATACCCTTTATTTCCTTCTCCTGCCTAATCGCCCTGGCCAGAACTTCCAACACTATGTTGAACAGGAGTGGTGAGAGAGGGCATCCCTGTCTTCTGCCAGTTTTCAAACGGAATGCTTCCAGTTTTTGCCCATTCAGTATGATATTGACTGTGGGTTTGTCATAGATAGCTCTTATTATTTTGAGATATGTCCCATCAATACCTAATTTATTGAGAGTTTTTGGCATGAAGGGTTGTTGAATTTTGTCAAAGGCCTTTTCTGCATCTATTGAGATAATCATGTGGTTTTTGTCTTTGGTTCTGTTTATATGCTGGATTACATTTATTGATTTGCGTATATTGAACCAGCCTTGCATCCCAGGGATGAAGCCCACTTGATCATGGTGGATAAGCTTTTTGATGTGCTGCTGGATTCGGTTTGCCGGTATTTTACTGAGGATTTTTGCATCAATGTTCCTCAAGGATATTGGTCTAAAATTCTCTTTTTTGGTTGTGTCTCTGCCCGGCTTTGGTATCAGGATGATGCTGGCCTCATAAAATGAGTTAGGGAGGATTTCCTCTTTTTCTATTGATTGGAATAGTTTCAGAAGGAATGGTACCAGTTCTTCCTTGTACCTCTGGTAGAATTCGGCTGTGAATCCATCTGGTCCTGGACTCTTTTTTGTTGGTAAGGTATTGATTATTGCCACAATTTCAGCTCCTGTTATTGGTCTATTCAGAGATTCAACTTCTTCCTGGTTTAGTCTTGGGAGGGTGTATGTGTCGAGGAATTTATCCATTTCTTATAGATTTTCTAGTTTATTTGCGTAGAGGTGTTTGTAGCATTCTCTGATGGTAGTTTGTATTTCTGTTGGATCAGTGGTGATATCCCCTTTATCATTTTTTATTGCGTCTATTTGATTCTTTCTCTTTTTTTCTTTGTTAGTCTTGCTAGCGGTCTATCAATTTTGTTGATCCTTTCAAAAAACCAGCTCCTGGATTCATTAATTTTTTGAAGGGTTTTTTGTGTCTCTATTTCCTTCAGTTCTGCTCTGATTTTAGTTATTTCTTGCCTTCTGCTAGCTTTTGAATGTGTTTGCTCTTGCTTTTCTAGTTCTTTTAATTGTTATGTTAGGGTGTCAATTTTGGATCTTTCCTGCTTTCTCTTGTGGGCACTTAGTGCTATAAATTTCCCTCTACACACTGCTTTGAATGTGTCCCAGAGATTCTGATATGTTGTGTCTTTGTTCTCGTTGGTTTCAAAGAACATCTTTATTTCTGCCTTCATTTCGTTATGTACCCAGTAGTCATTCAGGAGCAGGTTATTCAGTTTCCATGTAGTTGAGCAGTTTTGAGTGAGATTCTTAATCCTGAGTTCCAGTTTGATTGCACTGTGGTCTGAGAGATTGTTATAATTTCTGTTCTTTTACATTTGCTGAGGAGAGCTTTACTTCCAAGTATGTGATCAATTTTGGAATAGGTGTGGTGCTGAAAAAAATGTATATTCTGTTGATTTGGGGTGGAGAGTTCTGTAGATGTCTATTAGGTCTGCTTGGTGCACAGCTGAGTTCAATTCCTGGGTATCCTTGTTGACTTTCTGTCTCATTGATCTGTCTAATGTTGACAGTGGGGCAAATTGGATAAAGAGTCAAGACCCATCAGTGTGCTGTATTCAGGAAACCCATCTCACGGGCAGAGACACACATAGGCTCAAAATAGAAGGATGGAGGAAGATCTACCAAGCAAATGGAAAACAAAAAAAGGCAGGGGTTGCAATCCTAGTCTCTGATAAAATAGACTTTAAACCAACAAAGATCAAAAGAGACAAAGAAGGCCATTACTTAATGGTAAGGGGATCAATTCAACAAGAAGAGCTAACTATCCTAAATATATATGCACCCAATACAGGAGCACCCAGATTCATAAAGCAAGTCCTGAGTGACCTACAAAGAGACTTAGACTCCCACACATTAATAATGGGAGACTTATTAAGTGATTTTTAAAACAGATCAGTTTAAAAGAGATTGCAAGGAGAAGGAGTGCTTGATCCAATTTAGGTGAATTATTAGCAACAAATTTGTTAGAAAGCAGGTCATTAAGCTACAGAATGTCAGGCAGGAGTAAAAAGGGAGTTAAACAGTACATAATAGAGTTCCTGCATTTCAAGATAAAAAACTGATTTCCGGAAAGGCAGAGAAAAGTAATTAAGATCAATCAAAAATTATTTCAGAATCACACCTGGAGTCCAGTTCCCTAGGTTCCCAGCCAGCCCTCTACTCTTTCTCCTGCAGCCTAGTCTTGTTTTCAGGAGTGACTGAGAAAGTTTGTGGTCTCTGTTGAGCTGGTCTGGAATACTAGGGAGCTGTTTCCAGAAGCAGTGAAGCCAACATAAAATTTCAGAAGGGTCATTGCAGTCACTGAGGGGTGAACCCTATTTTTCAAGAAGGTGGGTGGGCCATAATATCAAACAGGTGTGAGGTAGGTGATAGGTAGCACCTGCACAGTATAGCATTGGCAAGAACTCAGAGACACCTGGAAACAGTAGACTGTAGAAATTGTCCAACAAGGTAATGAGTAGTTGCCAAACTGGCAGGAGAGAGTAAAGTCACTCAGGTCTGCTAGATATGTATGTGTTAAAATGGCTTCATATTATTGCTGATTTCAGTGATGGAAAAGTCTAGAGACAACTCCAGGACTAACTACAATTAAATAGGCTGATCCAGAATGGAGAAATGTGTTCTATAGTATGCAGCTATTATGCATATAAAGTAGCTCAAACATTTTAAAGGGGAGTTTGGACAGGAAGCACAAAAAGATTTAAAGATCTGCCTGACCTTTGAGCCATGAATTCTATTCTAGAAATTCATTAAGAATTATTCATGCATGTACACAAAGATTTATACATCAAGATATTCATTTCAGCATTGTATCTAATAGTAAAAAGCTGGTAAGAACCTAAATGCATACTAGTGAATAACGGCATCCATAATTGATGGAGTGTCCATGTATTAAAATTACACAGCAGCTATTAAAGGAAATATTACAGAAGAATTATTAATCATATTGAAAAATGATCAGGTTATATTTAAAAAGCAAGCCCCAAACAATATAAGCAAAAAAGAATCTTGTGAATAATACATGCATGAAAGTCGATTTATATAAAAAAAATCCTGATACAAAATTCAGCAAAATATAACTGGTTATTTCTTCCTGTTCACATGATATTGTTCATTTGCTTTTTTGAATGGCTCTGTTTTTTCTTATTATATAATATGTAAAGTTATTTCATTTTTAAAACATTTTATCACGATATTAAAAATACAGAAGTCAGTGAAGATGCTGCTGAGCTAAGGAAAAATGTGTGTCCTGCTTATCCAGAACATTCCTCAGGCTCTACACAGATCCCAGATGAACAGTAAAATGGTGGGGGCCTCCCTTCCATGTTGAAGTAGGGTCCATGGAGATAAATGCTTCAACGTGCCTGGTAGAAGGCTGATGCCAAGGAACCCTAAACCTTTAGAGTAAATGGAGAGGACAGAACTACTCTCCTATCTTCTCACCCTTCCTCCCTTTAGTCATTCTTGCCTCTCTACAAAGGTTAGTTGGAATGCTTTACCGAAAAGTGCTTTGTAAGCACAGACTCCATAAAATCAACCTTAGCTTCTTAAAAACTGTCTGGTCACAACTGGGTCTATGTGTCATTTTCAAATATGACATTTCAGTCAAAGCCTTGGTTATAGAACCAAGATTTTCAGTTATATCCAGTTACAAGAAGGATAAATTCCTATTGGACATATGCAAATAATTATGTCGTCATGAAAATAAGAATCCTCAATGAGTGCCAAATTCTAGAGGGATTAGGCAAGGAGAAAACGATAAATGTTCTATTTCTGTTTATAAAAGTATAATCTAATTATTGTTGCAAGTTATGGATACTGTAAAAGAGAAAGAAGTGTCTTATAATCCATTCAGAAAATAGAACATAAAAGAATCAACAATGTTTCAAGTAAAAATCCATAAATATTATAATTGCACTTCATCAGTTCATCTGGTACCTGTAATTAATTTTTGTTCTGGTTGATCTTGGGTTAGCAGTTTTATCAACCAATCAGTTTCTCCAATATAGTTCTGGAAATCCTTACTCAGTCTAGTGGGATGGTCTTAAAGTCATTTAAGCAATGCAATCAGAAGCCTGCACTCTAGTGTATCTGTTATAGATTTTTTTCCATGTGTCCCTGAGACTTTTCCTTTTTATTTAAGATTAAGCATTTTGGCTTGTAACTTATTAAAAACGTTTTCATACGGGAATCAGAGTAAAACAAAAACTATCTGTGCATGACAAGACTTAAAACGGCTATGGTTAAAGATATGATAATGTGTCCAGAATTTAGTCCTTCCGGTGGGTTCTTGGACTTGCTGACTTCAAGAATGAAGCCGCGGACCCTCACAGTGAGTGTTACAGTCCTTAAAGATGGTGTGTCTGGAGTTTGTTCCTTCAGATGTTCAGATGTGTCCGGAGTTTCTTCCTTCTGGTGGGTTCGTGGTCTCACTGACTTCAGGAGTGAAGCTGCAGGCCTTCACGGTGAGTGTTACAGCTGTTAAAGGTGGCATGCCCAGAGTTGTTTGTTTGTTCCTCCCAGTAGGTTTGTGGTCTCGCTGACTTCAGGAATGAAGCTGCAGACCCCCGCAGTGTTACAGCTCATAAAGGTAGTGCAGACCCAAACAGTGAGCAGGAGCTAAATTTATTGTGAAGAGCAAAAAGACAAAGCCTCCACAGCAAAAGCCTCCACAGCATGGAAGGGGACCCAAGCTGGTTGCCTCTGCTGCCTCGGGTGGCCAGCTTTTATTCCCTTATTTTTCCCCGCCCACATTCTGCTGATTGGTCCATTTTACAGAGCACTGATTGGTCCATTTTACAGAGTGCTGATTGGTCCGTCTTTGCAGAGTGCTGATTGGTGCGTTTACAAACTTTAGCTAGACACAGAGTGCTGACTGGTGCGTTTTTACAGAGTGCTGATTGGTGCACTTACAAACCTTTAGCTAGATGCAGAGAGCTGATTGGTGCGTTTTTACAGAGTGCTGATTGGTGCATTTACAATCCTCTAGCTAGACAGAAAAGTTCTCCAAGTACCCACTCTACCCAGGAAGTCCAGCTGGCTTCACCTGTCAATAAGAGTTTATTATTAAGTAATTGACAAGGAAATTTGGTTGTCTCTGTCATAGATATTTAAAACAACAACCAGATTTATGACTAAAATTATCCCAAGGCATATCCTGAGCAGTGGAGGTATTGACAAATTCCTATGAATGTCAAACAATTTCTGAAATAGTCATGTTAATAATATTTATCCATGCAAATATCACATAGAGAAGGTTAAGCATCTCTTCTCATTTGACAACACATTTAATGCAATTTAACTATCAAAAACCATTACTTTGTTTAAAATTTCTCTTTTTACAAGGTGAAAGAAAAAAATCTTTCATGATTTTCCAGGGTTCCTCTGGGAAATATTAAGGTCAATTTGAGATCAAGATTTCATTTCAGGTCTTATTTTGGGAAGGCAAAACTGCCAAAAATGTTAAAAGGTTTGAACACTTGACTAAATAAGATTATTGATCACTATGAAACCATACTTGCCTACCTAGTTAACCAAAGTGACTATAAAAAACTACAAAAGTAACTATAGGAAGGTACCTTATTGTAAAATACCTTAGTTTTTTTTTCAAAGAGAGAAGACTTGGTTGTTTTAAATAGTCAGGACATGGAAAAGGTCAACATAAAGCATAGGACATCATTCTGATAAGACACAGAACCTTTGTTTCCCAGGCAGTTACACAGAAGGTAAACTAAACAAAACCTTTTATAGTCTCTTATTTTTTTTTCTTTTTTTCCCTCTGCATTCCTCTAGTCAATCTTGGCTGCCACAATCACAGACAAAAAGCATGAGGACATTTTTCTTCTTGCATCTGTGGTGGAAACTTTAGCAGCAGACAATACCTGCTCCAGGCATGTCAGATAGATGCATTTCAATCTTGTAAGGAGCAGGACATCCAACCATGGGGTTACAACTCCTGGCTGACTGACCACTGTGCGACTATAAACATTGATAATCAAATGAAGGAAGGTCCTTGGTTATAATAGACACAATATGGCAGCAGGGTGCTTAAGATGCCACCGTGTGCTGTGGACAAATGTATATCACCCTTTTTGTTGTAGATGGAAAGTTATTGAACAGAATCTAAAATTACAACCAGTTTCTGTTGGGGTTAAAGAAGTAGGCATTCCATGGTGGATCCAAATTATCCTGGAGAATGCCCCACCCAAAAACAAGGGAGACTCTGAGAGGCCTTATGGAATACTTAGACTAAATCACATCTGGATGTGACCACCACTCCTTTAACCCCAATGTAGGCGTCCAACATTTTGGGTACAAAACGTGGCTAACTGCTCTCAGGCCATTAGTACACAATGGCAACAATAAGCATGGTGGATTAAACAATATTGGCCCACCTGACAGAAAAGGGCTTTAGGGAACATAGGTGCTGATATAAGCATTGTGGGACAATCTAAATTCCTCACCCTTTCTTAAACAGTTTTATGAAGCTATAATTCACATACCGTACAATTCACCAATTTGAAGTATACGATTAAATTAACTTTAGTGTATTCACAAATATGTGTAACCATCACAACAGTGAATTTCAGCACAATTTCATCACTGAAAAAAGAAAATGCCACCTTCAGCTATCATCCTCCTATTTTTTTACCCTCTCCCCCAACCCTAAGCAACCACTAATCTACTTTCTGTCTCTGTAGATTTTCCTACCCTGGACATTTCAAATGAATGACATTATATAATACATGGTCTTTTGTGACTGCTTTCTTTCACTTAGAATAAAGTTTTCAAGGCTCATTTGTGTTCTGGTATTAATCAGTTCTTCATGTCTTTTTAAAAATATTTTGTTGTAATAAAATATACATAACATTTATCATTTTAACCATTTTAAATATATAGTTCAGTGATATTAATTACACTCGTATTGCTATGTAATCATCACCACCATCCATCTCCATAACTCTTTTCATCTTGTAAAACTGAAATGTTATACCCATAAAAATAACAACCCATTTTCTCCTTTCCCCAGGCCCTGGCAACCACTACTCTATTTTATGTCTCCAGGATTTTGACTATTCTATGTACCTCATGTAAGTGGAATAATAGAGTATTTATCTTTTAATGACAAGCTTATTTCACTTAGAATAATATCCTCAAGATTCATCTATGTCATAGCATATGTAAGAATTTCCTTCCTTTTTAAGGCCAAATGATATTCCACCATAGGTATATGCCACATTTGTCTTATTCATACTTCCATTAATGAACACCTGCGTTGCTTCCGCATTTAAGCTATTATGAATAATACTGCTATGAACATGGGTATATAAATATCTCTTCATGTCCCTGCTTTCAATTCATTGAAGTATATACCCAGATATGGAATTTATAGTTCATATTGTAACTCTAGTTTTAATTTTTTAAGAAAAGGTCATACTGTTTTCCAGAGCAGCTGTACCATTTTAAACTACTACCAACAGTGCACAAAGGTTCCAAATTCTCCACGTCCTCACCAACACTTTCTATTTTCTGGCATTTTGATGGTAGCCATCCTAATGGATATGAGGTGGTATCTCATTGTAGTTTTGATTTACATTTCTCTAATGGTTAGTGATGTTCAGTATCTTTTCATGTTCTTATTGGCCATGGTATACCTTGGCCAATGTTTTCTGAACTTATTTAAATAAATGCTTAGGCAAGTTATTTACCTAGTTTTCCTATTTTTTTAATTGGGACATTTGGTTTTGTTGGTTGTTGAGTTTCAGGACTTCTCTATGCCTTTTGGATATTAATCCCATACGATATATATGACTTGCAAATATATTTTCCCATTCAGTGAGTTCCCTTTTTCAGTGTTGAAGACATTCTTTTAGTATACATTACTTTTTAATTTACTAAGTCCAATTTATCTATTATTTGTTGTTGTCTCTACCTTTGGTGTCATATCCAAAAAAATCATTGCTAAATTCAGTGTTGTAAAGTTTTTACCCTATGTTTTCTTTGAAGAGCTTTATAGTTTCAGGTCTTACATTTAGGTCATGAATCCACCTTGAGTTTAATTTTTATATGCGGTCTTAGGCAAGAGTCCAACCTTATTCTTTTGCATGTGGATATCCAGTTTTCCCAGCACCATTTGTTGAAAAGGCTGTCCTTTCAAAAATAACTGTATCATGTATTTGATAGTTTATTTCTGGGCTCTCAGTTGTATTCTACTGGTTTAAATGTCTGTATTCATGCCAATACCACACTTTTGATTATTAGAGATTCATAGTAAGTTTTGAAATTAACAGGTGTGACTCTTTCTGCTTTGCTCTTATTTTTCAAGATTCTTTTGGCTATTCAGGATCCCTTGAGATTCCAGATGGATTTTAGGATGGGTTTTCATATTTCTACAATAAACATCATTGGGATTTTGATAGAGATTACACTGAATCTGTAGATCGCTTTGGGTAGCATTGACATCTTAACAATGTTAAGTCTTCCAGGTCATGAACACAGATGTCTTTCCATTTATTTTATGTCTTCTTTAATTTATTTCAACAATGTTTTATAGTTTATTGTAAAGTCTATAACTACCTCTGTTAATTCCTAAGTATGTTATTCTTTTTCATTCCATTATAAATAAAATTTTTTCTTAATTTTCTTTCAGATTTTTTATTATTAGTACATAGAGACATAATTGATTTCTGTGCATTGACCTTGTATCCTGCTATAATGTGTTATTAGTTCTAACAACTTTTTATAGAATCTTCCGGTCATATCATCTATTAATAGAGATAATTTTACTTCTTTTCCAATTTGGATACCTTTTGTTTTTTCTCCTGTCTAATTACTCTGGCTAAAATGTCCAGGACTACATTGAGTAGAAGTGGCAAAAGAAGACATCCTTGCCTTTTCTTCATCTTAAGGAAAAAGCTTTCAGTCTTTCACCATTGAGTGTGATGTTGGCTGTGGTTTTTTCACATGACTTTTAGAATGTTGAAAGTTTTCTTCTATTCTTAGTTTGTTGGGTGTTTTTATAATAAAAGAATGTCAAATTTTGTCCAATGCTTTCTTTGCATCAGTTGAGATGATTATGTGATGCTTTTCTTTGTTATTTTAATGTGATATATTATAATGGTCAATTTTCATATGTTGAACCATTCTTGCATTCAGGAATAAATCCCACTTGGTCATGGCATATAGTCCTTTTAATATACTGCTGAATTCAACTTGTTAACATTTGTTAAAGATATTTGCATCAATGTTCTTAAGAGATATTGGTCTGTAGTTTTCTTTTCTGTCAGTGTCTATATCTGCGCTTGGCGTCGAGATAATGGTGACTTCATAAAATGAGTTAGAAAGTGTTCCCTCCTCTTTAATTTTTTGAAAAGTTTGAAATAGATCGCTGTGAATTCTTCCTAAAGTTTTTGATAGAATTCCCCAGTGAAGCATCAAGTCCAGGACTTTTCTTTATGGGGATATTTTCAATTACTGATTCAATATTTTTACTAGTTATAGATCTATTTGGATTTCCTGTTTCTTTGTGATTTGGTCTCAGTAGGTTTTGTATTTCTAGGAATTTATCCATTTCATCTAGGTTACCCAATTTGTGGGTGTACAATTGTTCATAACACTCCCTTATAATCCTTTCATTTATGGAGAATAACTATAAGGTCCCCATTTTCATTTCTCATTTTAGTGGTTTGAGTCTCTTATCTTTTTTCCTATTCCATTTAACTAAAAGTTTGTCAATGTTGTTAATCTTTTCAAATAACTATTGTTTTTATTGATTTTCTTTATCGTTTATCTCTGTTTTGCTTATCTCTGCTCTAATCGTTATTATTTCTTTCCTTCTGCTAGCTCTGTGTTTAGTTTGTTCCTTTTCTAGTATCTTAAGTTGTAAAGTTAGGCTGTTGATTTGAGATCTTACTTGTTTTTATAAGGTAAGCATTTATAGCTATAAATTTCCCCCATGGCACTGCTTTCATGCTTTAGGTTTTGGTATGTTGTGTTTTTGTTTTCATTCATCTCTAAATATTTTCTAATTTACATTGTTATTTCTTCTTTGATCCACTGTTTGTTTAAAATTGTGTTACTTTCCATAAATTGATGAATTTTCCAGTTTTTCTTGTTATTGACATCTAACTTCATTCTGCTTATTGAAAAAGATACCTTGTGTGATATATATTTTTTAAATCTACTGAGACTTAATTTTTGCCCTAACATATATTTTATCCTAGGAAATGTCCCACATACACCTGAGAAGAATGTGCATTCTGTTGTTGGATAGAGTGTTCTGTGTATATCTGTTAGATCTAGTTGGTTTACTGTGTTGTTCAAGTCCTCTATTTCCTTACTTATCTTCTGTCTGCTAGCTCTATTCATATTGAGAGTGATATGCTGAAGTCTCTGGCTATTGTTGTAGAATTGTCTATTTCTCCCATCAATTCTGTCAATTTTTGCTTTGTATATTTGATGGTGTGATATTAGGTGCATAAAGGTTTGTAATTGTTGTATCTTCTAGCTGTATTAAACCTTCGTGTATATATATATACATATACACTTATATACGTGTATATATATACACGTATATACGTATATATGTATATATATATGTAACCTCTTTTTCTCATAAGTTTTTTCATTTAAAGTCTGTTTTATCTGATAGCAATATAACTGCTTCTGTTCTCTTTTAGTTACTATTTGCATAAAATATCATTTTCATTCTTTCACTTTCAACCAATTTGTATAATTGAATCTAAAGAGAATTTTTTCTAGATAGTATATAATTGGATCATGTTTTTTAAGTCATTTTGCCCATCTCTGTCTTTTGATTGGAGAATTTAATGCACAGACATTTATTTTATTTATTTTTATTTTATTTTATTATTATTATACTTTAAGTTTTAGGGTACATGTGCACAACGTGCAGGTTTGTTACCTATGTATACATGTGCCATGTTGGTGTGCTGCACCCATTAACTCGTCATTTAGCATTAGGCATATCTCCTAATGCTATCCCTCCCCCCTCCCCCAACCACACAACAGTCGCCGGTATGTGATGTTCCCCTTCCTGTGTCCATGTGTTCTCATTGTTCAATTCCCACCTATGAGTGAGAACACGCGGTGTTTGGTTTTTTGTCCTTGTGATAGTTTGCTGAGAATGATGGTTTCCAGTTTCATCCATGTCCCTACAAAGGACATGAACTCATCATTTTTTATGGCTGCATACTATTCCATGGTGTATATGATGCACAGACATTTAAAGCAATTACTGGAGAGGAGGGGCCAAAATGGCCAAATAGGAATAGCTCCAGTCTGCAACTCCCAGCAAGACAAACACAAAAAGTGAGTGATTTCTGCATTTCCAACTGAGGTACCCAGTGCATCTCATTGGGACTGACTAGGTGTCTGGCATGATCCGCAGAGAGCAAGGAAAAGCAGGCTGGGGTGATGGTTCACCTAGGAGGTACATGGGACAAAGGGACCACCCTCCCCCAGTCAAGGGAAGTGGTGAGGGACTGTTACCCACCGGGGGTACCATGCTTTTCCCACAGATTTCTGTAGTCCAAGAATCAGGAGATCCCCCTCATGAGCCTACACCATCAGGGCCTTGGGTCTCAAGCACAAAACTGGGCAGACCCACAGCAGCTACTCCCATTGGTGGCTGTTTGGGCAGGCACTGAGCTGCAGGAGTTTTTACCTACACCGGCGGCACCTGGAACTCCAGTGAGGCAGGAGAACCATCCACTCCCATGGAAAGGGGGCTGAAACCAGGGAACCAAATAGCCTCACTCAGCAGGTCCCACTCCCAAGGAACCCTGCAAGCTAAGACCCACTGGCTTGAAATCCCCGCCAGCCAGCACAGCATCCTAGAGTCTGCCTAAGACGACTGAATTCCTGGGAGGAGGGGTGGCTGCCATTACTGTAGCTCTAGTTGGCAGTTTTCCCCGTCAGTACTAGGGAAACTGGGAGGTTTGGACTGGGCAATACTCCCCACAGCACAGCACAGCAGCAATGGCAGATCATGGCCAGACTGCTTCTTTAGGTGGAACCTGGATCCATCCCCCTTCACCAGACAGGGCCTCCCTGCAGGAATTCCAGCAACTCCAGCCAGGGGCTTATAGACAGAATTCTCATCTCTCTGGAACAGAGCACATGGGGGAAATGGCAGCCATGGCCTCAGGTTCAGCAGACTTAATCTTTCCTACCTGCTAGCTCTGAAGAGTCCGACTGATCTGGACAAGAGGGATTCTCCCAGCACAGCACACCAGCTCTGCTAAGGGACAGTTAGTCTGCTTCCTTAAGCAGGTCCCTGATCCCATGCCTCATGACTGGGTGAGACTTCACAAGAGGGGTTGCCAGACATCTCATACAGGAGAGTTCCAGCTGGCATCAGGTCAGTGCCCCTCTGGGACGAAGCTTCCAGAGGAAGAAGTAGGCTGCCATCTTTGCTGTTCTGCAGCCTCCACTGGTGATACTCAGGCAAACAGGGTCTGGAGTGGACTCCCAGCAAACTGTAGCAGACCTGCAGAATAGGAACCTGGCTGTTAGATGAAAAACAAACAAACAGAAAGCAAGAACAACATCAACAAACAAGAGCCCAAAAAACCCCATCCAATGGTCAACAGCCTCAAACATCAAAGGCAGATAAATCCACAAAGATGAGGGAAAAGCAATGCAAAAAGCCTGAAAATTCCAAAAGCCAGAATGTCTCTTCTATTCCAAATGATCGCAACACCTCTCCATCAAGGGCACAGAATGGGGCTGAAGCTGAGATGGATGAACTGACAGAAGTAGGATTCAGAAAGTGTGTACTAACAAGCTTCACTGAGCTAAAGGATTATGTTCTAAACCAATGCAAAGAAGCTAAGAACCATAATAAAAGATTACAGTAGCTGTTAACTAGAATAACCAGTTTAGAGTGCAAAATAAATTATCTGATGGAGCTTAAAAACACAGCACCAGAATTTCATGATGCAAACACAAGTATCAATAGCCGAATTGACCAAGCAGAAGAGAGAGTATCAGAGCTTGAAGACTACCTTGCTGAAATAAGGCAGGCAGACAAGATTAGAGAAAAAAGAATGAAAAGGAATGAATAAAACCTCCGAGAACTATGGGACATGTAAAAGACAGAACCTATGATTGATTGGAGTACCTGAAAGAGACTGGGAGAATGGAACCAAGTTGGAAAATGCACTTTAGGATATCATCCAGGAGAACCTCCCCAACCTAGCAAGAGAGGTCAACATTCAAATTCAGGAAATCCAGAGAACCCCAATAAGATACTCCACAAGAAGATCTGCCCCAAGACAGATAATCTTCAGATTCTCCAAGGTCAAAATGAAGGAAAAAATGTTAAGGGCAGTCAGAGAGAAAGGCCAGGTCTCCTACAAAGGGAAGCCCATCAGACTAACAGCAGACATCTCAGGAGAAACCCTACAAGCTGGAAGAGATTGGGGGCCAATATTCAATAGTCTTAAAGAAAATAATTTTCAGCCCAGAATTTCATATCCAGCCAAACTAAGCTTTATAAGCATAAGAGAAATAAAATCCTTTTCAAACAAGCAGATGCTGAGGGATTTCATCACTACCAGAACAGCCTTGCAAGAGCTCCTGAAGGAAGTACTAAACAGGGAAAGGAAAAACCATTACCAGCCACTACAAAAACACTGAAGTACATAGACCAATGACACTATGAAGCAACTACATTAACAAGTCCACAAAATTAACCAGCCAGCACATGATGACAGGATCAAATTCACACATAACAATATTAACCTTAAATGTAAATGGGCTAAATACCCCAATTAAAAGACACAGAATGGAAAGCTGGATAAAAAGGAAAAGGCATTAACTGACTTCTTAATAAATGTTGTTAAGGTTATAAAAGACTTCTGGAAGTCATATCTTATGGTCAAGATTAAAATTTTATAGATTGTAGAATTTTGAAAAACAAATTTAATTGACTTCTTGCTATTTTTATTAGGGCTTATTGTTTTGAAAATTAAGTATCCTTATTATGCTTCAAAAACTACAGTACACCTGTTGTTAGATTCCAGTCTTGCCTAATGTTTTTCAACTGTTATTATTTTCTACAGTTTGGACCAAATTCTAATTTTCTTGGCTACAAGTCTTCAAAATAATGTTTTCAATTCTTTTCCTTCTTTTTCCCCCCATTTTTCCTAATTGAGAGTCACTGAAAACTAAGCTGTGCTTTCTTAAAGCCCTACGAACTGAAGGTGGACAACTTAAACTTCGGAAGAAAATAATAGCAACCTATTTACATACATAAGCCACTTTCATACCTGCCTACTAATATATGGACTTCAGAGTAATGTGTCCTACATCGATTTTCTAGGGTTTTCCTTTTGTTTGTTTTTCTCCCTTCCTCCCCCTATTTTCTCTTCATACAACATGAGACTTCACAACCTGCTAAAATGGGCTTTCCTAATAACTCAGGACCTACCCATCTAGGAATAAACCATCCTAGCCATGAGAGATCAGATGAAACCTGGGAAAAGAGACTCAATTTCTTCTAAAATGCTTTCTCCAAAAGATTTTTTAAAAGAAAAGGGGGGAAGAATGGTAGGAAAATAAATCTCAGGGCCCCCAAATCACTAAGCTAAAGGGAAAAGTCAAGCTGGGAACTGCTCAGGGCAAACCTACCTCCCATTCTACTCAAAGTCACCCCTCTGCTCACTGAGATAAATGCATATCTGATTGCCCCCTTTGGAGAGACTAATCAGAAACTCAAAAGAATGCAACTATTTGTCTCTTATCTACCTGTGATCTGGAAGCCCCCTCTCTGCTTCCTGTTGTCCCACCTTTCCTGACCGAACCAATATTCATCTTACATGTGTTGATTGATGTCTTATGTATAAAACCAAGCTGCGCTCTGACCACCTTGGGCACATGTCGTCAGGACTTCCTGAGGCTGTGTCACGGGCATGCATCCTCAACCTTGGCAAAACAAACTTTCTAAATTAACTGAGACCTGTCTGGTTTCACAGCTGGAATGAAGGTAAAACAGCCCTCCCCAAATCCACTTCCTTATAGCAGGGCTCATTTTGCATATAAAAGCCCAGTTGGCCAGAGACTCCTAACCAGACCTGAGAGGCCAGGGAGCTCAATCTTCTGAAGTAAGAGTTCCAACCTGAAACTGTTTAATATTCACCTAATTGTATCTTATTTTGATTGGGGTCTCCTTGCAATGCTAAGGCTATGGTTATTTGAAATGGATTTGCAGTTTGTACTTAAGGGTACTGTAATGCCCAACCTTGTTTTTCCTTTTTCACCTAGCCTTGTTTCCACCTGAATAGACTCTCCCTTAGCTGAGAGAACCAGACAAACTCCATCTTGGCTCTTTCACTTGTAGCCCCTTCCTCAAGGACTTAACTTGTGCAAGCTGACTCCCAGCACATCCAAGAATGCAATTAACTGATAAGATACTGTGGCAAGCTATATCCACAGTCCCCAAGAATTCGTCTGATTGATAATGCCCAAAGCCCCGTGTCTACCCCCTTGTAATAGTCTTAAAGCCCCTGCACCTGGAACTGTTTACTTTCCTGTAACCATTTATCCTTTTAACTTTTTGACTACTTAAATTCTGTAAAATTGTTTTAACTAGACACCCCCTCCCCTTTCTAAACCAAGATATAAAAGTTAATCAAGCCCCTTCCTCGGGGCCGAGAGAATTTTGAGCATTAGCCGTCTCTCGGTCGCCGGCTAATAAAGGACTCTTAATTCGTCTCAAAGTGTGGCGTTTTTCTAACTCCCTCGGGTACAACAGTACTAAAGCAGTTCTTTTTGACTTCCCACTCAGATTACAGCTGTGGGACTGAGACTCAGAAAAGGGAAGTGACTTATTTTAGAGTGCTGTTCCCTGAGCAGGAGGAATGAACTAGACTCCATGCCCAGGGCACTTTTAGTGATATTTTAATCATCTGTATGATTTTTAGAATTGTCAGCATCAAAGGCACTGCATTAGACAATTTGGATGTTCAAAACTTAAATCTAGGTGCAGTGGCACATTCTGTAGTTCCACCAACATTGGAGGCTGAGGCTGGAGGATCACTTGAGCCCAGGAGTTTGAGGCCTGCCTAGGTGACATAGCAAGACCCCATTTCTTAAAAAGAAAAAAAAAAAGTTAAATTCTTCCTTGCTACACAAACCTATGATCTATCAGAGAACACAACACGTGCACAAACTTTGCAAACATACAGCATGGGGAGTATGAGATCAGTAAAGAGGACAAATCATGTACCATGCTGTGGCTAAATAAGGAAGATGAGTGTAAGGTTCTTGTATCAGTTCAAACTCCGAGAACATGCCAACAGACAACACGAGACAAAACATGCTGTTTTAATGAGCGCCTGGGTGCAGGGAAGCTGAGGCCTAAAATGGCGTCAGTCCCAAGTGAGGACGGGGCAAAGGTTTTACAGTCTCCTGTAAACAGGATGTGTCCTAGTCTGACGCAACTGCTATGTTGTACCTGGATGGCCTCTTTCAGGATCTTCAGGGGTACGTGTCTTCCAGCCGGGGTAGGTGTCCTTCAGCCAGCTCTCTTCCTGCTTCTGCTATCTTGCTGACGCATGCTGCTGATGCAAGTGGCCTTGCACCTTGGGACTGGGCCTGAGAAGGCAGGAGTTATTCATCTCCTTAAGCTTTCAGGCCCATGGGAGAATCTCACAAATGAGACCATCAGGGAGGACAACCAGGAGGGGTGGGCAGGTGTGGACAAGTAGTGTTGGCACGGAGAGCCTTCCAGAAAACATGTGCAGTGGGCAACGTGTGAAAACAGGGTCACAGTTGGATTGTATGGGCCTCAGGAGGAGGTTTAGATGGAGTTTTCCTATGAGAACTATGGCACTGTATAAGGTAGGCATGAGTGAGTAGACTTTAGACTATTGACCTTTCCAAATTATTGCAAATCTGGGGCCTCCCATCAGTCCTTGGAGGCTTGTTAGGTTCCCTCACTAGTGTATGCTCTTAGATATACCAAGAAAAATGGAAGCTAAGAGGACACAACTTATATGGAGCAGAACAAATCAACTTTTACTCTCTCCCTTTGAAACTGCTTGGGGATTATCAAAGTTTCCTTTGATATTACATTCAGAAAACAGGAAGAAAGAGAAGAGCCCAGGAGTTCAAGGTTCTCATTCCTCTGGGGACATGCAATAAGATGTTTGGCATTGACTTTGGCTTCATTCCTATTTAATCAAAGCACTGAATCTGCTTTTTTGTCTCTAGATCCAGCATCCTTTGAAGCATGAGTTCCCACAAGCAGAAGCAGCCCTTTACCTCACCCCCTCAGCTTCAACAGCAGCAGGTGAAACAGCACAGCCAGCCTCTCCCTTAGGAACCATTTGTTCCCATAACCAAGGAGCCATGCTACCCAAAACTTGGAACCTGGAACCTGGAAACACCAAGATTCCAGAGTTAGGCTGCACCAAGATCCCTGAGCCAGGCTGCACCAAGGTCCTTGAGTCAATCTCCACCAAGGTACCAGAGCCACATCCTTCAACAGTCACTTCCGGCCCAGCTCAGCAGAAGTCCAAGTAGAAGTAATGTGGTGCACAGACAAGCCCTTGAGAAGCTGACCACCAGATGCTGGACACACTCTTCCTATCTGCTTCTGTATCTTAATTGTCTGTAGACCTTGTAACCAATACATTGTCACCCCAAGTCATAGTCTTTCTCTTATTTGTATTCTAAAAATATGCACTATGAAGCTCCTTTTGCTTGCACACACTCTGAAGAATTCTGTAAACCCCTGAGTTAAGCAGAAAGTCTTCATGGTTTTTCTGGTCTTCAGCTGCTCAGGGTTCATCTGAACATTCGAATGAAAAAAAATGCATATATCCTGCTCTGCCCTCATTAAATCACTTTTAACTCCAGTCTTGGCTGTGTGTGTCATTGGCTGAATCTTCCTCCTTCCTTGTTTCCCCATTGTGAGTCAGGACCTATAGACAAAAAGGAGTTGGTGTAGAATTCATCTATCTAAACCCAGTACTATATGTTTCTATGTGTGTGGGGGGGTACACTTGGGGGTGTTCCTGGAATGACAATGGGTATTCTGTGATGGTGCATAGAGATTGTCACTTTGGGCAGCCACAGGCTCTCCTTTTGCACTGAACTGAGTCATGCCTGAGTTCCATGTTGCCTGCTCCAGGCCACCTCTCATCCTTAGTATCCTTCCCACTAATTTCCTGTTCCTAGAAAACTTTACTCCTACATATTTGAACTTGATATTCTATTTTGCTTTATTCATTTTACCTTCCAGATACCCCAACACATACAGACATAAACACACAAACACTCACTAAAAAGCAGATTCATTTTAAATAGTCACACACTCACATAATCACTCACACAAGCTCTATCCTCATTGGCTCAGGCAATGTTACCTTTAGCTGGGTATTCGCCATGTACAGAGAGGCCTGAAGTTGGAGGAGCAAGAGGGAGTGGAGGATACACAATGCCTCCCTTGCATAATTTCGCAGTTTTGTCTAGAAGTTAGGACATTCATATCTTTTTCACACAAATACTCACTATACAGTCTCTCTCTCTCTCCCCCATCCCTTTTTCTTTCTCTCCCTCAGAATAACCCACAGAAACAGATTTATCCAGTAATTCCAAACAAGATGTGGGTTTTAAACAGGGATTAGGATTACACAATTTAGGTGAGGTGAATAACTGGCCACCAAGTTAGGAAAGAGTAGGTAATTAAGGTATAAAACCTCAGGAGTTATAGGAGACTTAAAGAGCACCCAGTAGAGTTGCTCCATTTCTTAAATAAAGAAATTGATACCCAAAAAGTTAATTAAGGTAACCCTGAAATTATGTTTCTGCATCACCCTGGAGCATAATTCCTCAGACTCCCAGCTCCCAACTCTCTCCTGCAGCCTTGTCTTTTTTATTTCAGGGGTGACCAACAGGTTTGCAGGTCTGTGTTGAGTGGCTCTGGGATATTGTAGAATGGTCTCTAACAGTAGAAAGGATGACAAAACTTCTGAAGGGCTACAGTAACCACCGGGGAACAAACTCTATTTCTTGATAGGTTGCATGGTTCATAATATCAAAGAAGTGTGAAGCCAGTGACAGGTTACACCTGCATGATACACAGGTACTCCAAATAGGTTTTACAAGACCTCAGAGATATTTGCAAATGATAAGACAAAAATTGTCCAAAGAATCATTACAAGTTGATGAGTAGTTGTCAAACTGGCAAGAGAGAATGATGTCACTTGGGCCTGTTAGGTATGCACATGATGAGGTGGCTTCAAATTACTGCTGATTCTATGATAGAAAGTCTAGAGATAATTTCAGGACCAATCACAATTAAGTAGGATGATTCTGGGTGGGGAAGTGGACTCTATGATACAGAGCTATTACGAATGTAAAGTCATGTACTTACTTGTTCCCATTGTTTGGGGCTGCTTTTTAAAAATACAAATTTATTGTGGAAAATACATCTGTCACATAAAAATTGTGATTTAAGGCATTTTTATGTGGGCTTTTTTGGCATTCATTCCATTTACGATGTTGTATGTCTTTGTTTATATATATATATATGTGTGTGTATGTGTATGCATGTGGGTTGGTGGAAGATTAAAAAAATCCCGATACTTACTATAGCAAAATATAAACAGTGGTTATTTCTGGCTGTTTAATGTTAGTGTTCATTTAATAGCTATCTGTTTTATACATTATTAATTATATAATAATTTTTTTTTCTTTTTTTTATTTTTTGAGATGGAGTCTCGCTCTATCACCCAGTCTGGAGTGCAGGGGCTCAATCTTGGCTCGCTGCAACCTCTGCCTCCCTTTCTTTCAGATATTGCTAAGTAACAAGAATAACGTTCTTCTAGCAGTAGCCTTGCCAGCCAGCTCCTGTAATCTTACCTGCATATCCTGTTACATATTCTTCCTGGGGTTGAGAGACATAGCCTTCAAGTGTCCAGAACTTTTCACGTTTCCACAAAGCCCGCCTCACCACTGTCCACCACCACATTGTCTCTCCTCAGTGTCTACCTCTTCAGTAACCACCTAGACAGTGTCTGCCCAAGTCTACTTTGAAACCTTCTTCATCTGGCCAGCAGCAACACATTCCCCAAAGCAGTCTCAGAAGCTGGCAGGGGGAAAACATGACAAAGACAAATGGATCCTCCTTCTCATGACTCTCCATCAAATGTTCTTCAAAGCCTGAAATGGTGAAGAAGGCCTCTTCACCAAGCTTCAGTCTCTGATCTCCCTGGGATGAGGCTAAACTAAGAGAAGGATTCTTTCCTGAATTTATTGTCATGCAGCATTCCAGGGTAAGCGAGGAAAGGACAAGCCCCAGCCACATCAACTTTTCTGGAGTCTCCAAAGAAAGAACTTAAATCAAGTTCAACTTTCTTACAGTGATCTGTCCAACTTTCTGTGCTCTGGGCATTGATTTCCATCCTTATAATGATTGTGTTTATATATCCACTTCCTGAATTATGTGCCTCTTTCATGATTGTCTTAACCTGATTCCTACAGTAAGTTGTGCCTGACACTAATGCCTCATAGGCAGGAAGTTTATTTGGGAATGCAATCCCAAGGAAGAGGAATAATGGACAAAGGGAAATACAAGAGGGAAGGAATGTCCATTCAAGAAGGCATTACCATTTTGCACATCACCCAGAACAGCTGACAGTCAAGTCCATGGGACTTTTTTTAATAGCAACTCAGTAAATTTATTGACTTATTTTAAGACTGTAACAATAGAATTGTTTTCATTTTAGCACTTAGTCATTTATAATTGCAAAGACATTGCCTTATCGGTCCTTGGATAATGGGAAAAGGGAGAGAAAGTGACTATGTAACTTAATTAGCATATATGATGTCAGTTAATGATTATTGAACAATCCCTGTACCAGTTACTGTTGTAAACACTCTACTGTTATTAACCCATTTATTCCTCCCAGAAACACTGTGAGATACCTACTACTATCTTCATTTTATGTACAAAGAAACTGAAACACAGGTTAGGGTAATAACTTGCCCAGAGTCACCAATAGTTCAGCTGGGACCAGAACTCAGTAAGTCTGGCTGCAGAGTTCACACTTGTAACCATTATTTTACACTCACTTCTCAAACATAAAGTACCTAATATGGGTGCTGTACTGATAGCTCAACAATGGTTAGTTCCTCCCAACCATGTGCTTTCTTCCTGAAATATTTTATTATAATTACTACAAAGCCATTCAAAATTGAATGCTGAAACTTGTGTCTTACCTCTTTTTTTATTGGGTCATATAGTAGTCCCCTTCCCCCCTCCCCCCTCCCTCCTTCTCCTTCTCCTTCCTCGTCTTGTTTGTTCCAGAAGCACACATGCAGGCTTGTACATGAGTAAATAACGTCCTGCTCAGGGTTGGTGTACAAATGATTCCATCACCCAAGTTGTGAGCACAGTACCTGACAGGTAGCCTTCCAACCCATTCCCATCTTCCACCTTCCCCCCAAGCACTCCTGAGTGTCTATTGTTCCCACCTTTGTGTCCACGTGCATTCAATGCTTCGCTCCCACTTATAAGTAAGAACATGCAGTAGTTGGTTTATTCTTGCATTAGTTCCCTTAGGATAATGGCCTTCAGCTTCAGCTATATTGTACAAAGAACATATTTTAGCAAAGACATGAAATCAATGAAGATGCCCAGCAACAGTGAACTGAATAAAGAAAATGTGGTACATATACATACATCATAGAATACTATACAACCATAAAAAAGGTCCATGGATGGGACTTTCTGATGATCTTTAAGAAGTAGTCTCAGAACTCTCTGTCCTGGAGATGAAGGCAGGAAGTATTTATCCATTGTCTTATTTCACTTCCCCTCACTATCATCATTTGTCAAATCTGGGCCCATATGTATTGACTCCCCCACACTTCCCAGTTGTACACACAAAAGCATTCCATGAGTGCCCTGCACTGCAGTATCATAGGAGCCCCAGATCAAGAAGAAAGAGGTATGTAGTATGGTCTGCAGAGCAACTTTATCAGGTATCTCCTGCACAAAGCCCATCCAAGCCTATATGAAAAGAGCCACATGACTGTGTATGGATAAAAGGCAGGGCAGAGAGAATTTGTAGGGATATCCAAGAGGTGTCAAGTACAGTTAATCAGAAAGGTCAGGCTTTGATGTTAATAAAAACAATCAGCAGCATTATTTCATCCTGAGAAGGACAGACATAAAAGTCAGAGGCATATGGGGAGATGTTAGTTGCAATCTGCAGCCATATGGCTTCCCAGTAAATCCGTGGCTGATCCAGCACTACTGATGAGGAAATTGAGCTTTCTTGTACAGTGAAAAAAAAAAGCAGCAGGGGGATCTTTACACCTAGCTATTCAATGTAATTTAGAAAAAAACAGCAGAAGAGTAAAATGAGAAAGTCTAGAAGCTAGAATGAGAACAGTGCTGACTGAGGGAGAGGAGATATGTCAAGTGAGTGCATCAGGTCAACACCTAAACAGCATATTGAATGAAAGCTCCCCCAAGACATGTGGGTCTAGGAAAGACATGGGAGGCAGGGGCCCAGCCTCAGAGCTGAGGTTCAGGTCAGCCAGGTCCTGGGCCTGGCGGCATGGAGGACCGAGAAGCAGGAAGCAGGTTGCCTTGGACCTGATAATCCCACCATATTGCAAACAAAGTGTGCTTATAATTTCCTTCGTAGGGTCTACAGGGAGCAGGTTTGAGGAAAGGCTTGTGTCCAAGTCTAGAAAAGAGCTCAACTGATGCAAGAGGCATGGTGATGACAGTGGCCACAGACCAAAGTGAGGTGACTACTTAAACAAGGAGAGAGAGAAATAGATAAGTGGATGTATTCATCCATTTTCATGCTGCTGACAAAGACATAACAGGGACTGGGCAATTTACAACAGAAGAGGTTTAATGGACTTACAGTTCCACATGGCTGGAGAGGCCTCACAATCATGGCAGAAGGCAAGGAGAAGCACATCACATCTTATATGGATGGCAGTAGGCAAACAGAGAGCTTGTACAGGAGAACTCCTCCTTTTCCAAAACCATCAGATACCTTGAGACGTATTCACTATCATGAGAACAGCACTGGAAAGACCTTCCCCCATGATTCAATTACTTCCCACCGGGTCCCTCCCACAACACGTGGGAATTCAAACTGAGAGTTGGGTGGGGCAACAGCCAAATCATAATGGATAAAATGACAGAAATATCTGTCTCTTGCTAAGCTCTTACAGCTTTTCTCAGCTTATACCATGAGGCCTGCCACAAGGAAGGATTTCCCCTATAAAAAAATTTCCTGATAATTCTCAAAACAGCCTCTGGCGTCTCTTCACGAATAACATCATCCACCCATCTCTCCATCCTTCCATTCATTCAGTTATTCTATAATTGTCAATTCTCTGAGCAGCTACTACACACCAGGCATCACGTGAAGATGGAAGGTAGAACAATGGCTAAGCAGAGGAACTTCTGGTGGTAGCTGGCTGGTCCTGGGCTCAAGTTCATGAGAGGTGACACAGCTGTGCAGCCAGCAGTTGCTCTACAAACATTTAGATGAGTGAAAATAATGAGGGAGGGACCATCCGACACCTGGATTTGAAGGATAGTTTGGATTTTCCAAAAACCACACTTGCAACAGGTTGTGTACTGCAGGTAGACCTGGATTAGTGACCTAAGTTTCATCTTATCTTGAGGAGAGTGAACTTTGATATAAGGGCTCAGGGAATCCCAGCTCCTTTGTTCCTTCCCATGTTGGCTGCAGAGAAGGGATTCCCCATGATAGCCAGGGTCTTCAGGGCCTACTGTCACAATGTACAGAATAAATGGATGGACTAAAAGGGCCAGGTTGCTCCAGAGCTTCCGAACGTGACCATTCTTCCCAGAGTTTCACTGCTCCGAACTCTCCTTCACAGACTGAGGTCAGCCTGCCCCTATGTTGTTTACCCTGAGTTCCTCCTTGGAGAAAAGGCTTTTTAGAACCGAAATAATCATTTTAGTTTTTCCTTTCCCCTGCCAGGCACGAGTATACTGAGTGATGGATTAACAGAATATTACTATTTTTCACCTAGCCACCATGCCCTTGGCCTCCCAGAATAACCAGAAATACCTATTGTTTATCTCTACATCCACTTCATATATTAAACAGCCCTACAAGTGTCACCTGTGCTGAGGATTAGACTCTTCCAGAAGATAGGACAGTTTCTGGTTCCAGCAGCCCCAGAATGTCTTCCTTCTCTCTCTTTCAGCCCACACCACCCTTCCTGTAAACACTACACCTGGGAGCAAAGGGTGTTCAGGGGGATAAAGCCCAGGTGACATCCTTGTCAGACAGCAAGTGCCACAAGTTTCATCACAAAAGTTGAGTCAACAGGTGGGTGAGGGAAGAGGGGTGAATCACATCTGACAGGTAAGGAATGTAGGCACAGCAGCCCAGATGGATCCTGTTTCCTTGAGGCAGGGCTTGTTCCATGCATAAAAAGCCAGTTGGCTGGGAACACTACACCAGTTCTAAGGGACCATACAGAGTATTCCTCTCTTCACACCAGGTGAGTCTCTTTACTTGGAACTCTTTAGCATCCATTCTAGGTATTTAATTTTTATTAGAGTCTCCTTGGCATTCTTGGTATTTTTTTCCCTCATTATTGAATTTGATCATAGCCATGCAGACTGTTCAACTGAATTATAACCTCTAGGAATATCTTCATTTTAAAAGTGTTCATACTGTAGGCTTGAAGAGAATTTAGACATTATCAGTTCTTCATTCACTCTTTCTGTGTCAGCAAGAAGGGGGTTGGTTTATTCAAGGATCCATAGTAAGTTTGTAATGGGATAATGACTAGAACCCAGGTCCACAGCACTTACCCTGGCATTATAATTCCTTCTTATTTATAATTTTAATACAGAGAATTTTATTCTTTCAACAGATACTTTTGTGAGAGCTTACTATATTTGGCAATTTGTTTGCAAAGAAATAATTTAAGCATCTATGATACTACAATTTAATCAGGAAATAAGAGCTAAAATGCATTGTATAACAGTAACTTATCAGTGCCAGGTGATTAGGGCAAGTTCTGTGACAGTTTGGGAATAGAGAGATTTCTGGAAGGTTTTTTCTAGAGAAGCCACTAAAAGTCCCATATGAAGCGATCTGTGGAGTTTGGTTAGTGCTTGAATGAGTAGGAACAAGGAAAACATTTAAGACAGAGGAGAACTTGAGCCAGGCCACAGGTGGGATTGCTTGGGGTTCTAGAGAGGTCAGAGTTATACAATAGATGATAAGCCATGCTATTTATCAGAAATGAGTGAGTAGATTTAATTTGTTAGGGTTTTTTTTTTCCAAAGAACCTCACATTTCCAATGGTCCAGTATTATGAGTCTCATATTCCTGCTAGAAGCCTGTTATTGTGCTGTGTAGGAAGAAAGAGAGCACCAGGAGAGGCCCTGCTCCAGTGGAGCAAGAGCAAATCATCTTTAGGTTCCTCTTCTTCAAAGGCTCAGAAATTAAATTAAGTATTCTTTGTGGTCAAGAAGGGGAAAGAACATAGCTTTTTAAGAGACCAGAAGTGGTATTCACCATGGCTTCTTCCCTATTATTCTCTGCTTAAATCATCTGTTCTGTGTCCAGGACCAGTCACTGTTGCAGCATGAGTTCCCAGCAGCAGAAGCAGCCTTGCACCCCACCCCCTCAGCTTCAGCAGCAGCAGGTGAAACAGCCTTGCCAGCCTCCACCTCAGGAACCATGCATCCCCAAAACCAAGGAGCCCTGCCACCCCAAGGTGCCTGAGCCCTGCCACCCCAAAGTGCCCGAGCCCTGCCAGCCCAAGGTTCCAGAGCCATGCCACCCCAAGGTGCCTGAGCCCTGCCCTTCAATAGTCACTCCAGCACCAGCCCAGCAGAAGACCAAGCAGAAGTAATGTGGTCCACAGCCATGCCCTTGAGGAGCCGGCCACCAGATGCTGAATCCCCTATCCCATTCTGCGTATGAGTCCCATTTGCCTTGCAATTAGCATTCTGTCTCCCCCAAAAAAGAATGTGCTATGAAGCTTTCTTTCCTACACACTCTGAGTCTCTGAATGAAGCTGAAGGTCTTAGTACCAGAGCTAGTTTTCAGCTGCTCAGAATTCATCTGAAGAGAGACTTAAGATGAAAGCAAATGATTCAGCTCCCTTATACCCCCATTAAATTCACTTTCAATTCCACTCTTGACTGTGTGTCATTGACTCTACAACTTCATTCCTTTCCCTCGTGAAGCGGGAGCTGTACACAGAGATGAGTTGGTGAAGAAGGGCTTTGTCCAGAAGGCATCTGATGCTCACATTAGGAGGGTGAAGGGCTGCCCCCACAAGCATTCCTGGGCTGCCTATGGGAGGTTGTGTAATGCCACCTAGAGGCTGTTGCTTTGGGCATCCAGGGCTGGAAAAGGGCTCTCCTCTTGCAACTCAGTGAGTCATGCTAGAGTTTAGTTAGCACTTGTCTAAGCTGACTCTGACTCACTAATCCTGATTGCCTTCTCTCCAAATCTGGCTTTTAGACTGCTAACTTACCAGCCAATTCCTGTTTATTTCAAGTAATGTTGTTCCTACATATGCTAACCTGCTCCTTCTCACTCATTTCTCTGATATCTACAACCTAGATTTCCAAACACCTCCAAAGATGCACAGACTCCGTTCTTTATCTCAGTTAGTCATTTCTAGTTTCTGAGTGCCAACTCTGGACCTGAAACAGAACAAAGGGGATTTAAGGTGCTTGCCAGGGGCATTTACAGTGCCCTGGAGGGATATACTTCACTCCCTACCCCACCCCTCATTCAAACACACATACACACATATACAACCACACACACAAGATCTGGAGTCCTCACAGAGTAATGCACAAAAGCTGATCCAGTTTGGAGACTGTTTCTTTCACATAGGTGGGAACCATGGAAGTGAGAACTGTAAAACCCACCCTCACCCCTCTCCCTGTAGTATCAACATGTTTCAAGTCAAATTAAACAAGATAGAGTTATCAACAGTGTATTCATATATATATGCATATATTTTTATATTGATGGAAAAATAGGTTGCTCTTGTATGTAACTGGGAGACAAAGCAAGTTGTTCTGCAGTAGCATAAAAGAGATTCTTTTTCTTAGGATGCAAAATGAAATAATAAAAAAATTACATGCCATTGGTATAACTCAAGAAATTGTGATATTTTTGATCACGGCATTTTTACTTGATTGCATTATTTAAAATTACAAAGCCTATATGAAAAATATTTGCCCTAAATGTTGTATTGCCCTAAGGGTTTTTTTGTTTAATTAGTAGGTAAAATCTACCATCATATCCAAATATAAGTGCCTCTAGCACCTAACCAATTAACCAAGCAGAAAAAAAAGTGTTGTAATCATGCGATTATTAGTCAGCATAGGTCAGCTGCTATAACAACACCCCCTATATTGTTGGGGCTCCATCAAGTAAAAGTTACTTTCCACTCATATAAAAGTCCAATATGGGTTTGTAAAGTCTTTGTTCCACATAGTCATGAAGACACACAGTCCTTCCTTCCTATGGTCTCACTATCTCTGAGTGCTGTGCTTTATGAATCCAAGCACAAGAACAGGGAAATAGACTGAATATAGAGAAGGTGTCCCTGCACTTATCCACTTGGAACAAGAAATGGCATGTATCCCCTCAGTTCTTATGGACTTGGCTAGAACTTGGTCACATAGCCCTGTCAACCTCACAAAGTTAAGAAATGTCGTTTACTGCTGTGCTTAGAAATAAGAGGAAGACAGAGATTTGGGTGAGCTCCTCAAGCTTCAGCCACAGAATAGCCTTCTTGTTCTCAAATATCCATCTGCTCCTTTGTCTCATAAGCAGAACACAATCCCGTAAGGAAAAAAAGCCTTATGGTCCCCATCAGCTCAAAATCTAGGATCTCTAGATGACATGAAATTCTCTCCATTACATTTTCCTATGGCTCCTTTTGTTCAGCAAATTATGAAACAAACAAATGGGCCATTTCTTCCTGTTACCCAGCATCCAATGGCAATGCAGGTACAGGAGAGCTAAATCAAAACTACCATGTTCAAAGGAAGATAATGGTGACACATGGCAGCCACTAGGCCTTAGTACTCTGAAATCCAACTGGGCAGGCATTGTGAAGCCACACTCTTCCCACTCCAATATACCAGAAGTGGTAGAAGTTCCTTTTAAGGTATTGATTCTGTTCTCTGAAAGGAACTCCTTTTAACTTTCCTATTCGTTGTTCTGCCACCCGTAGAATTGTCCTTTTCTTAGTACTATTCTCTATAATCAAACCTCAAGTGTGCATTGTGGATTGCGCCCTTCTTGGTTAGGTAAGCTTTGCAGCTCACTTTTCTTTTTTAAGTTTTTTATTTTTTTCTTTTCTATAATTTCAACTTTTATTTTAGATTCAGGAGTCGATATGGTTTGGTTCCGTGTCCCCATCCAAATCTCCTGTGGAATGATAATCCTCAATGTTGGAGGAGGGGCCTGGTGGGAGGAGATTGAATTATGGCAGCAGACTTTGCCCTTGCTGTTCTCATGATAGTGAGTGAGTTCTCACAAGATCTGGTTGTTTAAAAGTGTGTAGCACTTCCACCTTTGCTCTCTCTCCTGCTCTGCCATGTGAAGATGTGCCTGCTTCCTTTTTGCCTTCTGCCATAATCATAAGTTTCCAGAGGCCTTCCCAGACATGTTTCCTGTACAGCCTATGGAACTGTGAGTCATTGAAACCTGTTTTCTTTATAAATTACCCAGTCTCAGGTAGTTCTTTATAGTAATGCAAGAACGGACTAATACAAGGGTATACAATTGTAGGTTTGTTACATGGGTGTATTGTGTGATGCTGAGGCTTGGAATACAAATGAGTCCATTACCCAGATAGTGACCATAGTAACCAACAGGCAGTTTTTCAACCCTTAACCCCCTCTGTCTCTTCTCACTCTGTTACTCACCTGTGTCTATTGTTGCCATCTTTATGTCCATGAGTACCCAAGGTTCAGCTCCCATTTGTAAGTGAGAACATGTGGTATGTAGTTTTCTGTTCTCACATTAATTTGCTTAGGATAGCAGCCTCCAGCTCCATCCATGTTACTGCAAAGAATGTGATTTCATTCTTTTTTATGGCTATGTAGCATTCCATGGTGTATATGTACCACATTTTCTTTATCCAGTCCACTGTCGATGGGCACCTAGTTTGATTCCATGACTTTGCTATTGTGAATAGCACAGCAATGAACATACAAACGGATGTGTCTTTTTGGTAGAATAATCTATTTTCTTTTGTATATATACTCAGTAATGGGATTGCTGGGTGAAATGGTAGCTCCATTTTAAGTTCTTTGAGA
Source organism: Homo sapiens (assembly GCF_000001405.40). Taxonomy (NCBI): domain Eukaryota; kingdom Metazoa; phylum Chordata; class Mammalia; order Primates; family Hominidae; genus Homo; species Homo sapiens. Next base: position 153,036,058 of record NC_000001.11, read on the forward strand.
AATCTCCAAATTGCTTTCCACGATGGCTGAACTAATTTACATTCCCATCAACTGTGTATAAATGTTCTGTTTTCTCCACAGCCTTGCCAGCAACTGCTGTTTTTTGACTTTTTAAATAATAGCCATTTTAACTGGTGAGAGAGGGTATCTCATTGCGGTTTTGATTTACATTTCTGTGGTGATTAGTGATGTTGAACATTTTTTCATGTTTTTTGGCCACTCCTATGTCTTCTTTTGAGAAGTGTCTGTTCATATCTTTTGCCCACTTTTCAATGTGATTATTTGGTTTTTGCTTGTTATGTTGTTTAAGTTCCTTTTAGATTCAGGATATTAGACCTTAGTCAGATGATTTACAGATATCTTCTCCCATTGAGTAAGTTGTCTGTTTGCTCTGTTGATAGTTCCTTTTGCTATGAAGAGGCTCTTTAGTTTAACTAAGTCCCACTTGTCAATTTTTACTTTTGTTGCTATTCTTGTTAAGAACTTGCTCATAAACTCTTTCCCAAGACCAATGTCCAGAATGGTGTTTCCTATGTTTTTTTCTAGGATTCTTATATTTGAGACATTATATTTAAATCTTTAATCCATCTTGAGTTAATTTTTGCAGGTGGTGAAAGATAGAGGTCCAGTTTCATTCTTCTGCACGTGGCTAGCCAGCTATCCCAGCAGCATTTATTTAATAGACAGCTCCTTACATGTTCGTCATTTTTGTTGACATTGTCAACAATTAGATGGCTGTAGGTGTACAGCTTTATTTCTGGGTTCTCTATACTGTTCCGTTGGTCTACGTGTCTGTTTTTGTATCAGTATCATGCTGTTTTGGTTACTGTAGCATTATAATATAGCTTAAAGGCAGGTAATGTGATGCCTCCAGCTTTGTTCTTTTTGTTTAGGATTGCTTTATCTATTTGAGCTCTCTTTTGGTTTTATATGAATTTTAGAATAGGTTTTTCTAATTCCGTGAGAAACTGCGTTCATAGTTTGAAAGGAATAGTGTTGAATCTGTAGATTGTTTTGGGCAGTATGGCAATTTAACAATGTACAAAATCAGTAGCATTTGTATACATCAATAAGGTTCAAGCTGAGAGTCAAATCAAAAATGGAATCCCATTTACAATAGCCACCGAAAAAAAAATAACTAGGAATACATATAATCAAGGAGGCGAAAGGGAGAATATACAACATCTCTACAGGGAGAACTATAAAGCACTTCTGAAAGAAATCATAGATAACACAAACAAATGAAAAATTCCATGTCTGTGGATTGGAAGAATCAGCTCACTTTCTAACCAAGTGTGGTTTAAGGCTCTTGGAAAGCTGTTTTGCTTCATTTCTTTTTGTTTTGTTTTAAGATCTAGCTTTTGATTACTTTGGGAATATGATTCCTCAAAAATTTAGTAGATTTCTAATCTATTTTCTTCTAGCCAGTTCTATATGCTAGTAACTATACCCACATTTCTTCATTTCCTTCGCAGATGAAATTCTTGTGCTTATTTATTCCTTCTTTTTTCCATGTCTGTCTTCCTCAACTGTGGCTTCTTTGACACTCTTTGGAAAAATAAACGTAGGTGGGATGACATTAAAACTTAATCTAATCTTAAGTGCAAACCTGAGTTTTAATGAACTTTTGTCTCTCAAAATTATTCTCGATTTTATCTCTTTCTATTTAAAAGTAATTGAGTTTCCCAACTCTGCAGATTTTTGGTTTCCCTCTATTCTCTTGCATTTATGTTTACAAAAGAGCCCATTTTCTTTGTTTTTAAAATACCTTTATTGACACAGAATTTACATACCATGAAATTCACCCTTTTGACGTGTACACTCAATAGTCCTTAGTAGGTTCACAGTTATACAATTATCACCACTAATTTCAGAATCTTTTAATCACTCCTCCAAACAACTCCATACTGACAAGTTGTTAATCCTCATTCCCCTGCCCCTAGACCCCTAGAAATCACTAGTCTACTTTCTGGTTCTATAAATTTGCCTATTCTGGACATTTCATATAAATAATATTATACAATATGTGGTCCTTTGTATCTGGCTTCTTTAACTTAGCATAATATTTTAAATACTGATTTTTGTTGTAGCGTGTATTAGTATTTCATTCCTTTTAATTGCCATATTTATGTCCATGAGTACCCAATGTTTAGCTTCCATTCATAAGTGAGAACATGTAGTATTTGGTTTTATGTTCTCACATTAATTTGTTTAGGATAATGGCCTCCAGCTTCATTCATGTTGCTGCAAAGGACATGATTTCTTTCTTTTTCATGGCTATGTAGCTTTCCATGATGTATATGTAATTGTATGTATTCAATTGTAACTTTTTAATTTACTTGTAACTTTGTACCCATTTAATTATTATTTAATCATAATTAAATTGTATTACTTGTATTGTATTATTATAATACAATTAATTGTATTATTTAATTATAAATAAAAATTATAATTCATTATATTTATTTAATTGTAACTTTATACCCGTTTAACTGTAACTTTGTACCCACTAACTAACCTCTCCCCATCCTTCCCTCCCTCCCCTACACACTCCCCAATCCCTGACAACCACTGTTCTACCCTCCACCTTCATGAAAGCAACTTTTTTAGCTCCAACATATGAAGGAGAACATACAATATTTGCCTTTCTGTGTCTTACTTATTTCATTTAACATAATGTTCTGTAGGTTCATCCATGTTGTCACAAATAAGATTTTATTCTTTTCATTGCTGAATAGTGTTCTACTGTGTATATAAACCATATTTTCCTTATCCATTCATCTGTTACTGAACACTTAGGTGGATTCCATTTCTTGGCTATTGTGCAAAGTGCTGTGATAAACAGGGGAGTGCAAATATCTTTTTGATATACTAATTTCGTCTCTTTTGGGTATACACCCTGTAGTGGGTTTGCAAGATCATATATTACTTCTATTTCTAACTTTTGAGGAAACTTCATACTGGTTTCCGCAATGGCTGTACAGGTGGTATTAGGTTTTCTGTTTCTGATTTTGTTGGCTTAGCATAATGGCCTCCAGTTTGATCCACTTTGCTACAAAAGACATGATCTAATTTTTTTATAGCTGTGTAGAATTCATGGCGTATATTTATCACATTTTTAAAATCCACTCTACTATTGATGGGCTTTTGGGTTGATTCTATGCCTTTGCTATAGTGAACACGGCTGCGATAAATATACACATGCATGTGTCTTTATGGTAGAATGATTTATATTCCTTTGGGTATATACCCAATAGTGAGACTGCTGGGTCAAATAATAGTTCTGTTTTAATGATGATGTACTGCTGCTAATAGACTACTATCAAATGAGTAGTAATGATATGTCAGAAATTGTGTCAACTGAATTCCTGATATTAATTCCATTTTATGCCTAAGATAAGTTAGTGATATAAATATTATTTTCCACATTTTAAAATGAAGAGATTAAAATTCTGATTGATTTGTTCTTCAAATCAATCAAACACTAATTAAGGAAAATAAAAGGGGTTTAAAATGATATAAAAATAATCATTGTTATGGCCCAAAATTCAGATAACAATAATTGTGAAATCCTGGTCCTGGGGATCAGAGAAAGGTAGAACAAAATCCAAATAATCATATAATATTACTAATAAAGCAGATTCTAAAAGAAACAAAAGATCCATTCACAAATATATATGCATAGATACTTTATTCAGGGAGTGAAAGATAAATGACAATTGCAAAGGTGGTAGAAGCTCATGACCAGGTGACAGACAGACACAGAACACATCAACAGAATTGTCTGATGGTTCCCAGGGAGAGAGCTGCTGCTCTTTCTTCCGAAGCTCTGGGAGCTGGCACAGCTGAGGACTTCCTTTTCTTAGCTCCACCTGGACAGTGGCAGTATGGCAGCCTCAGAAAGGGAATCTTTTGCTGTCACAGATCATCACAGGCAGGCCACAGGTTAAGGAGAAAGAAGCTCCCTGTGCATCCATGGAAGGCTTTGGTGAGAAGATGCAAGTGGAGCTGTGGAACGAGGTGAGCCAATTATCCTTATCCTCTCATGCTCCTGATGAATCCTGAAGCTGTTACTTGCTCTTGGGTGGACACTTTGGCTGGCAGGGTGGGGAAGGTGTCACAGGAGGATATTTCTGCTGGCACTGCTGAGGTGGGCAGGGCTGTGGACACTTTGGTGATGGGCAGGGCTCAGGGCACTTCGGGGGTGGACATGGCTCTGGGCACTTTGGCGTGGGGCACACAGGAGGTGGCTGGCAGGGCTGCTTGCACTGCTGCTGTTGATAAGACATCCTGCTGGAGTCTCAGGATCTGAAAGAAATGATACAACAGTGTTTGTGGGAAGGGACTCCTCCAGAGAGAGAAGCTAATGCTTATGTAATACCATGAAATATTATTTCCCCATCTCCAAGAAATTATTTAAACTCTTAACTGCCTTTTCAAGACTACTTCGTTTCTCCCTTCCACTTTAGCAAATTGCTTCATTGGCCCTGGGAAATCTTGTGTTTTCTCATACAATTTTTCCAAAGAAAATATCTCTGTAGTAATGAACCAAGCATGTTATTTCTGTGAAAATAACATCTTTAGGAAAGGCAGTGACAAGTTCAGATACCATGAGCAATCTCACAAGCCATTTCTCTTATCATTATCTGTAGTAAAGTCCCAGTGGGTTGACTTGAGCACAGAACAAAGGGCTGTTTGGGAAGGATTGCAGGCTCTTGGCACCTGTTAAGACACAAACCTTTGAAAAAGACACCAGGAAAACATGGGGAAAAAATACTTTGTTCTTTTTTCTTCTTCAATTCAAAGCTTTCCTATTAACTTCTCTGTCCGTATGGACACCTAACTGTATACAAGAAACAAGCTAAAATAGCATATCACTGTACTCTAAATCTAAATTTCCATCTACTAAGTAGAATCAAACCCATGGTTACAGAATTGTATCAACCAAACTTGCTGTTTTCAGATTAAATTCAATATTTCAGGTCACAAAGAACTGAGGAACTCAAGGACTCACACTCACCAGGTTCTCCAAAGCAGATCGGTGCTAGAGTACCAGGAGTTTAAGAGTTGTGCAGCAGGGAACCTCTTTATAGGACGTTCTGCCCCACCCAGTGGGAAGTGGAACTGCCTAAAACTGGGCTGGTCCAGCAATGTCCAAAGTAAAATGCAAATGTATCCATATCTGGCATGAGAGGCATTCTCAAACTAGGAAATATCCTGTTCTGGGATCTCCCCACTGGGTTAAGTGCTCATGAGTCACAGAGAACCTGCCTTAGATCTCAGTTTCAGTGACTTTCGTCAGAGAGATAATTGGAGGGATTCTCTAACCGGTTGTCAAGGGCTCTCTTTCTTGATTGGGAACAATGATCCCTTCCTATCTTACCTCCCCTGAGTCATAAAACTTCCTGTCCTGATCCACTCTAGCTGAATGCCATATTGTTGTACATGAACCCAACTCTACCTCTACTTTCCTCATACAGTTGGCCAATGTGCTAGAAGGAAGGAGAGACTTAACAAAGGCCTGAGCTAAGCTTTTTCTTTGCTAAGTTCCATGACAACAGGCATGTCACCTCTCCTCCCTGGGATTATAAACAGGGGACAATAATACTTACCTCTGGGTTTGCAGGCTGACCACATTGTGCTATCTGCTGACCCTGTTCAAGACTGAAATTTTCTTTGCCACCTTTTTCTCAGATAAAACCTCAGATTTTTACCTATATTCCTTTCCTCTTTGAAGCTGTCTTCTGCACCACATTTGTAGCTTCTGCACCACATTCGTAGAGGCACTTGCATCCCAGGACAGATTTGAGAGTGAGATCTAGTCTCCACAGCACGTTTGCTACTTGGTGCCATCAAGGATGTGTACTACAGCCTTTTTATTTATAAAAAGTAATGGAGAGAAGGAAACTAAAGTTACAAGTATTGACTCAAAATCTATGTATGGAACCATGCATATATGGTTCCCTGTGAACATCCTATAGAGAACAAGCTGCATAGACATTATCATATGTAAATAATTAGAAGTAGGTGTGCAGAGTGAGGAAGGTAAGAGCACTTAAAGTTTAACTCAAGGGGAAAATACAAACAAAGGGTAATCCAATATGTATTCTTCCTCTCTATTTCCAAACAGGTTTTAGATGTTTCTCAGTGTTTTTTAATTTGTTTGCATGTTCTTCCTTTGTCTTTTCCATAAACCTTCTAGTCCCACAAACTGCTAGATTATCAACTCATACCCAATGTATACCTGTCATCTGTCCATTTTGGTACATATTGTTCACTTAACACATATGTTGTCAATGCATTTAGTGATTGTCCTTTCACAACTTTTTTAAATGCTTCCTACAATCAGTGAGCCTTTCTAAGTACTGTATATTAAACATTTAAAGTGATGTTGCTACTGCTTCCTTATCTGGACCATTAATCGGGAAGCTTCCCAAGAACATGGTTTTATAAGTGAATAAGAAGAAAGGAGAATGAGGAAGAGGAAAGACTCAAAATCACTGGAGCAGTCACCAACTGTGCTCCAGGAAGGGCAGAGTGTTGAATCAAGCCAGCATCACATCCCTCAGTTAAGTAGGTTAGGTTCCCAGAACAGCTGTTGCTCCTGTCAGTAAGGAAGAGCTTTTAGCCAAGATCACCACTGGCCAGGACACTACAGAAATAGAGCCATCATGTCAGCACCCTGAGGCCAGGTGATTACAAATGGTGTTCTCACCAAATGCTTCCTATAGACTATTACACATGCCACGCACTTCACCAGCCAAAGTAAAAGTCCTTTACTCAATAAATCACCCACTACTCCCCAAGAGCCTCACATCACATCTAAAACATAAATCCATAGAGAAATGTCTAATTTCTGCCATGCAAAATTGAAGAATTCGCTGCCAAATGAGATCACTGTGTGAGATAACACAGTTTGGGTCACAACCTGAGACTCCCCTTCTTAGGACACCCCACTCAAACAGGCTGCTTATCACAGCAGTGCAGGCACCAGAGTGGCAGCAGACCTAGTGCCCCCAGCATCTCAGACAGGCTGACTTTACAAGTTGACGTGGAGAACTGGAAACTCAGAGTTCCTCACAGACCAGCTACATGAGGAATGGCCATAACATGAAGAGGGACAGCTAATAGTCACAGTTTCCCCAAGTTAGGACATCCAGGCCCTGAGACATAGAGCGAGGCATACTTCACACACACACACACACACACACACACACACACACACACCCCTCATGGGTCTTTATCATCTATCTTCATGTCTAAAGAGCTTAGCTTTATGTTCTTTAAGAGTCTGATAGCCTTAGGCTCATTCCTAATACTTCTACTTCCTGATTTTCTAGTAGATCATTAAGTATGAATTACTAGTACATAAAAATGACAGGAAAGAACAAAAAATTTATTTGGTCTAATATTTGATGCAACATTTTATCTCATATTTTACTATGATACATTCCACTAAACCAAATAGTGCTAGCAAATGAAGATTTAAAATTAAATATGTAAACAAATAAAGAAACAAGAATCATGGCAAAATATTCTTCTTATGCTCAGAGAAATGGTAACTGTAAGCCCCCATGCATATCTGCCTTCTGCTTTTATTTCTGAATGGAAGGCTTAGTCTCCATTGTCTTTCCATAATTCAATGTATCAGATAAAGATATAGTAGAATTCTGAAGATAATTAAGAAGGATGTTTTGAAAGATTACTTAATATTATTTAAAACATTAAATTTTACTAAAAACTTATGTAAAGGATGATAACATTTTCATTAACATGTATTTGTTAAAAGTTAGGAAATATGTAAAACAACATATTAAATGTGATTATATTTGGCTGGTATAATTACAGATGATGTTTATTTTCTTGTTTTACTTTTCAAAATATTCTCCGAATGTTACCTATTATTGAGTGAGGAATCCTAAAATTCTAATTTGAAAAGCTGACAAGAGACAACCCTGTCCATTGTCCAATTAGTGAGAAAACGGTCTTCCTTCTTTCCAGCATTTTTGGCCAGACACTAAAGGTGGGGCTGGATGTAAGTAGCAGTTGTTTTATTGTGATAGCTCTACATCTGATCACATCACTACTAAAATCTGTCTTGAAGAAAACCCCAATAATAATCCCCATCCTCATAGCATTCACACACACACACAGAAGCCACAGACACTCCATAGCCATATGTATCTATGAAACAGCTCACCAAAATTAGGAGATCATACTAGGTTAAAAAAATCGGAATGAGTTTGTCTACTATCCAGGAGCCACGTGGATAGAAAGCATAAATTGGCCATAATATGATGAAATTGGAAGAAATGGGCGATCAGTAGGACAGGTAGTAACTATAATAGAACATAGTGATAATAATAGTACCTACCACTAATTGTCATGAGAAAACAACTAAAGCAGAGACTGCATTTAAAGTACTTAGCACAGGCTACAGATAGTGCTCAAAATGCTAAAGTAACACATTGTTAACGAAAGAGATAGAGACAAGATATCGAGTTCGAGTTGTTTATGGTTGAGAAAGTTATTTGCTTCACCTTTAAGATCTTTTATATTATCTTATTGAAGTGTGTGCCAGAAGTTTTTAGGACAAAACAAATGCAAATATATGATTTAAATGAAGTGTGCAGAAACAATAAGATGGGATGATTTTGACACTTATCCTATGTGATGAAAATGAGAGTTAACCTAAGCAGAAATTTACAGCAAAGGACAGAAACCAGATGCTTTAATTGTTCCTTGATGTTTGGACTCTCTAAGACTTTCCTCTGAATTCAGTTAATATAAGAAAATAAATCTAAATACAAAAAATAGCAGTATGTGGATTTGTTCATGTGTAAAAACAAATAGCACTTATAAAGATTCAGCATTCTGTGTGAAAAAAATATACAATGTTACCTCCAATTTAGTTTGCTGTTACTGTAGTTAGCTGTTTAGGATAATAAAGAAATCACTCATTTAAATATCACATTCCTTCTGGTGGCAAATTACCTAAATTTTAGGCTAAATCATTATAAGAAACTGAATAGCTCATCAGTATTAACCTTCTCAAAGTGAATAGACCCTATATATTCTACTTTTATTTTCTCTATATGTTAGATCAGTATATTTAAGAGCATAATTTCAAGAGCTATTAGTAATATAAAGTAATCCCGTATGCTTAGTGTTAAAATGAGAATGAGAAGGATATGTGGTAAATAATGGAATGAATCAGACACCTCTTTTTGTAAGAATCTTTTCAAGACAGTGAATGTGCATAGGCCGTGGTTTCCCTCCAGAAAAGTTAAAAAGGAAAACGAAGAAACACGGACAAAATTGTGAAAACATTTGCAGAGAAAAAACTGTTTGAACTCTAACATATAAGACAAGAGACCTGAATTCTGCTGCAAGTGGGAGAAAGGCTAAATAAAATATAAACATTATGAGAAAAGTCGACACTAATTCACAATCTTAAAGAGATAAACATAATTTTGTTATATGAGTCAACAAAAGCACATTCAAAAATTGATCTAACAGATTTCAAAATATGTTGACAAAAAATAACCTGCATTCCAATGATTATAGCAGCTTTATTCATAATCTCCAAGATCTGTGATCTACCAAGATGCCCTTCAACAATTCAATTGATAAACTGTGGTGCATCACACCCAAGCAATGGAATACTATGCAGTGATAACATGGAATGACCTATCAAGACTCACGAAGACATGGCTGAATTTAAAATGCAAGCTGATAAGTAAAAAATAGTCAGTCTCAAAGGCTATATACTGTATGGTTCCATGTATACAAATTCTGAAAAATGCAAAATTACACATCCAAAAAGCACAAAAAACTTCCAGTTAAATTAATTCAATGACACCCACACTGAGACACTTTATAATTAAACTATCAAAAGAGATAATATCAAAAGCAGCAAGAGGCAAGTAAATCATCATATCTAAGGGATTATTAATAAATAGTTGACCAAATTCTTACCAAAAGCCTTTAGGATCAGGAGGCAGCAGGATGATATATTGAAAATAAAGAAAACCTAGAATTCTTTCAACCTAGAATTCTACAGCTGGCAAAATTATCCTTAAAAATGATGGCAAAATTATAACGTTTTTGGAAATCAAAACTTAAGGCAGTTCATTGCCCCTAGATTTTCTGTATGAGAAATGATAAAGAGAGCCTCTGAGGTTGAATAAAAATGCTGGAGAGAAATTTGAAACTGTATGAGAACACAAAAATCTCTGGTAAATGTACACAGATACATAAAAGCCAGCATTATTGTAATTTTAGCTTGTAACTCCACGTTTTATTTTCTACAAGATTTAAAATGCAAATGTGTACAAAATAATTGCAAATCTGTGTTAGTGAACACACAATGTATAAAGATATAATTTGTGAACTCAACATAAAAAGAGGATAGGATTGTGTGAGTCAACTTTTCTTTTTTTTATTTTTTATTAATTTTTTCATTTTTTGAGACAGAGCCTCACTCCATCACCCAGGCTGAAATGCTGTGGCATGATCTTGGCTCACTGCAACCCCCGCTTCCTGGTTTCAAGCGATTCTCGTGCCTCGGAAATTACAGGCAGACGCGTGCCACCACACCCAGCTAATTTTTGTATTTTTAGTAGAGACAGGGTTTCGGCATGTTGGCCAGCTGGGTATGAGTCAACTATTCTATGCTATTGCAGTTACATAGTGTTAATTCAAATTAAATTACTATAACTTTAAAATATTATACATAATCCCAATTGAAATCACATAATAATATTTTCAAGTACACACAAAAGAAAAAAGGCAATAAAATAGTTTTAGTAGAAAAAAATCATAAATCAGAAAGTGTTGAAAGACAAACAATATAGAGAAAAGAGTAAATGCAGAAAGAAGAACTCCCTTATCAGTAAGTACTTTAAATGTGATTGAATTAAACTCTCCCCAACCACACAAACTGGAGAATTGAATCAAAAAGAAAAAAAAAAGATTCAACTGTTTGCTGTTTAAAAGAGACTGACTTTAAAGCTAAAGACACAAAGGAGGTGAAAGTAATAGGAAAGAAAAAGATATTTCATGTAAATTGCCAAAAGAGACCAGACATGGCTACACTAACATTAGACATCATTAACTTTAAGTTGAGAACTGTTATAAAATACTACAAAGATAAAGAGATTTATTCACCAAGAAATTATAGGAGTTATAAACATACACTTACTGAACATCAGAACTCCAAAATATAAAAAGATACAGTGAGAGAAATTAAAAGAAGAAATTAATAGGTCTAAAACATGTTGAAAACTCGAATACTTCCCTCTCAAAAGTGGATAGAATGATAGAAGTTAAAAACAATAGAGGACTTAAATATATAAGCCAATTGGAACAAACAGACAAATATAGAATACTCCAACCAAAAGGAACAGGATACCCCTTACAGTTTTCTCAAGAGAACATGGAAGAACACTCTCCAGGATAGACCACATATTAGTCTAGAAAACAAGTTAATATATTTTAAAAGACTGAAATCATACAAAGTACTTTTCCAATCACAATAAAATGAAATTAAAAACTTATAGCCCAATTAAAACTGGAAATTTCACAAATTTGTAGAAATTAAACAACAAACTCTTAAATGACCAACAGGTCAAAAAAGAAATCACAAAGAAAATTAGAAATTGCTTGGGACTACTGACAACAAAACACATCAAACCAAAACTTATGGTTTTCAGCAAAAGCAGTGCTAACGGGGAAATTTACAGCCAGAACCACATTTTTTTTTTTGTTTTTTTGAGACAGAGTCTTTCTCTATCTCCCAGGCTGGAATGCAGTGGCGTGATCTTGGCTCACTGCAAGCTTTGCCTTCTGGGTTCACGCCATTCTCCTGCCGCAGCCTCCCGAGTAGCTGGGACTATAGGGGCCTGCCACTACGCCTGGCTAATTTTTTGTATTTTTAGCAGAGACGGGGTTTCACCATGTTAGCCAGGATGGTCTCAATTTCCTGACCTCGTGATCCACCCATCTCGGCCTCCCAAAGTGCTGGGATTACAGGCATGAGCCACCGTGCCTGGCCCACATACATTTTTAATGACAGAAAAATATCTCAGATCAATAACCTCATGTTACAGCTTAGGAAACTACAAAAATTAAAGTACACTAAACCCCAGAAAAGTAAATATAAGCCTAGAGTAGAGATACTAATAAAGTACAAGCAAACCATAGAGAAAAATCAATGAAATTAAGTTTTATTTCTTTGAAAAGGTCAATAAAATTGAAAAATCTTTAGACTAACTACAGGGAAAAAGTACGATATAACATTCAAATAGCTAAAATCTAAAAGAAAGTGAGGACGTTACTACTGATTTTACAAAAATAAAAAAATTTTAAGCAGAAACTATGAACAATTCTGTCAGCTTATCAGATAACCAGTTGAACAAACTCTTAGATATACACTATCCACCAAACCAAATCATGAAGAAATAGAAAATTTGAAAAGATATATAATAAGTAAAAAAAATTGAATCTTTAATCTAAAATCTCACAAGAAAGAAGTGTTGACCCAGAAGGATTTACTGGAGAAGTATATGCCAATCCTTTTCAAAATCTTTCAAAAAAGAAAGCTGAAAATAGGGACTACTTCCTGTCTTGTTCCATGAGGCACACGAATACCCGGATACAAAAGCCAGACAAAGACACTACAAGAAATGAAAACTACAGAACAATATTCCTCATGAATATTGATGCAAAAAAGCCTCAAAAACATTTAGCATACCAGATCATTCCTGTGGCCGTAGGTAAGATGGCCAACTGGATGCAGCCAGGTGGAACAGCTGCCACTAAGGGACCGAGATGGCAGGTGCACTTCTAACAGATATTCAGAGGGAAGGCACTGAGAGTGGATGAAGAGAAGATCCAGAAGCTAGGCTGAAAAGAGAGAAAGGTGGGAGCTCTACACAGGGACACTACACACCAAGATTGGTTCCTGGCCTCCAGTGACTCCAGGGGAACAGCTGAGTTGAACCGACAGGGAACAACCCACTCTCGCCATGGGCCTCTGGAATCCCGGCAGGGGGAGACCCCCTTAACCACCAGGGATGCTCCAGTTGGCAGGGAGAGCTGCTTAGGGAAGTGACAGAGGCAGCATGCCAGCTGATGTGGAGCCTAAAGGGTTTGGTAGGGGAGTGTCTGTAATGGAGCAGGGCCAGGGATGGCCATCTCCCTAGGCTCAACTTGCTTGCATAGGAGACTTCAGCCCCTGGGGAACTGTTGGACCTGAACTGTGCAGGGCAATCTTGCCCTTCAGATGGGGCCAGTCTGACCTGAGCACCCCCTGGTCAGCTGGTCTCTCCTGGGGTGCCAGCCTGGCTGTACCTGCTTGCAGGGCAAACTCGGGTGACCTTGGGACTCCATCATAGCCTCTGTGCTGGCAGATCACAGCTGACAAGTGGAGAACTCCAGCGGGGCAGCCACCCACAGTCACCTACCAGCCCATCTGCTCACTCCACACATTGCAGCTTCCCCTGGGCCCAGAGCAACACTCCATGTCACTTTGCTAGCATGTGTGTTCATGAATGGGTTTTGCTTTCCTCTCCTCACCAGTACATGTGAGTGTGTGCATCCTGCCCTGCCACTGCTGCAGTGAGAGTATGGTCAGCCCATTATCCCTGGCAATGACCATTGCAGTCACAGAGCCATGGCAAGCACAGAGCCAGGAAGCCCCACCCCTGCCAGTGCACCACCCATGCCAGTGTATACCCTTGTGCCAACACTGCCGTGGGAGTGAAACTAGGCACTGAAAACAGTGGAAACTCCTGCATCCCAAACAACCACCCCTGCCCATGGCACAGAGAGAAAGCACACAGACCTGCACCAGCCAGCACCCCATCCACACACCAACAACACTACAAGTGTCACCACACACACACAGTCACCAGCAGGGACCCTGTACCCTGCCAAGAAACATTGCCTCCACCACTGTGGTGAATGTCCCCACAGAGGCAAGTAGCCTAGCACCTGCAAGAACCCTGCTCCAGCCTAAAAGTATGCACCCTGCCATGCTGCCTCTGCTCCTGGCACATACAAACAAGAATGGACCCCGCTGCCACCACACTACAAAACACTTTGGCTGACACCACTCATCACAGTGTAGTGACCAGGGATCAGGGAGCACCTCAGCCTCCTAACCTGGGGGAGCCAAAGAACAAAGTCAAGCCTGATATAGTTCCCCCAGAGTTACAGCATGCAGTCCAGGAGTTGGGAGCTGAGTGTTGGGACCCCAAAATCTTTCACAAATGAAGCCAGTCATCTGAATTGACCTTACACCACAATCAAAACCTCAAGGTTATCAAATGAGATTAAAAAAATAAAACCCATCCAAACATCACCAACTTCAAAGATTGAAGGAATATAAGACACAAAGATAAGAAAGAAGCAACGCAAGAACTCTGAAAACTCAAAATGCCAGAGTGCCTTCTTTCCTCCAAATGACCACACGACCTCTCCAGCCAGGGCTCAGAACTGGGCTGAGATGGCCGAAATGCTAGAAATGGAATTCAAAATATGGATAGGAAGGAAGATCAATAAGATGCAGGAGTGTTCTGAAACCCAATCCAAGAAAGCTGAGAATCACCATAAACAACGCAGGAGCTGACAGACAAAATAGCCAGTATAGAAAAGAACATAACTGACCTGATAGAGCTAAGAAACACACTAGAAACTATACATTTTGTAGAGTGTTTCTCAGCTCTATCAGGTCGGTTATGTTCTAATGCAATCACGAGTATTAGTAATAGAGTAGACCAAGCAGAGAAAAGAATCCCAGAGTTTGAAGACTAACTTTTTGAAATAAGACAGTCAGCCAAGAATAGAGAAAAAAGAATTAAAAGAAATGAACAAAACCTAAAAAAATGGTATTTTCTAAAGAAACAAAATCTGTGACTCATTGGTGTCCCTGAAAGAGATAAGGAGAGTGTAACCAGCTTGAAAATATATTTCAGGATATCATCCATGAGAACTTCCCCAACCTAGCTAGACAGACAGACATAAAATTCAGAAAATGCAAAGAACCCTTGTAAGATACTACAGAAGAACATCATCCCCAAGATACATAATCATCAGATTTTTCAAGGTTGAATGAAAGAAAAAGTCTTAAAAGCAGCTAGAAAGAAAGGTCACGTCACCTACATAGGGAAACCCAGAAGACTAAGAGCAGACCTCTCTGCAGAAATCACACAAGCCAGAAGAGATTGGGAGCCAGTATTCAACACACTTAAAGAAAGGAAATTGCTACCTAGAATTTCAATTCTAGCCCAACTAAACTTCAAAAGTGAAGGAGAAATAAGATACTTTTCAGACAAGCAAATGCTGAAGGAATGTGTTACCATAAGACCTACCTTACTAGAGCTCCTGAAGGAAGAGCTAAATATAAAAAGGAAAGACTATTATCAGCCACTACAAAAACACACGTCAGTGCACAGAACAGTAACGCTATAAAGCAACCACATACATAAGTTTGCAAAATAACCAGCTAACTTCATGATGACAGGATCAAATCCACATATTTCATTAGACCATAATCAAGAAGATCTTTGAAACTAATGAGAATAAAGATACAACATACCAGAATCTCTGGAACACAGCTAAAGCAGTGTTAAGAGGGAAATTTATAGCACAAAATGCTCACATCAAAAAGTTAGAAAGGTCTCAATTTAACAACGTGACATCACAACTAAAAGAACTAGAGAATCAAGAGAAAACTAACCCCAAAGCAAGGAGAAAATAAGAAATACCTAAAATCAGAGCTGAACTGAAGGACACTGGGACATGAAAAATCATTCAAAAGATCAACAAATCCAGGAGGTGGGTTTTTTAAATTAATGAAATAAATAGACTGCTAACTAGACTAATAAAGAGGAAAAGAGAGAAAATCTAGGTAAACACATTTAGAAATGACAAAGGAGATATTACCACTGACCCCAGAGAAATACAAATAACCATAAGAGAATATTATGAACACCTCTATGCACATAAGCTAGAAAATCTAGAAGAAACAAATACGTTGTTGGACACATACACCCTCCCAAGCCTGAGCCAGAAAGAATTTGAATCCCTGAAAGGACCAGTAATGAGCTCCAATATTGAAACAGTAATAAATAGCCTACCAACAAAAATAAGCCCAGGACAAGACAAATGCACAGCTGAATTCGACCAGATATACAAACAAGAGCTAGTATCTGCTCTTGTTTTCTGCCAAACAAATATTCCTGCTAAAATTATTCCACAATATTGAGGAGGATGAACTCCTCCCCAACTCATTCTATGAGGCCAGCATTATCCTGATACCAAAACCTGACAGGGACACACACACACACACACACACACACACACACACACACACACACAAACCATCAGGTCAATATCCTTAATTAACATCAATGCAAAAATTCTCAACAAAATACTGGCAAACCAAATCCAGCAGCACATCAAAAAGCTTACCCACCACCATCAGGTTGGCTTTATCCCTGAGATGTAAGATTGGTTCAACAATAAACAAATCAATAAGTGCAATTCATCACATAAACAGAACTAAAGGCAAAAATCATATGATTGTCTCAATAGATGCAGAAAAGGCTATCCATAAAATTCAACATACTTTAATGTTAAAAACTCTCTATGAACTAGATACAAAAGAAACTTACCTCAAAATAATACAAGCCATCTATGAAAAACCCACAACCAATATCATACTGAATGGTGAAAAGCTGGAAGCATTGCCCTTGAATACCAAAACAAGACAATTATGCTCTCTTTCACCACTCTTATTCAATATAGTATGGGAAGTCCTGGACACAGCAATCAGGGAAGACAAAGAGAGAAAGGGCATCAAAATAGGAAGACAGAAAGTCAAACTACTGTGTTTACACACAACATGATTCTGTATCTAAAAAAACCCCCATAGTCTCAAAACAAAAGCTCTTTCAGCTGATAACTTCAGCAATGTTTCAGGATTCAAAATCAATGCACAAAAATTACTAGCACTCCTATACACCAACAAAAGACAAGCCAAGAGCCAATTAACAAACACAATCCCATTCACAATAGTGGCAAAAAGAATAAAATACCTAGGAATACAGCTAACCAGGGAGGTGAAAGATCTCTACATGGAAAGCTACGAAACATTGCTGAACAATATCAGAGATGACACAAATGTAGGGAGCACACTCCGTGCTCATAAATAGGAAGAATCAATATCATTAAGATGACCATATTGCCCAATTTACAGATTCAATGTGATTCCTATCAAACCACCAAAGACATTCTTCACAGAACTAGAAAAAAAACTATCCTAAAATTCATATAGAACCAAAACTGAGCCCAAATAGCCAAGGCAATCCCTAAGCAAAAAGAAAAAAACTAGAGGCATCACACTACCTGATTTCAAACTATACTACAAGTCTACAGTAACCAAAACAGCATGGCACTGGTACAAAAACAGACACACACTGATGCAACAGAATAGGGAAGCCAGAAATAAAGCATCACACCTGTAACTATCTGATCATCTAAAAAGGTGACAAAAACAAACAATGGGGAAAGGACTCCCTATTCAATAAATGGTGCTGGGATAACTGGCTAGCCATATGCAGAAGATTGAAACTGGATGCCTTCCTTACACCATATATAAAAATCAACTCAAGATGGATTAAAGACTAAAACGTAGAACCCATAACCATAAAAACTTTGAAAGACAACCTAGGCAATACCATTCTGGACATAGAGACAGGCAAAGATTTCATGAATAAGATGCCAAAAGCAATTGCAACAAAAACAAAAATTGGCAAGTAGGATCTAATTAAACTAAAGAGCTTCTACAAAGCAAAGGAAACCGTCAAAAGAGTAAACAGACAACCTATAGAATGGGAGAAAATTGTTGCAAACTATGCATATTATAAAGGTGTAATATCTAGCATCTATAAGGAATTTAAAGAAATCCACAAGAAAAAAAACAGCCCTATTAAAAAGTGGGAAAAGGACAGGAACAGACGCTTTAAAAAGAACACATATGTGTGGTACACAAGCATATTAAAAAAGCCCAATATCACTGATCATTACAGAAATGCAGATCAAAACCACAATGAGAGACAGTCTCACCCCAGTCAGATGGCTATTAAAAGGTCAAAAATAAAGGTGCTAGCAAGGTTGTATAGAAAAAGGAATGTTTATACACTGCTTGTAGGAATGTAAATTAGATCAACTATTGAAGAAAACAGTGTGGCAATTACTCAAAGAACTAAAAACAGAACCACCATTTCAACCAGCAATCCCATTACTTGGCATATACCCAAAGGATTATAAACCATTCTATATCATAAAGACACATGCGTGTGTTAAGTTCATTGCAGCACCATTCATAATAGTGAAGACATGGAATAAAACTAAGTGCCCATCAATGATAGACTAGATAAAGAAGATATGGTACATATACACCATGGAATACAGGTACATAGGTGGAGCTGGAGGCCATTATCCTTAGCAAACTAATGCAGGAACAGAAATTCAAATACTGCATGTTCTCACTTATAAGTGTGAGTTACATGATGAGAAAACATGGACACCTTAAAGAGAACAGCAGACACTGGCACCTACCACAGGGTATGGAGAAGGAGAGGATCAGGAAAAATAACTAATGGGTGCTACGATTAAACCCTGCGACATGAGCTTGCTTATATAACAAACCTGCACATGTGCCCCTGAACTTAAAATAAAAGATAAAAAAAGCTACGCTGAAGAGGGTGTAAAGAAAAAAGAAGCCTTGTGTACTCTTGGTGGGAATGTAAATTAGTACAATTGCTATGCAAAACAGTAAGAAGATTTCTCAAAAAACTAAAAGCAGAACTACTATTCAATCCAGCAATCCAGCTGCTGTGTATCTATCCAAAGGAAATCAGTACGCAAAAAGGATGCCTGAACTCCCACGGTTATTGCAGTACTGTTCACAACAGAAAAGATGTGTAAGCTAAGTGTCCATTAATGAATGAATGAATAAAGAAAATATGTATATACACACAATGAAATACTAGTCCATTGTAATAAAATGAATGAAATCCTGTCATTGGCAGCAACACAGATGGAACTGGAGGTCATTATGTTAAGTAAAATAAATCAAGCAGAGAAAGACAAATATTGCATGTTCTCACTCATATGTAGGAGCTACAAATGATGATCTATAAAGGTAGAGAGTAGAATGAGAGATACCAGAGGCAAGGAAGGGTGTTCAGGGGGATGGGGAATGAAGAAATACTGGTTAACGAGTAAAAACATATGGATACATAAAATGAGTAAGTTTTAATATTTGATAGCAGAGGAAGGTGACTACGGTATACAACAATGTACTGTGTTCTTCAAAATAGCTAGAATTAAAATGTTCCCAATAAAGAACAATGATAAATGCTGCAGGGGATGAATGCCCTAAATTTCCTGATATCCTGACTTGATCATTACACATTCTATTCATGTAAAAAATCACATGTATGCAGTAAATGTGTACAAGTATTATGAATCAATACAAATAACATTAGAGAGTCTTCTTATTTCCTATGTTAGTTACACCCAAGCCACTCTCTTGCTGGAACAAATATGGTAGTGGTTGTAGTGGGGAGTGATGATGATGAGGAGGAGGAGGAGGAGGATGGTGATGGTGAAAACAATGATAATATGTTGCTGCGAATACAACTCTATCAAATGACAGCTAATTACGTGTCAGGCATTGTGCCAACCAAATATCAGATAGTAATCAAATTTTATGCCTTAGACTAGTTTGTAATGTAAATGTTATTTTGCTCACTTTGCAGTAAAGAGAAGTTGTCAATTCAGAGAAGTTGAATAATATCCTCCTCAAATCAATCAAATGCTAATTAGGGAAAATAAAAGGGGTTTAAAATGATACAGAAATAATCTTTGGTATGACTCCAATTGTGAGATCCTGCTGTGAATCAAAGAAAGATTGAAATAAATCCAAAAGATTACATACTATTGCTAATAAAGCAGATTTGAAAATAAACAAAAGATCCATTCACAAATATATATGCATAGATACTTTATTCAGGGAGTGAAAGATAAGTGACAATTGCAAAGGTGGTAGAAGCTCGTGACCAGGTGACAGACAGACACAGAACACATCAACAGAATTCTCTGATGGTTCCCAGGGAGAGAGCTGCTGCTCTTTCTTCCGAAGCTCTGGGAGCTGGCACAGCCCAGGACTTCCTTTGCTCAGTCTCCACCTGGACAGTGGCAGTATGGCAGCCTCAGAAAAGAAACTTTTTGCTGTCAGGGATCATCATGGGCAGATTACTGGCTAAGGAGAAAGAAGCTCCCTGTGTATCCATGGTAGGCTTTGATGAGAAGATGAAGGTGGAGCTGTGGAACGAGGTGAGCCAAATATCCTTATCCTTTCTTGGTCCTGATGAATTCTGAAGCTGTTACTTGCTCTTCGGTGGATACTTTGACTGGCAGGGTGGGGAAGGTGTCACAGGAGGATATTTCTGCTGGCACTGCTGAGGTGGGCAGGGCTGTGGACACTTTGGTGGTGGGCAGGGCTCAGGGCACTTCGGGGGTGGACATGGCTCTGGGCACTTTGGCGTGGGGCACACAGGAGGTGGCTGGCAGGGCTGCTTGCACTGCTGCTGTTGATAAGACATCCTGCTGGAGTCTCAGGATCTGAAAGAAATGATACAACAGTGTTCGTGGGAAGGGAATCCTCCAGAGAGAGAAGCCAAAGCTTGTGTAATACCATGGCATATTATTTCTCCAATCTCCAAGAAATTATTTAAATTCTTAATTACCTTTTCAAGACTTTCTGGTTTCTCCCTTCCACTTTAACAAATTGCTTCATTGTCCCTAGGAAATCCTGTGTTTTCTCATACAATTTTTCCAAATAAATTATCTCTGTTATAAAGAATCAAGCATCTTATTTCCCTGAAAATAACCAATTCAAGAAAGGCAGTCACAAGTTCAGACACCCTGGGCAATCTAATATGCTATTCCTATCATCATTATCTGTTATAAAGTCCAAGTGGGCTGACTTGGGCATAGAGCAAAGGGCTGCTCAGGGAGAATTGTAGTCTTTCACACCTGCTAAGACACAAACCTTTGTAAAGGACACTAGAAAGACAGAGAATAAAGAAAAATACTTTGTTCTTTTTTCTTCTTCATATCAAAGGTTACCCCTTAACTTCTCTGTCCATATGGATACCTACCTGTATAACAAAAGAAAGCTAAAATAGCATATAATTGTGCTCTAATCTTAAATTTTCATCCACTAAGTAGCATCAAGTCAATTTTCATAGGATTGGATCCACCAAACTTGCCATATTCAGATTAAACTCAACATTTCAGGGCACAAAGAACAGAGGAACTCAAGGAAGCCGACTCACCAGGTTCTCCAAGGCAGATCAGTGCTCAGGTACCAGGGGTTTAAGAGTCGTGCAGCAGAGGATCTCTTTATAGAGCCTGCTACCCCACCCAGCAGGAAGTGAAACTACCCAAAACAATGCTGATCCAGTAATTTCTTAAGCCAGATGCAAATTTATCCATGACTGGCATGAGCAGGATACTCAAAATAGGAAATATCCTGTTCTGAAATCTCTCCTCTGGGTTAAGCTCTCCTGACTCACAGAAGCCATGCCTTGGATCTCAGTTTCAGTGACTTATGGCAAAGAGGGACTTGGGGGAATCTCTAACTGATGGTCAAGGGATCTCTTTCTTAATTGGGAACAAAGATATTTTCCTGTCTTACACCTTCCCTAAATCATAAAACTTCTGCCCTCATTCACTTTACCTGAATGCCTTATTGTTGTACATGAACTCAACTGTACCTCTACTTTCCTCATGCAATTTGCCAATGTGCTAGGAGGAAGGGGAGACCTAACAAAGGCCTGAGTTCTAGCTCAAGCCTTTTCTTTGCTCTGTTGTATGACCACAGGCAAGTCACTTCTCCTCCACGGAACTGTAAACAGGGAGAATAATACTTACCCCTGAGTTTGCAGGCATTGACCGCATTGTGCCACCTGATGACCCTGTTCGAGCTTGAAATTTTTTCTTCTACCTCTTTCTTTCTCTCATAAAACCCCAGATTTTACCTGTATTATCTTCCTCTTTAAAACTGTCTTCTCTAATCCATTTGTAGAGGCATTTGTCTCCCAGGATAGATTCCAAAGTGAGATCGAGTCTCCCTAGCACGTTTTCTACTTGCTGCCCTTAGGGATGTGTACTATAACTTTTTATTTATAAAAATGTACTCTTGGACACCACCTTAAGGAAGTAGAGAGAATGGAACCAAAGTTGCAAGCATTCACTCAAAATCTATGTATTGAAACTTGCCTATGTTCAATACATTTTACATACATTTTTAGTATAATTTGAATATTTTAAATATTACATAATCTCCCAAAACATTCTGTAGTGTCCTGTGAATATCCTATAGAGAACAAGCTGCATAGACTCATGTTATCATATGTAAATAATTAGAAGTAGGTTTGCAGAGTGCAGAAGTTCAGAGCACTTAAAGTCTGAAATCTAGAGGAAAATAAAAGCTAAGTGTAATCCAATATGTATTCTTGCTCTCTATTTCCAAACAGGTTTTAGGTGTTTGAAAGACAGTGTTTTAAAATTTGTTTGTATGTTCTTCCTTTGTTTTTTCCGTAGACCCTCTAGTCCCACAGTCTGCTGGATTATCAACTCACACCCCAATGTACACCTCTCATCTGTCCATTTTGGTACATATTGTTCACTTAACACATATGTTGTCAATGCATTTAGTGATTGTTCTTTCACATCTTTTTTAAGCTCTTTTACAATCATAAGGTTTTCTAAATATTGTATATTAAGCATTTAAAGTGATATTGCTAGAGCTTCCTTATCTGGACCATTAATCAGGAAGCTTTCCAAGAATGTGGTTTTGTAAGTAGATAAGAAGAAAGGGGAATGAGGAAGAGGAAAGACAAAATCATCAGAGCAGTCACCAGCTATGCTCCAGGAAGAACATGTGTTGAATGAACCCAGCATCACATCCCTCAGTTAAGCAGGTTAGGTACCCAGAACTGCTATTTCTCCTGTCAGTAAGGAAGGGCTTTTGGCTAAGATCATCACTGGCCAGGACACTACAGAAATAGAGCCAACATATCAGAACCTTGAGGCCAGGTGTTTACAAATGGTGTTCTCACCAAGTGTTTCCTATAGACTATTACACATGTCAAGCACTTCACTGGGCAAAGTAAAGGGCCTTTACTCAATAGGTCCCCTACTACTCCCCAACAGCCTCACATCACATCTAAAACACAAATCCTTAAAGAAATATCTGATTTGTGCCATGCAAAATTGAAGAATTTGCTGCCAGATGAGATCACTGTGTGAGATAACACAGTCTGAGTCACACCCTGCGACACCCCTTCTGAGAACACCGCATTCCAACAGGAGGCTTATCACACCAGTGCAGGCACTAGAATGGCAGCAGCCCTAGTGCCCCCCGCATCTCAGACAGGCTCACTTTACAAGTTGAGGTGGTGAACTTGAAACTCAGAGTTCCACACAGAGCAGCCACATGAGGAACGGCCACAATATGAAGAGGGGCAGCTAACAGTCACAGCTTCCCCAAGTTAGGACATCCAGGCCTTGATACATGGAGCGAGGCATACTTCACACATGCACACACACACACACATACACACGCACTCCATGGGTCTTTATTTATCTATCATCTATCTTCATGTCTAAAGAGCTTAGCTTTATGTTTCTTAACAGTCTGATAGCCTTAGATTCATTCCTATTATTTCTACTTCCTAATTTTGTAAGGGATCATTAAGTACGAATTATTAGTTCATAAAAATGACAGGAAAGAACAAAAACTTTTATTTGGTGTAATATTTGATTCAACATTTTATCTCACATTTTACTATGATACATTCTGCTATACAAAATAGTGCTGGCAAGTGAAGATTTAAAATAAAATATGAAAAAACAAAGAAACAGGAATTGTTGCAAAATATTCTTGATATGTTAAGAGAAATGGTAACTACCAGTCCCCATGCATATCTGCCTTCTGCTTTTATTTCTGAATAGCAGGCTTAGTCTCCATTGTCCTTCCATAATTCGATGAATTAGATAAACATATGGTAGAATTCTGAAAGTAATTAAGAAGAATGTTTTGGGAGATTATGTAATATTATTTAAAATATTCAAATTATACTAAAAAATGTATGTAAAGCATGATAACATTTTCATTAAAAGATGGGAAACATAAAACAACATACTAAATGTGATTATATATGGCTGGTATAATTACAGATGATGTTTATGTTCTTATTTAACTTTTCAAAGTATGCTTCAAATGTTACCTATTATTGAGTAAGGAATCTTAAAATTCTACTTTGAAAAGCTAACAAGAGACAAGCCTGTCCATTGCTCAGTTAGTGAGATAGTGGGTTTTTTGGGTTTTTTTTAAGCATTATTGGCTAGACACTAAAGGTGGGGCAGGATGTAAGTAGCAGTAGTTTTATTGTAATAGCTCTACATTTGATCACATCCCTTCTAAAATCTCTCTCGAAGAAAACTCCAATAATAATCCCCCTTCCTCAGAGTATTGACATATACACACAGATGTTTACAAATGGTGTTCTCTCCAAATGTGAGAATCGTAGTAACCACAGACACCCAATAGCTGTATGTGTCTGTGAAATCATTCACCAAAATTGGGAGATCATTCTAGGATAACAAAATCAGGAATGAGTTTGTCTACTATCCAAGAGCCAGGTGGATAGAAAGCATAAATTGGCCATAATATGATGAAATTGGAAGAGATGGATGATTAGCAGGACAGGTAGTAAGGATAGTAGAACGTGGTGATAATAATAGTAACTACCACTAAATTGTCATGAGAAAACAATTAAATCAGAGACTGCATATAAATACTTAGCACAGGCTACAGATAGTGCTCAAAATGCTAAAGTAACACATTGTTAATGAAAGAAATAGAGACAAAATATCAATTTCAAGTTGTTTATGGTTAAGAAAGATACTTGCTTTCTCTTTAAGATCTTTTATATTATCCTTATTTTAACTGTGTGCCAGAAGTTTTTAGGACAAAGCAAATGCAAATATATTATTTGAATGAAGTGGGCAGAAATAATAAGATGGGCTGATCCTGACGTTTATTCTTATGTGATAAAAATGAGAGTTAATCTAAGCAGAAATTTAGATCAGTTCCTAGTTGTTCGTACTCTCTAAGACTTTCCTCTGAATTCAGTTAATACAAGAAAATAAATCTAAATACAGTAAATAGCAATATGTGGATGTGTTCATTTGTAAAATATTAACATACATAGATATTTAGCATTCCATGTGAAAATATATATAATGTTACCTCCAATTTAGTTTACTGTTATGTGGTTAGCTGTTTAGGACATTAATAAAAAACACTCATTCAAATATCACATTTCTTCTGGTGGCAAATTACCTAAATTTTAGGCTAAATCCTTATAAGAAACTGAATAGCTCATTAGCACTAACCTTCCCAAAGTGAATAGACCTTATAGATTCTACTGTTATTTTCTCTATATGTTAGATCAGAATATTTAAGAGCATAATTTCAAGAGCTATTAGTAATGTAAAGTACTCCTGTTGCTTAATGTTAATGAGATTAAGAAGGACATATGGTAAATGATAGAATGAATCAGACACTTCTCCTCATAAGAATCTTTTCAAGATAGTGAATGTGCATAGGCTGTGGTTTCCTTCCAAAAAAAGTCAAAAAGGAAAATAAGGAAACACGAACAAAATTGTGAAAAATTTTGAAGAGGAAAAAAACTGTTTGAAATCTAATATGGGGAGAGCTGAAATTCTACTGTAAGTTAGAAATATATGAAATAAAACATAAACATTATTAGAACAATCAAAACTAACAGTCTTACAGAGATAAACACAATTTTACAATATGATCCAGCAAATTTTGATCTAGTACATTTCAAAATATTTCAACAAAAAATAACCTGCATTCAAATGATTGCAGCAGCTTTATTCATAAATTCCAAGAAGCGTGATCTACCAAGATGCCCTTCAATAAATGAATCGATAAACCACGGTGGATTATACCCATGCAGTGGAACACTATGCAGTGATAACATGGAATGATCTATCAAGAAATACAAAGATATGAATGAATTTTAAATGCAAACTGGTAAGTTTAAAAAAAGTCAGTCTCAAAGGCTACACACTGTTTCTAAAATGGTTCCATTTATATGATTTCTGTAAAATGCAAAATTACACATCCAAAAAGCACAACAAACTCCAAGTTCAATGAATTCAATGACACCCACACTGAGACACATTATAATTAAATTATCAAAAGAGAGAATCTTGAAAGCAGGAAGAAGGAAGTAAATCATCATATCTAAGGGATCCTTAATAAGTAGTTGACCAAATTCTTATCAGAAGTAGTTTTCTGAATAAGTAATTTTCAATATATCATCCTACTGCCTCCTGATCTCCAAGGCAGTGGAATTCTATGTTGATAGTGATTTCTTTCAACGCTGTAGAATTCTAGAAAGAAACCACTTTCAACCTAAAATTGTACAGCCGGCAAAATTTCCTTAAAAGTGAGGGCAAACTTATGACATTTCCAGAAATCAAAACTTGAGGCAGTTCATTGCTCCTAGATTTTCTGTATGAGAAATGATACAGAGAGCCTCTCAGGTTGAAATAAAAGGATGCTGGGCCAGGCGCGGTGGCTCACACCTGTAATCCCAGCACGTTGAGAGGTCGAGGTGGGCGGATCACAAGGTCAGGAGTTCGAGAGCAGCCTGACCAACATGGTGAAACCCCATCTGTACTAAAAATACAAAAATTAGCTGGGTGTGGTGGTGTGTGCCTATAATCCCAGCTACTTAGGAGGCTGAGGCAGGAGAATTGCTTGAACCCAGGAGGTGGAGGTTGCAGTGAGCCGAGATCGCACCACTGCACTCCAGCCTGGGCAACAGAGAGAGACACTGTCTCACAAAAAAAAAGGATGCTGGAGAGAAACTGTATGAAGATATAAAGGTATCTGATAGACATGCACAGGTACATAAAAGCCAGCATTATTGTAATTTTAGCTTGTAACTCCACTTTTTATTTTCTACAAGATTTAAAATGCAAATGTATACAATACAATTACAAATATATGTTAGTGAACATACAGTGTATAAAGATGTAATTTGTGAACTCAACATAAAAAGAAGATGGGGTGGTTGTATGAGTTAATTTTTCTATGCAGTTGGAATTGTTGGTGTTAATGCTAATTAGATTAGTATAACTTTAAGATATTATATACAGTCTTCACTGTAACCACAAAATAAATATTTTAGAATACACACGACAGAAAAAAGACAATTTAAAAAGTTTTACTATTAAAAAAAACTAAACACAAATCAGGCACTAATGAAAGATAACATAGAGAAAAGAGTAAATGCAAAAAGAGGACCTACCTCATGAGTTATTATTTTAACTGTAAGTGAATTAAACTTTCCCCAGCAACAGAAATTGAAAGCATGGATCTTAAATTAAAAAATTGATTCAACTATTTGCTGTTTACAAGAGACTAACTTTACAACTAAAGACACAAAGAGGTTGAAAGTAATGTATGGAAAAAGATATTTTATGTAAATAGTAGCCACAAGAGACCAGAGGTGGTTACAATAACATGAGACACAATTAAGTTGAGTACTGTTACATGAGACTATAAAGGACATATATATTGATAAAGAGATTTATTCACTCAGAAAACATAGAAGTTATAAACATACATTTCCTAACATCAGAACTCTAAAACATATGAAGATACATTGAGAGAAATTAAAAGAAATTGATAGTTCTATAATAAATATTGAAAACTTAAATACTTCACTTTCAAAAATGGCTAGAATAATAGAAGTTCAAAAAGAAAATAGATGACTTAAAAATATAAACCAATTAGTCCAAACAGAAAAATACACAACCCTGTACCCACCAACAGCAGGATATACCCTACAATTTTCTCAGGAGAACATGGAACACCCTCCAGGATAGACCACATATTAGGCTAGAAAATAAGTTAATATATTTTAAAAGACTAAAATCATACAAAGTACTTTTCCAATCACTTTGGAATAAGACTAAAAATCTATAACCAACTTAAAACTGGAAAATTCACACATTTGTGGAAACAAACAAACAAAAAAACACTCTTAAACAACCAACAGGTCAAATAAGAAATCACGGGAAAATTAGAAATAGCTTGAGACTACTGACAACAAAAACACATCATACCAAAACTTCAGGATTGCAGAAAAAGCAGTGCTAACAGGGAAATTTACAGCCATAACCACATATATTTTTAATTTAAAAAATTCTCAGATCAATAACTTCATGTTACACCTTAGGGAAATACAAAAAGAAAAGTAAACTAAACCCAAAAAAAGTAAATATGAGAGACTAGAATGGAGATAAATAAAATAAAAGACAAGAAAACAATAGAGAAAATCAGTAAAACCAACTTTTATTTCATTGAAAAGGCAACAAAACTGACAAATTGTTAGATTAACCACAGAAGAGAAAAATGATGTAACACTCAAATAGCTAAAATCTTAAAAGAAAGTGGGGAAGTTACTACTGATTTTACAGAAATGAAAAGAATTTTAAGGGAAAACATCGAAACAATTCTATGTCGGCTTATCAGATAACCCAGTTGAAATGAACAAATTCTTAGA
This sequence comes from Homo sapiens, assembly GCF_000001405.40. NCBI lineage: Eukaryota > Metazoa > Chordata > Mammalia > Primates > Hominidae > Homo > Homo sapiens. The sequence goes on from NC_000001.11 coordinate 153,064,812, forward strand.
AATATACTGTCTACCAAACCAAATCATAAAGAAATAGAAAATTTGAAGAGATGTATAAAAAGTAAGGAGATTGAATTATTAATCTAAAATCTCACAAGAAAGAAAAGTGTTGACCCAGAAGGATTTATTGGAGAAGTATATACCAATCCTTCTCAAACTCTATCAAAAAAGAAAACTTAAAATAGAGAATACTTCCTGCCTTATTCCATGAAGCCAGGATTACCCTGATAGAAAATCCAGACAAAGACACTGCAAGGAATGAAAACTACACACCAATATTCCTCATGAATATTGATGCAAAAAATGCTCAAAAACATTTAACATACCAGATAATTCCTGTGGCTCTGGGCAAGATGGCCAACTAGATGCAGCCAGGTAGAATAGCTGCCACTGAGGGACAGAGACGACTGGCCCACTTTTAACAGATTTTCAGAGGGGAGGCACTGAGAGTGAAGCAACCACAAAACAGAAAAAAGCAGGGATTGCAATCCCAATTTCAGACAAAGAGACTTTAAACCAACAAAAATCAATAAAGACCAAAAAAAGCATTACACAGTGGTAAAGGATTCAACAAGAATACCCAACTGTCTTAAATATAAATGCACCCAACACAGGAGCACTCACATTCATGAAGCAATTTCTCAGTGCCCTTCAAAGAGAATTAGACTCCCATACAGTAATAGTGGGAGACTTTAACACCCCACTGACAGTATTAGACAGATCATAGTGGCTGAAATTTAACACGTGTATTCAGGACTTGAAGTCAGCACAGAACCAAATGGACCTGATAGACATCTACAAAACTCTCTACCCAAAAACAGAGACTATACATTCTTCTTTTAGCCACATGGCACAAACTCTGAAATCAATCACATGGTGGGAAATAAAACACTCCTCAGCAAACACAAAAGAACTGAAATCATAACAACCAATCTCTCAGAAGACAGCACCATGAAATTTGAAATCACGACTGAGAAATTCACTCAAAACCATACAATTACATGGAAATTTAATAAGTTGCTCCTGAATGACTTTTGAGTAAATTATCAAATTAAGGCTGAAATCAAGAAGTTCATTGAAACTAATGAGAATGAACATACAACATACCAGAATCTGTGGACACAGCTAATGCAGTATTAAGAGGAAATTTATAGCACTAAATGCTCACATCAAAAAGTTAGAAAGATATCAATGTAACAACCTAACATCACAACTAAAAGAACGAGGAAACCAAGAAAAAACCAACCTCAAAGCAATCAGAAGACAAGAAATAACCAAAATCAGAGCTAAGCTAAAGGAGACTGAGATATAAAAAAAATCAAAATATCAACAAATCCAGGAATTACTTTTAAAAAATAATAAAACAAATTGACTGCTAACTAGACTATAAAGAAGAAAAGAGAAAATATTCAAATAAACACAGTTAGAAAAGACAAAAGGGATATTCACAAATGAATTCTACCTGATGTACAAATAAGAGCTGGTACCATTCCTGCTGAAACTATCCCAAAAAGTTGAAGAGGAGGACTTCTCCTAACTCATTCTATGAGGCCAGCATCATCTTGATACCAAAACCTTGCAGAGACACAAACACTAAAAAGTAAATTTCAGGCCAATATCCTCAATGAAAATCAATGCACAAATTCTCAGCAAAATACTGGCAAACCTAATCCAGCAGCACATCAAAAAGCCTATCCACCAGAATCAAGTTGGTTTTATCCCTGGGGTGCAAGAATGGTTAAACATACACAAATCAATAAATTTGATTCATCACATAAACAGAACTAAAGACAAAAATCACATGATTGTCTCAATAGATGCAGAAAAAGCTTTCCATACAATTCAACACTGCTTCATGTTAAAAACGCTCAGTAAACTAGATATTAACCAAATGAATATTCCTCAAAATAATAAGAGCCATCTGTAACAAATCCACAGCCAATATGATACTGAATAGGGAAAAGCTGGAAGCATTCCCCTTGAAAACTGGCACAATACAAGGATGCCCTCTCTCACTACTTCTATTCAACATACTATGGAAAGTCCTGGCCAGAGCAATCAAGAAAGATAAGGGTAGAAAGGCGACCAAAATAAGAAGCAGGAAGTCAAACTATCCCTGTTTGCACACGACATGATTCTATATCTAAAAAACCCTATAGTCTCGGAACGAAAGCTCTTTCAGCGGATAAACAACTTCAGCAATGTTTCAGGATTCAAAAACAACATACAAAAATCAGTCAATCAATCACTAGCACTCCTATATACCAGCAACAGCCAAGCCAACAGCCAAATCAGGAACACAATCCCATTCACGACAGTGGCAAAAAGAATAAAATACCTAGGAAAACAGCTAACCAGGGAGGTGAAAGATCTCTACACAGAGAACTACAAAGCTTGCTGAACATCAGAGATGACACTAATAAATGGAAAAACATTCCAAGCTCATGAACAGGAAGAATCAATACAGTTAAAATAGCCAAACTCCTCAAAGCAGTTAGCAATTTCAATGTGATTCCTCTCCTATCAAACTACCAATGACATTCTTCACAGAACCAAAAAAAAAAAACAACAATTATACAATTCTATGAAACCAAAAATTAGCTTCAATAGCCAAGGTAATCCTAAACAAAAAGAACAAAGCTGGAGTTATGATGCTACCTGACTGCAAACTATACTATAAGGCTGCAATAACCAAAATAGCATGGTACTAGTACAAAACAGACACAGAGACTAATGGAACAGAATAGGAAACCCAGAAATAAAGCAACACACCTGTAACTATCTGATCACTAAAAATGTGACAAAAACAAGCAATGTGGAAAGAACTCCCTATTCAATAAATGGTGCTGGGATAACTGTCTAGCCCTATGTATAAGACTGAAATTGGATGCCTTCCTTACACTATATACAAAAATCAACTCAAGATGAATTAAAGACTTAAACGTAGAGCGCTAGATTACAAATACCCTGGAAGACAACCTAGGCAATACCATTCTGGACATAGGGACAGGAAAATATTTTATGACAAAGACACCAAAAGTAATTGCAACAAAAGAAAAATTGATGAATAGGATAAACCAAAGAGCTTCTGCACAGCAAAGGAAACTATCAACAAAGTAAACAGACAACCTACAGAATGGGAGAAAAGTTTCGTAAAGCATGCATCTGATAAAGTTCTAATATTCAGCATCTATAAAGAATTTAAACAAATTTACAAGAAAAAAAAAACAGCCCCATTAAACAGTGGGCAAAGGACAGAAATAGACACATTTCACAGGAAACATACATGTAGCCAATAAGTATATGAAAAACAAGCTCAACATCACTGATCATTAGAGAAATGTAAATCAAAACCACAATGAGATACTAACTATTTCACACCAGTCATAATGGCTATTATTACAAAGTCAAAAAATAAAAAGTTCAGGAGAGGTTGCAGAGAAAAACGAATGCTTATACAGTGTTGGGGGAAGCGTCAATTAGATCAACCATTGTGGAAAACAGTGTGGCAATTACTCAAACAGCTAAAAACAGAACTACCATTCCGACCAGCAATCCCATTACTTGGTATATACCCAAAGGAATACAAACCATTCTGTGTCATAAAGATACATGCACATGTTATGTTCATTGCAGCACTATTCATAATAGCAGACATGGAATCAAACTAAGTGCCCATCAATGATAGACTAGATAAAGAAAATGTGATACATACACACCATGAAATACTATGCAGCCATAAAAAAAGTGATCAAGTCCTTTGCAGGAACATGGGTAGAGCTACAGGCCATTACCCTCAGAAAACTAATGCAGGAACAGAAAATCAAATACCACATGTTCTCACTTATAACTGGGAGCTAAATGCTGAGAAAACATGGACACATAGAGGGGAACAACAGACAATAGGGCCTATTGGAGGGTAAAGGTTTGGGGGACAGAGAGGATCAGGAGAAATAACTAATAGGTACTATGATTAATAACTGAGTGATGAAACAAGCTGTACAATAAACCCCGGTGACATGCATTAACCGATATAACAAACCTGCACATGTACCCCTGATTTTAAAATAAAAAATTTTTAAAAATAGCAGATACTGGACAGGATGCAAAGAAAAAAGAAGCCTATATACTTCTGGTGGGAATGTAAATTAGTACACCCGCAGTGGAAAACAATACAAAGATTTCTCCAAAAACTAAAAATAGAACTACCATTCAATCCTGCAATCCAACTACTGTGTATCTATCCAAAGGAAAAGAAATCAGTCCATCAAACGGATGCCTGAACTCCCATGGTTATTGCAGTACTATTCACAATAGCAAAGATATGTAACCTAAGTGTCCATTAACGAATAAATGGAAAAAGAAAATATTGTATAGACACACAATGAAATCCTATTTTGTTGTAAAAAAGAATAAAATCATGTCATGTGCAGCAACACGGATGGAACTGGAGGTCATTATGTTAAGTAAAATAAGTCAAGCAGGGGAAGACAAATACTGCATGTTCTCACTCATCTGTGGGAGCTACAAAAGTTGATCTATAAAGGTAGAGAGTAGAATGATAGTTACCAGAGGCAGGGAAAGATGTTCAGGGGGTGGAGAATGAAGAGATGCTAGTTAAATAGTACAAACATAGAGAGACGTAAAAGAGGTAACTTTAAATATTTGATAGCGGAGTACAGTGACTACAGTTTACAACAATGTATTGTATTTTTCAAAATAGCAAAAAGAGAGGAATTAAAATGTTCCCAGGAAAGAAAGAAATGATAAATGCTCAAGGTCATGGATTCCCTAAATTTCCTGATATCCTGACGTGATCATTACACATTTGATCCATGTAACAAAATATCACATGTACCCCAAAAATATGTACAAGTATTATGAATCAATTAAAAATAACAATAGGGAGTCTTCTTATTTCCTGTATTAGTTACATCCAAGCCACTCTCTTTCTGGAACAAATATCTTGGTGGTTGTAGCAGGGGGTGATGATGATTATGATGATGATGATGCTTCTGGGGGAAACGATGATATATTGCTGCTTCTTAGCAGCAAATTCAATAAAATGACTGCTATTATGTGTCAGGTATTGTGCCAACCAAATTTCAGATAGAAATTAGATTTTATGACTTAGATTATTTTATGATGTAAATATTGTTTGGTTCACATTGCAGTAAAAAGATAGACATTTGGAGAACTGGAATAATATGTTCTGCAAATCAATCAAACACTAAGAAAAATAAAAGGGGTATAAAATGATACAGAACTAATACTTGCTATGACCCAAAATTCATATAGCAACAATTGTAAGATCTTCCCTGAGGATCACAGAAAGATAGGAATAAATCTAAATGGTCATATCACATTGCTAATAAAGCAGATTTGAAAAGAAACAAAAGACCCATTCACAAATATATATGCATAGATACTTTATTCAGGGAGTGAAAGAAAAGTGACAATTGCACAGGTGGTAGAAGCTCATGCCCAGGTGAAAGACAGACACAGAACACATCAACAGAATTCTCTGATGGTTCCCAGGCACACAGCTGCAGCTCTTTCTGCTGAAGCTCTGGGAACTGACAAAGCCAAGGTTCCTTTGCTCAGTCTCCACCTGGACAGTGGCAGTATGGCAGCCTTAGAAAGGAAACCTTTTGCTATCAGGGAACATCATGGGCAGATCACAGGCTAAGGGGAAAGAAGCTCCCTATGAATCCATGATAAGCTTTGATGAGAAGATGAAGGTGGAGCTGTGGAACGAGGTGAGCCAATTATCCTTATCCTCTCATGCTCCTGATGAATCCTGAAGCTGTTACTTGCTCTTCGGTGGATACTTTGGCTGGCAGGGTGGGGAAGGTGTCACAGGAGGATATTTCTGCTGGCACTGCTGAGGTGGGCAGGGCTGTGGACACTTTGGTGGTGGGCAGGGCTCAGGGCACTTCGGGGGTGGACATGGCTCTGGGCACTTTGGCGTGGGGCACACAGGAGGTGGCTGGCAGGGCTGCTTGCACTGCTGCTGTTGATAAGACATCCTGCTGGAGTCTCAGGATCTGAAAGAAATGATACAACAGTGTTCGTGGGAAGGGAATCCTCCAGAGAGAGAAGCCAAAGCTTATGTAATACCATGGCATATTATTTCTCCAATCTCCAAAAATTTATTTAAACTCTTAGCTCTCTTTTCATGACTTCCTGTCTTCTCCTTTCCACTTTAGCAAGTGGCTTCATCAGCCCTAGGAATTCCTGCCTTTCCTCATACAATTTTTCCAAAGAAAACATCTCTGTAATAAAAAATCCAGCATGTTAATCCAAGAAATTAACATCTTCATGAAAGGCAGTCACAAGTTCAGACCCCCTGGGCAATCTCACAAGCTATTCCTATCATCATTATCTGTTGTAAAGTCCCAATGGCTTGACTTGGGCACAGAGCAAGGGCTGTTCAGGAAGAAGTGCTGGCTCTCACACCTGCTAAGACACAAACCTTTGAAAAGGATACCAGAAAAATATGGAAAAGAGAAAAATACTTTATCCTTTTCTTCCAACCAAAGCTTTCCTATTAACTTCTCTGTCCATATGAACATATAACTGTATATATTTTTTAAAGCTGTGTAAAACACTCTATCACATAGTCTAATCCTGTATTTCCATCCACTAAGTACCATCAAACCCATGATCATAGGTTTGAATACACCAAACTTGCTGGATTCAAATTAAATTCAACATTTCAGGGCAAAAAGAACAGAACTCAAGGAAGCAGACTAACCAGTTTCTCCAAAGCAGATCGGTGCTCGAGTACCAGGAGTTTAGGAGTTGGGCAGCAGAGAACCTCTTTATAGGGCCAGCTACCCCACCCAGCAGGAAGTGGAACTGCCTAAACTGAGCTGGTCCAGCAATGTCCCAACCAAAATGCAAATTTATCCATAACTGGCATGACAGGGATTCTCAAACTGGGAAACATCATGGAGGCCCTGCCTTAGATCTCAGTTTCAGTGACTTATGGCAAAGAGGGACTTGGGGGATTCTCTAACTGGTGGTCAAGGGCTCTCTTTCTTGATTGGGGGCAATGAATGCTTCCTGTCTTACACATTCCCTAAATCATAAAACTTCCTGCCCCGATCCACTTTAGCTGAATGCCATATTGTTGTACATGAACCCATCTCCACCCCTTCTTTCCTCGTACAATTTGCCAGTGTGCTAGAAGGACCTAACAAAGGCCTGAGTTCTGGCCACAGATTTTTTTGCTAAGTTGTATGCCAGGTCAACTCTCCTCTCTGGAATGGTAAACAGAGAAGCATCATATCTACCTCTGGTTTTGAAGGCAGTGACCACATTGTGCCATCTGTTGACCCTGTTCAAGCCTGAAATTTTCTACTTCACCTCTGTCTTTCTCTCACAGAACCCCAGATTTTACCTATATTCCTTTTCCCTTTGAAGTTGTCTTACACACCTCTTATAGAGGCACTTGTGTCCCAGGACAGACACCAGAGTGAGATCCAGTCTCCCCAGTATGTTTGCTACTGCTGCTATCAAGGATGTGTACTACAGCCTTTTTATTTATAGAAATGTACTTAGTCACCACATTAAGGAAATGGAGAGAAGGGAACCAAAGTTACAAGCATTCATTTTAAATCTATGTATTGAACCATGCCTATATCTTTCCCTGTGAACATCCTATAGAGAACAAAATGCATAGACTTACAGTATCTTATGTAAATAGAGAAGAGAAGGGGTCTTCTCAGAGTAGAGAAGGTCAGAGGACTTAAAGTCTGAAATCTAGGGGAAAATATCAACTCAGTGTGATCCTATATGTTTGCTTTCTCTACCTCTCTTTCCAAACAGGTTTTAGTCTTTGAAAGACAGTATTATTTTATTTGTTTGTATGTTCTTCCTTTGTCTTTTCCCAAAGCCCTCTAGCCCCACAACCTGCTAGATTATCAATTCACATCCCAATGTATACCTCTCATCTGTCCATTTTAGTACACATTGTTCACTCGATACGTATGTTGTCAATGTGAATGTCTTTCACATCTTTTTAAAACTCTTCCTGCAATCAATGGGGCTTACTAAGCATCATATATTAAACACTTAAAATACTGCTGCTGGAGCTTCCTTATCTGGGCCAATAATCAAGAACCTTTCCAAGAATGTGGTTTTATAATTGGAGAAGAAGAAGGACAAGGAAGATAAGAAAAAAAGAGGAAGAGGAGTGACTCAAATTCTTTGGAGCACTCACCAGCTACGCTCCAGATAGAGCAAGAGCGCTGAATCAACCCAGCATCACACCTCTCAGTTAAGCAAGTTAGGTTTCCAGATCTGCAATTGCTCCAGTCTCTAAGGAAGGGCTTTTGGCCAAGATCACCATGGCCAGACACTACAGAAATAGAACTATCATGTCAACACCTTGAGTCCAGGTGTTTACAAACAGTGTTCTCACCAAATGTGTCCACATGTCAAGTACAGTGGGTGCAGTAAAGGGATTTCACTCAATAGGTCCCCTACTCTTCCCCAGAGCCTCACATCACATCTACAACACAAATCCTTACAGAAATGTCTTTTTTCTGCCATGCAAAATTGGAGAATTGGCTGCTAAATGAGATCACTGTGTGAGATAATACAGTTTGGGTCATGCCCTGAGACTCCCCTTCTGAGAACACCCCACTCAAACAGGCTGTTTATCACAGCAGTGCAGGCACCAGAGCGGCAGCAGCCCTAGTGCCCCCAGCATCTCAGACAGGCTCACTTTACGAGTTGAGATGGTGAACTGGAAACTCAGAGTTCCTCACAGTTCAGCTACATGAAGAGTGGTCATAACATGAAGAGGAGCAGCTAACAGTCACACCTTCCCCAGGTTAGGACATCCAGGCCCTGAGACATAGAGCGAGGCATACTTCACACACACACACACACACACACACACACACACACACAACATGAGTCTTTATCTATCATCTATCTACATGTCTAAAGAGGTTAGCTTTATCTTCTTTAAGAGTCTGATAGCCTTAGGTTCATTCCTATTACTTCTACTCCATAATTTTCTAAGGGATCATTAAGTATGAATGATTAGTACTTAAAAATGACAGGAAAGAACAAATACTTTACTTTTTTGTGATTCACAAAGTATATTTGAATTTTATTAATTATATATTCACTCATTTGTGCGTGTGTGTGTTCATAATGCTATGAAATTTACATCACATATGTAGCTTTGGCTACTACTACAGTCAAGATAAATAACTGTTCCATTACCACAAGGCTCCTCTGCTCCCCACTTATAGCCACCCCTGCTTTCTCAAATACTTACCTCTAGTAAATATTACTCTTTTTTCTATCTCTATGATTTCATTATTTTAAGAATATTTTAGTGAATTTATACATCATGCAACCTTTTAATAATTGTTCTTTTTTTCATATAACAATTTCACGGAGATCCATTCACTTTGTCCACTTTTAATTTTGTGTAATATTTGATTCAACATTTTATCTCACATTTCAATACTATACATTCCACTAAACAAAATAGTGCTGGCAAATAAAGATTTAAAATTAAATATGAAAAAATAAAGAAACAAAATTATGGTAAAATATTCTTGATAAGCTCAGAGAAAGGGTAACTGCAATTCCCCATGCATATCTGTCTTCTGCTTTTATTTCTGAATGAAAGGCTAAGCATCCATTGTCCTTCCATGCTGAATCCAATAAATTACAGAACATTCATATGGTAGAATAGTGAAAATCATTAAGGTGGATGTTTTGGAAATTTGTTTAGTATAATTTAAAACACTGGAATTGTACTAAAAACATATAAAGCATGACATGATTCTCATCAACATTTATTAAAAGATAGGAAACATATGAAACAATATATTAAATGTGATTATATATGGCTGGTGAAATTACAGATGATACCTATTTTCTTGTTTTACTTTTCAAAGTATTCTCCAAATGTTACCTATTACTGAGTAAGGAATCTTAAAATTCTACTTTGAAAAGTTGACAAGAGACAAGCATGTCCATTGCTCAGTTAGTCAGATAATGGTCTTTTTTATTTTTTCAGCATTTTTGGGCAGACGCTAAAGGTGGAGCTGGATGGAAGCAGCAGTTGTTTTATTGTTATAGCTCTACATTTGATCACATCCCTTCTAAAATCTCTCTTGAAGAAAACCCTGATAATATTCCCCATCCTCATAGCACTGACATACATACACTGAAGCCACAGACATGCAATAACCATATGTATCTATAAAATAATTCACCAGGCCGGGAACGGTGGCTCATGCCTGAAATCCCAGCACTTCGGGAGACCAACGTGGGTTGATCACGAGGTCAGGAGTTCAAGACCAGCCTGGCCAAGATGGTGAAACCCAGTTCTACTAAAAATACAAAAATTAGCCAGGCGTGATTGCAGGGGCCTGTAATCCCAGCTACTCGGGAGGCTGAGGCACAGAATTGCTTTAACCCAGGAGGCGGAGGTTGCAGTGAGGTGGCGTCACACCTCTGCACTCCAGTTTTGGTGACAGAACAAGACTCTATCTCAAAAAAAATAAATAAATAAATTTCAAAAAATAAAAATAAAAAAAAACAGTTCACCAAAATTGGCAGATCATACTAGAGTAAAAAAAATCAGGAATGAGTTTGTCTACTATCTAAGAGCCAGACAGATAGAAATCATAACATTGGCCATAATATGATGAAATTGGAAGAAATGGATGATTAGTAACAGGTGATAAAGATAATAGAACAAAGTGATAATAATAGTACCTACTACTAAATTGTCATGAGAAAAAAATTAAATCAGAGACTGCATTTAAAGTATTTAGCACAGGCTACAGAGAGTACTCAAAATAGTAAAGAAACACATGGCTAATCAAAGAGATAGGGGCAAAATATTGAAGTCAAGTTGTTTATGGCTGAGAAAGACATTTGCTTCTCTTTAAGACCTTTTATATCACCATTATCTTAAGTGTGTGCCAGAAGTTTTTAGGACAAAGCAAATGCAAATGTATGATTTGAATGAAGTGTGCAGAAATAATAAGGTAGACTGATCTTGACATTTATTCTTATGTGATAAAAATGAGTTAACCTAAGCAGAAATTTAGAACAACGGATAATGTTTCTGTGTTATTTGGACTCTCTACAGCTTTCCTCTGAATTCAGATAATAAAAAAAAGTCTGAAAACAATAAATAGCAATATGTTGATTTGTTGATTTGAAAAATATTAACATGTATAGATATATGTATTCTATGTGAAAAATATATGTTTTATTCTTCTGAAAAAATATATAATGTTACCTCTAATTTAGTCTACTGTTACTGTGGTTAGCTGTTTAAGACAATTAAAAGATTGCTCATTTAAATATCACATTCCTTCTGCAGACAAATTACCTAAATTTTAGGCTAAATCCTTGTAAGCAACTGAATAGCTCATTAGCACTAATCTTTCCAAAGTGTATAAACCTTTTAAATTCTACTTTTATTTTCTCCATATGTTAGATCCAAATATTTAAGAGCAAAATTCAAGAGTTATTAGTAATATAAAGTACTCCTGTATGCTTAGTGTTAATGAGATTCAGAAGAATATATGGTAAATGATGGAATAATTCAGATACTTCTACTTGTAAGAATCTTTTCAAGATAGTGAATGTGCATAGGCTGTGGTCTTCCTCCAAAAAAGTCAAAAAGGAAAACAAAGAAACACAAACAAAATTGTGAAAACATTTGGAGAGAAAAGACTATTTGAACTCTTACATAGGATGAGAGTCCTGAAAATTCTACTGTAAGTTTGAGAAAGGTTAAATAAAGTATAAACACTAAGAAAAAAATCAAAACTAACTCACAATCTTAAAAGATAAACATAATTTTATGACACGATCCAGCTACAGCACATTCAAAAATTGATCTAGTACATTTTAAAATATGTCAACACAAAATAATGTGCATTCAAATAATTATAGCAGCTTTAGTCATAATATCCACTATCTGTGATCTACCAAGATGTCCTTCAATAATTAAATGGATAAACTGTGGTACATCACACCCATGCAATGGAATACCACACAATTATAACATGGAATGACCTATCAAGACTCACAAAGACATGGTTGAATTTGAAATGCAAACTGATAAGTTAGAAATGTCAGTCTTAAAGGCTGTAGGCCCATTTATATGATTTCCATAAGAGGCAAACTTATGCATCCAAAAATCGCAACAAACTCCAAGTTCGATGAGTTCAGTGACACCCACCATGACACACATTACAATCAAATTATCAAAAGAGAGAATCTTGAAAGCAGCAAGAGGGAAGTGAATGATCATATCTAAGAAATCCTTAAGAAGTAGTTGACCAAATGCTCATCAGAAACCTTGGAGATCAGGAGGTAGTGGGATGACGTATTTAAAGCCATAAAAGAACACACTTTCAACCTAGAATTCTATAGCTGGCAAAATTGTCCTTTAAAATGAGGGCAAAATTATGGCATTTCCAGAAATCAAAACTTGAGGCATTTCATTGTCTGTAGATTTTGTGTATGAGAAATGATAAAGAGAGACTCTCCGGTTGAAATAAAAGGATGCTGGAGAGAAACTATGTGAAGATACAAAAATCTCTGATAAATGTACACTGGTACATAAAAGCTGGCATTGTTGAAATTTTAGCTTGTAACTTCAATTTTTATTTTCTACAAGATTTAAAATGCAAATGAATGCAATATAATTACAAGTCTATGTTAGCAAACTCACGATGTATAGAGATGTAATTTGTGAACGCAAAAAAAAAAGGATAGAGTTGTATGAGTCAAATTTTCTTTTTTTTTCTTTTCTTTTTTTTTTTCGACACAGTCTCACTGCATCACCCAGGCTGGAATGCAGTGGCATGATCTTGGTTCACTGCAACCTCTGCCTCTGGGCTCAAGCTATTATCTTGCCTCAGCCTCCTTAGTAGTAGAAGTACAGGCATGTGCCACCACACCCAGCTAATTTTTGTATTTTTAATAGAGGCAGGGTTTCGCCATGTTGGCGAGGCTGGATATGAGTCAACTTTTTGATGCAATTGGAGTTAAACGGGTGTTAATTCAAATTAGATTACTATAACTTTAGGATATTATACATAATCCCCAATGAAAACACAAAAATGTTTTCGAGTATACACAAAAGATAAAGGCAATAAAATCATTTTACTACAAAAAAAATCTAATAAACATAAATCAGACAATATTGAAAAACAAACATTGTACAGAAAAGAGTAAATGCAGAAAGAAGACCTTTCTCATCAGTAATTACTTTAAATGTAAATGAATTAAATTCTCCCCAACAACACAAATTGGAAGAATGAATTAAAAAAAATAGTTCAACTATTTGTTGTTTACAATAGACGAACTTTACAGTTAAAGACACAAAGGAGGTGAAAGTAATAGGATAGAAAAAGATATTTCATGTAAATAGTAGCCAAAAGAGACCAGAGGTGGCTACACTAACATCAGACATAATTAACTTTAAGTTGAGAACTGTTATAAGAGACTACAAAAGACATGTATATATATTTCTTTTAAGGAGCTTACTTTCTGTTTTTTTATTATACTTTAAGTTTTAGGGTACATGTGCACAACGTGCAGGTTAGTTACATATGTATACATGTGCCATGTTGGTGTGCTGAACCCAGTAACCCGTCATTTAACATTAGGTATATCTCCAAATGCTATCCCTCCCCTCTACCCCCACCCCACAACCGGCCCCAGTGTGTGACGTTCCCCTTCCTGTGTCCATGTGTTCTCATTGTTCAATTCCCACCTATGAGTGAGAACATGCGGTGTTTGGTTTTTTGTTCTTGCGATAGTTTGCTGAGAATGATGGTTTCCAGCTTCATCCATGTCCCTACAAAGGACATGAACTCATCACTTTTTATGGCTGCATAGTATTCCATGGTGTATATGTGCCACATTTTCTTAATCCAGTCTATCATTGTTGGACATTTGGGCTGGTTCCAAGTCTTTGCTATTGTGAATAGTGCTGCAATAAACATATGTGTGCATTTGTCTTTATAGCAGCATGATTTATAATCCTTTGGGTATATACCCAGTAATGGGATGGCTGGTCAAATGGTATTTCTAGTTTTAGATCCCTGAGGAATCACCACACTGAATTCCACAATCGTTGAACTAGTTTACAGTCCCACCAACAGTGTAAAAGTGTTCCTATTTCTCCACATCCTCTCCAGCACCTGTTGTTTCCTGACTTTTCAATGATCACCATTCTAATTGGTGTGAGATGGTATCTCATTGTGGTTTTGATTTGCATTTCTCCGATGGCCAGTGATGGTGAGCATTTTTTCACGTGTCTTTTGGCTGCATAAATGTCTTCTTTTGAGAAGTGTCTGTTTATATCCTTCGCCCACTTTTTGATGGGGTTGTTTGTTTTTTTTTCTTCTAAATTGGTTTGAGTTCAGTGTGGATTCTGGATATTAGCCCTTTGTCAGATGAGTAGATTGCAAAAATTTTCTCCATTCTGTAGGTTGCCTATTCACTCTGATGGTAGATTCTTTTGCTGTGCAGAAGCTCTTTAGTTTAATTAGATACCATTTGTCAATTTTGGCTTTTGTTGACATTGCTTTTGGTGTTTTAGGCATGAAGTCCTTGCCCATGCCTATGTACTGAATGGTATTGCCTAGGTTTTCTACTAGAGTTTTTATGGTTTTAGGTCTAACATTTAAGTCTTTAATCCATCTTGAATTAATTTTTGTATAAGGTGTAAGGAAGGGATCCAGTTTCAGCTTTCTACATATGGTTAGCCAGTTTTCCCAGCACCATTTATTAAATAAGGAATCCTTTCCCCATTGCTTGTTTTTGTCAGGTTTGTCAAAGATCAGATGGTTGTAGATATGCAGCATTATTTCTGAGGGCTCTGTTCTGTTCCATTGGTCTATATCTCTGTTTTGGTACCAGTACCATGCTGTTTTGGTTACTGTAGCCTTGTAGTATAGTTTGAAGTCAGGTAGCATGATGCCTCCAGCTTTGTTCTTTTGGCTTAGGATTGACTTGGCAATGCGGGCTCTTTTTTGGTTCCATATGAACTTTAAAGTAGTTTTTTCCAATTCTGTGAAGAAAGTCGTTGGTAACTTGATGGGGATGGCATTGAATCTATAAATTACTTTGGGCAGTGTGGCCATTTTCACAATATTGATTCTTCCTATCCATGAGCATGGAATGTTCTTCCATTTATTTGTATCCTCTTTTATTTCATTGAGAAGTGGTTTGTAGTTCTCCTTGAAGAGGTCCTTCAAAGATGTGTGTATTGATAGAGATTTATTCACCAAGAAAACCTAGAAAATATAGAAAGCTATAAACCTACATTTACTAAACATCAAAACTACAAAATATGCGAAGATACAGTGAGAGAAATTAAAAGAAGTTCATAGGTCTATAATAAATGTTGAAAACTCAAATAATTCACTCTCAAAAATGGCTAGAATAATAAAAGTTTGAAAAAATAGAGGGCTTAAATATATAAGCCAATTGGACCAAATAGACAAATATAGAACACTCCACCCAACAGCAGCAGGATACACCTTACAGCTTTCTCAAGAGAACATGGAAGAACACTCTCCAGGATAAACCATATCCATTAGGCTACAGAACAAGTTAATATATTTTAAAAGGCTAAAATCATGCAATGAACTTTTCCAATCACAGTGGAATAAAACTAAAAACTTATAATCAAATTAAAATGGGAAATTTTACAAATTTGTGGAAATTAAACAACACACTCTTAAAAAGTCAAAAAGGAAAACAAAGAAACACAAAATTGTGAAAAAAATTTGTACAGTAAAGGCTGTTTGAACTGTAACATAGGATGAGAGTCCTGCAAATTCTACTGTAAGTTTGAGAAAGGTTAAATAAAATATAAACACTATAAAAAAATACAAACTAACTCACAATCTTAAAAGATAAACATAATTTTATGATACGATCCAGCAACACCACATTCAAAAATTGATCTAGTACATTTTAAAATATCTCGACAAAAAATAAGGTGCATTCAAATAATTATGGCAGCTTTAGTCATAACATCCACTATCTGTGATCTACCAACATGTCCTTCAATAATTGAATCGATAAACTGTGGTACACACTCATGCAATGGAATGCTGTGCAGTGATAACATGGAATGACCTGTCAAGACTCACAAAGACATGGTTGAATTTGAAATGCAAACTGATAAGTAAGAGAAGTCAGTCTCAAAGGCTGTAGGCCTATTTATATGATTTCTGTAAAAGGCAAACTTACACATTCAAAAAGCATAACAAACTCCAAGTTCAATGAATTCAAGACACCTACCGTGACACACCTTATAATCAAATTATCAAAAGAGAATCTCGAAAGCAGCAAGAGGGAAGTGAATCTTCATATCTAAGAAATCCTTAAGAATCCAATGAATTCAGTGACACCCAGCGTGACACAAATTATAATCAAATTATCAAAAGAGAGAATCTTGAAAGCAGCAAGAGGAAAATGAATCATGATATCTAAGAAATTCTTAAGAAGTAATTGACCAAATGCTCATCAGAAACCTTGGAGATCAAGAGGTAGTGGGATGACATACTTAAAGCCCTAAAATAAAACACTTTCAACCTAGAATCCTATAGCCAGCAAAATTGTCCTTTAAAATGAGGGCAAAATTATGGCATTTCCTGAAATCAAAACTTGAGGCAGTTCACTGCCTGTAGAGTTTCTGTATGAGAAACAACAAAGAGAGACTCTCAGGTTGAAATAAAAGGATGCTGGAGAAAAACTATGTGAAGATACAAAAATCTCTGATAAATGTACACTGGTATATAAAAGCCAGCATTATTGAAATTTTAGCTTGTAACTTCACTTTTTATTTTCTACAAGATTTAAAATGCAAATGAACACAATATAATTACAAATCTGTGTTGGCAAACACACAATATATAAAGATGTAATTTGTGAATTCAACATAAAAACAGGATAAGGTTGTATGAGTCAATTTTCCTTTTCTTTTCTTTTCTTTTTTTTTTTTTTTTTGACACAGACTCACTCCATCACCCAAGCTGGAATGCAGTGGCAGAATCTTGGCTCACTGCAACCTCCGCCTCTGGGCTCAAGCAATTATCTTGCCTTTTTAGTAGTGGAACTACAGGCATGTGCCACCACATCCAGCTAAGTTTTGTATTTTTAGTAGAGACAGTGCATCCTGCCCTGTCATTTCGCCATGTTGGGCAGGCTGGATATGAGTCAACTTTTTGATGCAATTGGGGTTAAACGGGTGTTAATTCAAATTAGATTTCTATAACTTTAGGATACTATACATAATCCCCGATGAAACCACAAAAATATTTTCAAGTATACACAAAAGATAAAAGGCAATAAAATAGCTTTACTACAGAAAATTAAATAAACATAAATCAGACGGTATTGAAACACAAACAGTGTACAGAAAATAGTAAATGCAGAAAGAAGACCTTCCTTATCAGTAATTACTTTAAATGCAAATGAATTAAATTCTCCCCAAAAACACAAATTGGAAGAAAGAATCAAAAAAATTTAAATATAGAACACTCCACCCAACTGCAGCAGGATACTCCTTACAGTTTTCTCAAGAGAACATGGAAGAACACTCTCCAGGATAGACAACATCCATTGGGTTACAGAACAATTTAATATATTTTAAAAGACTAAAATCATACAATGGACCTTTCCAATCACAAGGAAATAAAACTAAAATCTTATAATCAAATTAAAATGGCAAATTTTACAAATTTGTGGAAATTAAACAACGCACTCTTAAACAACCAACAAGTCAAATATGAAATCATAGGGAAAATTAGAAATCGCTTGAGACTACTCACAACAAAACACATCATACCAAACTTATGGGTTGCAGCAAAAAGCAGTGCTAACAGGGAAATTTATAGCCATAACCACATACATTTTTAATGAAAAAAAAAAGATCTCAGATAAATAACCTCATATTGCACTTGGGAAACTACAAAAAGTAAATTAAGCTAAACCCCCCAAAAAGAAAACATGAGCCTAGCATAGAGATACTAATAAAGGACAAGCAAACAGTAGAGAAAAATCAATAACATTGTTTTATTTCTTTGAAAAGTTCAACAAACTTCACAAATCTTTAGACAGAATAACTGCATGAATAAAAACGATGTAAGACTCAAATAGCTAAAATCTTAAAAGAAAGGAGGAACATTACACTGATTTTACAGAAATAAAAAAATTTGAAGAGAAAGCTATAAATAATTCTATGTCAGCTTATTGGATAACACAGTTGGAATGAACAAATTCTTAGAAATATACTGTCTACCAACTCGTGAAGAAATAGATAATTTGAATAGATGTATAATAAGTAAGGAAATTGAATCACTAATGTAAAATCTCACAAGAAAGAAAAATGTTGAACCAGAAGGATTTACTGGAGAAATGTAAAACAATCCTTCTCAAAATCTTTCAAAAAAGAAAGCTGAAAATAGGGACTACTTCCTGTCTTATTCCATGAGGCCCGCCAATACCCTGATACAAAAGCCAGACAAAGACAATACAACTAATGAAAACTACAGAACAATATTCCTCATGAATATGATGCACAAAAGACTCAAAAACATTTAGCATACCAGATCATTCCTGTGGCTCTGGGCAAGATGGCCAACTGGATGCAGCCAGGTGGAACAGCTGCCACTAAGGAACCGAGATTACAGGTGCACTTCTAACAGATATTCAGAGGGAAGGCACTGAGAGTGAACCAAGAGAAGACCCAGAAGTTAGGCTGAAAAGAGAGAAAGCTGGGAGCCCTGCACAGGGACACTACACACCAGAACTCGTTCCTGGCCTCCAGTGACTCCAGGGGAACAGCTGAGCTGAACCAGCAGGGAGGAACCCACTCCCGCCATGGGCCTCTGGAATTCCAGCAGGAGAAGACCCCCTCAACCACCAGGGACACTCCAGTTGGCAGGCAGAACTGCTTAGAGAGGTGACAGAGGCAGCATGCCAGCTGACGTGGAACCCAAGGGGTTTGGTAAGGGAGTGTCTGTAATGGAGCAGGGCTAGGGATGGCCATCTCTCTAGGCTCAACTTGCTCGCATAGGAGACTTTAACCCTTGGGGAGCTGTTGGACCTGAATTCTGCAGGGCAATCTTGCCTTTCAGATGGGGCCAGTCTGACCTGAGCACTCTCTGGTCAGCTGGTGTCTCCTGGGGTACCAGCCTGGATGCACTTCCTTGCAGAACAAACTCTGGTGACTTTGGGACCCACATTTTAGCCTTTGTGCTGGCAGATCACAGCTAACAAATGGAGAACTCCAGCGAGGCAGCTGCCCGTGGTCACCCACCAGCCCATCTGCTCGCTCCACAAACTACAGCTTCCCCTGGGCCCAGAGCAACACCCCATATCACTTTGCCAGCATGTGAGTGCATGAGTGGGTTTTGCTTTCCTCTCCCCACCAGTACATATGAGAGTGTGCATCCTGCCCTGTCACTGCTGCAGTGAGAGTACAGTCAGCTTCCTTCTCCCTGGTGATGGCCATTGCAGTCACATAGCCAGCCAGCCCCAACTTTCATGCCAATGTATACCCTTGTGCCAACACTGCCATGGGAGTGAAACTAGGCACTGGAAACAGTGGAAACTCCTGCACCCCAAACAAAAACCCCAAATTGTTGCACACAGAAAAAGCACACACACCTGCACCCATCAGCACCCTACCCACATACCAACAACACTACAAGTGTGACAACACACAGTCACCAGAAGGGACCTCCTATGCCCTCAAGCCACATTGCCTCTACCACTGTGGTGAATGTCCCCACAGAGGCAGGTACCCTAGCACCTGCAAGAACCCTGCCCCCAGCCCAATAGTATGCACCCTGCCATGCTGCCACTGCTCTTGACACATACAAACAAGAATGGACCCCACTGCCACCACACTGCAAAACACTTTGGCTGACACCACCCATCAGAGTGTAGTGAACAGGGGTCAGGGAGCACCTCAGCCTCCATAGCACAGTGGATTCCTAACCCGGGGGAGCCAAAGAACAAAGTCAAGCCTGACACACTTCCCTCAGAGTTATGGCATGCAGTCCAGGATTTGGGAGCTGAGTGTTGGGACCCTAAAATAGATGAAGCCAGTCATCTGAATTGATGTTATACCACAATCAAAACCTCAAGGTTATCAAATGAGATAAAGAAATTAAAACCCATCCAAATGTCAGCAACTTCAAAGATTGAAGGAATATAAGCACATGAAGATAAGAAAGAATCAGCACAAGAACTCTGACAACTCAAAAAGCCAAGGTGTCTTTGTTCCTCCAAACAACCACACAGCCTCTCTAGCAAGGGTTCTGTACTGAGCTAGGATGGCTGAAGTGGCAGAAATGGAATTTCAATATGGATAGGAAGGAAGATCACTGAGATGTAGGAGTATGTTGAAACCCAATCCAAGGAAGCTAAGAATCACAATAAAACAACACAGGAGCTGACTGACAAAATAGCCAGTAAAGAAAAGAACATAACTGACCTGAAAAAGCTGAAAAACACTACAAAATTCATTTTTTGTTATGTCATAATGCAATCACAAGCATTAACATCTGAATAGACCAGGCAGAGAAAAGAATCCCAGAGTTCAAACACTGAAATAAGACAGCCAGACAAGAAAAGATAGAAATGAATGAAAAGGAATGAATGAAGCCTCAGAAAAATATGGTATTTCATAAAGAAATCAAGTTAGTGATACATTGGTGTTGCTGAAAGAGAAGGGAAGTGTGTAACCAACTTGAAATGTATTTCCAGATATTATCATCCATGAGATCTTCCCCAGCCCAGCTAGAGAGGTAGACATTCAAATTCAGAAAATGCAGAGAACCCAAGTAAGATACTACAGAAGAACATCATCTGCAAGACACATAATCATCAGATTCTTCAAGGTCAAATGAAAGAATAAATGCTAAAGGCAGCTAGAGAGAAAGATCAGGTCACCTACATAGGGAAGCCATTTAGACTAAAAACAGACCTCTCAGCAGAAACCGTACAAGCAAGAAGAGATTGGGAGCCAATATACAACATTCTTAGAGAAAAGAAATACCAACCCAGAATTTCATATCTAGTCAAACTCAGCTTCATAAGTTAAAGAGAAAAAAGATCCTTTTCGGACAAGCAAAGGCTAAGGGAATTTGTTACCCCCAGACCTACCTTACTAGAGCTCCTAAATGGAGCACTAAATATAGAAAGGAAAAACAATTATCAGCAACTACAGAAACACACTTTAGTACACAGACCAGTGACACTATAAGGCAACCACATAAACAAGTTTTTAGAATAACCAGCTAATATCATGCCACAATCAAATCCACATGTATCAATACTAACCTTGAATGTAAATGGGCTATATGCCCCAATTAAAACGCAGAGTGGCAAACTGAAAAAAGAACAAAGACCCATTGGTATGCTGTCTTCAAGGGACCAATCTCACATACAATGACCCACATAGGCTCAAAGTAAAGGGATGGAGAAAAATCCACCAAACAAATGAAAAACAGAAAAAAGCAGGGGTTGCCATCCTAATTTCAGTCAAAAGAGACATTAAACCAGCAAACGTCCAAAAAAAGACCAAAAACAGCATTACATAATGGTAAAAGATTCAAAGCAACAAGACAACCTAACTATCTTAAATATATGTGGACCCAGCACAGGAGAACTCAGATTTATCAATCAAGTTCTTAGGGACCTTCAAAGAGATTTAGACTCCCCAGTAATTATAGTGGGAGACTGAAAAGTAAGATACAACAGAAGAACATCATCTGCAAGACACATAGTCATAAGATTCATCACAAGGACTGTATTAGACACATCATAGAGACAGAAAACTAACAGTGTTATTCACTACCAAAACTTAGCACTGGATCAAATGTACTTGCTAATAATCTACAACTGTTCACCTAAAAACAACAGAATATATATTCTTCTCATTGCCACATGGCTCATAGTCTAAAATCCATCACAAGATAGGAAATAAAATACTCCTAAGTAAATACAAAAGAACTGAAATAATAACAACCAATTTCTCAAACCACATTGGAATAACATTAGAAATTAAGACTAAAAAATTCACTCCAAAACATACAATTACTTAGAAATTCAGTAGCCTGCTTCTGAATATCTTTTGGATAAATAATCAAATTAAGGAAAAAAATCAAGAAGTTCTTAAGCTACAACATACCAGAATCTCTGGGACACAGCTAAGTCAGTGTTAAGAGGGAAATTTATAGCACTATAACACAAAGAAACCCCATCTCTACTAAAAATACAAAAAATTAGCCAAACGTGGTAGTGGGCACCTGTAGTCACAGCTACTCGAGAGGCTAAGGCAGGAGAATTGCTTGAAACAGGGAGGTGGAGGTTGCAGTGAGTCGAGATCACGCTACTGCAATCCAGCCTGGGCAACAGAGAGTGACTCCATCTCAAAAAGAAAAAAAAAATCTGGAAAGATCTCAATGCAAAAACATAACATCACAAATAAAAGAATTAGAGAACCAAGAGAAAACTAACTGCAAAGCAAGAAGATTATAAGAAATAACTGAAATCAGAGGCATACTGAAGGACATTGAGACACAAAAAACCATTCAAAAGATCAACAAATCCAGGAGGTGGTTCTTGAGAAAAATGATGAACTAAGTAGACTACTAGTTAGACTAATAAAGAAGAAAAAGATCCAAATAAACACAATTAGAAAAAACAAAGGGGATATTACCACTGACTCCACAGAAATACAAATAAACATCAGAGAATATTACAAACATCTCTATGTACATAAGCTAGAAAATATAGAAAAAACAAATGCATTCTTGGACACATACACCCTCCAAACCCTGAGCCAGGAAGAATTTGCATTTGTGAAAGGACCAATAATGAGCTCCAAAATTGAATCAGTAATAAATAGCCTACCAGCCGAAATAAGCCCAGGACAAAACAAATTCATAGCTGAATTCTACCAGATGTGCAAACAAGAGCTTATATCATTTCTGCTGGAACTATTCCAAAATATTGAGGAGGAACTCCTCCCTAACTCATTCTGTGAGGCCAGCATCATCCTGATAACAAAACCTGACACAGACCCAACAAAAAAAGAAAACTTCAGGCCAATATCCTTGATGAATGTCAATGCAAAAATCCTCAAAAAAATACTGGCAAACTGAATCCAGCAACACATCAAAAAGCTTATCTACCACAATCAAGTTGGCTTTACCCTTGGGATGCAAGGTTGGTTCAACATAGGCAAACCAAAAACTGTGATTCATTACGTAAACAGAACTAAAGACAAAAAATCACAAGATTATCTCAATAGATGGAGAAAAGGCTATCCATAAAATTCAACACCCTTTCATGTTAAAAACTCTCAAACTAGGTATTAAAGAAACAGACCACAAAATAATAACAGCCATCTATGACAGACCCACAGCCAACATCATACAGAATGAGAGACAAGAGACTGAGAAAAGAAATAAGACACAGAGACAAAGTATAGGGAAACAACAGTGAGCCCAGGAGACCGGCACTCAGCACACCAAGGACCTGCACCAGCACCAGTCTCTGAGTTCCCTCAGTTTTTATTTATTATTATTTTCATTATTTCAGCAAAAAGGAATGTAGTAGGAGAGCAGGGCGATAATAAGGAGAAGGTCAGCAAAAAACATGTGAGCAAAAGAATCTATGTCATAATTAAGTTCAAGGGAATGTACTATGCCTGGATGTGCATGTAGGCCAGATTTATGTTTCTCTCCACCCAAACATCTCAGTGGAGTAAAGAATAACAAGGCAGCATTGCTGCAAACATGTCTCATCTCCCACCATGGGGTGGTTTTTCTCTGATCTCAGAATTGAACAAATGTAAAATCGGGTTTTATACCGAGACATTCAGTTCCCAGGGGCAGGCAGGAGACAGCGGCCTTCCTCTATCTCAACTGCAAGAGGCTTTCCTCTTTTACTAATCCGCCTCAGCACAGACCCTTTATGGGTGTCAGGCTGGGGGACGGTCAGATGCTTCTCATCCCACTAGGCCATATTTCAGACTATCACATGGGGAGAAACCTTGGACAATACCCCGTTTTCAAGGGCAGAGGTCCCTGCAGCTTTCTGCAGTGCATTGTGCCCCTGGTTTACTGAGACTAGAGAATGGCAATGACTTTTACCAGGTATACTGCTTGTAAACATTTTGTTAACAAGGCACATCCTGCACAGCCCAAGATCCCTTAAACCTTGATTTCATACAACACATGTTTTTGTGAGCTCCAGGCTGGGGCAAAGTGGCTGGGGCAAAGTGGCTGGGGCAAAGCTACAAATTAACAACATCTCAGCAAAGCAATTGTTCAAAGTACAGGTCTTTTTCAAAATGGAATCCTTATGTCTTCCCTTTCTATATAGACACAGTAACAGTCTGATCTCTCTTTCTTTTCCCTACGCACAAGAGAAGAATGCCCTCTCTCACCACTCCTATTCAACATAGTATGGGAAGTCCTGGCCAGAGCAATCATGGAAGGTGAGGAAAGAAAGGGCATCGAAATAGGAAGAGGATAAGTCAAACTATTTCTGTTTATACACGACATGATACTATATCTAGAAAACCCTATGTTCAAAGACCAAAAGGGTTTTTCAGCTGATAAAAAACTTCAGCAAAACTTCAGGATTCAAAATCAATGTACAAAAATTACTAGTACTCCCGTACACCAACAACCAAGACAAGAGTCAAATTAGGAACACAATCCCATTCACAATTGCTACAAAAATAATAAAGTACCTAGGAATATAGCTAACCAGGGAGGTGAAAGATCTCTACAAGGAGAATTCTAAAACACTGCTCAAATAAATCAGTGGTAACACAAACAAATGGAAAAGCATTCCATACTCATGAATGGGAAGAATCAATATCCTTAAAAGGGCCATATTGGCTGTGCACAATGGCTCACACCTGTAATCCCAGTACTTTGGGAGACCGAGGCAGGCAGATCACGACGTCAGGAGATTGAGACCATCCTGGCTAACACAGTGAAACCCTATCTCTACTAAAAATACAAAAAATTAGCTGGGCCTGGTGGTGGACACCTATAGTCCCAGCTACTCAGGAGGCTGAGGCAGGAGAATGGCGTGAACCCAGGAGGCAGAGCTTGCAGTGAGCCAAGATTGGGCCACTGTACTCCAGCATGGGCAACAGAGTGAGACTCCATCTCAAAAAAAAAAAAGAAAACAAAACAAAACAAAAGAAAAAAGGCCATATTGTCCAATTTACAGATTCAATGTGACTCCTATCACACTACCAATGACATTCTTCACAGAACCAGAAAAAAATTTTTTTTAATTCATATGGAATCAAAAATCAGCCCAAATAGCCAAGGTAATTCTAAGCAAAAAGTACAAAGCTGGAGACATCATGCTACCCAACTATAAACTATACTGCAAGGCTACCATAAATGAAACAGCGTGATACTAGTGGAAAAACAGACACATACACTAATGAAACAGAATAGGGAACCCAGAAATAAGACAACACACCTGTATCTACCTGATCTTCTAAAAACTTTTTAAAAACAAGCATGGGAAAAGGACTTCCTGTTCAGTAAATGGTGCTAGGATAACTGACTAACATATGCAGAAGATTGAAACTGGATACCTTCTTTACATCATATACAAAAATCAACTCAAGATGAATTAAAGACTTAAATATAGAACCCAAATCTATAAAAACCCTGGAAGACAACCCAGGCGATACGTTTCTGAACATAGGAACTAGCAAAGATTTCATGACGAAGATGCCAAAAGCAATTGCAAAGAAAAGAAAATTGACAAATGAGATCTAATTAAACTAAAGAACTTCTGCATAGCAAAGGAAACTATCAAGAAAGTTAACAGACAACCTAAAGAATGGGAGAAAAATTTTGCAAGATACACATCTTATAAGGGTCTGATATCCAGCATCTATAAGGAATTTGAACAAATTTACAAGAAAAAAAACAGCGCCATTGAAAAGTGCATGAAAGACAGGAACAGACACTTTCAAAAAGAGACATACATGCCATATGAATAAAAGCTCAATGTCAAGGATCGTTGGAGAAATGCAAATCAAAACCACAATGAGATACAGTCTCACACCAGTCAGATGGCTATTATGAAAAGTAAAAAAAAAAAAAAAGAGGTGCTAGAGAGGTTGAAGACAAAAATAAATGCTTATACACTGTTGGTGGGAGTGTAAATCTATTCAAATATTGTGGAATACACTGTGGCAATTACTCAAAGAACTAAAATTAAATAACTACCATCAAAAGCAGCAATCCCATTACTTGGTATATACCCAAAGGAATGTAAACCATTCTACCATAAAGACATGTTAACGTGTTATGTTCATTGCAGCCCTATTCATAATAGCAAAGACATGGAACCAAACTAAGTGCCCACTGATGATAGACTAGATAAAGAAAAAGTGGTACATATACACCATGAAATACTATGCAGCCATAAGAAGAAATGAGACTGTGTCCTTTACAGGTACATGGATGGAGCTGGAGGCAATTATGCTTAGCAAACTAATGCAGAAACAGAAAACCAAATACGACATGTTCTTACTTAAAACAGCAAGTTAAATGATGAGAACACATGGACACATAGAAGGAGACAGCAGACCATGGGGCCTACCACAGGGTGGCAGTTATGGGGAAGGAAAAGATCACAAAAAATAACTAATGAGTACCAGAATTAATACCTGGGTGATGAAATAGCTGTATGATAAGCGCCTATGACACAAGTTTAAGTATATAACAAACCTGCATATGTACCCCTGAACTTAAAATAAAAACTTAAAAAAAGCAGATGCCAAAGAAGATGCAAAGAAAAATGTCTTATATGCTCTTGGTAAGGATGTAAATTAGAACAGCTGCTGTGGAAAACAGTAAGATTTATCCAAAAAACTAAAAATAGAATTATCATTCAATCCAGCAATCCAACTACAGTGTATCTATCCAAAGGAAAAGAAATCAGATTATGAAAGGGTTGCCTAAACTCCCATGGTTATTGCAGCACTATTCACAATAGCAAAGATGTATAACCTAAGCATCCATTAATGAATGAATGGACAAAGAAAAGATAGAATATACATGCAAAGAAATACTATTTCATTGTAATAAAAAGAATGAATTCCCATCATTGGAAGCAACATATATTCAAATGGAGGTCATTATGTTAAGTAAAATAAATCAAGCAGAGATAGACAAATATTGTGTGTTTTCACTCATATGTAGGAGCTGCAAAATTTGATCTATAAATGTAGAGAGTAGAATGATAGATACCAGAAGCAGGGAAGGGAGTTCAGGGGATGGAGAATGATAAAACACTGGCTAATGAGTACAAACATAGAGATATATAAAAGGAGTAAGTTTTAATATTTGATAGCAGAGTAGGGTGACTACAGTTTACAACAACATATTGTATTTTTCAAAATAGCTAGAAGAGAGGAATTAAAATGTTTCCAACAAAGACAGAAATGATAAATGCTCAAGGTGATGAATGCCCTAAATTTCCTAATATCCCGGCTTTATCATTACACATTTGATCCATGTAACAATATATCACACGTATCCCAAAAATGTGTATAAGTATTAGGAACCAATAAAAACAGAGTCTTCGATAGCATTAGGAGTTATACCTAATGCTAAATGACGAGTTAATGGGTGCAGCATACCAATATGGCACATGTATACATATGTAACAACCCTGCATATTGTGCACACGTACCCTAAAACTTAAAGTATAATAATAATAAAATTTAAAAAAAAACAGAGTCTTCTTATTTTTTATATTAGTTACATCCAAGCCACTCTATTGCTGGAACAAATATGGTAGTGGTTGTCATGGGGAGTGATGATGATGATGATGATGATGGTGGTGGTGGTGGTAATGGTGGAAACAATGATGATATGTTACTGCCAATAAACTTCTAAAATGACAGCTAATTATGTGTCAGGCATTGCGACAACAAAATTTCAGATAGTAATTAGATTTATCCCAAGACTAGTTTGTTAAGTAAATGTTATTTTGGTCGCTTTGCAATAAAGAGATTGACATTCACAGAAGTTGAATAATATGTTCCTCAAATCAATCAAACACTAATTAAGGAAAATAAAAGTGGTTTAAATAATACAGACATAATCTTTGATATGACCCAAATTTTAAGATTCTGACTGTGGTTGAAAGAAAGGTGGAAATAAACCCAAATGATTATATAATTTTACTAATAAAGCAGATTTGAAAAGAAACAAAAGATCCATTCACAAATACGTATGCAAAGATATTTTATTCAGGGAGTGAAAGAAAAGTGACAATTGCACAGGTGTTAGAAGCCCATGCCCAGGTGACAGACAGACACAGAAAACATCAACAGCATTTTTTGATGGTTCCCAGGGACAGAGCTGCTGGTCCTTCTTCCAAAGCTCTGGGAACTGACACTGCTGAGGACTTCCTTTCTCAGTCTCCACCTGGACAGTGGCAATATGGCAGCCTCAGAAAGGAAACCTTTTGCTATCAGGGATCATCATGGGCAGATCACTGGCTAAGAGGAAAGAAGCTAACTGTGTATCCATGGTAGGCTTTGATGAGAAGATGCAGGTGAAGCTGTGGAACAAGGTGAGCCAATTATCCTTATCCTTTCATGCTCCTGATGAATTCTGAAGCTGTTACTTGCTCTTGGGTGGACACTTTGGCTGGCAGGGTGGGGAAGGTGTCACAGGAGGACATTTTTGCTGGCACTGCTGAGGTGGGCAGGGCTGTGGACACTTTGGTGGTGGGCAGGGCTCAGGGCACTTCGGGGGTGGACATGGCTCTGGGCACTTTGGCGTGGGGCACACAGGAGGTGGCTGGCAGGGCTGCTTGCACTGCTGCTGTTGATAAGACATCCTGCTGGAGTCTCAGAATCTGAAAGAAATGATATGACAGTGTTCACAGGAATGGACTCCTCCAGAGAGAGAAGCCAAAGCTTATGTAATACCATGGCATATTATTTCTCCAATCTCCAAAAATTTATTTAAACTCTTAGCTCTCTTTTCATGACTTCCTGTCTTCTCCTTTCCACTTTAGCAAGTTGTTTCATCAGCCCTAGGAATTCCTGCCTTTCCTCATACAATTTTTCCAAAGAAAACATCTCTATAATAAAGAAGCAAGCATGTTATTCCATGAAAATGACATCTTCAGGAAAGGCAGTCACAAGTTCAGACCTCCTGGGCAATCTCACAAGCTATTCCTATCATCATTATCTGTTGTAAAGCACCAGTGGGTTGACTTGGGCACAGAGCAAGGGCTGTTCAGGAAGAAGTACTGGCTCTCACACCTGCTAAGACACAAACCTTTGAAAAGGATACCAGGAAAATATGGAAAAGAGAAAAATACTTCATCCCTTTCTTCAAACCAAAACTTTCCTATTAACTTCTCTGTCCATATGGACATATAATTGTACATTTTTTAAAAATCTGTGTAAAACACTGTATCATGTAATCTAATCCTGTAGTTCCATCAACTAAGTACCATCAAACCTATGATCACAGGTTTGGATCCACCAAACT
This sequence comes from Homo sapiens, assembly GCF_000001405.40. Taxonomy (NCBI): domain Eukaryota; kingdom Metazoa; phylum Chordata; class Mammalia; order Primates; family Hominidae; genus Homo; species Homo sapiens. Next base: position 153,094,415 of record NC_000001.11, read on the forward strand.
TGCTGGATTCAGGTTAAATTCAACACTTCAGGGCACAAAGAACAGAGGAACTCAAGGAAGCAGACTCACCAGGTTCTCCAAAGCAGATCAGTGCTCAAGTACCAGGAGTTTAGGAGTTGTAGAGCAGAGAACCTCTTTATAGGGCCTGCTACCCCACCCAGCAGGAAGTGGAACTACCCAAAACTGGGCTGGCCCAGCAATGTCCCAACTAAAATGCAAATCTATCCATAACTGGCATGACAGGGATTCTCAAACTGGGAAATATCCTGTTCTGGGATCTTTCCACTGGATTAAGTGCCCTGACTCACTGAGGCCCTGCCTTAGATCTCAGTTTCAGTGACAGCAAAGAGGGACTTGGGGGATTCTCTAACTGGTGGTCAAGGGCTCTCTTTCTTGATTGGGGGCAATGAATGCTTCCTGTCTTACACATTCCCTAAATCATAAAACTTCCTGCCCTGATCCACTTTAGCTGAATGCCATATTGTTTGTACATGAACCCATCTCCACCTCTACTTTCCTTGTACAATTTGCCAATGTGCTAGAAGGAAGGAGAGACCTAACAAAGGCCTGAGTTCTGGCCCCAGATTTTTTTGCTAAGCTGTATGACCACAGCCAGGTCAACTCTCCTCCCTGGAACTGTAAACAGAAGAGCATCTTATTTACCTCTGGGTTTGGAGGCACTGACCACATTGTGCCATCTGTTGATCCTGTTCAAGCCTGAAATTTTCTGCTCCACCTCTTTCTCTTGCAGAAACCCAGATTTTACCTATATTCCTTTCCTCTTTGAGGGTTGTCTTCTACAACCCTCAAAGAGGCACTTGTGTCCCAAGATAGATACCAGAGTGAGATCCAGTCTCTCCAGTACATTTGCCACTGCTACCATCAAGGGAGTGTACTACAGGCTTTTCATTTGTAAAACTGTACTCTTATTCACCACATTAAGAAAATGGAGAAAAGGGAACCAAAGTTACAAGCATTCATTTTAAATCTATGTATTGAACCATGCCTGTATGTTTCCCTGTGAACATCATATAGAGAACAAGATGCATAGACTCACAGTATCTTATGTAAATAATTAGAAGTTTTCCAGAATAGAGGTCAGAGCACTTAAAGTCTGAAATCTAGGGGAAAATATAAACTCAGTGTGATCCTATGTGTTTGCTTTCTCTACCTCTCTTTCCAAACAGGTTTTAGTCTTTGAAAAATGGTATTTTTTAATTTGTTTGTATGTTCTTCCATTGTCTTTTCCAAAAGCTCTCTAGCCCCACAACCTGCTAGATTATCAACTCACACCCCAATGTATACCTCTCATCTGTTCATTTTAGTACACATTGTTCACTCGATACGTATGTTGTCAATGTGAATGTCTTTCACATCTTTTTAAAACTCTTCCTGCAATCAATGGGGCTTACTAAACATTGTATATTAAACATTTAAAACAGTGCTGCTGGAGCTTTCTTATCTGGGCTAATGATCAGGAAGCTTTCCAAGAATGTGATTTTATAATTGGAGAAGAAGAAGGAAGAGGAAGATAAGGAAAAAGAGGAAGAGGAGTGACTCAAATTCTTTGGAGCACTCACCAGCTATGCTCCAGATAGAGCAAGAACACTGAATCAACCCAGCATCACATCTCTCAGTTAAGCAGGTTAGGTTTCCAGATCTGCAATTGCTCCAGTCTTTAAGGAAGAGCTTTTGGCCAAGATCACTGTGGCCAGATGCTGCAGAAATACAACTATCATGTCAGCACCTTTGCGCCAGGTGTTTACAAATAGTGTTCTCACCAAATGCTTCCTATAGACTATTACACATGCCAAGCACAGTGGGTAAAGTAAACAGACTTCACTCAATAGGTCACCTACTCCTCCCCAGAGTCTCACATCACATCTACAACACAGATCCTTAGAGAAATGTCTGATTTCTAACATGCAAAATTGGAGAATTGGCTGCCAAATGAGATCACTGTGTGAGATAATACAGTTTGGGTCATGCCCTGAGACTCCCCTTCTGAGAACACCCCACTCAAACAGGCTGTTTATCACAGCAGTGCAGGCACCAGAGCAGCAGCAGCCCTAGTGCCCCCAGCATCTCAGACAGGCTCACTTTACAAGTTGAGGTGATGAACTTGAAGCTAAGAGTTCCTCACAGTCCAGGTACATGAAGAGCAGCCACAACATGAAGAGGGGCAGCTACTAGTCACAGCTTCCCCAAGTTATGACATCCAGGCCCTGAAACATAGAGTGAGGCATACTTCACACACACACATACACACACTCACACTCACATACCATGAGTCTTTATCTGTCATCTATCTACATGTCTAAAGAGGTTAGCTTTATCTTCTTTAAGAGTCTGATAGCCTTAGTTAGGTTCATTCCTATTACTTCTACTCCATAATTTTCTAGGGGATCATTAAGTATGAATTATTAGTACTTAAAAATGACAGGAAAGAACAGATACCTTTAACATTTTGCGATTCAGAAAGTATATTTGAATTTTATTAATTATATATTCACTCATGTGTGTTTGTGTTTATAATGCTATGAAATTTACATCACGTACGTAGCATTGGCTACTACTACAGTCAAGATACATAACTGTTCCATTACCACAAGGCTCCTCTGCTCCCCACTTATAGCCATAACCACCCCTCCTTTCCCAAATATTTACCTCTAGTAAATATTACTCTTTTATCCATCTCTATGATTTCATTATTTTAAGAATATTTGAGTGAATTTATACATCATGTAACCTTTTGAGAATTGCTCTTTTTTTCACATAACATAATTTCATAGAAGTCCATTCACTTTGTGCAAACACTTTTAATTTTGTCTAATGCTTGATTCAACATTTTATCTCACATTTTAATACTATACATTCCACTAAACAAAATAGTACTGGCAAATAAAGTTTTAAAATTAAATAGAAAAAAATTAAAAAACAGGAATTATGGTAAAATATTCTTGGTATGTTCAGAGATATGGTAACTGCAACTACCCATGCATATCTGCCTTCTGCTTTTATTTCTGAATGAAAGGCTAAGCCTAGCATTTGTCCTTCCTTGCTGAATCCGATAAATTACAGAACATACATAAGGTAGAATAGCGAAGATCATTAAGGTGGATGTTTTGGAAGATTATTTAATATAATTTAAAATATTCTAATTGTACTAAAACATACATAAAGCATGACAACATTTTTGTCAACATTTATTAAAAGATAGGAAACATATGAAACAATATATGAAATGTGATTTTATATGGCTGGTGAAATTACAGATGATGTTTATTTTCTTGTTTTACTTTTCAAAATATTCTCCAAATGTTACCTATTATTGAGGTAAGAATCTTAAAATTCTACTTTGAAAAACTGACAACAGACAAGCCTGTCCATTTTTCAATTAGTGAGATAATGGTCTTTTTTCTTTTCAGCATTTTTGGCCAGAGACCAAGGGTGGGGCTGGATGTAAGTAGCAGTTGCTTTATTGTTATAGCTCTACATTGGATCACATCGCTTCTAAAATCTCTCTTGAAGAAAACCCCGATAATATTCCCCATCCTCATAGCAGTGACATATGTACACAGAAGCCACAGACACCCAATATCCATATGTATCTATAAAACAGTTCACCAAAATTGGCAGATCTTCCTAGGGTAAAAAACAATCAGGAATGGGTTTGTCTACTATCCAAGACCCAGACAGATACAAATCATAAAATTGGCCATAATATGATGAAATTGGAAGTAATGGATGATGAGTAGACAGGTAATAAATATAATAGAACATAGTGATAACAATAGTACCTACCACTAAATTGTCATGAGAAAAAAAATTAAATCAGAGACTTCATATAAAGTACTTAGCACAGGCTACAGATAATACTCAAAATAGTAAAGAAACACATGGTTAATCAAAGAGATAGAGGCAAAACATCGATTTCAAGTTGTTTATGGTTAAGAAAGGTATCAGCTTTCTCTTTAAGATTGTTTATATAATCCTTGTTTTAAGTGTGTGCCAGAAGTTTTTAGGAAAAAGCAAATGCAAATGTATGATTTGAATGAAGTGTGCAGAAATAAGATAGACTGTTCTGCACTTTTGTTCTTATGTGTTACAAATGAGAGTTAACCTAAGCAGAAACTTAGAACAAAGGATACAAAAAAAGTTTTAATTTGTCCATGTTATTTGAACTGTCTACGGACTTCTTCTCAATTCAGTTAGTACAAGAAAAAATAAATCTAAAAACAATAAATAGCAGTATGTTGATTTATTGATTTGCAAAATATTAACATGTATAGATATTTTTATTCTGTGTGAAAATATATATAATGGTTTATTCTGTGTCAAAAAAATATATAATGTTACCTCCCATTTAGTCTACTGTTACTGTGGTTAGCTGTTTAGCACAATAAAAATATTGCTCATTTAAATATCACAAACTTCAGCTGGCAAACTACCTAAATTTTAGGCTAAATCCTTATAAAAAACTGAATACCTCATTAGCACTAATCTTTCCAAAGTGTATAAACCTTATAAATTCTACTTTTATTTTCTCCTTATGTTAGACCCGAATATTTAAGAGCAAAATTCAAGAGCTATTAGTAATATAAAGTACTCCTATATGCTTAGTGTTAATGAGATTAAGAAGGCTATGTGGTCAATGATGGAATGAATCAGACACTTCTCCTTGTAAGAATCTTTTGAAGAAAGTGAACGTGCATAGGCTGTGGTCTCCCTCAAAAAAAAAACTCAAAAGGAAAACAAAGAAACACAAATAAAATTGTGAAAAAATTTGGAGAGAAAAGACTGTCTGAACTCTAACATAGGATGAGAGACCTGAAAATTCTACTGTAAGTTTGAGAAAGGTTAAATAAAATATAAACACTATGAAAAAAATCCAAACTAACTTACAATCTTAAAAGATAAGCATAACTTTATGATATGATCCCGCAATAACACGTTCAAAAATTGATCTAGTACATTTTAAAATATCTTGACAAAAAATAATGTGCATTCTGTATACATATGTAACTAACCTGCACATTATGCATTTGTACCCTAAAACTTAAAGTATAATAATAATAATAATAAAATAAAAAATAATGTGCATTCAAATAATTATAGCAGCTTTAGTCATAAAATCCACTATCTGTGATCTACCAAGATATCCTTCAATAATTGAATCGATAAACTGTGGTACATCACACCCATGCAATGGAATGCTGCACAGTGATAACATGGAATGACGTGTCGAGACTCACAAAGACATGGTTGAATTTGAAATGCAAACTGATACGTAAGAAAAGTCAGTCTCAAAGGCTATAGGCCCATTTATATGATTTCTGTAAAAGACAAAATTACACATCCAAAAAGTGCAACAAACTCCGAGTTCAATGAATTCGGTGACACCCACCGTGACACACATTACAATCAAATTATCAAAAGAGAATCTTGAAAGCAGTAAGAGGGAAGTGAATCATCATATCGAAGAAATCCTTAAGAAGTAGGTGACCAAATGCTCATCAGAAACTTTAGAGATCAGCAGGTAGTGGGATGACATATTTAAAGCCCTAAAATAAAACACTTTCAACCTAGAATTCTACACACGGCAAAATTGTCCTTTAAAATGAAGGCAAAATTATGGCATTTCCAGAAATTAAAACTTGAGGCACTTCATTGGCCCTAGATTTTGTGTATGAAAAATTATAAAGAGAGACTCTCAGGTTGAATTTCAGGATGCTGGAGATAAACTATATGAAGATATAAAAATCTCTGATAAATGTACACTGGTACATAAAAGCCAGCATTATTGAAATTTTAGCTTGTAACTCCACTTTTTATTTTCTACAAGATTTAAAATGCAAATAAATACAATATAATTACAAGTCTGTGTTAGTGAACACACAATGTATAAAGACGTAATTTGTGACTCAACATAAAAACAGGATAGGTTTGTATGAGTCAACTTTTTTTTCTTTTTGACAATCTCAATGCATCACCCAGTGTGGAATGCAGTGGCATGATGTTGGCTCACTGCAACCTCCACCTCTGGGCTCAAGCAATTCTTTCCTCAGCCTCCTTAGTAGTGAAATTACAGGCATGCGCCACCACACCCAGGTAATTTTTGTATTTTTAGTAGAGACAGGGTTTCGCCATGTTGGCCAGGCTGGGTATGAGTCAACATTTCGATGCAATTGAAGTTAAACGAGTGTTAATTCAAGTAGATTACTATAACTTTAGGATATAATATATTATCCCCATTGAAACCACAATAATATTTTCAAGTATACACAAAAGATAAAAGGCAATAAAATAGTTTCACTACAAAAAAATCAAATAAACATAAATCAGACAGTATTGAAAAACAAACATTATACAGAAAAGACTAAATGCAGAAAGAAGACCTTCTTTATCAGTAATTACTTTAAATGTGAATGAATTAAATTCTTCCCAACAATACAAATTGGAAGAATGAATCAAAAAGAAAAAAATTCAACTATTTATTGTTTAAAAGAGACTAACTTTACAGCTAAAGACACAAAGAAGGTGAAAGTAATAGGATGGAAAAAGATACTTCATGTAAATGGTAGCCAAAAGAGACCAGAGGTGGCTACGCTAACATCAGACACAATTAACTTTAAGTTGAGAACTGTTATAAGACTCAACAAAAGACACATGTATTGATAGAGATTTGTTCACCAAGAAAATAGAGAAGTTATAAACATACATTTACTAAACATCAGAACTACAAAATATATGAAGATACAGTGAGAGAAATTAAAAGAAGTTGATAGGTCTATAATAAATGTTGAAAACTCAAATAATTCACTGTCAGTGAATATTTAGTGAATTCTCATTAGTGAATTCTCATGGCTAGAATAATAGAGGTTCGAAACAATAGAGGACTTAAATATATAAGCCAATCGGACCAAACAGACAAATATAGAACACTCTACCCAACAGCAGCAGGATACTCCTTACAGTTTCCTCAAGAGAACATGGAAGAACACTCTCCAGGATAGACCACATATTAGGCTACAAAACAAGTTAATATATTTTAAAAGACTAAAATCATGCAATGGACTTTTCCAATCACAAGGAAATAAAACTAAAAACATAATCAAATTAAAACAGCAAATTTCACAAATTTGTGGAAATTAAACAACACACTTAACCAACAAGTCAAATATGAAATCATAGGGAAAATTAGAAATCACTTGAGACTACTGACAACAAAACACATCATGCCAAAACTTATGGGTTGCAGCAAAAAGCAGTGCTAACAGGAAAATTTATAGCCATAACCACATACATTTTTAATGTAAAAAAAAATATCAGATCAATAATCTCATGTTACACTTAAGAAACTACAAAAAGTAAAGTAAGATGAACCCCAAAAAAGAAAATATGAGCCTAGCGTAGAGATACTAATAAAGGACAAGCAAACAGTAGAGAAAAATCAATAACATTAAGTTTTATTTCTTTGTAAAGATCAACAGACTTGACAAATCTTTAGACAGATTAACTACAGGAATAAAAAATGATGTAAGACTCAAATACCTAAATTCTTAAAAGAAAGGAGGAAGGCTACTACTGATTTTACAGAAATGAAAACAATTTGAAGAGGAAACTATAAATAATTCTATGTCAGCTTATTAAATAACCCAGTTAAAATGAACAAATTCTTAGAAATATACTGTATACCAAATCAAATCATGAAGAAATAGATAATTTGAATAGATATACAATAAGCAAGGTGATTGAATCACTAATCTAAAATCTCACTAGAAAGAAAGGTGTTGAACCAGAAAGATTTACTGGATAAATGTAAAAAAATCCTTCTCAAAATCTTCAAAAAAGAAAACTGAAAATAGAGACTACTTCCTGTCTTGTTCCATGAGGCCCGCCACTACCCTGATACAAAAACCAGACAAAGACCCTACAAGAAATGAAAACTACAGAACAATATTTCTCATGAATATTGAAGTAAAAAACACTCAAAAACATTTAACATCCCAGATAATTCCTTTGTCTCTGGGCAAGATGGCCAACTGGATGCAGCCAGGTGGAACAGCTGCCACTAAGGGACCGAGGTAACAAGTGCACTTCTAACAGATATTCAGAGGGAAGGCACTGAGAGTGAACCAAGGGAAGACCCAGAAATGAGGCTGAAAAGAGAGAAAGTTAGGAGCCCTGCACAGGGACACTATACACCAGGACTGGTTCCTGGCCTCCAGTGACTCCAGGGGAACAGCTGAGTTGAACCGACAGGGAACAACCCACTCTCGCCATGGGCCTCTGGAATCCCAGCAGGGGGAGACACCCTTAACCACCAGGGATGCTCCAGTTGGCAGGGAGAGCTGCTTAGGGAAGTGACAGGGGCAGCATGCCAGCTGATGTGGAGCCTAAAGGGTTTGGTAGGGGAGTGTCTGTAATGGAGCAGGGCCAGGGATGGCCATCTCCCTAGGCTCAACTTACTCACATAGCAGACTTTAGCCCTTGGGGAGCTGTTGGACCTGAACTCTGCATGGCAATCTTACCCTTCAGATGGGGACAGTCTGACCTGAGCACCTCCTGGTCAGCTGGTCTCTCCTGGGGTGCCAGCTTGGATGCACTTCCTTGCAGGGCAAACTCGGGCGACCTTGGGACCCACATTTTAGCGTCTGTGCTGGGAGAACACAACTAACAAATGGAGAACTCCAGTGGGGCAGCCACCCAGGGTCACCCACAAGCCCACCTGCTCACTCCTAACACTGCAGCCTCCCTGGGGCCCAGAGCAACACCCCATATCACTTTGCCAGCATGTGAGTGCATGAGTGGGTTTTGCTTTCCTCTTCTCATCAGTAGATGTGAGAGTGTGCATCCTGCCCTGTCACTGCTGCAGTGACAGTACAGTCAGTCCATTCTCCCTGGTGATAGCCATTGCAGTCACATAGCCAGCCAACCCCATCCCTGCCAATGCACCGCCCATGCCAGTGTATACCCCATGCCAACAATGGGAGTGAAACCAGGCAATGAAAACAATGGAAACTCCTGCACCCCAAACAACCACCCTTAACTGCAGCACACAGAAAAAAGACACAGACCCGCACCCACCAGCACCCTACCCATATACCAACAACACTACAAGTGTGACAGCACACACAGTAACCAGCAGGGACCCCCTACAGCCCCAAGCCACAATGCCTTCACCACTGTCGTGAACATCCCCACAGAGGCAGGTACCCTAGCACCTGCAAGAACCCTGCCCCCAGCCCAATAGTATGCACCCTGCCATGCTGACACTGCTCTTGACACATACAAACAAGAATGGACCCCACTGCCACCACACTGCAAAACACTTTGACTGACACCACCCATCAGAGTGTAGTGAACAGGGGTCAGGGAGCACCTCAGCCTCCATAGCACAGTGGATTCCTAACCTGGAGGAGCCAAAGAACAAAGTCAAGCCTGACACACTTCACTCAGAGTTATGGCATGCAGTCCAGGAATTGGGAGCTGAATGTTGGGACCCTAAAATCTTTCAGAGATGAAGCCAGTCATCTGAATTGACATTATACCACAATCAAAACCTCAAGGTTATCAAATGAGATAAAAGAAATTAAAACCCATCCAAATGTCAGCAACTTCAAAGATTGAAGGAATATAAGCACATGAAGATAAGAAAGAATCAGCACAAGAACTCTGACAACTCAAGAAGCCAGGGTGTCTTTGTTCCTCCAAACAACCACACAATCTCTCTAGCAAGGGTTTTGAACTGAGCCAGGATGGCTGAAGTGGCAGAAATGGAATTTCGATATGGATAGGAAGGAAGATCATTGATGTGGAAGACTATGTTGAAACCCAATCCAAGGAAGCTAAGAATCACAATAAAACGACGCAGGAGCTGACAGACAAAATAGCCAGTATAGAAAAGAACATAACCTACCAGATAGAGCTGAAAAACACTACAAAATTTATTATTTGTTATGTTCTAATGCAATCATGAGCATTAATTTCTGAATGGACCAAGCAGAGAAAAGAATCCCAGAGCTCAAACACTGACTTTCTGAAATAAGACAGTCAGACAAGAGAGAGAGAAACGAATGAAAAGAAATGAACAAAGCCTCAGATAAATATGGTATTTTGTAAAGAAATCAAATTAGTGGTTCATTGGTGTTGCTGAAAGAGATGGGAAGAGTGTAACCAACTTGAAAATGTGTTTCAAGATATCATCCGTGAGAACTTACCCAACCCAGCTAGAGAGGCAGACATTCAAATTCAGAAAATGCAGAGAACTCTAGTAAGATACTACAGAAGAACATCATCTGCAAGACAAATAATCATCAGATTCTTCAAGGTCAAATGAAAGAATAAATGCTAAAGGCAGCTAGAGAGAAAGGTCAAGTCACCTACATAGGGAAGCCCATCAGACTAACAGCAGACCTCTCAGCAGAACCTATATAGTCCAGAAGAGACTGGGAGCCAATATACAACATTCTTAGAGAAAAGAAATACCAACCCAGAATTTCATAACTACTCAAACTCAGTTTCATAACTTAAAGAGAAAAAAGATCCTTTTCAGACAAGCAAAGGCTAAGGGAATTTGTTACCACCAGACCTACCTTACTAGAGGGGGCAGTAAATATAGAAAGACAATTACCAGCAACTACAGAAACACACTGTAGTATACAACCAGTGACACTATAAAGCAACCACATAAACAAGTTTTCAGAATAACCAGCTAACATCATGACACAATCAAATCCACATGTATCAATACTAACCTTGAATGTAAATGGACTAAATGCCCCAATTAAAACCCAGAGTGGCAAGCTAATAAAAGAACCAAAATCCATTGGTGTGCTGTGTTCAAGAGACCAAACTCACATATAATGACCCACATAGGCTCAAAGTAAGGGGATGGAGAAAAATCTACCAAGCAAACAAACAAACAAAAAACAGAAAAAAGCAGGTGTTGCCATCCTAATTTCAGTCAAAGGAGACTTTAAACCAACAAACATCAGAAAAGGACTAAAACATTTCATAATGGTAAAGGAATCAAATCAACAAGAAGACCTAACTATCTTAAATATATGTGCACCCAACACAGGAGAACTCAGATTTATAAATCAAGTTCTTAGAGACCTTCAAAGATACTTAGACTCCCACATAATAATAGTGGGAGACTGAAACATCACAGAGACAGTATTAGACACATCAAAGAGACAGAAAATTAACAATGCTACTCACTACCAAAACACAGCACTGGATCAAATTTACCTGCTAATAATCCACAACTGTCCACCTAAAAACAACAGAATACATATTGTTCTTATTGCCACGTGGCACATAGTCTAAAATCCATCACATGATAGGATATAAAATTCTCCTCAGCAAATACAAAAGGACTGAAATCATAACAACCAATTTCTCAAACCACAGTGCAATGAAATTACCAATAAAGACTAAGAAATTCACTCAAAAACATACAATTACTTAGAAATTCAACAACATGCTTCTGAATGTCTTTTGGGTAAATAATCAAATTAAGGAAAAAAATCAATAAGTTCTTAAGCTACAAAATACCAAAATCTCTGGGACACAGCTAAAGCAGTGTTAAGAGGGAAATTTATAGCACTATAACATGGTGAAACCCCATCTCTACTGAAAATACTGCAAGCTACACATCTTATAAACGTCTAATATCCAGCATCTATAAGGAATTTGAACAAACTTACATGAAAAATAAACAGCCCCTTTGAAAAGTGAACAAAAGACAAGAACAGACACTTTCAAAAGGAGACATACATATGGCCAAGAAGCATGTGAAAAAAAGTTCAATGTCACGGATCACTGGAGAAATGCAAATCAAAACTGCAATGAGATAGAGTCTCACACCAGTCAGATGGCTATTAAAATGTCAAAAAAAATAAAAGGTGCTAGAGAGGTTGTAGAGAAAATAAATGCTTATACACTGTTGGTGGAAGTGTAAATTAGTTCAAACATTGTGGAATACAGGGTAGCAATTACTCAAGGAATTAAAATTGAAGAACTACCATTAAAACCAGCAATCCCATTACTTGGTATATACCTAGAGGAATATAAACCATTCTATCATAAAGACACATGAATGTGTTATGTTCATTGCAGCACTATTCATAATAGCAAAGACATAGAATCAAACTAAGTGCCCATTGATAAAAGAATAGATAAAGGAAAAGTGGTACATATACACCATGAAATTCTATGCAGCCATAAGAAGAAATGAGACTGTGTCCTTTACAGGTACATGGATGGAGCTGGAGGCCATTATGCTTAGCAAACTAATGCAGAAAGAGAAAACCAAATACAACATGTTTCACTTATAACAGCAAGTTAAATGAGGAGAACACATGGACACATAGAGGGGAACTGCAGACAATGGAGCCTACCACAGGGTGATGGTTATGGGGAAGGAAAGGATCACAAAAAATAACTAATGAGTACCAGAATTAATACCTAGGTGATGAAATTGCTGTATGCTAAACCCCTATGACACAAGTTTAAGTATATAACAAACCTGCACATTTACCCCTGAACTTAAAATAAAAGTTTAAAACAAAATAGCAGGTGCTGAAGAGGATGTAAAGAAAAAGTCTTACATGCTCTTGGGGGGAATATAGGTTAGTACAGCCACCATGGAAAACAGTAAGAAGATTTCTCCAAAAAAACTAAAAATAGAACTATCATTCAATCCAACAATCCAGCTGCTGTGTATCTATCCAAAGGAAAAAGAAATCAGATTATGAAAAGGATGCCTAAACTCCCACGGTTATTGCAGCACTATTCACAATAGCAAAGATGTGTAACCTAAGCATGCATTAACAAATAAATGGATAAAGAAAATATTGTGTATACATGCAAAGAAATAGTATTCCATTGTAATAAAAAGAATAGAATCCTGTCATTGGAAGCAACATGGATTCAACTGGAGGTCATTATGATAAGTAAAATAAATCAAGCAGAGAAAGACAAATATTGTATGTTTTCACTTATATGTGGGAGCTACAAAAGCTGATCTATAAAGGTAGAGAGTAGCATGATAGATACCAGAAGCAGGGAAGGGTGTTCAGGGGATGGAGAATGAAAAAACACTGGTTAATGAGTACAAACATAGAGATACATAAAAGGAGTAAGTTTTGTTTGTCAAAGATCAGATGGTTATAGATGTGTTATTTCTGAGGCCTCCGTTCTGTTCCATTGGTCTATATATCAGTTTTGATACCAGTACCATGCTGTTTTGGTTACTGTAGCCTTGTAGTATAGTTTGAAGTCAGGTAGCGTGATGCCCCCAGGTTTGTTCTTTTTGCTTAGGATTGTCTTGGCTATGTAGGCTCTTTTTTTAGTTCCATATGAAATTTAAAGTAGTTTTTTCCACTTGATGGGGATAGCATTCAATCTCTTAATTACTTTGGGCAGTATGACCATTTTCATGATACTAATTCTTGTATCCATGAACATGGAATGTTTTAACATTTGTTTGTGTCCTCTCTTATTTCCTTGAGCAGTGGTTTGTAGTTCTACTTGAAGAGGTCCTTCACATCCCTTGTAAGTTGTATTTCTAGGTATTTTATTCTTTTTGTAGCAATTGTGAATGAGAGTTCACTCAAGATTTTTCTGTCTATTATTGGTGTATAGGAATGCTTATGATTTTTGCACATTGATTTTGTAGGCAGTACCATTCAGGACATAGGCATGGGCAAAGACTTCATGACTAAAACACCAAAAGCAATGGCAACAAAAGCCAAAATTGACAAATGGGATCTAATTAAACTAAAGAGCTTCTGCACAGCAAAAGAAACTATCATCAGAGTGAACAGGCAACCTACAGAATGAGAGAAAATTTTTGCAATCTACCCATCTGACAAAGGGCTAATATCCAGAATCTACAAAGAACTTAAACAAGTTTACAAGAAAAAAAAAACCATCAAAAAGTGGGAGAAGGATATGAACAGACACTTCTCAAAAGAAGACATTTATGCAGCCAACAAACATATGAAGAAAAGCTCATCATCACTGGTCATTAGAGGAATGCAAATCAAAACCACAGTGAGATACCATCTCAGGCCAGTTAGAAGGGTGATTATTAAAAAGTCAGGAAAACAACAGATGCTGGAGAGGATGTGGAGAAGTAGGAATGCTTTTACACTGTTGGTGGGAGTGTAAATTTGTTCAACCATTGTGGAAGACGTGTGGCGATTCCTCAAGGATCTAGAAACAGAAATTCCCTTTGAAAACTGGCACAAGACAGGGATGCCCTCTCTCACCACACCTATTCAACATAGTGTTGGAAGTTCTGGCCAGGGCGGTTAGGCAGGAGAAGGAAATAAAGGGTATTCAATTAGGAAAAGAGGAAGTCAAATTGTCCCTGTTTGCAGACGACATGATTGTACATCTAGAAAACCCCATTGTCTCAGCCCAAAATCTCCTTAAGCTGATAAGCAACTTCAGCAAAGTCTCAGGATACAAAATCAAAGTACAAAAATCACAAGCATTCTTATACACCAATAACAGACAAACAGAGAGCCAAATCATGAGTGAACTCCCATTCACAATTGCTTCAAAGAGAATAAAATACCTAAGAATCCAACTTACAAGGGATGTGAAGGACCTCTTCAAGGAAAACTACAAACCACTGCTCAAGGAAATAAAAGAGGATACAAATAAATGGAAGAGCATTCCATGCTCATGGGTAGGAAGAATCAATATTGTGAAAATGGCCATACTGCCCAAGGTAATTTACAGATTCAATGCCATCCCCTTTAAGCTACCAATGACTTTCTTCACAGAATTGGAAAAAACTACTTTAAAGTTCATATGGAACCAAAAAAGAGCCCACATCACCAAGTCAATCCTGAGCCAAAAGAACAAAGCTGGAGGCATCACACTACCTGACTTCAAACTATACTACAAGGCTACAGTAACCAAAACAGCATGGTACTGGTACCAAAACAGAGATATAGATCAATGGAACAGAACAGAGCCCTCAGAAATAACGCCACATATCTACAACTATCTGATCTTTGACAAACCTGAGAAAAACAAGCAATGGGGAAAGGATTCCCTATTTAATAAATGGTGCTGGGAAAACTGGCTAGCCATATGTAGAAAGCTGAAACTGGATCCCTTCCTTAAACCTTATACAAAAATCAATTCAAGATGGATTAAAGACTTAAACGTTAGACCTAAACCATAAAAACCCTAGAAGAAAACCTAGGCAATACCATTCAGGACATACGCATGGGCAAGGACTTCATGTCTAAATCACCAAAAGCAATGGCAACAAAAGCCGAAATTGACAAATGGGATCTAATTAAACTAAAGAGCTTCTGCACAGGAAAAGAAACTACCATCAGAGTGAACAGGCAACCTACAAAATGGGAGAAAATTTTCACAACCTACTCATCTGACAAAGGACTAATTTCCAGAATCTACAATGAACTCAAACAAATTTACAAGAAAAAAAAAAAACAACCCCATCAAAAAGTGGGCAAAGGACATGAACAGACACTTCTCAAAAGAAGACATTTATGCAGCCAAAAAACACATGAAAAAATGCTCACCATCACTGGCCATCAGAGAAATGCAAATCAAAACCACTATGAGATACCATCTCACACCTGTTAGAATGGCAATCATTAAAAAGTCAGGAAACAACAGGTGCTGGAGAGGACGTGGAGAAATAGGAACACTTTTACACTGTTGGTGGGACTGTAAACTAGTTCAACCATTGTGGAAGTCAGTGTGGCGATTCCTCAGGGATCTAGAACTAGTAATACCATTTGACCCAGCCATCCCATTACTGGGTATATACCCAAAGGACTATAAATCATGCTGCTATAAAGACACATGCACACGTATGTTTATTGCGGCATTATTCACAATAGCAAAGACTTGGAACCAACCCAAATGTCCAACAACGATAGACTGGATTAAGAAAATGTGGCACATATACACCATGGAATCCTATGCAGCCATAAAAAATGATGAGTTCATGTCCTTTGTAGGGACATGGATGAAATTGGAAATCATCATTCTCAGTAAACTATCGCAAGAACAAAAAACCAAACACCGCATATTCTCTCTCATAGGTGGGAATTGAACAATGAGAGCACATAGACACAGGAAGGGGAATATCACACTCTGGGGACTGTTGTGGGGTGGGGGAGGGGGGAGGGATAGCATTGGGAGATATACCTAATGCTAGATGACAAGTTAGTGGGTGCAGCACACCAGCATGGCACATGTATACATATGTAACTAACCTGCACATTGTGCACATGTGCCCTGAAACTTAAAATATAATAATAATAAATAAATAAATAAATAATTAAAAAAATTTAAAAAAAACCCTCTTTAAAAAAAAAAAAAAGAAATACCATTTGATCCAGCAATACCATTACTGGGTATATACCCAAAGGATTATAAATCACTCTACTGTAAAGACACATGCACACGTATGTTTATTGTGGCACTATTCACAATAGCAAAGACTTGGAACCAACCCAAATGCCCATCAATGATAGACTGGATAAAGAAAATGTGGCACATATACACCATGGAATACTATGCAGCCATAAAAGAGGATGAGTTCGTGTCCTTTGCAGGGAGATGGATGAAGGTGGAAACCATCGTTCTCAGCAAACTAACACAAGAACAGAAAACCAAACACCGCATGTTCTCACTCATAAGTGGGAGTTGAACAATGAGAACCCATGGACACAGGGAGGGGAATATCACACACTGGGGCCTGTTGGGGAGTGAGGGGCTATGGGAGGGATAGCATTAAGAGAAATACCTAATATAGATAATGGGTTAATGTGTTCGGCAAACAACCATGGCACATGTATACCTATGTAACAAACCTACACGTTCTGCACATGTACCCCAGAACTTAAAGTATAATAAAAAATTTTTAAAAAGGAGTAAGTTTTAATATTTGATAGCAGAGTAGGGTGACTACAGTTTACAACAACATATTGTATTTTTCAAAATAGCTAGAAGAGAGGAATTAAAATGTTTCCAACAAAGAAAGAAATGATAAATGCTCAAGGTAATGAATGCCCTAAATTTCCTAATATCATGACTTTATCATTATACATTTGATCCATGTAACAAAATATCACATGTACCCCAAAATGTGTATAGGTATTAAGAATCAATAAAAAATAGCAAAGAGAGTCTTCTTATTTTCTATATTAGTTACAACCAAGCCATTCTATTGCTGGAACAAATATGGTAGTGGTTGTCGTGGGGAGTGATGATGATGATGATCTTGATGATCATGATGATGATGATGATGATAATCATAATGGTGGAAACGATGATGATATGTTGCTGCGAATAAACCTCTATCAAATGACAGCTAATCATGTGTTAGGCATTGTGCCATTAAAATTTCAGATAGTAATTCAATTTTATGCCTTAGACAAGTTTGTTAAGTAAATGTTATTTTGCTCACTTTGCAGTAAAGAGATTGACATTCAGAGAAGTTGAATAATATGTTCCTCAAATCAATCAAACACTAATTAAGGAAAATAAAAATAAAAAAATACAGAAATAATCTTTGATATGTCCCAAATTGTGAGATCCTGTCTGTGGATGAAAGAAAAGTGGAAATATACCCAAATGATTATAAAATATTGCTAATAAAGCATATTTGAAAAGAAACAAAAGATCCATTCACAAATATATATGCATAGATTCTTTATTCAGGGAGTGAAAGGAAAGTGACAACTGCACAGGTGGTGGAAGCTCATGCCCAGGGGACAGACAGACACAGAAAACATCAACAGAATTCTCTAATGGTTCCCAGGGAGAGAGCTGCTCTTTCTTCTGAAGCTCTGGGAGCTGGCACAGCCCAGGACTTCCTTTGCTCAGTCTCCACCTGGACAGTGGCAGTATGGCAGCCTCAAAAAGAAAACCTTTTGCTATCAGAGATCATCACAGGCCGATCACAGGCTAAGAGGAAAGAAGCTCCCTGTGTATCCCTGGATGGCTTTGATGAGAAGATGCAGGTGGAGCTGTGGAACGAGGTGAGCCAATTATCCTTATCCTTTCATGCTCCTGATGAATCCTGAAGCTGTTACTTGCTCTTGGGTGGACACTTTGGCTGGCAGGGTGGGGAAGGTGTCACAGGAGGACATTTCTGCTGGCACTGCTGAGGTGGGCAGGACTGTGGACACTTTGATGGTGGGCAGGGCTCAGGGCACTTCGGGGGTGGACATGGCTCTGGGCACTTTGGCGCGGGGCACACAGGAGGTGGCTGGCAGGGCTGCTTGCACTGCTGCTGTTGATAAGACATCCTGCTGGAGTCTCAGAATCTGAAAGAAATTATATGACAGTGTTCACGGGAAGGGAATCCTCCAGAGAGAGAAGCCAAAGCTTATGTAATACCATGGCATATTATTTCTCCAATCTCCAAGAAATTATTTAAACTCTTAATTCCCTTTTCAAGAGTCCCTGGCTTCTCACTTCCACTTCAGCGAATTACTTCATTGTCCCTGGGAACTCTTGTGTTTTCTCATATAATTTTTCCAAAGAAAATATCTCTGTAGTAAACAACCAAGCATGTTATTTCTATGAAAATAACATCTTCAAGAAAGGCAGTCACAAGTTCAGATACCCAGGGCTATCTCACAAGCTATTCCTGTTATCATTATCTGTTGTAAAATCCCAGTGGGTTGACATAGGCACACAGAAAACGACTGTTTGGGAAGAATTGCATGCTCTCACACCTGCTACGACATAAACCTTTGAAAAGGACACCAGAAAAGCAGAGAAAAAAAGAAAAATACTTTGTTATTTTTTCTTCTTCAAATCAAAGCTTTCCCCTTAACTAACTTCTCTGTCCATATGAACACCTAACTCTGTACTAAAAGAAAGCTAAAATAGCATATCATTGTGCTCTAATCCTAAATTTCCATCCACTAAGTAGCATCAAATCAACATTCATAGGATTGGATCAACCAAACTTGCTGTATTCAGATTAAATTCAACATTTCAGGGCACAAAGAACAGAGGAACTCCAGGAAGCCGACTCACCAGGTTCTCCAAGGCAGATCGGTGCTTAGGTACCAGGAGTTTAGGAGTCGTGCAGCAGAAAACCTCTTTATAGGGCCTGCTACCCCTCCCAGCAGAAAGTGTAACTGCCAAAAGCTACACTTATCCAGTAATTTCTTAAGCCAAATGCAAATTTATCCACAACTGGCCTGACAGTGATTATCAAACTAGGAAATATCCTGTTCTGGGATCTCCCCACTGGGTTAAGTGCTCCTGACTCACAGAGGCCCTGCCTTAGATCTCAGTTTCAGTGACCTATGGCAAAGAGGGACTTGGGGGATTCTCTAACTGGTGGTCAAGGGCTCTCTTTTTTGACTGGGGGCAATGATCCTTTCCTGTCTTACACCTTCCCTAAATCATAAAACTTCCTGTCCTGATCCACTTTACTGAATGCCATATTGTTGTACATGAACCCATCTCCACCTCTACTTTCCTTGTACAATTTGCCAATGCGCTAAAAGGAAGGAGAGACCTAACAAAGGCCTGGGTTCTGGTCCCAGATTTTTTTTTTTTTTTTTTTTTTTTTTTTTTGTTGCTAAGTTGTGTGACCACAGGCAGGTCACCTCTCCTCCCTGTGATTATAAGCAGGGGAGAATCATACTTACCTCTGGAGATGGGAGCTGACCGCATTGTGCCATCTGCTGACCCTGTTCAAGCCAGAAACTTTCTCCTCCACTTCTATCTTTCTCTCTCATAGAACCCTGGATTTTACGATTTTCCTTTCCTCTTTGAAGCTGTCTTCTCCACCCAATTTGTACAGGCAATTGTCACCTGGGACAGATTCCAGAGTGACAGCCAGTCTCCCCAGCACATTTGCTACTTGCTGCCATTAAGGATGTATACTAGCGCCTTTTTATTTATAAAAATGTATTCTTTGCTACCACATTAAGGAAACGGAGAGACATGAAACAAAATTACAAGCATTCATTCAAAATCTATGTATTGAACCATGCCTATATGATTCCCTGAAACCACCCTATAGAGCACAATCTGCATAGACTCACATTATCATATGTGAATAATTAGAAGTAGGTTTGCAGAGTGGAGATGGTCAGCGCACCTAAAGTCTGAAATCTGGGGGAAAATACAAATTAAGTATAATCTAATATGTATTCTTCCCCTCTGTTTCTAAACAGGTTTTAGGTGTTTCTCAGTGTTTTTTAATTTGTTTGCATGTTCTTTCTCTGTCTTTTCCATAAGCCCCCTAGTCTCATGACCTGCTAGATTATCAAGTCACACCCCAATGTACACCTCTCATCTATTCATTTTGGTACATATTGTTCACTCAACATATATATTGTCAATGCATATAGTGACTCCTCTTTCATATCTTTTGTAAACTCTTCCAGCAATTAGTGAGGCTTACTAAACATGGTATATTAAATATTTAAGTTGATGTTGCTAGAGCTTCCTTAGACCAGTAGTCAGAAAGCTTTCCAAGAATGTGGTTTATAGTTGGAGAAGAAGAAAGGAAAATGAGGAAGAGGAAGAGGAAAGACTCAAAATCATTGGAGCAGTCACCAGCTATGCTCCAGGAAGGGTAGGAGTGCTGAATCAACCCAGCATCACATCCCTCAGTTAAGCAGGTTAGGTTCCCAGAGCTGCCATTGCTCCCGTCAATAAGGAAGGGCTTTGGGGCAAGATCACTACTGGCCAGGACAGTACAGAAATAAAGACATCACGTCAGCACCTTAAGGCCAGGTATTTACAAATGGTGTTCTCACCAAATTACCCCTACAGACTATTACGCATGCTAAGCACATCAGGGGACAAAGTAAAGGGCCTTTATTCAATAGGTCACTTACTACTCCCCAACAGCCTCACATCACATCTAAAACACAAATCCTTAGAGAAATGTCTGATTTCTAACATGCAAAATTGGAGAATTGGCTGCCAAATGAGATCACTGTGTAAGATAATACAGTTTGAGTCATGCCCTGAGACTCCCCTTCTGAGAACACCCCACTCAAACAGGCTGTTTATCACAGCAGTGCAGGCACCAGAGTGGCAGCAGCCCTAGTGCCCCCAGCATCTCAGACAGGCTCACTTTACAAGTGAACTTGAAATTCAGAGTTTCTCACAGACCAGCTACATGAGGAATGGCCACAACATGAAGAGGGGCAGCTAACAGTCACAGCTTCCCCAAGTTAGGACATCCAGGCCCTGAGACATGCAGCAAGGCATACTTTACACACACACACATACCCACCATGGGTGTGTGTCTATCTATCTATCTATCTATCTTCTATCTATCTAATGTGTCATCTATCTATCCATCTACCTTTCTATTATCTCTCCACATATATAAAGAAGTTAGCTTTATGTTCTTTAACAGTCTGATAGCCTTAGGTCCATTTCTCCTACTTTTACTCCATAATTTTTGAAGGGATTATTAAGTTTAAATCATTACTACATAAAAATGACAAGAAAGAACAAAAGCTTTTGAACTTTTGTGTTATTCTTGATTCAACTTCTATCTCACATTTTACTACTATGCATTTTACACCATTAAACAAAATAGTCCTGGCAAATTAATATTCTGCCATCAAACATGCAAGAAGAAACAGGAATTGTGGGAAGATTTTCCTAGCCTTAAATAAATCACTCTAAGTCTCTGTGAATTTCTGCTTCTGTTTTATTCCTGAATATAGGCTTACATTCCATCATTATTCCATAATTTTGCTTAATCAGATAAATTATGGGACATTAATGTTGCAGAATTCTTAAGATCATTAGGGAGGATGTTTTAGAAGACTATTTAATATTATTTAAAACATTCAAATTATAGTAAAAGCATATATAAAGCATGACAACATTTTAACATTTATGTATGAAAAGATAAGAAATACCTAAAACATTTTATTAAATGTGATTCTGTTTGGTTGGTGTAATTACAGATGATTTTTATTTTCTTATTTTCCTTTTCAAAATATTCTCCAAATGTTACCTATTATTTTGTAAAGACTTAAAATTCTGCTTTGAAAAGCTAACAAGAGACAAGTCTGTCCATAGCTCAATTAGTGAGATAATGATCTTTTTCCTTTTAAGCATCTCTGGCCAAACACCAAAGGTGGGGCTGGACGTGAGTAGGAATTGTTTTATTATTATACCCCAACATTTAATTACCTCCCTATTATAATCTTTCTTGAAGAAAATTCCTAATAATAATCACCATTCCTCCTACCAGTGACATAAACACAGAGAAGCCATAGGCACCCAATAGCCATACATGTCTATGAAACAGTTCACCAAAATTGAGAGATCATACCAGGGTAAAAACATCAGGAATGAGTTTGTCTACTATCTGAGAGCCAGAAAGACAGTAATCATAAAATTTGTCCGATTATGATGAAATTGGAAGAAATTGATAGTTATTAAGACAGGTGGTAAGGATAAAAGACCAAGTGATAATAATAGTACCTACCATTAAATTGTCAAAAGAAAAAAATTAAATCAGAAATTGCACATAAAGTACTTAGTACATTATGTACTTAGACTTATGACTACAGATAGTACTCATAATAGTAATGTAATACATTGTTAATCAAAGAAATAGAGCCAAAACTTCAAGTTTGAGATGTGTTTGATGGTAAGTTATTTGCTTTATCTTTAAGATATTTTATATCATATTTCTTTTAGGTCAGAGCCAGAAGATTTTAGGGGGAAGCAAATGAAAATATTTTATTTGAATGAGGTGTGGTGAAATAATAAGATGGGCTAACCGTGACACTTACTCTTATGTGGTGAAAATGGGAGTTAATCAAAGAAGAAATGTAGAATAAAGTACAGAAACAAGATAATTTAATTGTTCTTAGTTATTTGGACTAAGATTGTCTTCTGACTACTGTTAAGTACAAAAATAACTAAATACAATAAATGCAATATGTTAACTGTGTTAGTTTGCAGAAAATTGACATTGTAAATATTTAGCATTCTGTATAAAAATATATAATGTAATCTCTAATCTAGTTTACTATTACTATGATTAGCTGTTCAGGACAATAAAAAATTCTCTCACTTAAATATCATATTTATTCTGGTGGCAGATTACTTAAATTTCAGTCTAAGTCCTTATAAGGAACTGAATCATTCATTAGCATTAACCTTCCCAAAGAAAATAAGGCCTGTAAATTCTAGTTCTATTTTCTCTAAATGTTAGATCAGACTAGTTAAAAGAATAATTTCAAGAGCTATCAGAAATACAGATGATTTTGTATGCTTTGTGTTAGGGAGATTAAAAACATGGGCTAAGAAATAGAATAAATCTGACACTTCTCCTCTTAAGAATCTTTTTAAGACAGTGAATGTGCATGGATTTAAAGTTGCCTCCCTTCACACACACAAAAATAAATAAAGGAAAGCAAGTAAACCGGACAAAATTGTGAAAAACTCTGGAGTGGAAAAGCAGTTTAAACTCTAACATAGAAGAGGGCTGACAGCATTGTACCATAAGTTAAAGAGAAGTTAAATAAAATATAAACAGAAAAATCAAAACTGACTCATGATCTCACAGAACTAAACATAATTTTACCATAGCATCCATCATCATGACTCCTAGAAATTCATGTAACAGATTTCAAAATATGCCCACAAAAAATAACCTGGATTCAAATGTTTATAGTAGCTTTATTCATAATTTCCAAGAATTATGATCCACCAAGGTGTCCTTCAGTAGATAAATAGATAAATAAACTGTAGTATATCACACCCATAGAGTGGAATACTGTACAGTGACAAAATGGAATGACCTATCAAGACTCACAAAGACATGGTTGAATTTTAAATGCAAATTGATAAGTAACAGAAGGCCGTCTTAAAGACTACATACTTTAAGGTTCCATATATGTGACTTCAGTAAAAGATAAATTTACACATCCAAAGAGTTCAACAAACTCCTAGTAAAATAAATTCAAAGAGAGCCACACGGAGGCACATTATAATCAAACTATCAAAGAGAGAATATTCAAAGCATCAAGAGATAAGTGAATCTTCATATATAAGTGATCCTTAATAAGACTGTTGACCAATTTATCATCAGATGTCTTGGAGATCAGGAGGCAGTGGGATGATATAATGAGAGTGCTGAAAGGAAAAAATGGCAACCTAGAATTTCGCTTCTGGCAAAATTGTACTTAAAAAATGAGGGCGAAATTATAACATTCTCTAATAATCAAAACCTGAGGCGGTTCATTGCTCCTAGATTTCCTGTGTGAGAAATGATAAAGAGAGCCTTTTGATTTGAAGTAAAAGGATGCTAGAGAGAAATTTGAAACTGTATGTAGATATAAAGGTCTCTGGTAAAAGTACATGGGCAAACGTAAAAGCCAGCATTATTGTAATTTTAGCTTGTAACTCCACTTTTTATTTTCTACAGGATTTAAAATGCAAATTCATAAAATATAATTATAAGCCAAAGTTAGTGGACATGCCACGTAGAAAGATGTAATTGGTGAAATCAATAACATAAAAAGGGGATAGACTTTTGTCAGAGTTGAATTTTTTATGCATTTACAGTTAAGTTGGTGTTAATTCAAACTAGATAACTGTAACTTTAGGATGTTATATATAATCCCCATTGTAACCCCAAAATAAATATCTATAGAACATATACAAAAGGAAAAATAAACACAATCAAAAAGTTTTTCTACAAGGATCAACTGAACACAAAATCAAGCAATCATGGAAGAAATGAAGGACAAACAATATACAGTAAATGCGGAAGGAAGACCTTCGTCATCAATGATTACTTTAAATGGAATTCCTTGAATGGAGAATTAAACTTTCTAATCAACAAACAGAGATTGGTGGAATGGATAAAAAAGAAAAAAGATCCAACTCTATGCTATTTAAGAGAGACTCACTTTACATGGAAGACACAACGGTTGCAGAATCAGGAGAACCAGAAAGACCACGGGGTAAAAGGAGGAGGATTTATTGAATGCACTCAGACCCAGAAGATTAACGTCAGAAGATGTGCCAAGAACAAAGACAGCACTTAACTTTTATACACACTTTTAAAAGGGGATGGGCTAGCTTGAAGCAGGCTTACAGTGGCGTGAAAGTGAGGATACAGAGGCAGAACAAAGACAGTTAATCAAATTTTAACAGGTTCATAACTCAGGATTACACATGACTGTTGCTATGTAACCAAGATGGCCGTTATCTAGGTTTGCCCTAGTGCCTAGCACAGCTTATTCCATGACCTTCACTACAGCGCCCAGGTGGCCATAATTCAGGCCTGCTCAGACAGCTCATGTCCTTCACTGTTCCACTTAGACAAAACAGAATACTTGAAGTTACTAGATACAGAGAACAGGAATCTATAAACTTATACCATAAAAGAAAGGAAAATTTGTTTTTCTCCTCCCTGTGTTGAAAGAGTGCTGGGAGGGTCTCCAGAGTAGATTTCTTTGTGTACTAGCTTCTTAGATAATGTTTATCAAGGCTTTTCCTGGGTCTGGGCTGTGCCTGTTGCTGCCTCTGAGATAAGTCAGCCTAATACAGGAAAGCTTATTTCTTTTTCTTTTTAATTTTATTTTTCTTTCCTTCCTTAATTTCCCACCTCACAAACAGGGTGAAAGTAATAGGATGGAAAAGTAAATTCTATGCAAATAGAAGCCAAAAGAGAGCTGAGGTGGCTAAACTAATATTTTGTAAAGCCATACTTCAAGTTAAATACCATTATCAGAGACAAAAAAAGACATCATATATTGATAAAAGGATCAATTTACCAAGAAGATATAGCTATTATAATCATACATTCACTAAATATCAGAACTCCAATTAATATATGAAGCTACACTGAAATAAATTTTTTAAATAATTGACAGATCTATAATAAAAGTTGAAAACTTCAATATTTCACTTTCAATAATGACTAGAATGACAGAAGTTTGAAAAAAAAAAAGATGATTTGCGAAAAAGTATAGACCAATTAGACCTAAGAGGCAAATAGAGAATACTCCACCCACCAACAGCAGAATCCACATTACAGTTTTCTCAAGAGAACATGGAACACTCCCCAGGATAGATCATATATTATATTATGCTGCAAAACAAGTTAATATATTTTAAAAGACTAAAATCATACAAAGTACTTTTCCAGTCATGATGGAATGAAACTAGAAATCTATAATCAAAGAAAAACTGGAAAATTCACAAATTTGTAGAAATTAAACAACACACTCTTTAACAATCAATGGGTCAGAGAAGAATTCACAGGGAAAATTAAATACTTTGAGACTACTAAAAACAAAAGCATGTCATACCAAAACTTATGGGTTGCAGCAAAACAGTGCTAACGGAAATTTGTAGCCATAACCACATGCATATTTTAATGAAAACAAACACCTCAAATCATTAACCTCATATTATATCTTAGGAACTTTAAAAAGTAAAGCATAATAAACCCAAAGCAAGTAAATAAGAGGGAAGAGAGTGAAGATACATAAAACAAAGGACAAGCAATCAATAGGGAAAATCAACAAAACTAAATGCTATTTATTTGAAAATGTCAACAAAACTGACAAATCTTTAGGTAAATTAAGAGAAAAACAGATGTAAGACTCAAATAAATAAAAATTTTGCAAGTGTGAAATTTACAACTGATTTTACAGAAATGAAAAGGATTTTAAGAGAAGACTGAAAAATTCTATGTCAGCATATTGGATAACCCAGTTGAAATGAACAAATTCTTAGAAATACACTATTTATCAAACCAAATCATGAAGAAATAGAAAATCTGAATAGACTTATAACATGTAAGAAGATTGAATCTCTAATCAAAAACCTCACAGGAAAAAAGATCTAAAGCAGAAAGATTTACTGGTGAATTATGTATCAATTGTAACTCAAAGCAGGGAATATTTCCTGACTTGTTCTGAGACCAGCCTTCCCTGGATACAAAAAGACACTATAAGAAATGAAAACTACAGATCAATGTTTCTCATAACATTAATGCAAAAAATCCTCAAATAAATTTCATGCACCAAATTTAGCAACATAATTAAAAAGGATTATACAACATGACCAACTGTGATTCACTCCCCAATCCAGGAATTGCTCAGCATAAGAAAATCAATTAAGGTGATATACCAAATTATCAGCAGAAGAAAAAAAAAAGATGATCCTCTCAATCAGTGCAGGAAGAGCATTTCATAAAATTCAACCTTGTTTCATAATTAAAAAAAAAAACTGCCAGGCACAATGGCTCACGTCTTAATCCCAGCCCTTTGGGAGACTGAGGTGGGTGGATTGTTTGAGGCCAGGACTTTGAGACCATCCTGGGCAACATAGTGAAACCTCATCTTTACCAAAAATACAAAAATTAGCCAGGGGGTGGTGGCATACACTTGTAGTCTCTGCTACTCAGGAGGCTGAGGTGGGAGGATTGCTTGAGCCCAGGAGGTCAAGACTTCAGTGAGTTGAGATAGTGCCACTGCACTCCAGCCTGGGCAATAGAACAAGACCCTGTCTTAAAACAAACAAAAAAGGCCGGGCGCGGTGGCTCAAGCCTGTAATCCCAGCACTTTGGGAGGCCGAGGCGGGTGGATCACGAGGTCAGGAGATCAAGACCATCCCGTCTAAAACGGTGAAACCCCGTCTCTACTAAAAATACAAAAAATTAGCCAGGCGTAGTGGCGGGCACCTGTAGTCCCAGCTGCTTGGGAGGCTGAGGCAGGAGAATGGCGTGAACCCGGGAGGCGGAGCTTGCAGTGAGCCGAGATCCCACCACTGCACTCCAGCCTGTGCGACAGAGCGAGACTCCGTCTCAAAAAAAAAAAAAAAAAAAAAAAAATAGTCAATAAACTAGAGATAGAAAGAAACTTCTTCAAACTGATAAAGGCCATATATGAAAAAGCCCTGCTAACATCAAACTTATTGGTGAAAGATCAAAAGCTTTTCCTTTAAGATCAAAAACAAGATGGGGATGCCCACTTTCTCAACTTCTAGTCAACATACTATTGAAAGTTCTAGTCAGTGCAATTAAGTAAGAAAAAATAAAAGGCATCCAAGTTGGAAAAGAAGAAATAAAATATTTCTGTTGACAGATAATATAATCTTGCATGTAAAAAAACTCTAAAATATTATCCCAAAATCCCCATTAGAGCTAATAAACATATTAAGAAAAATGAAGATTTGCTTCAATAAAGTTTTCTTCTATACTACCAACTCCTACACATAAATAAGAAAAAAAATCCTAATAAAAATTATGTAAAAGGCATGGGAAATTTTTTACAAATAAAGAAACAGTCAAGTGAAATACAGGGGAGAGGAAGCAGCAGAAAGAGCCCTGTGGACACTCTCAGTCCCCAAGGAAGACATTTCTGACTTTGTCTCACAGGAGTCCTTGAGGAGGGCTGCCAGTGGAAGTGGGGAAAGACCACAGACAGAAGGAAACTTCCAGCTGAACTTTGTAACAATTTCAACTGAACATGAAGTTTCCTGGACGGAACCCGGGGGAGGGGGTGAATGTGAGCACAGCAGCTGCAGCAGACAGGGAGGTGTGAAACCTGAGAGCCCTGCTTACTTTCTCAGCAGGAAGGCTTGTAGCCAGAGGCAAATTCTCAGCCCTGCTCACCTGCTGCCTGGAAGTAAACCCAGTGCTATTAGGGAGGCACAGTGGGAGTGAGTGAGACCAGTTTTTCAGGCTGCATGGGAGCTGAATGAGGCCTGTAACTGCTGGCTTTCCCCCACTTCCCTGGTGACCTGTACAACACAGCAGAGGCAGCCATAATACCCCTGGGAACATAACTCCATTGGCCTGAGAACCACACCTCATCCCCACACAGCAGCTGCAGCAAGCCTCACCCAAGAAGAGTGTGAGCTAAGACATGACTAATCCTACCCTAACCTGATGGTCTTTCCCTACCCACACTGGTAGCCGAAGACAAAGGACATAATCTCTTGGAAGTTCTCTGGCCCTGCCCACTGCCTGAGAAAACGAAATACTTATCTGGTATCGGGGGAAATTCACCCCAGATATTTCACATAGGTTCTTTTCTATTTTCCCTAAGTGTCAGCTTGTCTGAGAAATAAAGGGACAGAGTACAAAAGAGGGAAATTTTAAAGCTGGGTATCTGGGGGAGACATCACATGTCAGCAGGTTCCGTGATGCCCCCTGAGCTGTAAAACCAGCCAGTTTTTATTAGGGATTTTCAAAAGGGGAGGGAGTATACGAATAGGGTGTGGGTCACAGAGATCACATGCTTCACAAGGTAATAAAATATCACAAGGCAAATGGAGGTAGGGTGAGATCACAGGACCCCCAGGACCAGGGCAAAATTAAAATTGCTAATGAAGTTTTGGGCATGCATTGTCATTGATAACATCTTATCAGGAGACAGGGTTTGAGAGCAGACAACCAGTCTGACCAAAATTTATTAGGCAGGAATTTCCTTGTCCTGATAAGCCTGGGAGCGCTATGGGAGACCGGGGCTTATTTCACCCCTTAACGACAACCATAAAAGACAGCCATCCCAAAGCGTCCATTACAGAGGCCTCCCCTTAGGGACGCATTCTCTTTCTCAGGGATGTTCCTTGCTGAGAAAAAGAATTCAGCGATGTTTCTCCTATTTGCGTTTGAAAGGAGAGAAATATGGCTCTGTTCCGCCTGGCTCACAGGCAGCCAGAGTTTAAGGTTATCTCCCTTGTTCCCTGAACATTGCTGTTATCCTGTTCTTTTTTCAAGGTGCCCAGATTTCATATTGTTCAAACACACATGCTCTACAAAACATTTGTGCAGTTAACGCAATCATCACAGGGTCCTGAGGCAACATACATCCTCCTCAGTTTACAAAGATGACAGGATTAAGAGATTAAACTAAAGACAGGCATAGGAAATCATAAGGGTATTGATTGGGGAAGTGATAAGTGTCCACAAAATCTTCACAATTTATGTTCAGAGATTGCAGTAAAGACAGGTGTAAGAAATTATAAAAGTATTAATTTGGGGAACTAATAAATGTCCATGAAATCTTCACAATTTATGTTATTCTGCCATGGCTTCAGTCGGTCCCTCCATTCGGGGTCCCTGACTTCCTGTAACAATCCAGGCAACCCTGGGGCAAGCTTGTATCTCCCCTATACTACTGCAGCTGATGCTGTCTGGAAAGTGCCACCTCCTGTTTGGAGGCCAACAAAACACAAAACCAGCATGCTAAACAAAACTACAAGTAAGGACCCTCACAGAGTCTACTTCACTCCTCTGCTACCTCCACTAGAGCAAGTGCTGGTATCCATGGCTGAGAGACCTGAAGGTGGATCACATTACGGGACCCTGCAGACACTCCCCAGTACCAGGCTGGAGCCCAGTAGGTCTGCTGGGTGGCTAGATCTAGAAGAGAGATAACAATCACTGCAGTTTGGCTCTCAGGAAGCCACATCTCTAGTGGAAGTAGGAGAGCACCAAATCAAGGCAGCACCCCATGGGACAAAAGAATCTGAACAGCAGCCCTTGAGCTCCAGATCTTCCCTCTGACATGATCTACCCAAGTGAGAAGTAATCAAAACAATTCTGGTAACATATCAAAACAAGGTTCTTTAACACCCCCAAAAGATCACACTAGCTCACCAACAATGGATACAAACCAAGAAAAAAATCTCTGAATTGCCAGAAAAAGAATTCAGAAGCTTGATTATTAAGCTACTCAAGGAGGCACCAGAGACAGGTGAATACCAACTTAAAGAAATTTGTAAAGCGTTACAGGATATGGATTAAAAAATCTCCAGAGAAACATATAGCATAATTAAAAAACAATCACAACTTCTGGAAATGAAGGACACATTAAGAGAAATGTAAAATACAATGGAAATTCCCAGCAATAGAATTGAACAAGTAGAAGCAAGAACTTCAGAGCTCAAAGACAGGGCTTTTGAATTAACCCAATCCAACAAACAGAAAGAAAAAAGAATTTTAAAAAATGAGCACAGCCTTCAAGAAGTTTGGGATTATGTTAAATTACCAAACCTAAGAATAATTTGTGCTCCCAAGGAAAAAGAGGAATCTAAAAATTTGGAAAACATATTTGAGGGAATAATCCAGGAAAACCCCCCTGGCCTTACTAGAG
The DNA here is from genome assembly GCF_000001405.40 of Homo sapiens. Taxonomy (NCBI): domain Eukaryota; kingdom Metazoa; phylum Chordata; class Mammalia; order Primates; family Hominidae; genus Homo; species Homo sapiens. The sequence goes on from NC_000001.11 coordinate 153,125,560, forward strand.
ATCTAGACATGCAAATACAAGAAGCTCAAAGAACACCTGAGAAGTTGATTGCCAAAAGATCATCACCTAGACACATAGCCATCAGGTTATCTAAAGTCAAAACAAGAAAGAATCTTAAGAGCTGTGAGGCAAGAGCATCGGGTAACCTACAAAGGAAAACCTATCAGGTTAACAGCAGATTTCTCAGTAGAAACACTACAAGCTAGAAGGGATTGGGGTTCTATCTTTAGCCTCCTTAAACAAAATAATTATCAGCCAAGAATTTTGTATCCAGCAAAACTAATCTTCATAAGTGAAGTCTTTTGCAGACAAATGCTGAGAAAATTCACCACTACCAAGCCAGCACTACAAGAACTGCTAAAAGGAGCTCTCAATCTTGAAACAAATCCTCAAAATATACCAAAATAGAATCTAATCTCCTTAAAGCACAAATCTCACAGGACATATAAAACAACACAATGAAGAAAAAAAAGGTATTCAGGCAACAAATAGCATGATGAATAGAATAGTATCTCACATCTCGATACTAACATAGAATGTAAATGGCCTAAATGCTCCACTTAAAAGATACAGAATGGCAGATTTTAGACCAAATCTATGTAGGTTACAAATGGGAGCAGTTTTATCAGCAGTCAGGTAGACAGGCTGCTGATAAAACTGCTCCCATTTGTAACCTACATAGATTTGGCTTCTTTAAAGGTCACAAATGGTTTTAGCTGGGGATGAAATGCCTTCCCTTAGCCTTCTTCACATTAGTAAACATAAGAGCACCCTGCCTTACAGTCATAACCAGGACCCTTGGAGCTTTGATAAAAACTGCACTGTCTTATACCACCAAGAATCTTCCAGAATCTCAAGAAATTCTCCATCTAATTAGGTCTGCAAGGGGCTTGGTCTTTGGCTGGTAAGATGGAGGTTTTCTGTTCGTATCTGCTGAAGTATGGTACAGTATTAAGTCTTACAGGTCTTCCACAAGCTGACTTATCTTGATTGCTCCAAACATTAAAGGGCAAATAGAGTTTGGCTTATTACTTCCCATCTTTTCTCATGCTATCTTCAAAAAGTTCTATCCATTAACCTCATCATTTAGTATGCCAATGAGCAATTATATTTATGTACTTTTATTAACTATTTTTTGAATATATTTTGGTTATTTTGGTTAAATATATTTTGGTTATTAATAATGGTGAGATGTTCTTCATTAGGTTGTGATTAACTTTGCATTATTATTAACTACCTTTCATTTAAGAAGTTCACTATGAATTATCATTGCTTCAAAATGTTATTGATGTTCATATTTGTTAACATTGTTCCCAGTTAGCACACAATTTGAAGGGATTAAGTGTCATCTGTGTAATTTTTATTTTCTCCATAAAATAGAGCAGCAGATAGAACAGAGAAAATATCAGGCAGGTCCTCAAGAGACCTTAGTTCTGGCCCCAGGTCAATCATTGAGAAGCAGGGTCTCCTTGGCCAGTCTTGCCCAGGATCTTTTTCTGAGCAATGGAGATGAGGTGTAGGTGAGGATGACACAGGAGTTTTCACTGACCCTGCTCCAGTCTCAATGACTCTACACATTTTCTTCCTCTCACAGAGCCTTCTCTATAGTCTATGATCCCTTTTCTTTAAATGCTCATTTCTTGCCTAAACCTTGAGAGCATCTCTCATTAGGATTCATTACAGAATGGGATTCTGGCTTTTCAGCACTCTTCTACTTTGCTGCCCTCAGAATGAAGACTAGAGTTCTTTTTTTTTCAAGATTTAACTATTTTTCATTCTTGTATAGAAAAATAAAATGTAAACCAAAATCCCAAGCATTCCTTCATTGACAAATTGATAAGCCACATGTGCTCTACAACAAAGATCATGACTATATCCCTGCCTTTTCACATACTTGCAGGCTAGTGAGAGAGACAGACCACAACAGCACAGGTTATAACAAGTATTTCCTGAGATGGCTGCTAGGGACCTCTGCTCTCTGCTTCCGTTCTGGAGAATGTGATCTTCCTGCTTTCAGCTAATAACTCCTGATCAATCCTTCTTTTGTCATGGGCTTTCTCCCAACACCTAACACTGCGGTTGCAACTATTCCAAAACAATAGGTTCCAACTAATTTCCCCTCAGGCACCTATTATAACTTGTATTTCTCAGCTTTTTTATTTTCTTATAGTTTCCAACACTTAACGAGACACTTAATGGAGTTGATTTAGAATAGTATGAAAATGCTTTTGGAATGGGCAAATCACCTGACCATCCAGGGGAAGCTGATCTAAGGGTAGACCTGTGTCAGCTAGAAATCAAGCACAGAATAAAATATATTAACTATAAGGAAACATTTTGACTCAATCTTGACCTTTTCCCATTTTCACACATATTTTTAAATCAGTTTATTTAGTTGGGTTTTTAATTAGGATTTGGTTTAAATCCAGACATCAACGTGGGAGAAAGTTGATGCTTCCACAATTTTGAGTCATGAATTCACACACATGGTTGTCACTCTATTTCTACACAAGAAAATGTTGCACAAATTTTGTTAGATTTATTTCTATGTCCTTCACATATTTTTACACATTGATTCATATTATACAATTTTATTTTCTAAGTGTTTGCTCTAACATGCAGGAACAGAGTTGTTTTGGTTCCTGATTTTGAATCCAGCACTTTTTTAAACCCTCATATTAATTATAATAGTTTATTTGTAATTCTTTTACATTTTAATCTACAGATTATCTTTTACAAATAGTAATAATTATTTTTATTTTGTTGTTTTTGGTTGCTATTATTGTTTACCTTTCTAATCCCTATTCTTTGCATTTCTTTTCTCTTACCTTAACTGCATTGTTGAGCACCTTCAGCACAATTTTGAGTAGACACAGGGAGAACACCCATGTGGATAAAGCTTTCACTAGATGACCAATAAGAATAATATTTGTGATAGGCTTTTTGTAGGTGTCTCTTGTTTAGATTAAATAAAATCTTTTCCAGTGCTAGTTTACTAAGCACTTTTTTCTTTTTTCTTTTTTTTTTTTTTTTTTTTTGGCTAAACCATGAATAGAGGTTGATTTTTATCAATCATTTCATTCTTTTTTTTTTTTTGAGACAGAGTCTCACGCTGTTGTGGTGCAATCTCAGCTCACTGCAACCTCCGCCTCCTGGGTTCAAACAATTCTCCTACCTCAGCCTCCTGAGTAGCTGGGACTACAGGCACCTGCCACCAGGCCCAGCTGATTTTTGTATTTTTTGCATTTTTAGTAGAGACAGGGTTTCACCATGTTGGCCAGGCTGGTCTAGAACTCCTGGCCTCAAGTTATCTGCCCGCCTCAGCCTCCCAAAGCGCTGAGATTACAGGCATGAGTCACTGCACCTAGCCAATCATTTTATTCTACTGCATGAAAGGATCATCTGATTTTTTTTCTTTCATCTTTTATGTTCTGAAAAACATCCTGGTCAGGCATGGAATCGCAGTTTTGTTAGCCCCATATCAGGAATTGTTGAATATGCTTTTTTTACTTTTACATAACAATTTATAATTAATTGAAAGTTTGAAATTATTTCTTCTTTTAATATATGTGGTAGATCAATGGTAAAACCTTCTGGTCCAGAATTTTCCATACAAAAGTATGTTTTAGTACTACTTCAATTATATTTAGTTACTGGGTAGTTCAGTATTTTGTTTCTTTCTGAGTTCATTTTTTTAAGTTAGCTGTTTAATTAAATTGTCTATTTTATATAAATTTTCTAATCTATTATCATAAAATTGTTCTTAATATCTTCCTGTTATCTTTATAATTTCTGCTCCCTTTATATGTTCCTTTTTCATTCCTGATGGTGACCTTCAATCTAATCAGATATATGACACTTTGATTTATTTATTTTCTCCAAAGTGTGCTTTGTACTTCTTTCCTTTCTATTTTCATCTTTATTATTTTTTACCTTAGCATTTACTTTCCTTTGCCTTCTCTAAAATTATAAGATGAGAACTTTACTTAATATTGTACCTTTTACTTTTCTGACATAAGTATTTAATGGTATTCAATTTTTCTAGAAGTAACTTTAGCTACTTTCCACACGTTTGATAAATAACTTAAGATGCCATTTTCATTAAAATACCCCGGTGTTTTCGGTATCTGTCTGTCATCATAACTCTTATGATTTCTAGTCTGTTTTAAAATTGCATTCCCAAGAAGAGAAAGCCTATTTCTCCACACACAGTAATAAAGTGAGAAATTTTCAAAATACAAAGTAGTGTTTTAGTCGTGAGCAAAACAAACTAATGACTAACAGAGAGTTTAGAGAGCTGAACCAAGACTTGAACTCTGTAGATCTAAATTCTGTAAAGGAATGTGGGTTTTGTCTTAAATGAGCTTTGTGAACGCTGAATATAAGGGGCTTCCCCTTTAACTTGCCTCTCATTCTTCTCCTTCCTGCCACCATATGAAGAAGGACATGTTTGCTTTTTCCTTCCACCACGATTGTAAGTTTTCTAAGGCCTCCCCAGTCCTGCAGAACTGTGAGTCGGTTAAGTCTTTTATAATTTCTCTTTCCTTTATAAATTATCCAGTCTCAGCTCTTTCTTCATGGAAGCATGAGAACGGACTAATACAAGACCCAATTAATACAAATTAATTAAGCATTTATATAATCTATTTTCCCTAATTCTGACCAACTCTCCTCTTATTCAGTGGTGCCTTCAGTTGTTAAAAAAAAAAAAATCCAATTGATCCTGCTAGAGCATCTTGGCCCACCCAGATTATCAGGGCTCACCCCTGGAATGCAGTTTTCTAAGAGGAGAAGGAAGAATAGGAGGATAAAGGGACTTGGAGGAGGTATTGCTGGGAATGTGACTCTTGGATTCCAGCTGAGCTCCAGGCACAGCTTCAGGTAGGGCTACCTCCTCCATCAGGACAGCAGGTCCCAGGATTCTCCAGGGCTCATAGTGTTGCCTTAGAGGAGATTTTATATGAAATTATTGACCATGGTTACTGAGAGACAAAGTCACCACACTCAACAGCTTGAAAATAGTTATCTATTAATAATTTTATTACTACCTGGTCCTCAAATGCCATGCCATTTACTGCTATATAATCCAAGTGGCTTCAGAGAACAAAAGCAACAGTTTTATATGATACCTAAAGCATACTCCTTTTGTTTTTTTAGGATATTTTTTAAAATTTAGTTTTGTAGTCTAAAATTTGAGTGGCAGCTATTCACTCAAATTTTGAGTGAATAGCTGAAATAATTTGATTGCTGAAATAATCAAGCCAGTTGTGGTCTCATCTAGGAGACTATAATCCGTGTGGACAGCCACCTAGAAGCAAACTTCTGGCCATGGTAGCACAGACTGTGTCATCATTCCAGGTTCTGTGGCCAAGCCCCCCAAACAGGAATCACGTAGTGAAGTTCAAAGAAACTTCCAAAAGGTGCAGCAAAAGAAAGAAAAGAAAAACATAAGAGAAAACATCAAGATAATAGAGACCCAATGCAGAAGATCTAACTTCCAGTCAATAGAAATTTCAGAAATAGAGAAAGAAAAAAATAGATGCTATGAAATCAATTTTAAAAAATCCTAGGTAATTACCTGGATCTAAAAGACACAAGGATTCCAGATGAGAAGCCCAATTGACTGCCAGTGCATGTTTTAAAAATGACTCATTAAATGTGAAATTTTGAAGCAACATGTAAAGAAACAATTCCAAATCTTCTGAGGAAGCTTCTTTAAAAATAAAAACTGGCAGTGTTCAATACCTAAGTATAATGGAACAGAAATCTTCAAAGATTAGACACAAAAAGGATTTCAATCCAAAATTCAAATGTTACAGTAGAATAGAGCCACTCTCCGATATGAAAGGACTCAAAAACATGTTTCAGCTGTCCTTTCTTAAGTAATACAGGAAAATCAGGAGATAAACCAAGAAGGAAGAAAATACAAGAACCAACAAAAAGTGGCTTCAACCCATATTAAAGAAAAAACAAATATTCCAGGTTGACAGTTATGCAGGAGGTCAAGGAGCAACCAGTCTGGATTTATCTAGGGGGAAGCTGTCCTTCAGTAGGGAAGAGTCCAGGAAAAATGAGTCAATCAAAATATTTAATATCATTTTAAATACATTTTTAACAATTCAGAGCAATTTAAGGAAGAAATATAAAATAAGGCAAGAGAAAAGGAGAAAGAAAGTGATAGAGAAAAGGAAATATAGTCACTAACTGGCCTGTCAGTGAATAATATTTAGAAGCCATAATAATTAAAAAACTGTATTGATCCTCAACTTTACAATGAACCTATAGACTAAGCATGATAATAGAATACAATATTTGTATTTTAAGCTAGACTACTATAGCTGAACAATACTGAAATACCAAAAAGAAAAAACTTCTCAGTGGCTTACAGTAACAAAGACTGATTTCTCATTCACGTATGTCTTTTGTGAATTCATTGCAATTCTTTTACAGATTGTCTCTATTCAGAATCTAATCAAAGGAGCTGGGTCTATCTGATACATGCTATTCTCACGGCAGAGGAGACAGAGAGCACTTTCCCAACCCCTTGAATCAGAGCTGGCCTGTGACTTTCTGTGGCCAAGAGAAGGTGGTGGATATGATGTGTGCCAGTAGAAGCCCAAGCCCTTGCAAACTTCTGCCCTCTCTCCAAATCTCACCACCATGGAAACATGTGGAGACTAAAGTGTGGAATTAGGAGAAGCCACATGGAGAAGAGCTTTAACACCTGGAGGCCATCCAGGACCAGCTGATCACAAGTGCATGAGGGGGTTGGGCTGAGATCAGCTACTGAGGCCAGACTGGTACAGCAGACCTTCCAGCTAACACTAAGACCTGTGAGCAAAAATAAATGCTTATTGATAAATGCTGCTGTGATTTGTTGGTTATTTGTAATGCGGTATTAATATGGTGATAGATATCTGATACTTGTGATAGCAAGAATTAAAGATATTCTAAAATTAATAAATCAAAACCAGAAATAGATATGTTATTTAGCTGTATGGAACTAATAATCAAAATAACTAAATGTAAAACAAAAACGAAAAAATTAGGAGTATTTCCTACTGGGAAGCAGAACTGAATATGAGAAAAACTATTGCTGTTTTTCTCTGTGGGCACGTCTGAATAATTTTTTTTCTGACTTTTCAAGGTCTAGACTTTTATTTATTTTAGACTGTTTTTCAAAATATCTTTAATTTGTATAACAACTTTACAATTAAAACCCAAGACAAACGGAGTGACATCATTTACGTGGTGGATTAGATTATTCTGGCCTTCATAACTCCACAGAAACACCAATTTTGATCGCCTTCCATAGACATAAATATTTCTTTGAGAATCCAGGAGTCCAGTGGAGAGATTCCAGCATCACACTGAAAAAAAAATTTGAGAATAGTGAATAATTTTGTTAATATAACCATCTAATACCTTTTAAAAATTCAGAGATTTGGAGGGCTTCAAGCGATTTGGCTGACTAGTGGCAGCTGGTACTCACCTCTCCCATGAAGAAGAACCAAAATAGCTAGTATATAATCACACTTCAAATAGATCATCTAAGACAGAACATTGGAATTCAAATAGAGAAGTGACAAGAAACCTTTAAAGCAGGAAAGAGAGAGAAGTGCGGTAACCTGCTCAGTCAGGATGGCTGGGAGCCTGAAGAGAATTCTCAACCCAAAAAAAGGGTAATGGAGAGATCCCCAGGGATTCACATCCCTTCTGCAGACTCCTGCAATCCTAGCCATGGGAGAACCTCTCAATGCCCTCAGGCCCTGAGACTAACGTAGGGAGCTGCCTGGAGACCATGAAACAGCACCACTCCAGAGATGAATCTCACACTGTATCCCACACACCCCCAAGTCATAAGCAGCTAAGCAAGGCACCATAGTGAGAGTCTAGTCCCCCCTAGACTACCTCCTACCCTCAGGCCCAACCACCCCTGCATCTCCACCTCCCTGGAGTCCCATTGACATGCTTCATCTAGAGCCATGACTGCAGTTGCCTGCAGCCACCATAGCTGAAACACAAGCCATTGGCAATGACACACTGCCCCAGCAGCAGCACTGCCATGCATTTTTACATGCCCCAAAGTCAGACTCCCCTGCCTGCAGTGACCACCACTGCTGGCTGCCTCCACTGAAGCATGGGCCACTGGCCGTGACTCCACTGCCTCCAGTACTGGAATTGCCATGCATTCAAAAGTGTCTTGAGGAAAGAATCTCTCACCCACAACTACCATCTGGGGCAAAAGTGCACACTTTTGAGCCAGCTACCTACAGTTGTTGCCACAGAAAGCAGCCCAGCCCTCCCCAGTAGCAGGGCTATAGCACATTCCACCAGGGACCTGAGAATCACCTCGCCCCTGTGCACCACAGCTAGCATGTACATGGACTACCAGGGAGCCTGAGGACATGTCCTTCTCACCTAGCTCCACCCTGTCCCCCGTGTGGCTAAGCATGCCTTCCAGGAACCTGGAGGTCACCCAGCCCTATGTACCACTGTTGCCTCCTGAATACTCCTCCCAGGGGCCTGAGAATGGGGCAGCCAAACCTGCCATTACCACCACAGCTGACACATACCTGCACACACCAACTACAGGCATTGGAACTGGGCCACCAGGGCCATCACAGCCACCACCAAGAGTAGACCAGTTGGGAACCAGAGGGTGGTTCTGCCACTGCTACTGGCATTGCCCATGCCACACTGGTTACCTAGAGCCCCAACGATCTGCCCAACCTCCTGGCCTACTGCTGCCACTATTAGCACCGGAGAAAGTTGCCTGGAGACCCAAAAATTGGCCCCCCTGTACCTACTACCATGGGTGCCATCATATGCTACCCTGGGGCCCAAGGACAGGTATGCTCAGCCCCCCACTGCCACCACTAGAAACCAAGAACTGGCTCACCTGGCATCCCTTTACCTGCAAAACTTCTCCACAGATTACACTAACACCCTTAGCCACTGAGGAAATCACAGACACCAATGACACTGTTCACAGCTTAAGAATCACAAGGAGACAACATTTCTGTATGTACCCAGAATCAAAGCCAAAATCTCTACCCAACCAATATCATACATCTTCAGAAAAAAAGTTGTTTCCTACCAAAGCAAATTCAAAAATTTAGGAGAAGCAACTGTTAGATCAGATGAACAGATATCAATGTAAGGACATAAGAAATAAGAAATAGCAATGATATATTATACCTCCAAAAAAATGATAATTCTCCAGCAGCAGATTCCATTGGGGAAAAATTATGAAATATTATAAAATAAAACAAAATAATGATATTAAAGAAGCTCAGTGAAGCCAGTGTGGTTGCACATTCCTGTAGTCCCAGCTATGCCAGAGGTTGAGAAGCAGGGATTACTTGAGCCCAAGAGGTCAAGTCTACCTTGGGCAACATAGTGAGACACGGTATCTAAAATAATAATAAAAGTTCAGTGAGATACGAGAGAACACAGATAAACAACACAAAGAAATCAAAAAAGAAATTCAGAATATAAATGTGAAATTTACCAAAGAAATTGGTATAATAATATAGAACAAAAAAGAAATTCTACAACTAAAGAATTCATTGAATGAAAGAAAGTAAATATTGTTGAAAGTTTTGACAATAGACTAGGCCAAGTAGAATAAAGAATTTCAGGAATTTAATGTAGGTCTTTTGAAATAACCCAGTCAGATAAACATTTTTTTAAGAATTTTTTTTAAAAAGAGAACAAAACCTATGTGGCATATAGGAAACATAAAGCAACCAAATATTCAGGTTTTCAATGTCTCAGAAGGTGAAGAGGAAACAAAAGTGGTAGAAAACCTATTTAACAGAACAATAACCGAAAATGTCTGGAATGTAGCAAAAGATGCAGACATCCAGTTACAGGAAACTCAGAAATAAATAGATACAATTTCAAAAGATCTTCTTCACAATGAATTATCATTAAATTATCAAAGGACAAAGATAAAGAGAGAATTCTAAAAACAGCAAGAGAAAAGGATCTAGTCACTTATAAGGCAATCCCCATGAAAGTAACAGTGGATTGCTCAGCAGAAACCTTACAGGCAAGAAGACAGAGGATGATATATTCAAAGTGCTGGGGAAAAGAAACAAGGATACTATACCCCCTAAAGTTATCCTTTATAAATGAAGGAGAAATAAAGTCTTTCTCAGACAATCAAAAACTGAGGGACTTCATCATCACTAGCCCAGTCCTACAAGAAATATTAAAGGGAGTCATGCCTGGAAGAAAAAAAAATGGTATCCATGACGATGACAACACACGGGAGTATAAAACCCACTGGTAGAGCAAACACAGAAGAGAAAGAACTGAAATGTTACCACTATAGAAAATCACCAAATTACAATGATAAACAATAAGAGACAAAGATAGGACCAAAGATACACAAAATAACCAAAAACTAATTAATAAAATGACACTAATAAGCCCTCACATCTCAATAATGACCTTGAATGTAAATGGATTAAACTTTCCACTTAAAATACATAGACTGGCTGAATGGATAAAAAGCATGACACAACTATATGCATCCAAAAAGAAACTTATCTAATCTGTAAAGACACATATAGACTGAAATTATAAAAGCATAGAAAAAGATATAACAATTATAAATCCAGGCACACCCAATACTACAGCACCTAGATATTCAAGACAATTATTATTAGATCTAAGGGAGAGAGAGAATCCAATATAATAATAATTAGAAACTTGAATGATCCACTCTCAGTATTAGAGAGATCATCTAGACAGAAAATTAAGAAAGAAACTTTAAACTGCACATTTAACAAAATGGACCTAACAGATATTTGCAGAATATTTCATCCAACAACCACAGAATGTACATTCTTCTCATCAGCACATGAAAACTTCTCCAGGACAGAACATACGTTAGGATGCCAAACAAGTCTAAAAAAAGTTTTAAATATTGAAATCATATCAAGTATCTTCTTGGAATAAAACCAGAAACTGATCACAATGGGATAAAACTATAAATCAATAATGAGGAATTTTGGAAACCGTACAAATACATGGAAATAGAACAACATGCTCATGAATGACCGTTAGGTCATGAAAAAAAATAAAAGAAGGAAATAAAAAAATTTCTTAAAACAAATGACTATTGAAGCTATGGATTACATAAAAACAGTGCTAAGTGAGAATTTTACAGCATTAAATGCTTACATCAAAAAAGCAGAAAGATTTTAAATAAACAATGTCACCCAAGAAACTAGGAAAGCAAGAGCAAACCAAACCCAAAATTGGAGAAGAAAAGAAATAATGAAGACCAGAGCAAAACTAAACAAATTAGATACTAAAAAAAAAAAAACAACAACAACAACAAAAAAAAAACCACACACACAAAGAAATAATGAACAAAAAGTGAAATAATGAACAAAAAGTTGGTTTGTTAGGAGATAAATAAAACTGCTAGCTAAAATAACCAAGGCGGGGGGAAGAAAAGACACAAATGAACAAAAACAAAGAAAAAAGAAAAAAATCACAATTGAAACCACAGAAATACAAAAGATCTTACTATAATAAACAATGATATACTAAAAAACTGGAAAATGTAGAGGAAATAGATAAATTCCTGAATACATACAACCTACCACAATTGAATCAGGAAGAAATAGAACACTTGTACGGTGTAATGAGATTGGCCAGTAATGAAAAGTCTCCCAACAAAGAAAAGTCCAGGAACAGATGCCTTCATTGCTCAATTCTGCCGAACTTTCAAAGAAAAACTAACATAAATTCTTCCTCAAAGTATTCAAAAAAATTGAAGAGAAGGGAATTCTTCCTAAATCATTCAATGAGGTAAGCATTACTCTGACACCAACATCAGACAAGGACACACACACACAAAAAGAAAACTATAGACCAATTTCCCTGATGAACATACATACAAAAATCTTCAGAAAATTACTATCAAACTGAAATCAACAAAACATCCAAAGATTATATACCATGATTAAGGGGGATTTATCCCAGGGACACAAGGATGGTTTAATACACAGAAACCTATAAACATAAATCACCACATCAATACCATAAAGGAAAAAACATACAATTATTTTGATAGATGAAGAAAAAGCATTTGATAAAATTCAACATCTCTTCATGATACAAACACTCAACAAACTAAGCACAGAAGAAACATACTTCAATGTGATAAAGTCCATGTATGGGAAACACACAGTCAACATCATTCTAAATGAGGAAAACCTGAAAACCTTTCCTCTAAGAACTGAAACAAGACAAGGATGCCCACGTTCATCACTCCTGTTCAATAAGGTACTAGAAGTTCTAGTCAGGACATTCAGACAAGAGAAAACCATCCAAATTGGAAAAGAAGAGGTCAGATTTTTACTCTTTGCAGATGACATGATCTTGTATCTAGAAAAGCAGAAAGACACCACCAAAAAACTCTTAGATTTTATAAATAAATTCAGTAGTTACAAGATACAACATCAAAATAAACATCAATAGCATTTCTATACACCAATAATGCATTAGCTAAGGAAGAAATTATAAAGGCAATCCCATTTACAACACCTACAAAAAAGAAGAATACCCAAGAATAAATTTAACTAAGGAGATGAAAAGTTTTAGAAGGAAAACTACAAAACACTGATGAAAAAAATTAAAGAACACTAAAACAAATTGAAAGATATTCCATACTCATGAAGCAGAAGAACTACTATTGTTAAAATGACCATACTGCCCAAAGCAATCTACAGATTAAATGAATCCATATCAAAATACCAGTGTCATTCTTCACAGAAATAGAAAAAAAAAATTCTAAAATTCATTTGGAACCAAAAAACACCCTGAATAGCCAGAGCAATCCTGAGCAAAAAGAGCAAAGCTGGAGGCATCACACTACCTGACTTCAAAATATGTTACAAGGCTATGGTCAACAAAATAACATGCTATTATATAAAAGCAGATACATAAACCAAAGGAAAACAATAAAGAACCCAAAAATAAACCTCCATATTTACAACCAACTGAATTTGACAAAGATGCCAAGAATATACATTGGGGAAAGGACAAATTTATCAATAAATTGTTCAGAAAAAAATGGAATTCATACGCAGAAGAATGAAACATGGGCTTATATCTCTCATCATATACAAGAGCCAACTCAATATGGATTAAAGACTTAAATGTAAGACCTGAAACTATAGAACTACTAGAAGAACACACAGGAAACATACTCTATGATGTAAGAGTATGCAAGGGGTTTTCGGGTAAGACTTCAAAAGCACAGGTAATAATAGCAATTTCACAAAAAATACTAAAAATAGAACTACCATTCAATTCAGCAATCTAACTACTGTGTGTGTATACAAAGGAAAATAAATCAGTATATCAAAGGGATGCCTGAACTTCCATGGTTATTTCAGCACTATTCACAATAGCAAAGATGTGTAATCAACCTAAGTGCCCATCAACCTAAGTGTCCATCAACGAATGAATGGAAAAAGAAAATATAGTATATATATACAATGAAATACTACTTGGTTGCAAAAAAGAATGAAATCATGTCGTTTGCAACAACATAGATGAAACTGGAGGTCATTATCTTAAGTGAAATAAGTCAAGCACAGGAAGGCAAACATCTCATGTTCTCACTCATATAAAGCTAGAAAAGTCAATATCATGGAGATAGATATCATGGAGAATAGAATGATAAGATACCTGAGGCAGGGAAAGGTATTTGTGGGGGATGGGGGGGATGTTGGTTAATGGGTACAAACAAAAAGATACAAGGAATAAGTTTTAATATTCAACAGTAGAGTAGGGTGACTAGTTTACAACAATGTATTCTATATTTCACAATAGCTAGGAGAGAAAAATTAAAATGTTCCTAACAAAGAAAAATGATAAATACCCCAGGCGATGGATAGTCTAAATTTCCTGATATCCTGACTTGATCATTACACATTCTATTCATGTAACAAGATATCATATGTACCCCGTAATTGTATACAAGTATTATGAATTCTTAAAAAATAGCAATAGAGACTCTTCTTATTTCCTGTATTAGTTATATCCAAGCTACTCTCTTGCTGGAGCAACTATGGTGGTGGTTGTAGTGGTGTAGTGATGCTGGTGATGATGATAATGATGATGATGATGAAGACAAGGATGATATATTCCTGCTAATAAACCTCAATTAAATGACTGCTAATTATGTGTCAAGCATTCTGCCAACCAAATTTCAGATAGTAATTCAATTTTATGCCTTAGACTAGCTTTGTTATGTAAATGTTATTTTGCTCACTTTGCAGTAAAGAGACTGACATTTGGGGAAGTTGAATAATATGTTCCTTGAATCAATCAAAACACTAACTAAGGAAAATAAAACGGGTTTAAAATCACACAGAAATAATCTTTAGTATGACCCAAAATTCCTACAATAATCATGAGAGCCTGGTCCTGGGGACCAACGAAAGATAGAAATAAATCCAAATGATCATATGATATTGTTAATAAAGTAGGTTTAAACAGAAATGAAATATCCATTCACAAAAATATAGGCATAGCTACTTTATTCAGGGAGTGAAAGAAAAGTGACAATTGCACAGATAGTAGAAGCTCATGCCAGGTGACAGACAGAGACAGAAGACATCAAAATAATTCTTTGATGGCACCCAAAGAGAAGCTCTGAAAGGCCGGTACAGCTGAGGACTTCCTTTGCTCAGTCTCCACCTGGACAGTGGCAGCATGGCAGCCTCAGAAAGGAAACATTTTGCTGTCGGGGATCATCATGGGCAGATCACAGGCTAAGGGGAAAGAAGCTCCCTGTGTATCCCTGGATGGCTTTGATGAGAAGATGCAGGTGGAGCTGTGGAACGAGGTGAGCCAATTATCCCTATCCTTTCGTGGTCCTGATGAATTCCGAAGCTGTTACTTGCTCTTGGGTGGACACTTTGGCTGGCAGGGTGGGGAAGGTGTCACCAGAGGATATTTCTGCTGGCACTGCTGAGGTGGGCAGGGCTGTGGACACTTTGGTGGTGGGCAGGGCTCAGGGCACTTCAGGGGTGGACATGGCTCTGGACGCTTTGGCAGGCGGCACACAGGAGGTGGCTGGCAGGGCTGCTTACATTGCTACTGTTGATAAGACATCCTGCTGGAGTCTCAGAATCTGAAAGAAATTATATAACAGGGTTCACAGGAAGGGACTCCTACAAAGAAAAGCCAACGTTTATGTAATACCATGGGCTATTTCTCCAGTCTCCAAAAAATTATTTAAACTCCTAATTCCCTTTTCATGACTCTCTGGTTTCTCCTTTCCACTTTAGCAAATTGCTTTATCAACCCTGGGAAATCCTGTGTTTTCTCATGCAATTTTTCTAAAGAAAATATCTCTGTTATAAAGAATCAAGCATGAAAATAACCACTTCATGAAAGGCAGTCACAAGTTCAGATACTCTGGGCAATCTCAGAAGCTATTCCTATCATCATTATCTGTTGTAAAGCCCCAGTGGGCTGATGGGCAAAGAGCAAAGGGCTGTTTGGGAAGAATTGCAGGCTCTCACACCTGCTAAAACACAAATGTTTGAAAAGGACACCAGAAAGATATAGAAAAAAGGAAAAACACTTTGCTTTTACCTCTTCCTCAAATCAAAGCCTTCCTATTAACTTCGCTGTTCATATGAACACCAAGCTACTTACAAAAAAAAGCTAAAACAATGTGTCATTATGATCTAATCCTAAGGTTCCATCCACTAAGTAGTGTCAAAACTGTCATCAGAGGTTTGGATCAACCATACTTTCTGTCTTCAGATTAAATTCAACTTTTGAGGGCCCAAAGAACAGAGAAATTCAAGTAAGCAGACTCACCAGGTTCTCCAAAGCAGATCGGTGCTCAAGTACCAGGAGTTTAGGAGTCATGAGGCTGAGAACCTCTTCACAGGGCCTGCTGCCCCACCCAGGGGGAAACGGAACTGCCTAAAATGGGCTGGTCCAGTAATGTCCCATCCAAAATGCAAATTTATCCATAACTGGTATGACAGGGAATCTCAAAAAAGGAAATATCCTGTTCTGAGGTCTCCCGCTGGATTAAGTGCTCATGACTCACAGAGGCCCTGCCTTAGCTCTCAGTTTCAGTGACTTATGGCAGAGAGAAAATTGGGGGATTCTCTAACTGGTGGTCCAAGGCTGTCTTTCTTGATTGGGGGAAAGGATCCCTTTCTATCTTAACCTTTCCCTGAATTGTAAAACTTCCTGCTCTGATCCACTTTAGCTGATTTCTATATTGTTGTACATGAACTCAACTCTACCTCTACTCCCTTAGTATAATTTGCCAATTTGCTAGAAGTAATGAGAAACTGAACATAGTTCTATCATTGGCAAGTCCTGTGATCACAGGTAGGTCACTTCTCCTCCCTGGGTTTGAGTCTTTCTGTGTTCACAGGAGAGAATAATACCTGGCTCTGGGTTGGAGACTGTCCACATTGTGCTATTTGTAGACTCTTCTTCAAGCCTGAAATTTTTTCCTCTCTTTTTTTTTTCCTATATAATCCTGGGTTTGACCTATATTCTTTGTGTTTTTAGAGCTGTCTTTTCCACCCAATCCATAGAGGCATTTCTCTGCTAGGACAGATTCCACAGTGGAATCAAGTCCCCTCGGTGTTTTTCCTCCTTGCTGCCCTCAAAGATGTGTACTACAGACCTTTTAAGGAATTAAAAAATGTACTCTTAATCGCCAAATTAAAGAAAGGAGAGAAGTGAACAAAAACCACAAGGAGTCACCTAAAACCTATTTATTGAACCATGCCTGAGACAATGGGGTTTTCTAGATATACAATCATGTCATCTGCAAACCGGGACAATTTGACTTCCTCTTTTCCTAACTGAATACCCTTTATTTCCTTCTCCTGCCTAATTGCCCTAGCCAGAACTTCCAACACTCTGTTGAATAGGAGTGGTGAGAGAGGGCATCCCTGTCTTGTGCCAGTTTTCAAAGGGAATGCTTCCAGTTTTTGCCCATTCACTATGATATTGGCTGTGGGTTTGTCAGAGATAGCTCTTATTATTTTGAGATATGTCCCATCAATACCTAATTTATTGAGAGTTTTTAGCATGAAGGTTGTTGAATTTTGTCAAAGGTCTTTTCTGCATCTATTGAGATAATCATATGGTTTTTGTCTTTGGTTCTGTTTATATGCTGGATTACATTTATTGATTTGCTTATATTGAACCAGCCTTGCATCCCAGGGATTAAGCCCACTTGATCGTGGTGGATAAGCCTTTTCATGTGCTGCTGGATTCGGTTTGCCAGTATTTTATTGAGGATTTTTGCATCAATGTTCACCAAGGATATTGGTCTAAAATTCTCCTTTTTGGTTGTGTCTCTGCCCGGCTTTGGTATCAGGATGATGCTGGCCTCATAAAATGAGTTAGGGAGGATTCCCTCTTTTCTATTGATTGGAATAGTTTCAGAAGGAATGGTACCAGTTCCTCCTTGTACCTCTGGTAGAATTCGGCTGTGAATCCATCTGGTCCTGGACTCTTTTTGGTTGGTAAGCTATTGATTATTGCCACAATTTCAGAGCCTGTTATTGGTCTATTCAGAGATTCAACTTCTTCCTGGTTTAGTCTTGGGAGGGTGTATGTGTCGAGGAATTTATCCATTTCTTCTAGATTTTCTAGTTTATTTGCATAGAGGTGTTTGTAGTATTCTCTGATGGTAGTTTGTATTTCTGTGGGATCGGTGGTGATATCCCCTTTATCATTTTTTATTGCGTCTATTTGATTCTTCTCTCTTTTCTTCTTTATTAGTCTTGCTAGCGGTCTATCAATTTTGTTGATCCTTTCAAAAAACCAGCTCCTGGATTCATTAATTTTTTGAAGGGTTTTTTGTGTCTCTATTTCCTTCAGTTCTGCTTTGAACCATGCCTATGTGGTTCCTCACAGCAGAGAACAAGATGCGTAGACTCACACCATCACATGTAAATTCTGGAGACTGGAGATACACACAAGGCTCTTCCCACTGCTGCTTCTACTTTTATATTCCTCACTGCTCCATAAATCATTTCCAGTGCTGGGGAGGGTTAAGGCCTTCCCCCATGGCCTGGATTGCCAGGTTACCTGGTGGTGTATATCCTGGAGGCAGTCCATCCCCCCTCATACTCTGAAAAACTCTGTTTTCTGCCTGGCTCACAGTGTAGGTTGCAGCCTGCAGCTTCTTTCAAAGGATGTATGGGGTTTTGTTTTTTTGTGTGTGGGGTCTTTTTTTTTTTTTCAGTTTTCCTGTTAAGTTCCTGCATTACTTCCTGGGAAAAAGTTCACAGTGTGGATCTCTACACACTATTTTGTCTTTCCAAGTGAGAGAGGCATGCTAACAATGTCTCCAATCCACTATCTTGGAAAAATAAAAACAAACTTCACTCAGAATTTTAAGGCCTTTATCCGTTGACTCCTAGCAGCCTGTATTGCTGATAAAGTGATGCTAAGGATTACCTGGAAAAGGAATTTCTTTATAAATCTGGAGGTGGACTTGAAGATCCAACTAAAGAGGATCTTTTAACTTCAGGGGACAAAGGAGCCAAAAGTCCTCTTGATTGGGTATGAGAGTTGATTAGGAAAGAAAGAGAAACAGAGTAGAATGATGAGGGAAACCTCAATGTGTTTTTTTTCTCTTAGCTGCACAAATTGTGGAAGGTAGCTGAATCCTGCATCTGCTTTGAGACACTTATTTCTCCCACACATTCTTTATTAGGGAATTACATAAGGATATTCTTCAATGAGTAGTGGCATAAGCTCAAGAAACAGAAAGGTAGAGAAATGGTGGGTTTAATCCAGGAAATTATTTAAGAAGGGGAGAGGACAAGGGGTGTACAGGAGACCTGGAGAGCTGTCAGCACAGACTGGAAAAAACAAACAAACAAACAGAGGCCTCCAGAAATGAAAATCTGAAAAACAAGAAGGAGAACAGACTCTATATCATCTTTTAAATTTTCAAACAATCCAACAAGAAAATAAAGGCTATTGAAGCTTTAAAATATAGATATGGAAGAAGCTAATAAATGCAGCCCCTGCAGTAAATTCTTATAAAACTGCTTTGTCAAATACAACCATCCAAGAGATATAATCTACTAAACATCTCATAGATGGGAAGCTATGGTAAGAGAAATAGTAGTTAGCAATGTATCATTTTAAATAATGAAATAAGCATAGTCATCTGTAGGAACTGAGGTCATAAAACAGAGCATCGGTATTTATAAACCCTAACAATGTGAAAATTTCTATATAACTAGCAAAAATGTTGAAGTAAAAATGGGTTGGGAAGATACAAATTTACTCAACATTTATATTGGTAATTCTATAATTAATATCTGATATTGAAATGTGGAGATAAGAAAATAATGACTCCAAATGCTTTTCATTTTAAGACCTGCTTATTCAGACTGTTGCAGAAATCTGAGCACGGGAGAAAATTTTGCCTGAAGTTTGACAATTCTTAATTATATCTTGCTTTCCTTTTCTTCTGTTAAATTAAATTAATGCATTAAAAATTCCAGCTACGGCACTTCTCTATTCTTTCTATCTCTTTTTCTACTTACTATGCATGGAAAGGTATCTATAATGATGGCTGTTCATGTTAATGATGGTTACTTTGGAAATAAACTGTGATTATCTTTGGGCAAAAAGAAAGAGCATAGACTCAGATAGAGAGGATCATAGCTTTTCTGTGCTGTTGAAGTTTTTTAACTTTATAGCAGTATCATTGTAAATAAGACAGAAATGGTAGCTATTTTGGTAGATAACCACAAGAAGGTTCACAACTGGACTGTGTGTGCTCTAACACAACTTTACATAACACCTACCATTGCACCATTTACTCCAGACCTACTGAACGACAAAGCAGTCTCTGGAACATTGCAGGTGTCTGTGTGTGTTCTCTGATGTTGCCCCCTGCATCTGGAATACTTTACCTTTCAGCTCTCCCTGATGATCACCTGCATATGCTTCTACAATCTGCTCAGTCATCTGGAGGTTTTCCTTGCTCCACCCCTATCTTCTCAAGTAGAATCAAATGACCCCAACTGTTCCTTATAGAACATAATTTTAACACAGTATGCATACCAGAATTGCAATTATTTTATTTTACATATGATTCTAAGGTTTTTGAGGGCAAGCAAAATGGCTTATCATTTATCGCTTGAGCTTAGTGCCTGGAAAATATATACTCAAAACTTATGAAGGCAAGAAGGAAGGAAAAATCAGATAAATAGGGTGGGCATGTCAGAGGGAAGAAGGAAGAAATGAAAGAGAGTAAGATGAAAACAAAAGAAGAGCTAAAATAATCTGTCTCAAATCAAACAATTACAGGCTTTCCGCCTTTTTGAAAAAAAGAAGATGCTTGCATGTGTATTTTAAGTATTAGTCTTAGTAACTTTCCCAAGTTTTTCTGCCTCAACCACATAAATACTAACAAAAGATAAAGAAATACAGGATAAACATATGGTAAACACATATCAAAGAAAACACTTGACAAAACAAATCATTTCATTCAGTACCCTACTATTTCAGTGGACTAGCTTGAACATTTTAATTGTATTTTTAGTTGTAGTTATGACATATGTGTTATATAATAATAAAATGGTACACAAAATTTTACAGAGAAAAAAAATGCTGCCTCTCACCTCATCATTTGACCATGCAATTTCCTATCCTACTTAAGCTTTTCTGAGAGAAGGAAGGAAGAATAAATACAGATGAGGCAGATTTCAGAGGTGAGTTTCAGTTCATGTTGGGCTTTGTAGATCACTGTAGAGACTGTGTCTCATATTCTGATTTAGAAGGGAAGTATCTGGCTAGAGAAGTGACATTATCTTTAAGAGGTTAATTCTGACTACTGTGTTGAGCATTTGTCATATAGAGCAAGGATGAAAGCGGGGAGAGAGTAAGGAGGCTATAGAAATAATGCAGATATTCAGGTGGCTTGAAGCAGGGTCATAGCAATATCTGCAGCAACAGACAATTCAAAAATAAAATGTTAAAATCCACTTATAATAACATTTGAAATAAATACCAAAAAACTTTAAGAAAAGATGTGCAAGACCTTTCACTGAACACTGTGTACTTCTCTGCTTAGAGAAAGTAAATATATGGACAGATATTGCTTGTTCATGGATCAAAAAGTCAGTACTGCTAAGTTTTGTCAATACTGTCAGTTCTTCTCAAATTGAGCCATAGATTTAATATAATTTCAGTCAAACCCCCTCAGTGTCTTTTAAAGAATTCGCAAGCTAATTATAAAATGTATGTGGAAATATATAGTACTTGGAGCAGGACAAATGAATATTTATTCTAGAACCAAACTAATCAGATGTAGTATTAGCATAAAAATAGACATAGAGATCAATAGAATAGAATAAAGTCCAAAAATAGACCCACATGGATATGTATCTATATCTATATAGTTAGTTGGTTTTCAATGAAGGTGTCAGGGTAATTTAATGGGCAAAAAAAAGAAACTTGTCAGCAAATGGTACTCAAGCAATTGGATATTAATATGGGAAATAGTGAATCTTGATTCTTACTTCACATATACAAAAATTAATTCAAAATATATCACTAAGATAAAAAATAAAACATTCTGCAATTCTGGAGGAAAACAGGAGAAAATCTTAGTTACAGTGGGTTAGGCAAATTACCATTAAAGCTAAGTATCCAAAATATACTAAAAATTCATAAAAAGTAGTCAGAAAAAAACAGCTCAATAGAAATGGGTAAAAGCCTTTAGCAGGCACTTCACAAGAATGTATGTCAAAATGATTAATAAACATATTTTTTAAAACTTCTAAAAGACATTAATATTTAATAAAATGCATATTCAAAGTACAATAAAAGATAATTATGCCCATACCAGATAGGTAAACTATGAAGGGTGACATTGATTGATTAGCTGAAGGAGGGAAAGGAAGCATAAAATCTACTACACAGCTCTAGGCATTTAAATTGGGACAGCATTTTAGAAAACAGTTTGGCATCACCTACCAAAGTTGAAGATGCACATACTTCTGGGTGTATATCCTAGAGAAATGTGTGAGCTTGTGCACCCACAGGCAGGAAGAAAACATCATGATGGCACTATTCATAACAATACCAAATAGGGAACAACCCGATGTCAACCAAGAGTAGAATAAATAAGGATACAAAAGTGTTGTGTATTTATACAATGATATGCTAAAATGCAATCATGAATAAGCAAAAATTACACAATGATGGTTGAAAGGAGACAGGCAAAAAAATGACATACTGTATGGTTCCATTTATATGCAATTCAAAAACTGGAAAACTTAACTATATCTATTAATATAGATCCCTCTATATTAATGGTTAAAAAATAAAATAAAAAGCAAGAAAGTAATTATGTTAAATGTCAGCAGAGTGTTTACTTCCAGTGATGAAAGTATAGAGTGTTATTGAATAAGGCAATGTGGAGTCTTTAGAAAGTTTGGTAATGTCATTTTTCTTCAATTTGGCATTGGTTGCATGAGTGCTCAGCTTGTAATTATTCGCCCTGTACAGCTAAAGTTTATGAACTTTCCGAATGTGTTGATTATATTTCGCCTAAAATAAAGGATTTTTTATTTTTGTTTTTCTTAAAGACAAAATGTGGCCTGGGGGTTAGGAGGAACTGTCAACAACATTAAGCCAGAGCTTTATTCAACAGCTTACTGTTAAGACAATAACTTGGAGTTATTCTGTATTGCCTTGTGTAAACTTTACCTTCTAACATTCCTGTTGGGGCTTGGAGCACAGCAAGAACAAAATTCCCTAAGCATTCTGCTAGCTGCAATTTGATGAAACTAATCAAATATATTTCCCTTTAAGATGTGAAAACAGGTAGACCTACTTTTCATTTGGGCAGTCCCTCTTAGCAAAAGAGTTTTAATTAATTCCTCAGTTCTTTTCAACTTTTAAAAAAATATGTTTGAAATACCCTATGTACTTCTGGTTGAAATGCTATGCAAAAGTAATTATATACAATTGTTGAGTTATGTACAATAAAATTTCAAGACTTTGACCATCCTAAGATGGCTGTCAAACTTCAAGTATATATCGAAATCATGACTGTATCCTAGAGATCCAACCTCTCTGACCTCATTTGCAGACATTTCTCCTTGACCACCATTTTCCTTTTTGTTATTTTGTATTTCTTTTTTTTTTTTTTTTTTTTTTTTTTTTGAGACAGAGTCTCGCTCTGTCGCCCATGCTGGAGTCCAGTGGCACGATCTCGGCTCACTGCAAGCCCGCCTCTCGGATTCACGCCATTCTCCTGCCTCAGCCTCCCGAGTAGCTGGGACTACAGGCGCCCACCACCACGCCCGGCTAATGTTATTTTGTATTTCTTTAGCACTGGCCATTTCTTCCAACAGGAACAATCTACCCCTGATATACCCATGGCTCCCTCTTCTATTCATTCATGTCTTTGAGCCAAAAGTCACTTCAAAGGGTCTTTCTAAATAATTTTCTTTAAATATAGCCCATGTATTACTATAATTTGTCCTGTGTGTGGGAGGTGTGTGGGGGTCGGGGGGTGGGGGTGATATGTAACTCTCTTAAGACTGTAGACTCTATAAGAGCAAGGACTTTGTTTGGTCATCATTATCCCTATCAGCAGTGCATAGAAGACTGGCTGGCACATGATAGACAATTAGGAAACATTTGTGAATAAATCAATTGCTATGAGTACACTCAGCTGAATACATGCTCTCTTACTTTTTACAGATGATGAAACTGAAGCTAAGAGAGTTTAGGTAATTTTTTCAGCCATACAAGCTAGAAGGGGTAAAAATGAGTTTTAAACCAATAAAAGAGAATTATTTGTTGTACCGAATCCAAAACACACATTGCACGCAACACTGAATTCAGTGATGGAAAAGCCTAATAATTCTAATAATTCAATAGGAATGAAAAGGAACATTCACTTGGTGTAGTTAACAGAAGAGGTTAAAGACACGAAATGCAAACAAAAGCAATGTGGGCTTGACCATGAAACATGTGCTTTATTGGGGAGAAGCAAAAGAATAAACACACTTGCTCTCAGGATAGGAACCACCATCTACATCACAGACAGCAAAGCGAGATTAGGCAGTGATCTGGCTGCTCATCTTCCAACAACATATCGGTTTTCAGAACTAAGCCTTTTCTCTGTCAACGCTCAAGCCAGACAGAGGTTAGGGAAGATGCAGCCTCCCACTACAGCTGAAGGGAAGATGATGGAGTCCTGGGAGTAAGAAGAGCCACTGGATCTTGTTGTTTCATGGTCCTGATGAATTCTAGTGATGTTACTTGCTCTTGGGTGGATACTTCTGCTGGCAGGGTGGGTATGGTTGCACAGGAGGGCATTTATCCTGGCATGGTGGAGGTGGGCAATGCTCAGGTGGACAAGGAGGAGGCAGGTAAGGCTCAGGGCACTTCGGGGGTGGACATGGCTCTGGGCACTTTGGCGTGGGGCACACAGGAGGTGGCTGGCAGGGCTGCTTGCACTGCTGCTGCTGGTAAGACATCTCTCCTCAGTCTCAGAGAATCTGAAAGATACATACGAAACAGTGCTCATAAGAGAGACAGTCCTGTTGGTGGAGCAATTAGCTAGGACATCAAATCTCCAGTATCTAGGGACCAACTTTGATCCCTAATACAGTCTTTATGACTTTGTGAACCTTCTTCACACTTCACTTTTAGGACCTCTTACCCTCAGTTCTTCCGTCTTTCTGGCTGTTCTCTCATTCTACCATTTTCTGAAAATAAAATTGCCTATGAGACAGCAACAAATGTTGTCTGAATACAAACACTATCTGAAGAAGAAAAACTCAGATATTAAAAGTCTAGCCAATACCAAACAAATCTGTGCTCTTATCTTCCATGAGGCCCTAGTTACCAGTTTTAATGAGCTGGCTGTGGTGCTGAGCCATGAGTTTTTTAAGAGAATTGCAAAAACTTGCACCCATCACCCAAGGAGATTGCACTCCAAGAGAGATGTATTTGGAACAGATGTGAAGCAGGAGACAGAACAGCATCTTGTGTCTCTCACTCTCCTTCAGTTTAAGATTTTATATATTTGACTCCAGGTTCCTCATCACCTTCATGTTTATCTACCAAATACCAGCTAAAATTTACCTTCAAGACCTCATTATCTTCTTTTTCCTATCCATGAGGATAAATTGGTTAAAATAAACAGGCATTTCTGTACCCAGGTTAGACCCTAACACCATCCAAGTGCAAGAAAAGCTTCTAATATTTGTACTCACCAGAGTCTTCAAAGATCTACAACTGAATGGCAAGAAGATAGCATCAGTGTGGTGGAGAGTCCTTTTATAAGGGGCAGGCAGCCCTACACAGGGAACAGCCCAGGACTAGCATGATGTGCTTATTTCCCAACCAAAATACCACTTGCATGTAATCCATGCTGGTATCACAAAATTCCTAGTCCATGATCCTCCCCAGCAGGATAAGTGCACAGTGATTCACTTGGGACATTATCTCAGGTTCCTCATGCCAGTGGCAATTGTAGAACGTGACAAATTGTCTGACAATTGTGGTGCTTCCCTATAATTAGAGATGGTGCTTCTCCTACTTCCCAGCTTCCAAAGTATCCTGTATGTAAAACTACTCCCATTCAGTTGCACATGCCCAGTATCTAGCTGTGTTCTCTTTAGTAGAGACCAGTATGTGCTGATCCTGCAGCCTGGCTATATCCTAACCCTCAACTGCAGTTTTTCTTTACAACTAACTTCCCCTTTTATCATGGCCTATTGATCCTTAGGCTTTTCTTGACAATTAATTGACTTGAACAGGGTGACAAAATCATATATCAGCTTCCTAGATGCTGACAGCCCCAACCTGGGTGTGTTCTGACATGGTATTAATGGGCTTGAACAAGGCAACATCATCTCTCAGTTTTCTAGGCCATTAGAGTCATGTTGGGGCCCCTTCTTAAAGCTTCACATTTGCAGATTTACACACTAACCTCATCTCTGTGGCCCTTGTAACTATGAGTGACTTGTGGTCTACTAGAAATCCAAACTCATCTTCTCCCATTTTCTTCCAAACTGCCTTAATGTATGTGCTGCATCCATTTTGAAGCTTTTCTCCTACATGCTAATTCAATTTACTCCTTCACAATTTCTCTCTTTTGAAATGACATTTAGTAGGATTTCAGGCTTTCTTTGCACATTCGAGGAGTGAAGTTCTGTAAAGCTATTTATCCTGCTGTTTACTTCATGGATGTTTTTACCTAAATAAGTAAAGTATAGCTGGCACAGATCCCACGGATAATTTCTTAGTATAGCTTATTTAACCATATTAACACTTCAGCTAGTATTACTCACTGTCCCAACTTGGAAAAAACTTGAGTACCTTGGTTATGCATACATCTACAGCCACCACTACTGTGTGGAACTAAATATTTCCTAACCTCCTTGAAACACAGTTTACACAGCTGTAAAACAGAAATAAAAAATACACCTACCACAAAAGTCTCCTACAAAAACTCAAAGAGTGGCCTAAAATTATGCACATTACATAGTGGGTCTTCTAAGAAATATAAACTCTAAAATGTAGAAGAAATAAGAATAATAACTAATCATAACTAACCAATAATTTCAAACATGTCAAAAACAGATAATAAAGAATGGCATTGTTTAGAGTGAGGCCTATCTAGTGAAGATCCTTTCCCTGCATCCCCCATTCTTCTAGCTGTAGTCACTACTAATTAGACGGCATGGGTACCATAGCACCTACAGGGTCGGCACCTTGTTTTCCTGAGAAAGCCCCTCTCAGGGAAGATTTTTGCCTTGTGCTCTTTACCCAGAAGAATGCTGTGTTGTATCTGCAATGTTTCAAACTTGATTGGGTTGGTACAGTAGAGAAACAAAAAAAACTGAGGACCTAACATGGGAATTTGAAGAGGTAGGAACGTCTTTGAGTTGAGCCCTACTATTAAATTCTTTCTCAGCATCTCAGAGGAACAACATGAGGCTAGTTATCCCTCCCTAGTACTCTGAAACTAAACAATTTAGTCATCTAAGTTACTATCAGGAAACTGACACACTTCAGGGATGCCAGAAGGAACAGGGATGCTCCTGGGATGGGTGAGGCACTTTCACAGCGTTCTTTCTCATGTTGAAATCCTAGGAACCATAGCTGATGCATGCTGAAGAATTAGCTAAGGATTACGTGACTTAAAACAGTTCTATCAACACAATTTTAGACCTACTTTTCTTTGCCTCATGAATTACTAATAGATTCCAAAGTTATTTTTACCAATAAATTATTTGGTTTATCATTTATGCTTGATAAACTGAAGGAGGATTGGGCTTTTCAGAAAAGAATGCTTAATGAGGTTTGCCAGCTTCACAAAGGACAGTTTTTTTATAGAGAGAGAAAATAGCTAAAGGACAGATGATCCTCATTTTTCACAAATAATGGGCACTTGAAGCACTCTGTGCAAATTAAACCTCTGAAACTCACATAGTATCTACATGAGGGTTTGCTGGAGTTTACTTATAAACTAGTAACCGTGGTTATCTCAGGAGAATAGTTAAGTATCTAGGGAATAGGAGTGGGGGAGAGACTAACTTTTCACTGCATGACCATTTTCTTCTCTTTTGAATTTTGGTATCATGTATATTTTTTGCTTATTCAAAGTGTTTAAATATTTAAATGTTCAAAGATATTTTAAAATTGAAATAAATAAATCTGTGAGTAAATACTATGTTAGCAAACTGGCACTGTATAAACACAATGATTGAGTTAAGTCCTAATTAGGTGTGTAAATTTGAGCAATTTTCTTAACATTTCTGCAATTTTCAGTTTCTTCATTGAGAAATGGTAATAATAATACTTCTCTGACGGACATTTTTGTAAGGTGCAAATAAAATAAATAGTAAGCCTAGTAAAACAACCGTGTAAAGCTGGGAATTATGAGGCTGAATTACCTGGTCCCAAAGTTCCTGATTTGCCTAAAGATTTTGAAAAGAAGGACAAAGCTATTTTATGGGAGTCCCAGAAATGAAGAAACGAAGGAAGGTAGAGAGGGTAGAAGACAGGCGAGTGGAAAGAAGAGGAAAGGGGAAAGAGAGAGAGGATGACATTTCCCAAGGGCCATTTGATTTTACTTGATTTAACATTTATAGCCTAGTTCTTTAAGCTCCCAATAAAATTATTTCTATTTTAATAAATAAAGATATGCTGCTACTACATAATATGCCTTTAAGTTTTTGAGAATATAGAATTTAAAAATAATAGAATTAGAAATGAACAGAGATGGCAAGAGTGAGTGTCCTTGCTTTGCTCCTGATCTTAGAGGAAAAGCTTTTAATTTTTCACCCTCGAATATATTAGCTGTGGGTTACTCACATATGGCCTTTATTATGTTGAGATACATTTCTTCTATACCTAATTCGTTGAGTGTTTTAATCATGAAAAGATGTTGTATTTTGTGGAAAGCTTTATCTGCCTCTATTTAGATTATCATACAATTTGTATCCTTTATTCTGTTTATGTAGTGTATCACATTTATTGATTTGCCTACACTGAACCATCTTTTTTTTTTTTTAGAAAAGAAAGAAATTTATTGAACCATCCATCCTTGCATCTCAGGGATAAATCCCACTTGATCATGTTGCATTATTCTTTTAATGGACTACTAGGTATGCTAGTATTTTGTTGAATCTTTTTGCTTCTATATTCATCAGGGATGTTGGCCTGTAATTTTTTTATAATGTTCTTATCTGGCTTTGGTATCAGGGTAATGCCATCCTCATACAATGAATTTGGAAGTGGTCTCTCCTCAATTTTTGGAAAAGTTTAATAATAATTTATTAATACATTAGTTATTTAAATGTTTGGTAGAGTTTACTACTGTAGCCATGTGGTCCTGGATTTTTCTTTGATCACAGTATTTATATTGCTGATTTAATCTCCTTACTCGTTATTGGTCTGTCCAGATTTTCTATTTCTTCATGATTCAGTCTCAGTAGGTTGCATGTTTCTAGTAATTTATCAATTTCTTCTAGGTTATCCAATTTATTGCTATATAGTTGTTCATAAGCAGTCTCTTAGGATCTTTTTTATATCCATGGCATCAGTTTTCATATCTCCTCTTTCATATTTGATTTTATTAATTTGAATCTTCTCTCCTTTTTTCTTTATTAGTCTAGCTAGAGGTTTGTCAAATGAGTCATCTACAACTGCTGTCTCTTCTGTCCCACATCTCACTAACCCCTCAACCCATGGCAGTCTGGATTTAGCCCACCATCTACTGAAATTATTCCAAGCTTTCTGTCAGATAAACTGAGTCATTCTCCGTTTTTATCTTCCTAGACTTCTCTGCTACATGTCACAGTGCCAATCATTCCATCTTTCTCTAGAGTCTCTACTTACTGGTTTTCATAATATCCACTTAATATTCTCCTACTCCTGTGCTTAATCTTTCTCCTCCTTGATCTGAACCTCTTCTTCTAAATGCCAAATGGAGTCCTCTGGTGCTCATTCCATGGATCTTACCATCCTATGCATTCTCTAGTTACAATATCAATGATTCCTATGGTTTCAGTCATCACAAATCTACTAACTCACTCATCTACATTTGCACTCCAGAACTCACTTCAAACTTAAATATCCCCTTGCCCTCTAGATATCTCTGTCCAAATATCCTCAAGTACCAACAAGCTGATCATCTTTCCCACAAACCACTTGAACCTCCAGTATTCTCTATCCTGTACACCAATAATCACCCAGCTACTTGAGTTACCTTGACATTTTCGCCTCTACTACATGCTACTTATCTAAACTCCTCATTCTGACAGTTCAACAGCATAAGTATCTCTGGAATCCATCTCTCTCCTTCTATGCTGACTGCCATGCCCTAGTTCAGAGCCTCCTCATCTCTTGCTCGATTATTACCATAGCTTCCTAATATAGCTGTCTTCCTCTATCTTGTTTGATTTAAATCCATCTTTCCATTGCCATAAGAGTGATACATTAAAAAGTAAAATCTGACTACATCACTTGCATGCTTAAAATACTTTAAGTTCTAGGTCCATTACATAGCCCTTCCTTCGCCTCTAGCCTCATTCCTTATTACTCCACTTTTTGAACTGTGTGCTGTCATGTATCAAACTCTGTAATTTTGCTGACATACCAGTTTTTTCTATCCTCAGTGAATTTATTTACTAACCTGTAATATGCCATATTATTATTGTTTTACCGGGTTAATGTCTACACAATTCTCTAAAAGCCATCACTTCAATGAAAAGCCTTCCTGGATCCCTCCTATTAGGGCAGGTGACCCTACCTAAGAGTCCCATAAAACACTCTGAGCTTTGCATTAAGTGTTAAGTGCAACCCATCTGCATTAAGTGGATTCCCCACCCATATCCTTTTCCCTTGAGCTTGCGAGCACTTTGAGTAGTCAGACTGCAACTTCACCTACACTCAGGACATGATCCAATACCTGAAACAGAGTACGTGCTAGATAAATAGTTGTTAAAAAAATAATGATTTTAGTTTCTAAATTGTGTTGCCTTACATGAGTGTCACAACAATCTTGTGAGTTCTGAGGGAAAGAATATGCTATTACCTCTGTGACTAGAAAAAAATAACATTTAATATTCTACTGAATTACTCTGTGATTTCATGATTTTCCAGACATCTCATCTTTCCACTACATTAGCCCTGCCAAAATCCACACACCTACCTATAGCAATTGGAATTACAGATAATAGAGCCTTGACTATTTAGATTTGGGGCTCCTATATTTGGATACTCCATGACAATTTGTTCCAATGCATGTGATTGCTGAATAACTTTGTAAACACCATGTATCTTGCCAATGGATTACAAAAGGAATTGTCTAAAGAATTTTAAGACGCTGACATTGCAGAGTTTCTTTAGTTCATGTCTCCTGTGACAGAGGTAGTAGAATATTAAATATTATTTTTATAACATTTGGTAAGAGCAGTACATTTAAATACGCGCTGTTTTCCCTATCCTCCCTCACCCTCACCATTCACTGCCCACTGCTGATTGGTAGAGAAGTTTGTTTTGTTGTGTTGAACCAGATAATGGATAAAGAAGAGGACTAAAATAATACCAGAAAGCCTAGACAGAGTCATACTAAAAAGGACAGAAAAGGCAAAAGAGAAGGTAAAGGCAGCTACCATGCAAAAATTAGTACAAATTTGGGGAGAGAGGTAAAGAGGATTTTAAGTTATTTTGTGGCAATATAATTCCAGTTTGCCATTTGTTAAGTAAACGTCAGTATTTAAATTGATTTCCAATTGTGTTTCCTTTTTAGAACTCAGACTAATATTTCTTCTGAATGTCACCCTGTGCATAAGGTCAGAACAAGATTGTTCGGCTTTATTCAAAATATACAGAGCTCCTCAATTTACAGGGTAAACCACATGGTAAATTGAGGAGCTGGGGCTTACTGCCACTGCCCAGCATCACCCAAGAATATCACACCACTTTCTACTGAATGCATAGTACTTTGGCACCATCATAAAATCAAAAATATTGTAAGGAAAACTAGCATAAGTTGGGGATTATCTGTATTTTGTGAATTATTGCTCAGCTTTTAGAACTTAAGGTATAAGTTTCATATATATCTTTTTTGGATTACATGTAGAATAATCATTAATTTTGTTAAGTGTGATGATCATCTTGTGGCTATTTTAAGATATCTGTTAAAAACACATACTGACAAATTTATAGGTGAAAGGATATGATATTTGGAACTGTAAAATAGTTCAGTGATAAAAAGAACAAACAAAGTGTGGGAGAGTAGATGAAGTCAAGAATAACAAATTGTTGATAATTTTTGAAGCTAGGTGATGGGTCCAAGGGAGATTATAATACTCTTTTTTATTGCTTTTATTGAGGTATAATTGATATATAAAAACTCATGCACATTTAATATACACATCTGGATGAATCTAGACATATGCATATACCCATGATATCATCACCACAATCAAGACACTAAGCATATCCATCACCTCTAAAAATTTCCCTGTGGGTTTTTTTTTGTTGTGTTATTATGGGTTGGTTTGTTTTGGTTTGGTTTGGTTTGGGTTGGGTTTGGGTAAGAATGCTTAATGTGAAATCTATCCTCTTATATTTTAAAGTGCACAGTACCATTAGTCCGTTCTCACACTGCTTACAAGGATACTACCTGGGACTGGGTAATTAATAAAGAAAACAGGTTTAACTGACTCACAGTTCCCCATGGCTGGAGGGGGGCCACACTTACAATCATGGAAGAGGGTGAAGAGGAAGCAAAGCATGTCTTACATGGTGGCAGGAGACAGAGAGGGGGGTGGGAGGGGGGCTGCCAAGCACTTTTAAACAATCAGATCTCATGAGACGGCCCCATGATTCAATTACCTCCCAACAGGTCCCTCCCTCAACATGTGGGATTGTAATTCGAGATGAGATTTGGGTGGGTACACAGAGATAAGCCATATTATTCTGCTCCTGGACCCTCCCAAATCTCATGTCCTTTTCACATTTCAAAAACAGTCACACCTTCCCAACAGTCCCCCAAAGTCTTAACTCATTTCAGCATTAACTCAAAAGTCCAAGTCCAAAGTCTCATCTGAGACAAGGCAAATTTCTTCCACCTATGAGCCCGTAAAATCAAAAACAAGTTAGTTGCTTCCAAGATACAATGAGGGTACAGGCATTTGGTAAATGTTCCCATTCCAAATGGGAGAAATTGGCCAAAACAAAGGAGCCACAGGTCCCATGCAAGTCTGAAACCTAGCTGGACAGTCATTAAATCTTAAAGCTTCAAAATCCCCTTTTGACTCCATGTCTCACATCCAAGGCATGCTGATGCAAGGGGTAAGTTTCCATGGTCTTTGGCAGCTCTGCCCCTGTGGCTCTGCACAGTACAGCCCCTGCAGCTGCTTTCTTGAGCTGGCATTGAGTGCCTGCAGCTTTTCTAGGTGCACGGTGCAAGCTGTCAGTGGATCTACCTTTCTGAAGTCTGAAGGACAGTGGCCCTCTTCTTACAGCTCCACTAGGCAGTGCCCCAGTTGGGACACTGTGTGGGGGCTCCAACCCCACTTTTCCATTCTGCATTGCCCTAGAAGAGGTTCTCCATGAGGGCTCCATCCCTGCAGCAGACTTCTGCCTGGACACTCAGGCATTTCCATACATCCTCTGACATCTAGGCAGAGGTTCCCAAAGCTTGACTCTTGTCTTCTGCATGCCCGCAGACCCAACACCATATGGAAGCTGCCAAGGTTTCAGACTTGCACCCTTTGCAGGAAGCCATGGCCAGGGCTGTACTTTGGCCTGTTTTGGCCATGGCTCAATCTGGATGGCTGGGATGCAGGGTACCAAGTCC
Source organism: Homo sapiens (assembly GCF_000001405.40). Taxonomy (NCBI): domain Eukaryota; kingdom Metazoa; phylum Chordata; class Mammalia; order Primates; family Hominidae; genus Homo; species Homo sapiens. The sequence continues at coordinate 153,158,960 of NC_000001.11, forward strand.
CAAGGCTGCACTGAGCAGTGGGGCCCTGGGCCTGGCCCACTAAACAATTTTTTCCCTTCTAGGCCTCTGTGCCTATGATGGGAGGGGCTGCCACGAAGATCTCTGAAATACTCTGGAGACATTTACCCATTGTCTTGGTGATTAACATTCCTTTCCTGCTTACTTATGCAAAACCTAAGTTTGAATTTCAAATCATATCTTTGTGAATGTATGTGACGGTATGCTTTCAGAAACAACCAGGTCACCTCTTGAATTCTTTGCTGCTCAGAAATCTCTTCTGCCAAATACCCTAAATCATCTCTTTCAAGTTCAGAGCACCACACATCTCCAGGGCAGAGGCAAAATGTCACCAGTCTTTTTGCTAAAGCATAGCAGCAGTGACCTTTACTCCAGTTCCCAATAAATTCCTCACCTCCATCTGAGAACAACTCAGCCTGGACTTCATTGTCCATATCTCTATCAGCATTTTGGTTAAAACCGTTCAGCAAGTATCTAGGAAGTTCCAAATTTTCCCACATCTTCCTGTCTTCTTCTGAGCCCTCCAAACTGTTACAATATCTGCCCATTACCCACTTCTAAAGTCACTTTCACATTTTTAGTTATCTTTATAGCAGTACCCATTCTGCTGGTACCAATTCTCTGTATTAGTTTGTTCTCACACTGCTATAAAGATACTACCTGAAACTGGGTAAAAAGAAAGCAGGTTTAATTGACTCACAGTTTTGCATGGCTAGGGAGGCCTCAGGAAACTTACAATCATGGCAGAAGGCAAAGGGGAAGCAAGGCGTGTCTTACATAGTGGCAGGAGAGACAGAGAGGTTGAGGGGAACTGCCAAACACTTTTAAGCCATTAGATCTCATAAGAACTCGCACACTATCACAAGAACAGCTTGGGGGAAATTGCCTCCGTGATCCAATCACCTCCCAGCAGGTCCCTCCCTTGAAATGTGGCAATTACAGTTTGAAATGAGATTTGGGTGGGTACACAGAGCCAAACCATATCAACCAGATTGTTAACCATAGGTATTATATTGCACAGCAGGTCTCTAGAATTTATCTTATATAACTGAAACTTTATACCCACTGAAAAACAAATTTTCTATTTCCTTCTACCCCAGACCCTGGCAACCACCATTCTTTTCTCTGCTTCCATAGGTCTGGATATTTTAGAAACTTCACATAATAGAATCATGCAGTATTTTTCCTTCTACATGACTGGCTTATTTCACTTAGCATAATATCATCAAGGATCAAACATGTTTTTGCAAATGACAGGGTTTCCTTCTTTTCTAAGGTTCAATAATATTACATTGTATATATATGCCACAATTTTTCAATTCATTCATCTGCTCATAGACATTTAGATTGTTTCCATATCTTGGGTATTGTGAATAATGCTGCAATGAACATGAGAATGCAGCTATCTCTTAGAGATCTTGATTTCCATTATTTTAGATATATCCCCATAAAAGGAATTACTGAATTATTTTTAATTTTTTGAGGAAACTGCATACTGTTTTCCATAGTAGCTGCACCATTCTTCATTCATGCCAACAGTATGTAAGTGCTCCAATTTCTCCACATCCTCATCAACACTTGTTATCCTTTGTTTTTTGGGAAGTCAGGAAACAACAGGTGCTGGAGAGGATGTGGAGAAATAGGAACACTTTTACACTGTTGGTGGGACTGTAAACTAGTTCAACCATTGTGGAAGTCAGTGTGGTGATTCCTCAGGGATCTAGAACTAGAAATACCATTTCACCCAGCCATCCCATTACTGGGTATATACCCAAAGGATTATAAAACATGCTGCTATAAAGACATATGCACATGTATGTTTATTGTGGCACTATTCACAATAGCAAAGGCTTGGAACCAACCCAAATGTCCAACAATGATAGACTGGATTAAGAAAATGTGGCACATATACACCATGGAATACTATGCAGCCATAAAAAATGATGAGTCCATGTCCTTTGTAGGGACATGGATGAAGCTGGAAACCATCATTCTCAGCAAACTATCACAAGGACAAAAAACCAAACACCACATGTTCTCACTCATAGGTGGGAATTGAACAACGAGAACACATGGACACAGGAAGTGGAACATCACACACCCGGGCCTGTTGTGGGGTGGGGGGAGGGATAGCATTAGGAGATATACCTAATGTTAAATGAAGAGTTAATGGGTGCCGCACACCAACATGGCACATGTATACATATGTAACAAAACTGCACGTTGTGCACATGTACCCTAAAACTTAAAGTATAATAAAAAATAATAACAATAATAGTAGTCATCCTAACACATATGAAGTCACATCTCATTGTGGTTTTTGCTCTTCATTTTCCTGGTGATTAGTGATATTGAGCATTTTTTCATATACATGTTGGCCATTTGTATTTCTTCATTGGAGAAATGTCTATTCAGGCACTTTGCCCAGTTTTTAATTAGGTTATTTGTTTTCTTGCCTTTGAGTTGTTTGAGTTCCTTGTATATTTTGGATATCAACCCCCTATCACATGTATGGTTTGCAAATATTTTCTCTCATTCTGTATGATGACTTTTCACTCTGTTGATTCTTTCATTTGCTGTCAAGAGGTTTTTAATTTGATGCAGCCCCACTTGTCTACTTTTTTATTTCATTGCCTGTGATTTTCATGTAAGTTTCATCTATAACTTGCATTAAATCATTACCCTAGGACTCACCTAAGAGACCCAGGCTGCCATTAGCTGGTCTGTTGGAACTCTGGAGCAAAGAAATGAGAATGACCATATATAAACTGTGAATAATCTTAGAAATCAGATGGACAGAAATTACAAAGACTACTCTAGAATTAGAAATATAACCTCAGGTAATATGCAGACTTTGAGAATCTTCACATCAAAAAGAAAATAGGTTTCAAATAATGGTAATTGACCTTTCTAAATTGACAATGTCTAAAATCTCCTTCATAAAATTAGAAGACAGAAAACTGCATTTCAACAGTCTCCATGATACCAATAGGGGGTTTTTGGTGGTGGTGGTGGTTGTTGTTGTTGTTGTTTAACTTTTATTTTAAGTTCAAGGGTACATGTGCAGGTTTGTTATATAGGTAAACTCGTGTCATGGGGGTTTGTTGTACAGATTATTTCATCACCCAGATATTAAGCCTAGTACCCATTAGTTATTTTTCCTGATCCTCTCTCTCCTCCCCACCTCCTCCCTCGGATAGGCCCCAGTGTGTGTTGTTCCCCTCTATGTGTCCATGTGTTCTCATCATTTAGCTGTCACTTATAAGTGAGAACACGTGGTATTTGGTTTTCTGTTCCTGCATTACTCTGCTAAAGATAATGGCCCATAGCTCCATCCATGTTCCGGCAAAGCACATGACCTCATTCTGTTTTATGGCTGCATAATATTCCATGGTGAATACCAATTGTTTTCAGGAATGCATGTCCTCTGTTGAATGGAGCAGGGAGCTACCCAGAATAACCCAAACACTCTGCCCTTCTGCTGTGCCTGAGCCAGGACATCCTGGAGGCTCCATTACTGCTATGCGTCCCACAATTAAACAGCAAGTTAGTGTGTCAGGGCTGGGGAAACAGACAGAATCACAGTTAAATTAGCCCACTGAAATGGTGCAGGCCCAAGACCCTGGCCTTAGAATTGCTTGGTGACCAGAGAGAAAGTGAGGGGCCGCAGGGTCCTAAAGCAGGACACATCATGGACTGGGAACCTCAAACTCCATGGCCTGACCACCTCAGACTTCCAGCTCATATCAGATGTTATGTCTTCCAGGAATCCTCTCCCAACTACATCTTTATCATTGCACTTGCCAATATATTTTAATTTTCTATGTGTCTTTATATTTTATACAAGATAGTATGAGCCCCTTAGGGCAGAGATAGTGCCTTACTCAATCTTGGGTCCCCAGTGCCTGTGACAGGGCATGGTACATAATTTGGGTCAAAGAAATATTATCAAACAAGTAAATAAACATCAGTTCTAATGCCTAAAATGACAATAAAGAATCTTCTGTCATGATTAGCAGGTCCAGTGATAATAATGGTAGAAACAAAACTGGCTTTTAACCGTCCATTCAATCAATAGTTTTACTACATAGCAGACACCATTAAAAATGCACAAGATAAAGATTTGAGCTGTTCATGACCCTAATCTTGAAGAATATACAGTGTATTGTGACAGACAAGACTTGCTTCCAGATGATCACAACATGGAAAAAGTGGCACTCGAAAAGAAGCATTATTTTTAGAACTGTGCATGGATTGTGTGTGATTTTGTGTGCACATGTGATTGATAAAAATGGAGCTGAGGGATCAGCAGACAAATTATCTCATAGGTGAGGTTAAAAATATGGTTGTCTACACATTCCAAAAAGAAGGCCATCTTGCCAAAGGCACATGAATTTCTAAACATCTCATCTTTCCACTATATTAGCCCTGCCAAACATCACACGCCTACCTATAGCAATTGGAATTATGGGTGATAGAGACTTGACTATTTGTATTTGGGGCTCCTATATTTGGGGACACATAAGAAAAGGGTAAGAGGTCTTCAAAATGTTAGCTGGGGAGCAGTGCATACCAATTCCAAAGCAAGTTTCAAAGCAAGAGGGGTGTCCCATCCTCTTTTTGGAGCCTAAAAATGCAGCTCTCAATCCTCTTAACCTTGGCATTCTGTTCTCAGCTCAGTCCTTCCTACTCACTTTGTCCCTCTGACTGCTCTCTTCCTTTCCCGAGTCTTCACCCCATCCATGTAACTTCTGTGCACGGCATCTGTGTCTCAGCCCTGTTGGGAGGCCATAGGAATGATATTCCTAAACAGCCAGTTAACATTTCGACCTAGATTATCACAGCTCTTGAGCACAGTGTATCCAAAACAAAACCCATCCCATTCTTCATAACCTTGCTGCTCTTCTGGAGGACCAAAACTCTATATCAACATCACCTATTCTGTCTTCCAAAGTCTAAGATTTTGAGTCATCTAAAATACCCTCATATTTCTCAGTCCTCACCAAATGGTATCAATACCGTTTCATACTAATATATAGTAATATCAATAATAACAATACAATTAGAAAGAGAACTTCCTTTTATATAATTTATCTCACACTAAGTTATGAAATATTTTCGTTCTCAACTGCGTTTTTCAAGTAACAGGTTTTACATGATTTTAAAATAACAGAAAATGTTATTTGGTAAACAAAACTTAATGGACAAAATCATTCACAACCCAAAGAACAATGATGGAGATTATCTAAGTGCCCTTGGGCATGGAGAGGCACAGGTCTCTAACTGACTGATAGGCTGGCTCAGCAATGAATGGCAGGACCATGAGGCCAGGAAGAGAGGTACAAGAAAGGTGAAAAGTGGGTGTACCTGGAAGTTTTGTCCACCAGCAACTATTCCTGGAGAAAGTCATTTAGTCCAGAATCTCTAATCCAATGCTGATGGGTGGTCAGAAGCTCAAAAGAGTAGTCTGAAGAGGAGAGGGGAGAAGGAAGTAAGTGGCTCTGTTATTTTAAAATAATTTGAGTACCAAATACAGTCATCCCTCAGTATCCATGGGAGATTTGTTCCAGGACCCTCCCATAGATACCAAAATCCACAGATGCTCAAGTCCCTTATATAAAATCACATAGTGTTTGTATATAACCTATATACATCCTCTGGTATAATTTAAATCATCTTTAGATTACTTATAATACCTAATACGATTCCTAAACATCACTTCATTGTGTGGGGTGGGTTCAGCATAGAACTCTGCACACTGCAAATTCAAGTTTCGCTTTTTGCAACTTTGTGGAATTTTTTTTCTGAATACATTTGACCCACAGTTGGTTGAATCCACAAATGTGGAACCCACAGACATGGAGTAACAGCTGTATGTTTAAGGAACCTATAAACTCTCCTCAGGCTAGAGATGGAAACTAGCAGGATAACAGGATAACTTCTACACACTTCTCTCTTCTCCCTACACACTTCTCACCTCTCCCTGGTGCAAACTTTTGGGAAATTATTTTTGTTTCCATCCATCAAGTTGATCAAAGATAAAAGTAACTTAGGTCCTCTGAGAAAAGGAGCAACTAGAAGAGGATGATGAATGAGATGGTTCTACCTGGCAGGAGCTGAAAATCAGATCCAGAATATTTGCACCCAGGCAGCTTTCAGGATGGGATTTAGAAAGCAAACATGGATGGATGGATGGATGGATGGATGGATGGATGGATGGATGGACGGACGGATGGATGGATCAGTTAATTGATCAAAATATAGGTGATTCTAAATATTGATAGATATTGAACTAATACAATAAATAGGATATTCTAAGTTAAAAAAATCAAAGAGAATTCATTGATTCAAGAACAGAGGAAGCCTACTACAGAGCATAAAACTGAACCTGGAGTAGATAACAGACTTCACAACAACTTTCCCACAGCTAGATTATGACAGACAGAACTTCCCAGGTTCCAGAACTTGAATCCTTTTTCTGCCCTTTCTGACTTCATTTTCCTAATTTATAATGTAAGTCTGGCTCCTCAGAGGCATCAAATAGAGACTCAGGGACCATTGTTCTAACACAAAACTGCAAGAGGATGAGGCTGGGATACAAATCTAGTGTTATGTTATCTCCTCTCCCAGAACTCCTTTGGTCCAGAGGTTAAGAAAACATATATAAAATGGGTTGAGAACACAGCATGTATTCTGGTGGGGAAGTGGCAGAAATAATGAAAAGTCTAAGACAAAATAATATATAATAAAGTCCTGGAAGTGTGGCTTTGGAGGGAAATCAGAGTTCCACAGGTGATAAGCAACGCCTTATTTCAGTCCTTCTGGTGTGTCAGTGATAGTGTATAAAACCTTCTTTGAAGATGAAAAACTAAACTCTTACTTTGGGGGCCTCTGTGACTGTGAGGCACAGGCTTCATGGCCCCACCAATAGCAGTGACAGCCTTGGGGTCAACTCAGAAGTGTCTTTCTTGTCCTGTGTTGGAATCAGGCTGAACCTCTGACCGTAAACTCCACAGGTGCCAATTTTGCTTTCTATTCAAGGCTCAGCTGTTTGGATGGTGCAGCTAATGCTCTTACTCACCCAAGCCTTCTCTTTCCCATAAGCCATCCCTAGTGCCTCACATGACACAATTCCTAGCTCCTTCTCTGCCCAGTCTCTTTCCTTGTACCTATATACTGGGTGGGTTGATAGGGCAGGTCCAGAGAATCATTCCTAATCTGTGTCTGGGCAGAGATTTTCCAAGGACAGTCTCAGGGAGAACTAGATTTCTGCCCTGCCTTGTACCAAGGAGGGTTCTGCATTTGTAGTTTTAGTTCTGATTATAGTAGAGGGGAATGAAAGGTTTTTAATCATTGAGGATGAAGAAGATTTGAGTGTTTATGAGCCTCTCCTACATGGGCATTTAACTTAGTTACTTAGGTTTTGTTGTTTGAGAAAGAACCCCATGTGAAAATCTGGTTTCTACAAGCCTTTTTGTTGTTGTTGTTGTTGTTCTCTTGGTCCCAAGGAAGTGTTCCTAATATCAGCAGCAACAAAAAAATTACTACCCCTTCTTCTCTCTTCCTTGATACCTAAGCTCTGATGCTGCACCCTCAAATAAGCAGAATTGGGCCTCTGGACAGCAGAGGACCACCCAACCAGGTAGAAGCAACACATTTCACAGTCTCCAGATCATGGGGATGAAGATCTCCAAGAATAGATATGTCATTTCATTCATCACTCACTCCCATATTAGCCCACATTATCAAGATCTGGAAGACCAAAGATGGATTTTGAATCTAAGAAAAGAACAGTCCTACTCAAAACTCTCTTGGGACAACTGATACCATCCACACAGAGACAGAAAATATCTTGATGTGCTTGGCACTTTAGGAAGTTGAGTATCACAGAATTTGAGGGCAGTTAAAAGAACTGTAAAAATCCACTTGATCTCTTCATAAAAGTGTTTAGGAAAAAAAAATCCACTTGAAAATTGACAAAGGTCTATAAAGGGAACATAAGTTGGAATGGAGAAGAGGGGCCGAGATCCAGAACCATGGCATAATCAGAATGGACCCTGATGCAATCTACTTTGATTCCACCACCACCATCACAGAAGGCTCAAAATATATATGAGATATTTGGATCCTAATAACCTTGGCATGCCATACTGCAGTTAATGATCTGAAGAAATAAATAAGAGACCCTTTGTTTTGGAAAAAAAATAAAATCTCTGGCCAGGCGTGGTGGCTCATGCCTGTAATCCCAGCATTTTGGGAGGCCAAGGCAGGCGGATCACCTGAGGTCAGGAGTTCTCAACCAGCCTGACCAACATGGAGAAATCCCATCTCTACTAAAAATACAAAATTAGCCAGGCGTGGTGGCTCATGCCTGTAATCCCAGCTACTCGGGAGGCTGAAGCAGGAGAATCGCTTGAACCTGGGAGGCAGAGGCTGTGGTGAGCCAAGATCACTCCATTGCACCCAGTCTGGGCAACAAGATTGAAACTCTGTCTCAAAAAAAAACAAAAAAGAAAAAGAAAAAGAAATCTCTAAACTAGGTAGGGTAAATTTGGCAATTACAGTAAGTTATTTTGATATGTTTACTGTATTGGTACCATATAAATTTGTTTTACATCTGTTTAATGATTAGAGATTAGGAAGGTGGAACTTAACTATTACTCTGCTAGATGCTGAATGTACAATGGAGGATAACTCAGAAAACATTTAAGTTCTCTGACCTTATCTTCTTATAGAAGATATAAGCCAAAATATGTAAACTTACAAGTAAATAATTTTAAATGATAATAAAGGTTTTTGGATCTTACCTGCTTCATTGTCATTTGGACCAAAAGTCATGTTTGCCCTCCACCACAATAATATAGTAATGTTTTTAAGAAGATTCAACAAAAAATACATTTTATTTAATCATGTAATACTTGCTAATAATATGGCAATTATCTTAATACATTAGCCTAATATTTGCTACCCCATGTCTTATAAAATATTAGAACCTGAGTATAAATGGTTCCATGATCCCATGAGCAGGAGAAATGCCATATTCTAAATCACCTTCTTGGTGCTCTGAGTAGTGTCTCCATCAAAGAAGAATCTGTTTTACTTTAACATCTCAAAAATAATATCACTAGGAGAGAAGAATGCTTTATATAACATAGTTATCAACACCAACCAAAAAGAATAGACTCTTCCACCAACTGTTGAAGCACCATCAGTTCTGGAAACACTCAGTTCCATAGAAGAACCTCCTAGACCAAAGGCTCAATGCAATGCCCATAGCTTTATCTATTTTCAACAAGCAGTCTGGGAATTGGTCTCTCAAAGTTCCACTTCAGTTGTGTCTTGATAGAACTTTCACTGAATCTTACATCACATAGAAGTATATCAGGAGCTCAACTCAGCACAGAGCTTCAGTTTTACAGCAAGAAAGACATGCATGTGAATGCCACAGAAATTGATTTCCCTCACAGTCTCATTAATTCTGTACCTATATTTTGGCATTTATAACAATCTGGTTTTGACTGTTATTATTTTTATCATAATAGCAGAATCATAATAGTTGCCAATTATTAAGTGCTTATTATCTGCTTGGGACATTACTAGATGCTATTTTATATTATCCGAAATTCTTAAATTTCAAAGAAGTTTTGAAGGAATTACATAAGCATATGAATGATCCTATGGAAAGGCATTGATACATTCTTAGAACTATTGAAGAGAACATAAAAGTATGCTAAAATACCCCCAGCAATGAAAAATCCAAATAAGTACCAAACGAAATCAGATAAAACCTGAGAAGGAAGATGCAGATTTGGACAACAGGGAATTCTTGGTCAATGTGCAATTTGAATCAGAAGAGCATAGGCTATGAGAGCACCCTATCTGGATGCCAATCCCAACTGTCATCTTGACTGTGTACTCATGAGTGTATGTGTGTGTGTGTGTGTGTGTGTGTGTAAGATGTAAAATTTGGCATGTTAGATCATCAAATAAATCAGCCTTGAGAAACAAAAATAAAATCCTAAGCCTCCCAACTGACTAAGTGGACCCGCTCTTGGCCAAGGGGGCCCCAGAGAAACCTCAAAACTGAGTTCCTAGCATTACAGAATGAGAGGTTGGAAGTGCCTTGTTATACTCCCTCCCTCACTAACCACCTTTAGGCTTTCTTCCCTCAGGGTTAAACAGAAACCAGCCCTTTTGAAAGACTTGCTCTCCAATGATTTCAACCAACCTTGTGACTACTCCTCCCTTTTGCCTTTGAACACAACAGTAGACCGACGTTCCTTCCTGATAAAAGGCCACCTACCAGCCGGGGTCGCGGTGGCTCATGCCAGTAATCCCAGCATTTTGAGAGGCTGAGGTGGGTGGATCACGAGGTCAGGAGATCAAGATCATCTTGGCCAACATGGTGAAATCCCATCTCTACTAAAAATACAAAAAAATTAGTTGGGCATGGTGGTGCACACCTGTAGTCCCAGCCACTCGGGAGACTGAGGCAAGAGAATTGCTTGAACCCGGGAGGCAGAGGTTGCAGTGTGCTGAGATCATGCCACTGCACTCCAGTCTGGCAACAGACCCAGACTCCATCTCAAAAAAAAAAAAAGCCACCAACCACAAAGTGGTTCTGGCCAGTCAACAGAGGATGCACAGTGATGACTTTCATGTCCTCCACTTCACCTTTTAATGTCAGAAGGCTGAAAACTTCAGCCTTCCATCATGTTAACACTGCCATTTTTTGAACAACCCAGGGCATGAAGCTCAATTGTGTATGTGCACATTTCTCCTTTCACAAATATTCATGACTCCTCCTATAGCTTATTCAACATGTATATTCAGCCACGCCATTCAGCATAAATTCCTGCCTTATTCTTCTCACCCTCCAAATATCTGTATTTCTGGCTTCTGGCTGGAGACTGTGTTTCCAAGTATGTCAGAATGGCTGCCTTGCAGACTGAACCGCTTTATGGAAAGAAAGCTCTCCTTTCCAAATATATGAATTTCATCATTCTTCAGTTCACAGTCTTACAGTTTATATTAACTAATATAACTAATTAATTTATTTAGACATGATTTTAAGTTACAAAGTGTAATGGAATTTGGTTAGGTTTCTAAACAGCATTGAAATGCTTAAGAAAACATAAGAATCAAAAGATGTATAAATTTTCTTCGAGTATGTATTTGGAATTGTATTAGTCAGTGGGAGACTTAAAGTACTCTAAAATTGAGGATATCAACTTGGTAACCTCAGTTTAAGTTGTTAAGAGAGTTTAACCGAAGTTGTTAACTGGATCAATTATTACTCCAAAGCTCCTTGAAAAAATTACACAAATTTCTAGAATTTTAATTAAATTAATAACATTAGTTATCTAACTTATGGCTCACAAAAAGCTGTATAATTGGTAACTTTAATAAAGTAAATATAAATTTTGTAAACCAAAGTGTGCCTTAAATCATCTTTGTGATACACAAAAGCCAACTTCAAGGACACAAAAACAGCGTATGGCAATGAAAAATGAACAGAAAACAAAAGCTTTATGAGTTGCAAAGAGCAGGCAGAAAAGGTAGACCTGGGTTTAGGAATCAACTCCAGAAGACTACTGGGCAAGAGGACAAGAGAGAGGAAAGGAGGGAAGAAGAAAAGGTGGAAGAAGGGCTTGATAGAGAGATAAGAGAGGTATTCCATGGCTTCAAAAGAAAATACTTTTGATTTTAAAAATTAACCAGCATATGGTAAATCAGCTCAGGATCCCACAGACCCACATACCAGGCCCCTCACTTGCTTTTCTCCCACTCAAAGGTCCTACCTCCCTGCACCTCCCCACGGCTGCCCACCACCCTCTGAGAGCCACCTCTGCATATGGTGATTCAGGCCAGGACCCCACAAATCCACCTAAGTAAATCAGCACTGGCTGGTCAGTGACTCAGAGAGGTGGCCAACAAGTGAGGAAGAACAGGGTATCATGGGCAACTGACACAGAAATTCTCAAAGACCTAGAAGATCCAGGATCCACGATCAGCTCATTCCACCCTCTTTGGCCTTGGCAGTGACATCACATGGGAGGGTCAATCCTCCCTCTTTTCACGGAAGAGTACTTTGCTTGGCAAGGCTGTTCTTGTCACTAGTGTTTATTTGTTCACACCTGCCTTAAATGCCAGTATGACTGAAATGTTGAAACTCTCTCATCTTCATTGGTTTAGCCTAAATTTTCCCAGGCAATTAGTTTCTCTGAATATGAGCAGGTAAACACCCTTCCTTCCTCCACCCTTTTCCCGGCCGTCCTGGGACTACTTGAAACACAGGTGTGTCTTACCACACACAAACACTAAAACTCAAAAAGAGAGTAAATAACAATTACAGCTACTATTGAGCTAATGGATTGCATATAAACATTCAAGATTCTTGGACTACAGGAGCCTTTACACCCACTCGCCTCCCCAGGAATGCTTCCCTGTATTCATTCATCAGACTGACATTTGAGAATTTGGGTTATACGGACTTGTGTGATCACACCATATACCCTTTCAGTACCTGAATCTCCACTGCACATGCCACCGCTTTTCCTCCACCCAGCCTACCACCACTCACCACTACGGACATTTCTTCAGCAGATAATTGCTCACTTTTTCCACTGGCTAGGGCTTGGGTATCATGCACCAAAATGCTGAAAGTTGACTGGAAACCCTGTGTATTCATCTCTGGTGAACAGCCACCTCTCAACTTCACAGCTGCCAACAGATGGTGGTCCCATCTCCCTGGCACAGATAGTGAAGTCTCTTTTTTTGCCCAGGTATGGTTCCATAAGCACAGTTTTCCCTACCAAATAATACAACAAAGCAAACACATCAACCAGTGAAATTAGTGGATGTCTAACATTACCCAAAGACCACAATTCCCCTCTTGAGCTCTGCCCAATGCTTCTGCCCTCCCCTCCCATGCCCCCCGAATCCCCAGCCCTGTACTCCAGCTATCAGTATCTACGTCTGTCCTTTGGCCATGTACTAAGGACTTGTTCAGACCTTCTTCTTTGGTTTACCAATTTCCTTTTACACTCAACTTTAATCCTCCATTGAAATTGGAGCGACCTACAGCTTCAGGTATCCAGCATCCTCCTGAATACATGAGACAAGTGACAGTCAAGCCATGTCCCATGAGAGGACCAGGAATTGGCTTCCACTCTACTTCACCTCTCACCTTCCAGGGTCTATCAACACTCCCTGACTGAAAAAACTATCCTTAAATTATAACTCTCATGCTCAGAAGACCAGGTCTACTTCTCCAGACTGTCCCATTTAGTTTTTTCTAATGAACCTTTTTATCTATCAATTCCACAGAGTTCTTTCCTGGTGGCACCTATCACAATACGTGGTCTGGTCTCATGCGGTTGACTTTTGCTGTAGCATTACAACATAAGTTCAAGTCTTCTATCACTAACCTACCACCTACCAGTCCTTGCACACATCCTTCCCCCACTCAAGAGTCCTGCCCCCAATGCACCTCATTGCACCTTTCCTTTGGCTGCCCCCACAGAGACCCCAGAGATACTGTGGGAAAGGGCTTCTGTGTCCTCTTTCTCCCAGGCTACCCTTCCTCAGGAGATGGAAACCTTGCTAGTCACTCAATACCTGCAAAACTGGAGTTTCCGGTACAAAAAAAGAGTTAGACACATCACATTAGTAACTGGAATGAGGCACCCAAAAAACGGAAAACTGGGGCAAACCCTTTTGTTTTCCAAAAGTTTGACTGTGCTTGGGATCAAAGGTACAAGATTACTTTTTATGCCACCTTAATCCTCTGAAGCAGGAAGTTGAAGAAGAGACAGCTACTGGGATTATCCCTAAAAGGAGAGAAGAGTTCCATTAGGGCTTGGGCTAGCCTTCATCTGGGCCGGAAGAAGATTGTATGGTTGGACTGACAGTGACCACTTTTTTCAAGGTGGGGTTTTAAAGAATTAGGATAGTTAAGTGCATAAATAGACAGGCGGACAAACATAATATAATTCTAGAATTAACTTTGGAACTCTTACAAGTCTTCAATATTAGAGATGAAGAAATAAAGTCATGGAGATACTGAGGAACTTCACTCAGACAGCACAGCTGGTTAATGTCAGTAAAGCTAGCATCCACATGTTCACATCCTATCTCACGTTCTTTCTACAACCCCAAGAGGGCTTACTTCACTTAAATTGAAGTCAAATCCCAGCTATTCAGAAACCACAAAGAACAGTCTTCAAATGAGGACACAGACCTGAGAATTTGAGTGAAGGCCTTGGGACAGAACATGGCTAACACTTCCAGAACCCCCAGGCTTGTGATATTCGATTACTCCCTGGCTGCTCTTTCAGAGCCTGTGGTTTGGACAATAAGAAAGAGTGAAGTTGTCCTACAGACAGAGGGAAATAAATATGGAGGTTGTCCTACAGAGAGAGGGAAATAAATAGAGGGAAATGATGGAGGCTCTAAAGGGAAGTCAAACAGAAAAAAAAATCTCAGATAAGAAAAGGAATCATGGGATCAGAAGCACATATTGAATGGAAATCTGCTCTAAAATACCTCCTGATGGTCTTTCAGCCTCTGCTTGAAGTCTGTCCACAATAGAGTGCTCTGTACAAGGGAGGCAACCAGATTTATTATTAATGAACTTACTTAGAAACTATTTCCTTGGTTGGACTGAAATGTGCTTCCCAGTGACTTCTGTTACTTTAGGAGAATTTTGCTCTGAACTACAGAGCGGTTCCCTCCTTGTCACTGGAGGTGTCAGAGCAGAGGCTAGAAGTCCTGAGTCAGTGATGCTCCAGGGAGTTCCTTCCATGGGGTTGGAGGTGGCAAGACTCAAGTCTCTCACTGGCTTCAAGAATCATTTATGCCTTGGTTCTTCCCCACCTAGGCCACTCTTCCACCTGCTCATGGACTCCTCGGGAAATTTTACAGATTCTTTCACACCATAAAGGATGGGGCAGGAAAGATTCACTCAGTAATTCAGAGGCATTCACATTTTTTACTTTGTTATAGTTTAATTTTTAGCAGATGGGCTCAGAAATTCATCTATGAGAAGGCCCTATGAAAGAGTCTATTTGAAATGTTATAGGGACATACATTTCTCTTATATGTTGACAAATGTTTGGCATAACCCATATGTAAGCCAACTATGAACAAAAGCTTTGATCAGACCTATTTCTTCCTCTTTGGTCACTCTTCCAAGAACTCCAATTTCATGATGTTGCTTTAGTAGAATTTAAAGAGCAGGCTAATACTGTGTAATTAATAGCATTTAGTTTTGTACCATCTCAGGATATTAATTACAAACAACAAAAGCTCACTCTGACTGATTAAACAGAAAAAGGGTTTATTAAAATATTATTGGGTAGATTATAGAACTCTTGGAAAAGCCGCAGAACCAGGCTTGAGGCTAAGCATATAGGGGAAATGTCCAAAAACCACACCACAAAACTAGCCTGGTGAGGAAGTTCTACTGCCACAGCGACTGCTCCACCATTGCTACATCATGCCAGGAACACATCTTTGCCTCCTCAGCCAGCCGCAAAAGGGAGCCACCACCCCTGCCAGCAAAATGTCTTCTGCAAGGAGACCCTCTTCCAATTGTTCCTTTCCAGAGCATAGCTCTGACTGGTAGAGCCTCCGTCACAGTGCGCACCCTGACTGCAAAACAGACTGTGAGATTTACTTTCTGGGTTCTACCTTGGGGAGAAGGAATACAAGTCTGTAAAATAGTCCATACATAGTGACAGTGTGCAAAGAGTACTGGAAAGCAAGGGAAAGGATTACATATATTTGCTACAGGCCCAAATTATCACTGGTTTTAGATCCAGGCAAGTTGAGACAACACCTGCACTGTCAGCCACATATTTGAAGCATCTGTCAGGAAATCCAGTTTTGCTAGCTGAAAATGACCTGGATGGATGCTGGGCTTTAAAAAAAAGAAAGAAACAAAAGAAAAGAAAGAAGAAACACTTAATACCTCAGGCAGCAGGCTGTACCCTAGAGTAAGGTAGACCTAACTGTATTTATTAATTGTGCTATGATGTTGACTGCTAAGATGTTATCATGGGTCCCAGACCCAGGGAATTGTTAGAATGATCAGAGCTAATATTGTGAGCTTAACAATTCCACCTGATATCTCCTCTATATCTTCCATTTACTTTTCTCCATTTCATTCTTTCTACCTTCATCCAGGTACCATCATCTCTCACTTGGACTAATCGTAAGAACCTCTTAACTGGTCTTCAACTCCCAATCCCCTATAAGCTAAACACCACTCTGCCAAAATGATCTTTCAAAAATACAAAGGCAGTTGTGTTATCCTGCCTGCTGTCCTTCCTTCAATGGCTTCCTGTTACACTTAGAAAAAATAGTTGAACGCCTTAACATTGACCCGTAAGGTTCTAATTGTTTGGCTGTTCCCGTAAGTCCAGTCCATGCAACGCTCCTCTCCCTGGGTTTGGCTTAACAGGCCCTGGTCTCTCTATTCCCGATATGTGCCAGGTTCGTTCTTCCCTCCCAGCCTTCACACATGCTGCTCTCTCAGCCAGGAACTCTCCCTGATGGACTTTCATGTTCCATACAAGGTTCAGGCAAACTCTCATGGATTCTTTCAGATGAGGTTAGTTCCCTGTTTTATGCTTTTATAAATCTGAACAACTCCTTCATGACACATGTAACCATTATACTTAAGTAATTATCAAGGTAACCATTTGTTTTGTTTAATGTCTGTTATCCTTGCTGAATTTAAATTCCATGTGTTATTCACCACTGCTATATGCCCAGCACCTCACAGTTCCTAAGACATATGAGGCCTCAATAAATATTTCTTGGCCAGATGTGGTGGCTCACGCCTGTAATCCCAACACTTTGGGAGGCCAAGGCAGGTGGATCACCTGAGGGCGGTGAAACTCCGTCTCTACTAAAAATACAAAAATTAGCCAGATGTGGTGGTGCATGCCTATAATCCCAGCTACCCAGGAGGCTGAGACTGGAGAATTGCTGGAACCCCGGAGACAGAGGCTGCAGTGAGCCGAGATCATGCCACTGCACTCCAGCCTGGGTGACAGATCAAAACTCCATCTCAAAAAAAAAAATGTTGAATGGTTTTTACAGTCCGGTTCATTTCTCTTTCCTCCTAGAAATGAAGACTTGGCCATGCAAGCAAGGGGAGGTGAGACCTGATACTGCCAGAGAAGGAATAGGGCACTGTCAACTCGCTAACTGGGTCCTAGTATTGGCTATGTAACCCTAGACAAGTTACTTTACATTTCTAGACCTCAGTTCAGCAGTTGGAACACGTGGACTTTGGATTTTCTTCTTCCTGGAACTTCCTTTATGCACTCATGTTTGTTACTCACCCATGTATTTATCCATTGTCCATGTCTGCTTGTCAGTTTTAGTTACCTCCTACCCCCACCTGTCCAAGGTGCTCTTGTCCTCAGAAGATCCCACTGGCATGAATAAGACAGACTTGGAAACTTTTATCCTAGATAAAACTGGTCTGGAACACATAAAAAGTATTTCCCCAACAATTTTGATTCACTTCAATTCCTGAAATCTAACTTCTGACTTTCAAAGAAAATTCCACTTTGGCAGCTGTACAGGTACCAACAACAGTTTACCCTTACCTGGAAGAAGAGCCTTGGAGGAGAAAACACACCATGTCGGTATGGGTGTGACAAAGTCTACTTTTTCTAGCACTCCTGGGGCTCACAGAGAAGGCATTTATCAAGGGGCGAGATGAAAGCAGACTCAGATTTCATATAGCCAGTTCTTGCAGTCCATGTCAGTAAAAGTGAAAAAGCCCAGCAATAATGCATTGTCTCATTAAGGCTAATGTGAGTAAGATAATTCAAGTATGTAGATTTCTGGTAGTGTAATTTTATCTCAACAAAGAACTTAGAACAATGAGAAAAGTAAATAGAAACCATAATCCTATCATAACAGCCCCTGAAACCTGTGAGCGCAAGGGGGATCTAGAATATTTCCAATGCCCCCTTGCAGTTAGTTAATCCCCTCCCAAAGGCACTGTTCAGATTCCTCACCATAGGTTAGTTTTCCTTATTCTGCATTTCCCTGACTAATAGTGTTGTTAAGCACGTTTTAATATGATTTATATACATAGAATCATACAGAACGTACTCTGCTGTGTTTGGCTTATTTGCTAAACATAGTGTCTTGATACACATCAAATTCCTGCTTTTTTAATACTTTCTTAAGTTTTCTTAATGCTAGGCAGTATTTCATTGTATGAATTTTCCATAATTTATTGATTTACCTGCAGATGGACATTTAGGTTATTACAATTTGGGGCTATATGAACAAAGTTGTTACGAATATTTATGTACAAGTCTTTCGTGGACATGTTATTTCTCTTAAATGAATATTTAGGGGCAGAGCTTCTTGGTCATAGCATGGTTGTATGTTTAACTTTATAAGAAACCGCCAAATTGTTTTCTGCATTGATTGTGCCACCTTACATTCATACTAGCACTGTATGAGAGTTCCAGGGGCTCCACCTCCTTGCCACACTTGCTTTGTCATTAATTTTAATATTAGCCATTTTTGTGGGTCTGAAATGATATCTTATGGGGCTTTTTAACTGCATTTCCCTGACTGATAATATGGTTAAGGATTTCACATGCTTTTTGGTCATTTATACATTTTCACTTGAACATAAATGTAGGTCTATTTCTGAGTTCTTTATGCTTTTCATTTATCTATATGTGTATTCATACACCAAAACCACACATTCTTGATTGATGAGCATTTATAGTAAGTATTGAAACCAGATAGTGTGAGACCTACAACTTTGTTATTTTCCAAGATTGTTTAAACTTTTCTAGATTCTTTGAATTTCCATGTAAATTTTAAATTTGGTCCATTAAGTCCTCCAAAAAAAAAAGCCAGCTGGGATTTTTATTAGGATTGCAAGGAATAAATAGATCAATTTAAGAGGACTGATACATTCAAAATAGTGTGTTATCCAATATGTGAACCTATATCTCTTCATTTATTTGGATCCTGTCTAGTTTTTCTCCAGATTGTTTTATTATTTTCAGTGTAGCAGACTTACAAATTTTTGTTAAATATATTACTAACATTTTATCTTTTATGCTGTCATAAAGTTATTTCTAAATTTTATTTCCAATTGTGTGGTGATGGTTTATAGAAATATAATTGATTTCTATATATTGACCTTGTATTCTGTGGCCTTGATAAAGTTCCATATTAGTTCCAATACATATTTCTATAAGTTTCTTAGGAATTTCTGCATGGGCAATTATGCCATTTGTGAGTAAAGACATTTGTGCTTCTTCTTTCCAATCCATGCTTGTACTTATTTTTCTTACCTTATTGCACTGGCTGGAACTTCCAGGAAATGTTAGAATAGAAGTAGTAAATTGGGATATACTTGCCTTGTTTCTGATATTAGGGGAAAAATATTTCACAATTAATATAATGTTAGCCAAGGCTTTTCATAGATGACCTTCATCGCATAGAGAAAATTTCTTTCTATTCCTAGTTTGCAAGAGTTTTATCCTCAATGCATGTTGAATTTTGTCAAATGCTTTCTCTACATCTATTCAGATGATATAATTTCTTCCTTTATTCAGTTAATTTGGTGAATTACATTTATAATATTAAATAAACCTTGCATTCTGTGACAAATCCTCTTAATATATTGCTAGACTCAATTTACTGATATTTTCTTAAGGATTTTTGCTTCTATGCTCCTGAGGAATAACGATCTGTAACTTTCTTTTCATTTAATGTCCTTGTCAAGTTTCAATATCAGGGCTACGTTAACCTGAAAAAGACTTGGTGAATATTCCCTCTTTCTCTGTTTTATGAAAGAAATTATGTATGATTGAAATTTTTATTTCTTAAGTGTGTGGTATAATTCACCAGTTAATCCTTTTGGACCTGGGGCATTCTATATGGGAAGGTTTTAAACTATGGGTTTTATTTCTGTAATAATTTTAGAGATTGTCTCAGTCAGGGTACAATGAGAGGAACAGAACCAGTTGGAAATGTACTTCAGAGATTTACTACAAGGACTCAATTTATGTGATTGCAAAGGCAGCTAGGCAAGTCTAAAATCCAGAAGTCAGGACATCAAGAGGGTAAGCTGGAACTCTGTCATAGGCTGAAGCTGTAATCCACACATATAATTTCTTCAGGGAAGATTTAGCTTGGCTTTTAAAGCCTTTCAACTGATTGAATCAGACCAGCCTGTATAAACTAGGATTTTCTCCCTTACTTAGAGTCAATTCATAATGGACTTTAATCACATCTACCTTCACAGCAACACCTAGATTAGTATTTGATTGAGTAACTAGGGACTGTCATGCAGCCAAGCTGACACGTCAAAAGACCATCACAGGGCTGTCAAGTTTTCATTTATGTGTTAGTTTTTTATTTTCAAGGAATTTGTGCTTTTCATCTAAGTTGTAGAATTCAATATGAAGTTGTTTATAATATCCACTCATTTTAAATATAACAATGTCACGCCTATCATTTGTGAAATGGTTTCATTTTTAAATATACAATATCATCGTGTGTGTGAAGGTACTCATGCCACAAACTAAATAAGGATAATAATGTTTGAAATAATGATAGTAGTCATAATAATAATTTTTAAGACCTAGGATTCATCTCTTATTCCTCTTTTCCTCACCTCCCACATACTACTTCTTCCTAGATCCCAAGTTCTGCCTTAAGCTTATTATCACTTCTCATCTTCTCATTATCTTCAATGTTCTTACCCTAATTAGAGCCACCATCACCCTCACCTGAACCACTGCAGAAGTTTCCTATCTTGTGTCCTGATTTCTATCTTGTCTCCGTATTCCTATCTTGTGCCACAGCAATCCCATATCAGAACAACCACAGCAATCATATAAAATATAGAGAAGATTATGTCCTCCCTAATTGAAATGATCAAATATCTTGCCATTGTATCTAGAGAAAAGTCTGAAGACCTTACTGTCCTACAAAGCACTTCATGCTGTGGCACTGACTCTTATGCTGACTTCATCATATCTTTCTTTCCTTGTTCACTAAGTTGCAGGAATATTGGCATTCTGGTGGCTTCCTTCCCTTTAAAGTAACCTTTTAACTGACTAAAATTGAAGTATAAATTAATAAAAGCTCACCAAGTACAGGTATACAACTTAATAAAGCTTCATAAGCTAAACAACCATGCAACCAATGCACAAATGAAGAAATAACATGTTACCAGCATCTCAGAAGCAGTCCACCTGGGAAGCAGGTTCTCAAAAGCAGTCCGAGTCACTACCAGCCCCCAAACATTAACTTTTTCCTGGCATCTAACACTGTACATTTGTTCTTCATGTTCTGAACTGTATATAAAGGGAATCATACAGTATGAACTCTTTGGTGCCTGGATTTTTTTTCCCCAAAATTGTGTTTGTGATACTGATTCATTTTCTGGTTTGTAGATATAGATCGTTGATTCTCATTGCTGTATGGTATTTCTCTATGAGAATATACTACCATTTATGCATCCATTTTATTGCTAAAAGGTATTTTAGTAGTTTCCAATTTGGAATTTTTAAAAATAGTGCTAATGTGAATATTTACGTATTTGTCCTTTTGTGACTATATGTACACACTTCTGTTAGGTACATACCTAGGAAAATATAATGACTGGGTCAGAGGATAGGGATATGCTCAGCTCTAGTGAATACTGTTAACTTTTCCAAATTCTTTCTACCATCTATTATTCCCATCAGCAGTGTGTGAAAGTTTCAATTGCTCCACACTCTGTCTAAACTTGGTATTGTCTATCTTTTTTCGTGTTAGCCATTTCGGTGGCTATGTGGAGATAACACGTTGTGACTTGAATTTGCATTTCTCTTATGAATGGTGAGATTAAACTCTTTATTATATGTTTATTGGAAATACAGAAATGCCCTTTCATGAATTGCCTGTTCAGGTTGTTCAGATATTTTTCTATTTGCTCATTTCTTGTTTTTTTGTTGATCTGTGAGTAGGAACACATGTGTATATATGTTCTGGGAACAAGCCCTTTGTTAAATATAGATATTACATACAGCTTCTCCATCTCTGTGGCTTGGCATTTTGCAATCTTGGTGGTGTTTTTGATAATCAGAAATTTTTAATTTTAATGAAATCCAATTTGTCATTTTTCCACCTTATTGGTATGCTTTTTATTACCTGATTAAGGAATCTTTCCTATTGACAAGATCTGAAGACATTCTCCCAGAGTTTAGAATTTTGTTTGTTTGTTTTTGGTTGTGTAATATATTTTTATTTTCTATGGGTACATAATATACATATTTATGGGGTACATGTGACATTTTGCTACACACATAGAATGTATAATGATCAAGTCACAGTATTTAGAATATCCATCACCGTGAGCATTTATCGTTTATCTGTGGTGAGTACATTTCAGTTCCTCACTTCCAGATATTTTGAAAGATACAACACATTCTCATTAACTATAGTCAGCTCACTCTAATATCAGTCATTAGAACTTGTTTATTCTATTTAACTATATGTTTGTACCCATTAACCAACCTCTCTTTATCCCCCACAACCCCATGCACATACACGCCTTTCCCAGCCTCTGGTAACTATCATTCTATTCTCTACCTTCATGAAATCACCATTTTTAGCTCCCACATATGATGGAACAGGTGATCATTGTCTTTCTGTGTCTGGCATATTCTATTTAACATAATGACCTCCATCCAGTTTCATCCATTTTGCTGCAAATAATATGATTTCCTTATTTTTATGGCTGAGTGGTATTCCATTATATATATATATATAATATTTTCTTTGTGCATTCATCTGTTGATGGACTCTTAGGTTGATTCCATATCTTTGCTATTGTGATAGTGCTGCAGTAAACATTAGGATGTGTATATCCTTTTGATATACTGATTTTCTTTCCTTCAAATAAATACTTAGTAGTGGGATTGCAGGATCACATGGTAGTTCTATTTTTAGTTATTTCAGAAATCTCCATACTGTTACCCATAATGGCTGTATTAATTTGCATACCCACCAATGGTGTATGAGAATTCTCTGCATCCTCTCAAGCATCTGTTATTCTTCATCTTTTTGATCATAGCCATTCTTGCTGGAGTGAGAGGATATCTCACTGTGGTTTTAGTTTGCATTGCCCTGAGGATTAGTGATGTTGAGCAATTTTTCATATACTTGTTGGCCATTTGTATATCTTCTTTTTAGAAATGTCTGTTTAGATCCTTTGCCCACTTTTTAACAGGATTGTTTGGTTTTTTGCTGTTGTTTGAGTTCCTGCATACCCAAAATATAATACTTATATTTTAAGAATTTTTTTATTAGGTTGGTGCAAAAGTTATCGTGGTTTTTGTCATGACTTTTTTTTTTTATTATACTTAAAGTTCTGAGATACATCTGCAGAACATGCAGGTTTGTTACATAGGTATACATTTGCCATGGTGGTTTGCTGCACCCACCAACCCATCATCTAGATTTTAAGCCCCACATGCATTAGGTATTTGTCCTAATGCTCTCCCTCCCCTTGTATTCCACCACCCCTGACAGGTCCTGGTGTGTGATGTTCCCCTCCCTCTGTCCATGTGTTCTCATTGTTCAACTCCCACTTATGAGTGAGAACTTAGGGTGTTTGGTCTTCAGTTCCTGCGTTAGTTTGCTAAGAATGATGATTTCCAGCTTCATCCATGTCCCTGCAAAGGACATGAACTCATTCTTTTTTATGGCTGCATAGTATTCCATGGTGTATATGTGCCACATTTTCTTTAGTCTATCATTGATGGGCATTTGGGTTGGTTCCAAGTCTTTGCTATTGTGAATAGTGCTACAATAAACATGTGTGCACATGTCTTTGTAGTAGAATGATTTAGAATCCTTTGGGTGTATACCAGTAATGGGATTGCTGGGTCAAATGGTATTTCTGGTTAGAGATCTTTGAGGAATTCCTGCATTGTCTTCCACAATGGTTAAGCTAATTTACACTCCCACCAACAGTGTAAAAGTGTTCGTATATATCCACATCCTCTCCAGCATCTATTGTTTCCTGACTTTTTTTTTCTTTTTTTTTTTTGGGTGGGGACAGAGTTTCACTCTTGTTGCCCAGGCTAGAGTGCAATGGCATGATCTCGGCTCACCACAGTTTCCGCCTCCTGGGTTCAAGCGATTCTTTAAATTATGTGTGGTGGCGCATGCCTGTAATCCCAAGTAGCTGGGATTACAGGCATGCGCCACCACACCCAGCTAATTTTGTATTTTCAGTAGAAACAGAGTTTCTCCATGCTGGTCAGGCAGGTCTCAAACTCCCAACCTCAAGTGATCCACCCGCCTCAGCCTCCCAAAGTGCTGGGATTACAGGCATGAGCCACCGCGCCTGGCCCCTGACTTTTTAATCATCGCCATTCTACCTGGAGTGAGATGGTATCTCATTGTGGCTTTGATCTGCATTTCTCTAATGTCCAGTGATGATGAGCTTTTTTTCATGTGTTTGTTGGCCACATATATGTCTTCTTTTGACAAGTGTCTGTTCATATCCTTTGCCCACTTTTTGTTGGGGTTGTTTGTTTTTTTCTTGTAAATTTATTTAAATTCCTTGTAGATTCTGGATATTAGACCTTTGTCAGATGGATAGATTGCAAAAATTTTCTCCCATTCTGCAGGTTGCCTGTTCACTCTGATGATATTTTCTTTTGCTGTGCACAAGCTCTTTAGTTTAATTAGATCCAATTTGCCAATTTTGGCTTTTGTTGCAATTGCTTTTAGTGTTTCAGTCATGAAGTCTTTGCACATGCCTATGTCCTGAATGGTATTGCCTAGGTTTTCTTCTAGGGTTTTTATGGTTTTAGATTTTACATTTAAGTCTTTAATCCATCTTGAGTTAATTTTTGTATAAGGTGTAAGGAAGGGATCCAGTTTCAGCTTTCTACATGTGGTTAGGCAGTTTTCCAGCACCTTTTATTAAATAGGGAATTCCTTCCCCATTGCTTGTTTTCGTCAGGTTTGTCAAAGATCAGATGGTTGTAGATGTGTGGCATTATTTCTGAGGCCTCTGTTCTGTTCTATTGGTCTATATATCTGTTTTGGTACCAGTACCATGCTGTTTTGGTTACTGTAGCCTTGTAGTATAGTTTGAAGTCAGGTAGCATGATGCCTCCAGCTTTATTCTTTTTGCTTAGGATTGTCTTGGCTATGTGGGCTCTTTTTTGGTTCCACATGAAATTTAAAGTACTTTTTTCTAATTCAGTGAAGAAAATCAATGATAGCTTGATGGGAATAGCATTGAATCTCTAAATTACTTTAGGCAGTATGGCCATTGATTCTTCCTGTCCATGAGCATGGAAGTTTTTCCAGTTGTTTGTGTCCTCTCTCATTTCCTTGAGCAGTGGTTTGTAGTTATCCTTGAAGAGGTCCTTCACGTCCATTGTAAGTTGCATTCCTAGGTATTTTATTTTCTTTGTAGCAATTTTGAATGGGAGTTCACTCATGATTTGGCTCTCTGTTTGTCTTATTGGTGTAAAAGAATGCTTGTGATTTTTACACATTGATTTAGTATCCTGAGACTGCTGTATTTGCTTATCAGC